>NC_000002.12:123114618-123739618 GCF_000001405.40 Homo sapiens | reverse complement strand
TGCATTTGTAATGAATGGAGAGGAGAAAACAATAAACATGCAAATGCACTAACACTTTTTAGAAATACATTTTACATTTTTCAGTAGAAGAATGGGGGAAATTAGAACAGGGAGACAAAACCAAAGTTTAACATTCTCTAGGATGGAAAAAAGAAAACTTGAAAATTTATATAAGGTAGTCTGGAAGTATTTCCTGAAATTATTAGAATCTCAGGATAACAAATATATCCTACATTATAATCAGCCATTGATTATTTTTTATTTTTTATATTATAAATTTCAGACAATATTAGTTCCCTCACTTAGAAATGTTTTCTAAATATCTAAGAAAATATAATAAGAATAGCTAATACATTTACCCTATAAAACTTATCCAAATTCAAAACCTTCAATATCTGAAGTGGCACGTTGAAGAAACAAAATGCTTACAAAATAAAAAATATATCTCCTTGGTAAAGTTATGGAACATGTGGAGTGTTACTGGCAATTAAAAAACAATAATTTTGACATGTTACCACCCACTAATCCAAACAAGCCTTTTAGAAAAATGTTCTAAAAGTAGATATAAGGGAAGTGATATCAGCAAAATGGCAGACTAGAAGCACGAAGCTCCCCAAGACTTGGGAGCACTAAGCTGCCCTTCCTCCCCTGAATAAACTACCAGAAACTAACTGAACCAACTTTGTAAGAGGTCTGGAAAATAGCCAAAGGTTTATATCATCCAAGTAAATTTTCAATCAAGACAAAGCTGTTTACAAAACAGTCATAGAGTGTTGTGGTATTTTTACTCACCCTTGCTCTACATCCTGCTCAGTGTGGCAATAATTTTAGTCATGAGCAGTAGCAGCTGGCTACTATTTCCCCCTTGAATCAGAGGAAACAGAACAGGTCTTATTTGCAAATGATTGTGTAAATGTGTTCTAATCAGGCTGGAGGATATCTAAAGTACTGAAGCAAAATGATGATCTCTGTTTGCCTAACTCAACGAGGAAAAACAGCAGACACTGTTCACAAAAGCTGCAAGGTGATACAGATGCTGGGGACAAATGATTCCAGGTGGAGATGCATGCCATAGGACATCTTAGACCTAGAGGAGAAACTAGAATGAAACTCTTTTGAAAATTTAGACATTAAAAAGCAGCCACATAAACTACTGAGAACTTAAACTTTCACCTTTTGTTGAATCCTAGGCCCAGATGAAACCTATCTAAGTGTTGTTGGAGTGCCCCAGCACAGAATGAGAATGATTGCTGTTCTTTATTTTTCTAGGTTTATTATTTGTTTTGTTTTAACTTCTAGGATTCCTGAAAACCTCTGACCGAACATTAGCTGAACATGAGCTACGAGAAGAGAGGCTTCAGGTATCACATTCAACAAGTCATAGTCTTTGCAAAAGGAAGTTTGGAAAAGTCTCAAAACAAAAGAAATACTACAGTCTTTCATAAAAAAAAAATATACATACAGACATGCATGCATGCATACATACATAAAACCTTTGCAAAAGAGGAGAATATGATTTCCAGAATTACTACATTGTAACACGTAAATGCTCAAGTTTCAAGAGAGTTTGTAAGTCGTGCAAAGAGAAAAGCATAGCTAATACAATGGAACAAAATAAGTAAATACAAACCACTCTTAACAATGCCCAGATATTAAAGTCAATAGACAAATATTTTAAGTTATTTGTCTTAAATATTATAAAAGAGTTATGGGAAAAATATGTGCAAAGAACTAAGAAAATCAGAAAAATAATATATGAACAAAATGAGAATACAACAAAGAGGTAGAAATTAGGAAAAGAAATCATAAGGAAAATCTGCACCAGAAAAATATAACAATTGAAGTGAAATATGCACTACAGGGTTTAATGAAAAATTTAAACAGGCAGAAGAAAAAAATAGTGAACCTGAAGAAAGAAAAAATTAAATAATGAGTATGAGTTTAAAAAAAAGAGAAATGACTGAAGAAACAAGAACAGAGCCTACAAGACTTGTGGGATGCCATATAGCAGACTAGCTACACACTTAAGAAATCTGGAAAAGAGAAGGAGGTGTTGAAAGACTATTTTAGGAAATAATAGCTAAAACTTCTGAAATTTGAAGAAAGACTTGAATCTGCAAATCTGAGAAGCTCATCAAACTTCAAGGAAGATAGAGAGTCAACACTGGGATGTATTTAATCAACCCATTATAAAAAGCCAAAGGCAAAGAGAATCCTGAAAGTAACAAGAGAGGAGCAACTCACTCATAAGAGGAATCATTAGATTACCAGCAAATTTCTCAACAACCTTAGAAGCCAGAAGGCAGTGCAATTATATATTTAAAGTGCTAGAGAAAATAAAAAATTTGTATCTGGCAAAGATGTCCTTCAAAAATGAGGAAAACATTAAGACATCTCTAGAAAACAAAAGCTGAGAGAGTTTGCCACCACTAGATTTAACCTACAGGAAAGACTAAAGGAATTCCTCTAAGTTGAAATGCGCGAATACCAGACAGTAATTTGAATTCATACACAAATTTATTTGGTAAATGTAAATACATGGCAAATATTAAACCAAGTATCATTATAATTTTTCTTTTTAATTCAACTTAAAACTTTCTATGTAATTTAACAAATAAACATACAAAAACAATTATAAATCTATGCTATTGGGCATAAATGTATAAAGATATAATTTTTGACATAAATGATATAAAGAGAGATATAAACATATAGGAGTAGAATTTTTGTATATAATTGGAGTTAAGTTGTGATTGATTAAAAATACATTCTTATAACTTCTTATTTTATTTAATCTCTATGTTAATCAGAAAAATTCTATAGAGTATATAAAACAAAAAAGGTAAACAAAATGTGTCACTCTAAAATCTCAACTAAATACAAAAACAGATATAATGAAGGAAATGAGGAGCAAAGAAAACTAAAGAACATACAGAAAACAAACAACAAATGGCAGAACTAAATTCTTCTTTATTGGTAATTACATTAACTGGAAATGGATTAAACTCTTCAGTTATAAGACAGAGGTGTGCAGTATTAATAAAAACACAAAGTCCAGCTGTATACTACCTTCTATGAGTGTCTCGCTTTAGTATTAGACAAATAGATTGAAAGTGAAAATATGAGAAAACATATTTCATGCAAATAGTAATCAAAACTTATTTCATGCAAATCAGGGACAGCTGTACTAATAATAATTTCAGACAAAATGGACTTTAACTAAAGACTGTTACAAAACAGTTTTAAAAAGCACATTATATATTAATAGGAGAGTCAATTAACCAGGAAGACATAACAATTATAAACATATACTTACCACATATAAGAGTCCCAAAGTATATGAAACAAATATTACTATAATTGAAAGGAGAAATAGACATAATAATAGCTGGAAACTTCAAATCTTCAATTTCAATAATGAATAGAACATCTAGAAAGATTTACAATAGAAGACTTAGACAACACTTTAAAGTAACTGGGCCTAACAGATATATAGAAAACTTGACCCAGTACCAGCAGAATACATATTTTTCTCAAGTAAATATAAAACATTCCTCAGAATAGACTATGTTTTAAGCCACAGGACAAGTCTTAATAAATTTATAAATACTAAAAACATGTGAAGTATTTTTTCAATCACAATGGGATGGAACTAAAAATAAATAATAGAAAGAAAACTGAAAAATACACAAATAAATGGAAATTAAACAACACAAACAACCACTGAGTCAAAAAAGAAATCACAAGTACAATTAGGAAGTACTGTTGGGAAAATAAAAATAAAAACATGACATACCAAAACTTATGGAATGCAGTGAAAGCAGTGGTAAGAGGAAAAGATATAGCTGTAAAAATGTACATTTAAAAAAAGGTCAAATCAAGAATCTAACTGCACCTTAAAGAACTAGATAAAGAACAAATTAAAACTAAACTAGCATAAGGAAGGAAATAATAAATATTCCTACTGAGATAAATAAACTAGAAAGACAATAGATTTAATCGGATAAAGGCAAAATTTTTTACTGGAAAAGATCAAGGAAATTGACAAATCATTAGTTAGATTGTTTAGAGTAAAAGAGGGAGATTCAAATTAATAAATCATACATAAAATTTGCGATATTACTTCAGACTTTACATAAATAAATTAATACTATGAACAACTGTATGCCAACAATTTGGATAACCTAGATGAAATGAACAGCTTTCTAGAAACACACTCTCTCCCAAGACTGAATTATGATTAGCAGAAAACCTGAATAGACCTTTAATTAGTAAGTAGATTGAAACAATTATTGAAAATTTCCCAAAAAAGAAAGCCATCCACCAGATGCTTCAATGGTAAATGTTACCAAACACATAAAAGAACTAACGACAATGCTTCTTAAGCACTCAAAAAATTGAAGAAGAGGAAATTCCTCCTAACATATTTGCTGAGACCAACATTACCCTATACCAAAATCAGAAAGAATTGCTAAAAGTAGAAAAAACTATAGATCACTATCCTCTGTGAGTACTGGTACAAAAATCTTCAAGAAAATACTGGCAAATTTGACAACATACTAAAAGGATTGTATACCATGAGCAAGTGGAATTTATTCTCGGATTGTAAGAAAGTTTTAAGATATGAAAATTAATTGATATAATAAACCACATTATTAGAACAAAGGGAAAATGATTATCTCTATAGAGGCAAAAAATGTATTCTGAAAAATTCAACACCTTTTCATGATAAAAAATACCAAATACACTAAAAGCAAGTTAACTCCTCACTATGATAAAGTCAATACATGAAAAACCCACAGCTAATATCATAGTAAATGCTGAGAGATGAAAGATCTCCCCCATTATGATCAGGAGCAAGACAAGGGTGCACGCATTTCCCACTTCTACTCAGCATAGCACTGAAAAGTCTTAGAAATAGCAGTAAGGCAAGAAAAAGAGATAAAATATATCCATATTGGAAAAGAAGATGTAAAAATATTCCTGTTCACAGATGACATAATCTTATATGTAAAAAACTCTAAAAAATATGTACACACGCATTTATTAGAATAAATAAATTCTCCAAAGTTATGAGATACAGAATCAATACACAAAAATCAGTTGTGTTTCTATACACTAACAAGAAGCTATCAAAAAGAAAATAAAGAAAAAAATGTACTTACAATAAAATCAAAAAGAATGATAAGCATAAGAAAAGTGGCAAAAGAATTGCACACTGAAAACTATAAAACTTTACTGAAAGAATTCTCAGAAGACATAAATAAATGGAGACAAATTTCATATTTATGGATTGGAAGACTTTATATTGATAATATAACAATATCATCCAAAGCTTTCTACAGTTCAATACAATCTCTATCAAAACCACAATGGTGCTTTAGCAGAAATAGAAAAAGAATCCTAGAATGTATTTGGAATCTCAAGCAAACCCTTACAGAAAAAACAATTTTCAAAAGGAAGGATCAAGATGGAGGACCCATGCTTCTCAACTTTAAAACCTATTTAAAAGCTATAGCAATCAAAACAATATGGTACTGTCATAACAGTAGACATTTTGGCCAATTAAATAGAAAAGAAAACCACAAAATAAACGTTTGTGTAAATGGTCAAAAGATTTTGAACAATGGTTCGAAGACTATTGAATGAAGAAAGGATAGTCATTCTAAGAGATAGAGCTAGGAAAACTAGATATCCGTATAAAAAAGAATGAAGGTTAACTCATTTTATACCATATAAAAAATTAACACATAAAATCAAAGACATGAAAGTAACAACTAAAATGACAAAATTCTTAGAAGAAAACTTGGTAAAAGCTAGATGTCATTGGAATAACTGATGATTTCTTGGGTAAACACCAAACTCACAGGCAACAAAAAGAAAAGTAGATAAACTAGACTTCATTAAAATTATTATTTTTTTGCCAAAAGACACTATCAGAAGAGTTAAAAAAATTCACAAAATGAGAAAATATTTTCACATTATAGATTTAGTAAGGGATAATATACAAAATATATAAAGGGTCTCTACAACACAACAACAAACAGAACAAGCAAATCAAAAATGAGCAATGGGCTTGAATAGATATTTCTCCAAGTAAAACATATATGGCTAATAAGCACATGAAAAGATGTCCGATAACTTGAATCATTAAAAAAATGCAAATCAAAACCAAACTGAGGTACCATTTTAAAAACATTAGGATAACTACTATTTAAAGAAAAAGCGTTAGCGAAAATTGTGGAAAAACTGACCTTCTTGTTTTCTTTATTGTGGGAATTTAAACTTGTGCAACTGCTATGAAAAACAGCTTGGTGATTCCTCAAAGATTTTAACAAAAGATTATCATATGATCCAGCAATTTCATTTCTCAGTGTATACCCAAAGATTGAAAACAAATACTCAGATACTTGTACGCCAATGTTTACATCAGCATTATTCACAATAGCCCACAGGTAGAAACAACCTAAATATCTATCAACAGTTAAATAGATAAGCAAAGTAGTATCTTAAATACAATAGAATATTATTTAGCCTTAAAAAGGAATGAAATTCGAGTACATTCTACAACATGGATAAACTTGGATAGACGTATTCGTAGACTTATTTGTTTGAATTTCTGTGAGGCATGAACATCAGGTATTGTATGCTGGCTTGATTCATATCCTAGGGACAAAGAAATTCTATTTTCAAAGAAATGGAGTAACATTTCAAATAAGTAAATGTTAATGGTGATCCTTAAATAGTTACTAAATGGAAGAGTCAGGAATGCTTAGGTCCTACATTAGTACCTATCATTATCCTGGAGTTTATGTGTTATGCACCCATGTTCTTATCTAGGAACAAACAAATTGTTTAGCTAGTGAGTCATGGAGTCTGTCTCCTTAGCCAAAATGAAACTAAATACCTTTTCACATTACCTTTCTAGCATTGGCTTCCAGGAAGTTTAGAACAAAATATCTTTAAAAGCTCTGTGATTCTTTATGACTTGCATGCCAACATTTCACTTTCATCATGTTCTGTTCAAATTGGTGTTTTAAATTTATGTATCTGTTCTAGAATATATTTTTAGTATTTATATATTTTATTGATTGTGTCTTTTAAAAAGCAGGCTCAAATCTTGTATAAAAGATAAATAAAAAGATGAAAAGCCATACATAATTCTAAAATCCCCAATACAAAATTGCTTAATGATTTAATTCTATGATGCTTTGAGTGGTATTAAAATTTTCCTCTCTTGTCTACTTGATTAACAATTCTGCGAATAAGCAATATTTCTCTGGAACAGAAAAAATAGGATCATTTTGAAGATCTTTATTTATTTTGAAGATTCTCTAAAACAAAAACAATAGAATCATAATTTGCTTTTGATTTCACAGAAGTATTTATTTTCTTTTGGAAGCAGTCACTTGCAAACAAGCAAACTTTAATTTCACTAGAGGTTTCTATCAGAAACAACAGAATGAAGAATAGGTTATTTATTCCAGTAGTCTCTTGGGAAGCTTGACACAGTGATCTTGTTATATTTGGGGTTGTGATGGTTGGTTTTATGTGTCAAATCAGCTGGACCACAGTGGCCAGAACATTATTCTGAATGTTTCCATGAGTATGTTTTGGATGAGATTAACATTTAAATTGATAGACTGAGTAAAGCAGATCACCCTCTATGATGTGGATGGGCCTCAACCCATCAGTAGAAGGCCTTAACAGTATGAAGACTGATTTCATCAGGGGAAGAAGACATTCTGCCAAAAGAAGGCCTTTGGACCTGAACTGCAACATTGATTTTTTCCCTGGGTTTGCAGGCTGCTTCCGTATCCTGCAGAATTTGAAGGCTCATAATTGCATGAATCAATTCCCTAAAATAAATCTCTCTCATATCTTACACACTATTGGTTTTCTTTTCTCTGGAAGACTCTAATGAATAAAATAGTTACATCTAATTCTATTACTTTAGCCTTATCCTTGATTTTTTTCCATTGTGTATATCTTCCTCTGAAAAAAAAAAAAAAAGATGTTTTGCTGTTACTCTAATCTTAGATTACTGGCCTTCAAAATGTGCCTCAGTCTTATTTCCTTCTGTCCTGCCCCTACATTTATTTTCCATATGCTGTTCTCTGTAGCACTACAAACACTACCTCTTTCTCCTATCTTATCAACCAGCCACTGCTTTCAATCAAGCAGTGTTGAGTTGTATTGAGTGTTGAGTTGTAATTGGAATTCATGGACTGATTATACAGCAATCATCTTGGGCTGAATCTAAACCATAGATGTGTTTTGTTTTCCTTAAGCATTTTAGTCTGCAAAATAATTTTATACTTGGATTAATTACTAACTTAAAAATCAGGAAAATTTACATTAAATAAAGATTTCTAACTTCCCTTGAAAAATAAGAGTCTGGTAATAGAGGGCCCTTATGGCATCACTTAGCCTGGGCTGAGTGGAGGTGTCTTCTATATGCGGAGTACTCACTTTCCAGATTATCTGACCCCATCATGTTTTCCTTATTTTAGGCAATCTGCGAAGATTAGTTAGGTTACCTGCCCCCAGCCCCCTAACCCCGTGAACATTTTATTTTAGGGCATGCCTCAGCAACTGCCTCTGAGGGGTCCTTAAGTAAAAATACTCATTACTACTAAACTAAGACATGTGTGATATCACTGCAATACACATGGTTTTTTTTTTCCAAAGGAAAAGAACCAGCACTCATTTAAAGTTCTAATTCCTGCTACATTTTTGTACAAGCATATACTTGAACGTAAACACATATACACCTCAACAGTCTCATTACTTTATAGTTCCACTGCATTTAATTTTATGCCGTTTATGCAGTTGCACGTGTCAGATTATTGCATGTTCTCCTGCTTTCTGAGAATTATATTAAGTATTAGCTTTGGTCTGTGGTGATAAGTTGTACAATGCATTCAATTAGAATGTATTTCTTTAATTCATTTCTCTGTGCATTTATTGTCCTGGCTCTAGCAATTTCAGTCTATCTGCCTTTTGGTAAGAACATTTGTTTATTGTGTGCTACTAGCAATTACTGCACAGTTGGAAACTTCTCACCTCGAACACTGCATGGCCTCTGCCTCATGTTCTGAGAAGAAATCAGTAGATTGGGCCCCTTGAATTAACCGGCTAGATAGCCATGCTTTATTTGGGTTAAAGTTCCATTTCTCAGCTCTACTGCAACTTATAATTTCAGTTAACAATAAAAAATCCGATAGGATTGTTAAAGTACATATTTCTTTAAAGTGTATTGTGTTAGAGAAGTTTCACTGACACCTTCAGCTTTCCTTTGTGTTGCCTATTTTCTATTGTTTGTCTTGTTATTTTTATGTCTTTACAGAGATGCCGAGTTGATGGCCCTGGAATCTCATTAATTAAAGATACTGAATATTATCCCCTGAACATTTTGAGAGGGAAAACTAGATACTGCCACTGCCTGTAGGTGAGGACAATAACAATAAATGCCATTAAATCATTCCAGGAAAAATTGAATTAGCCCTGCAATGTTGTCATTAAAAGATATGGCTGGATGCAGTGGCTCATGCCTATAATTCCAGAACTTTGGGAGGCTGAGTTGGGAGGATTGCTTGACCTCAGGGGTTCAAGACCAGCATTGGCAACACAGTAAGACCTCATCTCTACAAATTAAAAAAAAAAAATAGCTGGGCATAATGGCAGGCAGCTGTGGTTTCAGCTACTCGGGGCTGAGGCAGGGGGATCTCTTTACTCCAGGTAGTTGAGGCTGCAGTGAGCCATGACTGCACCACTGCACTTCTGCCTGGGCAACAGAGTGAGACCCTACCTCAAAAAAAATAAAATAAAAAATAAGGAAAATATGTTGTGAGTATGCATTGAATTTTGTAGAAGATTGTTTTCTGTATTGTAAAAAAAAAAGTGTTATCTTCTTGATTTTCAGGATTTCTTTTTCTAGTAGAACTACAATTTAATAAGCTTCTCTTATGCCTAATGCTTGTGAGATTTGAGAGTTATTTTGTATCCAGGCTCCATTTTAATTTCTAAGGGTATTCAACTCATTTTAGCACCTGAGAACATGTCTTATTTTGGAAATATGTACCTAAATTGGACAGTACATTGGACTGTCCAAATTATAAAAAAGTAATGAGATTGCTAAGGTGTATGTATCTGTGTGTTTGTGTACGTGTACCCATAAAAAAACACAATAAAGTTTAAACTCCCAAAGCATGATGTGCTAGGGTTCTATTGCTATGATTGCTAAAATGAAGTGGTTTGAAACGGCATTCATTATCTCACATTTTCTGTATACCTATAATCTGGATGTAGCTGAGCTGTGACCCTCTGCTTCAGGGTCCAACAGACTGTGAGCAAGATGTCAGCAGGAGCTGTGGTTTCATCTCAAGGCTTGATTTGAGAATGACTTTATTCAGGCTTACTCATGTGGCCTGATGATGTTTCTTGTGAGCCGTTGGGCTGAGGACCTTATTTTTTTCACCGTTAACCAAAGGCTGCCTTCAGATCCTTGCCAGTGGGCCTCTCTGTATAGCAGTTAACATCATAAAAGCTAGCAAGCTAGATGACCAGAGAAAGTGTTCCAGACAGAAATCAGTCTTTTATAAAACAATCTTGAAAGCAACATTCCATCACTTTTGTCTTATTCTATTTTCTTCATTTTGAACATTTTATTTTATTTTTAATTGACAAAAATTGCATATATTTGTGAGGTACAAGGTGATATTTTGATACATGTATACATTGTGAAATGATCAAATTAGAGAATTAGCATATCCATTTTCTTAATTGTTTATTATTTCCTTGTGGTGAGAACATTTCAGTCTTCTCTTTTAGCTATTGATTTATGTACAAAACACTTCAAAAATGCTGATTTGTGCTACACTCTATAATGATTACATTTTCTCTTTTTTTCCTTTATCTTAAAATAAATATAAAAGCCAAAACTATCTCATACCTGCCTTTTACTTCAATAAAATGTCTTTTCCTCCCCCTTTCCCCGATACATCTTTGAGTTTGCCATTTCCCCAACCAGGTCTCTGTTCTTCCTTGAAGAGGCAGCATCTCGTGAAGAATAAAGGACTGTGAGTCCAGGATGCCTGCTCTGCTTCACAGCAGCTGTATGAGCTTGGTCTTAGTTTTTTCATCTCTACAATGATGATAAGTACTATCCACCTTCTGGTGCTGTGAAAATTGGGGAGATAAGTCATACAAAATATCTATATCCATCCTTAGTGCCTGGCAAACAGTAGTAATCTCCCTTATTCATCTTTTAAGTTCCATATTCCAAAGGCTTTCCTGATTTCCTTAGCCTGCAATTCTCCCTCTTCTGAGCACACAGAATGTGTTCCAACTGCATCTCAGATTTGGCCTGCACTTTATATTTTTTGAGTATTTCTAAGCCTTTTTTGTATAATTCTTACACATACATCCCTAAAGGGCTTATTTTATTTGTTTTTATATATCTCTCTGTATCCCGTCCTTGAAAGATCACTTACACCAACTTACATAAAATGGATTTACTTTCTTGTCCCTCTTCACAGATAAATGGATACATAAATACATAGAAAATAGGCTAATGGATAGATTATATGTACATGCTTAGGTAGTTTATTATATGTATGGGTAATGTTGGCTATGTGCAAGGCACTGTTAAAGCACTTAATTTTATATAATGTGTCTGTTATTTAATTGTCTCTCATTGTCTGAGGGGTTAGACGGAAATTAACTAATTCATCCTATGAGATAACGGCAGCCAGTTTTTTAGATGAAATGAAATTTCCCCTCTAAAAATGATACGACTAAACTCAAAGAATGCATATAGAGCACTGAGAGAGGTGTTTTCTACGTAATTTTCACAGCATTGCAAAGCAGTTATTATTTATCATCTTTTACAGATGGATGGAATCGTGGATTGAAGAGGGATAAACGTCAGCTCTTCTCCCACGATTTTGTACCTCTACTCTCCCATCAGAATGATCAGGCCTGAGCCAGGTGAATGATTGCAGAGAGGAAGCTGACGTCTTGCAGGGTTAGGCAGGAGCAAGAAGGAACGCATGGGTGAAGGACTCTGAGCTGCTCACAGTTGGCTTGTAGCACCTGTGGAGATCACAGGTGAGACAGGTTCCTGGATGTTCTATGTCATGTCCTCACCTTGCTTCCACGAACAGCTTGACTGAGATTTGAGTCTCGCGTTGCGTCTTGTCAGTAATTCTATGTGCCTCAGACATGTTGCCTGAATTGGAGAGACCAGTGGTACCAATCTCATTTTCTTCCTCCTCTTTCTATTCTCAAAGGTGCTAGACATAAACTCAAGAATGGCTTCCAATGGTCTTTCAGTGTGTCTTAGATTTTAATTCATTTAGGAGGAGAATGGTTTGGAATGATCATAATGGTGTTTTTATTTTTGTGGGCTTTTGTGTGGCAACCCCAATTCAGGGGCACAATTGTTATGAAGAGACAGTTAGGATTATCCAGGTAATTTTTTTTCTTTTTTTTTTTTGAGATGGAGTCTCGCTCTGTCACCCAGGCTGAAATGTAGTGGTGCCATCTGGGCTCACTGCAACCTCCACCTCCCAGGTTCAAGTGATTCTCCTGCTTCAGCCTCCTGAGTAGCTGGGACTACAGGCACATGCCAACGCGCCCAGCTAAATTTTTGTATTTTTTTTTAGTAGAGATGGGGTTTCACTGTGTTAGCCAGTATGGTCTGGATCTCCTGACCTCATGATCTGCCCACCTCAGCCTCCTAAAGTGCTGGGATTACAGGCATGAGCCACCACGCCTGGCCATCCAGGTAATTTTTTTCCTCTTGTAGGAAACCGAGACTATTTAAATGTATTGAAGTCAGAGCAACATCAGTTAACTTATCATAGATTCTTAAAATTAACATTTTGTAATGAAGAAACATGGATAATTGCAGTGAATAGTGACTTTAGAGCAAGTGATTTACCTCTTTTATCCTCAGTTTGTTCCCCTCCAAAATGGTAAAATTCGTGCCTACCTCAAAAAATCCTAACTGGAACTGACATGTGGCCTTCTATGCAAAAGGCAAAAAGGCACGAAGGCACAGTACTTGACGGCTAGTAGATGCTTAGTATATGTTGGTTTAATTCTTTTTCTCTGATGGCCTAAGAAATACTGAACTTCATGGCAAGAGGAGAGTTTGGCCTGGGGAGGATGGCACAGATATCAAGTTAGCCTAGACAGAGAAAATCCAGGACAATCATAAAGTAACAAAGAAGTACAGTTGTACATACATTCTTTAGATAATCAGAGATACGTTAAGTGGGTTAAAACAATACAATTTTAGCTATCATTCCGGTTTATGTTTTTTGGTAGTAGGTTCTCTTGCTTTTTCAGCACTTTAGAGAACTTTGCTAATAAAACCACATACCTTTTTAACCAATCTTGAAACATGAAATCAATATTTTTCACTAATCCAAGGAAGCACATATTTGAAAACTATTGAATTAAAGAGTGTGGCCAGCTTTTAAAATATCCAGATGCTTGAAGCTATTCTGGATATCTTAGCTTTCACAGGATCAGACAGATTTCTTCCACTGGCGAATTTCTCCATCCCAACCCTGTCTCAGGGGGCAAGCTTGAGAGATATTGTACATCACCAGCTGAGTCATATCATTTAGGGTCACCAATGAGGTTTTACCTAAAATAAAGAGGATGCTGTGCTCATGGGTTTTATTTGACTGGCGTCAGAGAAGTTCGAGAACATTTTTGACCATGACAGAAATCTTACGCCAACAGCTCAGTCTCCAACTGTGACTATTTGAAAAACAGTGCATAGCACAAAGCAGGGTCCCTCAATAAACACTATTCTTAGTCACTGGAGTCAAAAGTCAAAGGAGATTGAGCTGCAGGAAGGAACTAATGAGGATCCAGTGAGCTGTCCATAACTTCCTTAGACACTTGTAGGCTCAGTGAAGGTAGCCTTTCCATCTTCAAAGCCAGCAATGGAGCATCTCCTTTAGGAAGACCTCAGTGCTGTCTAAGGGCTCATCTGGTTAGGTCACATCAATCTAAATTCTCCCTTTTTTGACATCAACGATGTGGTATAACATAACTTCATCAGGGACATGACTCTTTAATTATATTCACAAACCCAGGAATAATACAGGGCACATATTTTATGGACTGGGAATCTTGAAAACTATCTTAGAATGCTGACTCCCAAGATGGGAGATCTGAGATTGCCTGCAGTAGACATTGTCATCCTCTTCTTCACAAGGTTGCTATTTAAAGGACTAGGAGTTAGAAACTGGATTTGGGAACTGTCTTAACACAAGTTACATGAAAGTGATTGACTTATTTTTTGAACGCAAAACACTTCTTTTATTGATTAAGTTTTTTGGGAAATGGGATTTAGAAACACTTTCAACATAACAAAATTTTTTAGATTCCCAGATTATGCAAAGATAAAAGTAAAATTAGTTCTCAAGGGCAACAGAGATGCTTGTGAACAAAGGAAAGGAGACAGCAAATCAAGGACTTGTTACTGAAGCTATAGAAAACAAAGGCTGAAAGCAAACAAAGCAATTCCATAAAACTGAGTTACTCGTAGATACACAGAACAGAATTACACACACATATGAGATAGTAGTTGACGGTGGGTAAACCACACAGAGACATACTGTAAGGAGGAACGTGGCCCCATTTTTTGATATCTAATTGCTGGCAGCTTTAAAGTCTCACCCTCTCCTCTTCCCCTTGTGCCCCACAATGGGCAAGCCGATGAAAAAGGCTGGGGTTTCCTTCTTTGGTGCCAGTGGGCAATTAGAACCATACAAGCTCCTGACTGCACCAGAGGACTGTCCCATACGCTAAATGCAATGAACACCCAGGCCTTTCTTGCTCTCCCAAGATATTTCAGAACTGCTTGAGAGACCTGCCCTCCTCTCCTTAAGGCCTCAATTCTGTAAGTAAAACCTTTATCATAGCCTCTTGGTGTGTGTGGTGTCATCAGGCCAAATGAACCTTGGGTGGGGCCCCTTCTTGCTCTTCCAGGATGACCATAACACATGCATGTGTACCTGACATTTATCTGATCAACTCCTAGTTCTAGCAAGAAATATTCTTCAGCTGAATCCCTGAAGTTCAAGATTGATTGGCTTCTTTCTGCCTGAAAATTTCTCCTTTCATCCCTGTTTCTTTTCTGGATTGTACAACGTGAAGATTTTTTATCATATTTTAAAGTGCTGCTCAAGGAAATAAAATCAATAATACAGATTAACATTACATTCATAATACAGATTAAAATTACAGCATAATTTAAATCAGATTGATTAGGCAAAACATGAAATCCAGTAGGCATAAATATGGGCATATTCATGCAATACTAGTAGAGGTTTAAATTGTTACACATGTTCTCAGACATGGATTAAAGCATGCATTAAAAACTCTAAAACTTCAAATCTACAGATATAAACAGACGTAATAATTTTTAAAAATGCAAAGTTATTGAAAACTATGATATTGATTGATTAAACAAGATATTTGCATAGTTATATATTTATTAACCAGTGGGTTAATGAGGTTCATACTAGCAAAGAAAGAATAGGGAAGCTATATATGGCTCTGGCCTCCCATTCAGACAGGAAATGTGATAGCGAATTGTATGTGTCCACTTGACTGAATCACAGGA
Organism: Homo sapiens; assembly: GCF_000001405.40. NCBI lineage: Eukaryota > Metazoa > Chordata > Mammalia > Primates > Hominidae > Homo > Homo sapiens. The sequence goes on along the minus strand of NC_000002.12, from coordinate 123,723,966 downwards.
TGCCCAGATATTTGCTAAAACATTATTTCTGGGTATGTATGAGGGTTTCCAAGAGAGATTAGCATGTGAACTGGTGGATTCTGTAAAGCAGATTGCTGCCCCCATGTGATTCAGCATAATTCAATTCCTTGAAGGCCTGAATAGAACAAAAAAGTGACGGAAGAATGAATTTGCTGTCTGCCTAACTGCTTCAACCAGGGCATCAATCTCCTGCCCTCAGTGTTTCTGAAGGGTTCTCAGACCTTCAAACATAGACTGGAATCTATATTATCAACTGTCTGACTTTCAGGCTTTTGAACTTCATGAACAATTTTCCTGGGTTTCTAGCTTGCACACTACAGATTGTACAGATTGTGAGACTTCTCAGCCTCCATAATCATGTAAGCCAATTCCTTATAATAAATATCTGTGTGTGTGTGTGTGTGTGTGTGTGTGTGTGTGTGTGTATGTTTATGTGTTTTTGTTGGTTCTTTTTCTCTGGAGAACCATGATGAGTATGATATCTTTATTTGTTCTTCAAATACACATAAAGAAAATTTTGAAATAAACATGTTATCAGAAAAAACCCTCTAGTAGTTAAATGCAAATATTGTAAAATGTATAAATCAGGTCAAACATTATCTTAATTAATGTATTGGAAATCTAAAAAAGATAAATTTTCATGGTCTCTTCCTGCATCTGAGAAGTGTACTTGACTAGAAGTACATTGACAGTATACTATATTATAGAGCAAAATTCAAATTTAGACTATATTATGTATATGTTCTGTTGGTGTTGTTGTTTTGTTTTGTTTTTTGAGACGGAGTCTCGCTCTGTTGCCCAGGCTGGAGTGTAGTGGTACAATCTCGGCTCACTGAAACCTCTGCCACCCGGGTTCAAGGGATTCTCCTGCCTCAGCCTCCTGAGTAGCTAGGATTACAGGCACCTGCCATCATGCTCATCTGAATTTTGTATTTTTGTAGAGATGGGGTTCACCATGTTGGCCAGTCTGGTCTCAAACTCCTGACCTCAGGTGATCTGCCTACCTCAGCTTCCCAAAGTGCTGGGGTTATAGGTGTGAGCCACCGTGCCTGGCCATGTATATGTTTTTATATAGACCACTTCTGTACAAAAAAGCTTCCACCATGATGGAAATATTTTGTATCTGAACTTTCCAATACAATAGGTACTGGTCACACACGAATGATGACCTCTAATATGTGGCTGCAGTGACTAAGAAACTGAATTACTTTTAGTCAATTTTACTAATTTTAATTTAGGTTCAAATTATCATATACGGCTAGTGACAACCATTTCATATGATACAGACCTGAAGTGCATGCAGTGTATGTGTGTGTCTGTGTGTGTTCCTTATACATTAGTCAACAAATACTACTGCCTACTATACCCCTATTCAATAAGTATTTATTTGAGCTGATGACTATAGCCACAGGGTCTGCTGGTTTTTGTTTCCTGGCACAACACCATAACTCAAGCAGAGCTACCTCCCTTTCTCTTGCTTGTGAGGCTATAATGCAAAACCTGTCTAGTTGTCAATGTCGTTAGAAACATGACTCACGTGAATTACCCATATGTGCAGAAACGAGTTGAGATATAAGGCAACACCATCAGTACGCAGTTGTGGGCACCACAGGACAGGGCACAGTGGGAGGAATTTCCTTATTTGGGTTAGACTATATGATGAATTAGGCTCAGGAGACTGGTGCCTGTATTTTTCATCGGTGCTCAAGATTAGAGAGAGTGATGAATATAGTGCAAGAAATTGTTTGTTTTATGCTTTGTCTGTGATTTTATTGATAAAATGGGACAATCTCAACATATTCCTTACAGTTTGAGCACCCATGGTTGTCACTTTCTAAAGCTTCAAAAATTTAAAAATATATATATAGCAAAAAGAGATGAAACTTTATTCATCAGTAGGTATTTACTAAATATCTCTTCTGCAGACAACCCAATATTAGACAATTTAGAAAATGTTAGGGTGGGCGCAGTGTCTCACACCTGTAATCCCAGCACTTTGGGCATCCAAGACAGGTGGATCACCTGAAGTCAAGAGTTGGAGACCAGCCTGGCCAACATGGTGAAACCCCATCTCTATTAAAAGTACAAAAAATTAGGCAGGCTTGGTGGTGGGCACCTGTAATCCCAGCTACTAGGGAGGCTGAGATAGGACAATTGCTTGAACCCAGGATGGGGAGGTTGCAATGAGCCAAGATTGCACCATTGCAGTCCAGCCTGGGCAACAAGAGTGAAATTAAGTCTCAAAAAAGAAAAGAAAATGTTGGAGACGGGAGACAACATAAAGATTATATACATATGAATTCACACATGCCACCTTTGTACACATAGGCATATCTGCATATATATTTATTTCTATCTATCTCTTCCTCTCTATGTTCCTTTAAAGTAGAGAGTTATTATTATTGGTATCTAACAAAAAGCTTTTCCAACTTGGTCAACAGGAAAAAATTGGCTAATTAAGAAAAGAAAGAAAACACAAATTTTACACACATTAAATTATCTCCGGTAAGCAGAATAATGTTCTCCCAAAGATGTCGACATCCTAACCCCAGAAACCTGTGAATATGTTACCCTACCTGGCAAAAGGGATTTGTCATATGTGATTAAAGTTAAGACCTTGACATGAGGAGATCATCATGAATTATCCAGGAGGGGTCAATTTAATCTCTTCAATCCGTAAAAATAAAGAAACTCTTCTAGCTGTAGTAAGAGAAAACTGAGAGGGGAGGAAAAAGTCAAGCATTTGGTGGCTTTGAAGATGGAGGAAGGGAACCATCAGTCAAAGCATCCAGGTGGAAAAGGCAAGGAAACAAATGGATTGTCCTCTAGGGCCCTCAGAACAAAATGGACGCCTGCCAACAGACCTTTGTTCTCCATGATGGTGAGACAATCGATGTGTATTGCCTTAGGCACTAAATGTGTGGTAATTTGTTATAATGACAACAGGAAACAAATGTAACTCTGTTTTTCAAAGGTGAAATAAATCCTGTTATACCCTGTCCCTTACACAAAATAATCCTAGCAAATGCATCCATTAGCATACATTCCTGTCCCCTAATCACCTCAAACAAATCTCAGTTAATCCCTCCGTTTGAACACCTCATGTTTGAGTCATGACTTTGTTATTTTAACTTTGTTCTAAGTTTAGCAATATTTGTTTGTATGGCAATTACCTCGGTTGAACTCATATCTGCCAGAGCAAACTGTCATCCCTAATTTTTTTTCTTACCATATAGCATAGTGCCTAGCACATAGAAAGTTTCCCAGTAATGGCCGGGCATAGTGGCTTATGCCTGTAATCCCAGCAGGCATAAGATCGAGACCATCCTGGCCAAAATGGTGAAACCACGCCTCTACTAAAAATACAAAAGTTAGCCGGGCGTGGTGGTGGGTGCCTGTAGTCCCAGCTACTCAGGAGACTGAGGCAGGAGAATCACTTGAACCCAGGATGCAGAGGGTGCAGTGAGCCAAGATCATGCCACTGCACTCCAGCCTGGGCGACAGAACTCTGTCTCAAAAAAAACAAAAACAACAACAACAACAAAAAAAACAGGAAGAACATTTCCTAGTAATTAACTTTGGTAAAATTAACTATCTCATTATTTAAGATTGACAAAATTCGGAGGTTGTATATGAAATAATCTATGTATATTATTTAGTGATTTATAATTTTTTATTCTTGTCCACACAAATCTCTTTAAACTTTCTATAGCAGTTATTGCTTGTTTGTTTTGTTTAATATTGATATCATTTGCAGCTGTTTCTTTTCTTCTAATTGGATCAAATATTTGATTCTCCAGATGAAGAAACCAACATCCTGAAGATAATGGAGCACTTTACGTCTCTTAAATTATTCCACTTAAATGTTCATAGATGAATAAATACATTTGTTTGAAGATTTCTAAATCCAAGTGAACATAATTCAAAGGTAGTTTCCTCCTTATCAAATCCAATTTAAGGGTATACAATAATTGGTGTTTTTTAGAGGATTCCTCATCCTATTGAGCCAAGCTATTTGAGAAATAGCTACAATTTAGCGAACCATTGCATATCCAGTAATATAATGGCCCAATTATTTGTGGAAAGATGTTTGAAATATTAAATGATATTAAAAGAGAAAATCACTTAATAAATTATGAAGATTAAAAACACAACTTACAATGATAGAGGGAAATACAACATTTAAAACTAAAGAAAAATATGGCCTTTGTATTTATAGAGTATTTTTTTGATGGTGCTCCAAGCGGCTTGTAAGTCATAAGTAGGAGACACACAAGTCTATTAAGATTTCAATAAGAAAAAAAAGTCATACAGATGCCAGCTTCCCATTATAGCTGCCAAAGAAATTGAAGAAACGTATTTGAGCGGCTGCCTCAACTTCTCAAGGAATGTGATCATCAGCCTCCTAATGAGTACTTGTAAATTATGCAGTGTTCTGCATTATTGATATAACATAGTCACTTTATTGGATTTTGATAACATGTCAAAACATCTTGAACCTCATCTATCCAAGGAACTCAATTCACTACTCTTTTTCAGTTTATGCATCACTGGTTGATTTCATAAACATGACGATGTCCAAATGTTTGCATCACATTTAAGCCCCTCCACAGTCAGTCATGCACATATCTTCCCTGGGTTAGCATTCTTTACAAGAAAGGGATATTTGAGAAGGAAGCAGGTTCAGAGGTTGCATTCAGGAAGGGGAGGCTCTCAGGTGCTAGATAAAGCAAGGCACTGTTTAGGGTGGTCCTTATATTGACAGTAGCTTTGGGGATGCACTTGTCACACAAGATGTTTGAGTTTTTTGGGGGAGTTAGGATTGTTTTGCATCTTCTTTCTATAGCCAGTGAATATGCTCCTTCAGCATACACACCATGCATTTGCATGATATTGTTTTTAATCTTTGAGATTGCCTAAACAGCAACTTATATATAAAAAACAATCAATGAATACCTGTAATGTGACTTATTTTGTTTGCCTATAGACATTATTCTCCATAGACAACTTTAAACAGCTATTGTAGTGAGATGGATCTGTTTCTATGTTCATCTCTTTCAGCATTTGTTTCATCCAGAGAAAGTGCATGGAAGATAAAAGCTCTGTACTAGCAAATTGAAATAAAAGTTTATCTTGGAGAAAATAATTTCTGATTACATTTAGTATGACCTAATTAAGAGCAGAGGATAATAAACTGCTTTGTTAGTTTCGCCTCACACAGCAACATGCTGGATAACCTTTGGCAATTGGTTTAACCTTGCTGGTTCTCACTTTTATAAAAAACACCTCTAACCCCAGCAGAGGTTAGAGGCTGGTGGACCACGAGGTCAGAAGTTCAAGACCAGCCTGGCCAAGATGGTGAAATTCCGTCTCTACTAAAAATACAAAAATTAGCTGGGCATGGTGACAGGAGCCTGTAATCCCAACTACTCTGGAGGCTGAGGCAGAGAATTGCTTGAACCCAGGAGGCAGTGCTTGCAGTGAGCTGAGATCTCTCCATTGCACTCCAGCCTGGGCAACAGAGCGAGACTCCGTCTCAAAAAAAAATAAATTAAAAAAAAAAAACTCAAGAAAAAGCTGAAAAGCAATTTGATGGCAGTAGCCAAAGGAAGCATCCATGGTGACCATTGCCTGAAGAGGAAACATGCATCCACTTGCCTCAGGTTAATATCCCTTTGGCACTGTGTTCATATATAACCCCAGGGAGAAGAAAGCGCTGATTATTGTCTTGGAGTAGCTTAGAAGGGACAAGACAGTTTAAAAAGAAACAGCTGGAGTGTGATCTAATCTCCATGTTCCAATTTACTTATGTATAAAACATGCATAAAAAATTAAACCACGCTGAACAATTTGTCTGCTCTCTGTTCCTGGCATTCCTCCGCTGTCAGAGCAGCAGTCCTGGCTTGAGAGAACCCAGGGATGCCTTTAAATAATAAATAGATTATTTGTAAAATACAGCTTTCATAAATTTAATATTAATTTGACTATATCATTATAATTACATCTGAACCAGAAGCATGTCCTCATGTTCAGGCCTCCTTTGTCGATGCCACTTGACCTTCTTAACCATGACAGCAGGAATGGTACAGCTCTGCACCAGCTTTGGGGAGTGACATCAGATTAAATTAAGCACTCATGCATTTATGGATAAGCATAGAAAAGCAGGAAGGCATCCACAAGGAATTAATAATGCATCAGGAAGTTGCTGTGTAGTTCTTGATCATGTGTAAATAATGTGAACTAGTGGTCCTGCATGGAACTTTCAATGTATTCATAAAAGTATATTATATATTTCAATCTTTTTGTCGAAATTAGTTATCAGCAAAGGAATATTTACTCCATCAGTGTAATTTGCTAATAGTGATTTTTGTTGTTGTTGATTTAATTAAGTGCTTACTATGAGTTCAAGACCGTGCTAAGAATATGAAGTCAAAAGACTATATGCTACTACAGGGCTAGGCAGGCTACTGTCAAATTTAAAAAGCAAAACCAGAAACCCAGAAAATAACAATTGTTGGCTAGAATGTGGAGAAATTGGAATGCTTGTGTACTTTTGGTAAGAAGGCAAAATGGCATAGCTATTATGGAAAACAATATAGCAGTGCCTCAAAACATTAAAAAGAGAATTATCATATTATCCAGCAATTCCACTTCTGGATATATATCCAAAAGCATTGAAGAAGAATACGGAAGAGCAATTTACACATCCATATTCACTGAAGCACTATTCACAGTAGCCAAAAGGTGGAAACAATCTGTGAATCCATCTACAGCTACATAAGTGAACAAAATATGTTACATACAATGGGATATTATTCAGCCTTACAAAGAAGGGAAATTCTGACACATGCTTCAACATGGATGAACCTTGAGGACATTACATTAAATGCAGTAAGCCAAACACAAAAAGACAAATATTATCTGATTTCATTTATATGAGTTTTCTATAGTAGCTAAACTCATAGAAACAAAAGTCTGTGGGGAGGGGGAATTGGGGAGTTATCTAAATGTAGAAGGTTTCAGTTTTACAGGATGAAAAATTCTGAAGATTTGTTAAACAACAATGTGGATGTACCTAACGCTATTGAACCTATACATGCATACATTATTAAGATGGTAAATTTGGTTTTATGCACTTTTTATTCCAACAAAAGTTATTAAAGCCTATATAGGTAATTAAGTTCATATAAACACGACACAATTATGGAATTATGAATGAACATATAGTTAGACAATGAATGACCACGCATATAAGTGATATTTATAGAGCCAATACTTAGCTGGTATGTTCTGGGATAAGAGTAACAGCTGTTCTGATTGGTCAGCCATTCATTCTAGGCCATGGCCATCTAATCTGATTGGTTGCTACCAACTCCTGTTTGAATACACAAATGGACAAACACACACATTAACTGTGCACACTCACTTATTCCCACCCCTACAGAGCTAGGGAGAAGAGGGACAAGGTGGCACAGGCAGAAACAGAGAAGCTTGATCATCCCCAGTACAGCAACAAGATTTGTATTCAAACATTCTCTAGAAGAAATCTGCACATGGCATAGTGGATGAGTAAAAAATAGAGCCACCTGGTCTCCAAAAACCCAAAAGCATGAGGTGGCCAGATGTGGAGTTGAAATTCCACTGTCCCCCAAGAGGGAAAGAGGTAAGTCTTGGGAGTAAAGTGAAGATTTGGGACATTTAATAATAAGATGAACAGTCCTGTAATCCCAGCACTTTGGGAGGCCAAGGCGGGAGGATCACCTGAGGTCAGGTGTTGGAGACCAGCCTGGCCAAAACGGCGAAACCCCATCTCTACTAAAATTATAAAAATCAGCCGGATGTGATGGCAGGTGCCTGTAATCCCAGCTATTCGGGAGGCTGAGGCAGGAGAATCACTTGAACCCGGGAGGTGGAGGCTGCATTGAGCCAAAATTTCACCATTGCACTCCAGCCTGGGCAACAAGAGAGAAACTCCATCTCAAAATAGAATAAAATAAAATAAAATAAGGCCCCGGAGAAGCTGAAATATATGAGGGAAATAGACAAGAGAAGGGCAGGGAGGTGAGCAGAAGTTAGTTGGGTAAATGAAAAGAGGGAGGGAGAATAAAGAGAGGAGAGACAAAAGTGTGTGTTGAAGGGGAGAGGTTGATTCAGCATACCCAGCTTCATATGTAAGAAACAGATAAAGAGTTTGTTGTAATATGAAATTATGTTTGGCCACTGAAATTTCCTTGTATATTGTATTCTCCCCAAATGTTTAAAGAATTAGTCACATGGGTGTTCCGATGATTAATTTCTGACAAAGTTCCCTCCTATTCCTATTTGCTGAATGTGTTTATCAGGAAAGTAAGTTGGGTTTTGTCAAATGTTATTTCTGCATCTATTGGGGTAATCATATTATTTATCTTTTTTGTGTTAATATTGCGATACATTGATTTTGAAATTTTAAATAAATCTTACATTCTTGAAATAAATCACACATGGTCATTATATCTTATCCCTAATAATATGATTGGATTTGATTTGCTAATTCTATGCTATTGTTTCTTTTTTTTTGTATAATTTTTGCATCTACGTTCAGGAGGAATATTAGCCTCCATTTTTCTTTATCTGGTTTTGACAACAGGATGATTCTATTCTCAGAGAATGAAAATGGAAACATTCTCTCCTCTCTAACTTTTTGGAACAGTTTTTATACAATCTATATTATTTCTTTCTTAATTGTTGGCACACTTCACTAGTTTACTTTGTGGAAACAATTTTAAATATATATTTTGTGTCTTTAACAAATACAGGACTACTCAGTTTGTCTATTTCTTCTTGAGTGAGTTTGGTAGTTTTGTCTTTAAAGGAATCTATTTTATTTTTTATATTTGTTTGCATAGAGTTGTTAATAAACTGCTCTATAATCTCTTTAATATCCTTTCTTTAGAATCTGTAGCAATGTCACCTTTTCATTCCTGTTATTGATCATTTGTGTCATCTCCCTATTTTGTGATTAGCTGGCTTCAAGGCTCATCAATTTTATTAATCTTCTCAAAGGCCTAGCTTTTTGTTTCATTTATTTTCTCTATATGTTTTTGATATTTTGTTTCAATAATTTCCACTGTAATCTTTATTGTTTGTTTTCATCTGCTTTCTTTTGGAATAATTAGGCTTCTTATGCTAGTTTTCAAGGTAGAAGCTGAGGACAATGACTCAAGACTGTTTTTTTTTCCTAATATAAACATTTAGTGATGTATAATTCACCTATGAATTACTTCCGTAGTGACCAGCAATTTTTGATATTTTGTACATTCAGTTTTAATCAATTCAAAATACATCTGAATTTTCATTTAGTTTTTTTTTGTCTTACATATATTTTACAATCTGTTATTTAGTTTCCTATACTTGGGGATTTTTCAGAAATCTTTTTTATGTATTTCTAATTTAATTTCATTGTGGTTAGAGAACATACTTTGTATGACTTAAATTTTTATAAAATTATTGAGAGTTGGGCTTTTTGTTTTAAAATGTCCTGTATCTTAATAAATATTTTATGTGCACTTGAGATGAATGTGTATTTTGCTATTCTTGGGTAGAGTGTTCTATAAAATTAAGTTAGGTCAAGTCACTCGATAGTATTGCTTAAGTATTCTATGTCACTGCTGGCGGTTTGACTACATATAAAATTCTAGGCAGACAGTTTACATTTCTTTTAGCACTTTAAAAATCTTCATTCATTGTTGTCTTACTTTCATTGTCTGTGATGAGAAATTTGCACTTTTTCCTATGAATGTAATGTGCCTTTTTTCTTTAGTTTTTAATATTTTCTCTTTTTTGTTAGTTTTGAGCAATATGATTGCAGTGTACTTTGGTGTATTTTCCTTCATGTGTTATATGCTTGGGGTTCATTGAGATTTTTGGATATGCAGGTTAATAGTTTTGGTTAACTTTAGAAAGAAAAGTACTCATTATATGTTCAAATCCTTTTTTTTTCTTTCAACACCTTTTGCTGTTCCATTCATGTATATTAAGCTGCTTAAAGTTATCCTACAGTTATGAAGCCTTAATTATTTTTAAAAATTCTTCTTTTCCTGCTGTGTTTCATTTTGTTTAGTTTCTATTATCATGTTTTCAAACTTATTAATCATTCCTTCTGCAATTTTTAATCTTTATTCTCATACAGCGTATTTTTCAACTTGGACATTAAAGTTTTTGTCTCTGTAAGTGTGTTTTGGTCTTTTTAATATTTTTTATATCTTTACTTAATGTTTTGAACACACAAAATGCAGAACTAATGCAGTAAATATTTTGTGTTTTTTTATGCTAATTCTAACATCAGTCAGTCAGAGTTTTGATTGACTTTTTTTCCACTTCAGCAGAGGTCGTATTTTCTAGCTTCTTCAATGCCTGATAATTTTGCATGTATGCCAGATATCATAAATTTTAGACAGCTGAATATTGGTTTCTTGATAATATTCTAGAGATTTGCTCTAGTATGCAGTTCAGTTATGAGGTAATGGTTTGACCCTTCCAGGTTTTGATTTTAGGATGTGTTAATTATCTGACTGGCACTGAACACTTTGCCCAACTTCCCATCATGTATGAGGCTTTCCATTTTTTTCTGTTGGAACAGGCACAATTCCCAGCCTTGTATGAGGACCAAGTACTGTTTACACTAACACTTTTGGGTGCTTCTTTTCTCAAACACGGGTAGTTTCTTTACATAAGTGCTTTTATCAGGACTGTGCTGAATACCTGAGGAGGACCCTCTGCAGATTTTTAGGACTCTGTGCAACTTCTCTTCTGGTCATCTATCTTGCAAATGTTAGCTGCCTCAGTTTTCCCAGATTTTCAGCTATCTTTCCTTAACCCAGGTAGACTACCTGGTTCTTCCTGGGTTCCTACCTCCCTATGCCATAATACTGGATGGAACCTTAACCACTTGACCCAGGGTTAATAAATATGTATTGAAGCAAAGGAAGAGATTTTTTTTTTCAGACACAACACACACAAGTACATTTTATCAGGTAGCAAGCTTTGCCATTTTTCTTCAGTTTTTAAAACTCTAATTTGTTAAAGTGTTTAGCTAATCCTTTAATATGCAAATTTCTAAACCTACATTTTTCAAACTTCTTATGCTATAATCTGGCATTTAGAATCTATATATGAGCCAAGCTACCTGAGTTAATTGGGGAAGTCAGAAATAAAAGAAAAGTGATTGGACACGTGTATGACTACTCACAGATTGTTGACTTAAAAATACACTAGCTCAAGTAAAAGAAGAATTAAGCATTGTGAATGCTATTCTTTTTCAACATTCACTGTTAATTCTACAATAACGTCAGCCTCTATGAGACTAATAATATTAGACCTCAACAAATATAATTATAACTATATTGTAATTGATAAAATAGAGAAATGAACAAAATGTCCTGGAAGAAAAGAAGTGGAAGTAACGGATTCTTCATGGGGCAAATGGACGTATAAAGCCTTCTGGAGAAAGCATCTTTTAATCAGGGCTTTAAAGAATGATTGGGCATTTACTAGGCAGAGAGAGTGGGCACAGACATTTCAGTCACAAATGAAATAAGCACAAAGTACAGAAAGTATGCCATGGTATACATTATGAAGTTCATTAAAATAAAGTTCTTCTTTGATTTTTCCCAATGGTAATTAAATATATGCAGTCACAATTCTCTTCAGCATCTAACCTTGAGTGATAGATGTTCTTTTGTCCATAATTCTCCTTATATATTTTTCACTTACAAGAATAATATCCCTGTAAGCAAGTCCTTTAAATAAAAACTAAATATTACATATTCTAAAAGGCATGAAGTTAGGCCTGGGCAGGTGGTTCATCATCATTCAATCTGGTACAGGCATAGCATATGGGCCTGACAGCAAAACAATATGATAACATTTCTGTAATTTCCATACTATTTAATGAATTATCTTAATATTTGCTTAGTACTTATGTATGGCAGGTATTGTGCTAGGACTGGTAATGCAAGACTTAACAAGGCATACTTGTGGCCTGCTTTCGTGGAGCTCCTGGAAAATATTGAGTAACTACTATATAGTTTATGTATAGGGACATGACAAAATATACAAGGTGATGGGGAACTTATTAAAGGAACTCTGAAGCATCCTATCCCAATGGTTAGGCACACATATGGTAGAACCATACAGCTTAGGTCTAAATTACAGCATTGCCAATTACTTAACCTCTCTGTGCCTCAGTTTCCATGAAAATAGAGACTGAGCCAAAATGTATATTCTAGGAATTAAATGGAAAAGAGATAATCCCAGATTAAACAACAGCAGAAAAAAAAATAGGTAAAGTGAATTAGGTAGGGAAGGAGGGAAATGAATACAAGATGATGTGCTACTGAGGTAGGCACACTTCTCAGGAAAACACTGTTTTTTCATCAGTCTATGACACTTTCACAGAGATAGTGCACTGAACCTCAGCATATGTGTAACAATTTCTCTGAGGGATGTCAGAGAAGAAATTTATCTGCCAGATCCATTCTATGTCTTATCTCCTATGGCCAGGTTTTACCACCATGAGGAGTTTAACAGCTTGAACTTCTAGTTTGTATCACCTGGACCCTTTAGAAAGAGCTAGAAAGTTAAAGCCAATACCCTGGGTTGTGACACTTTCTCTGAGTCCAGAAGTAGTAGGAAGAGCCAAACTCCCATAGCAGCAGTCTCAGAGGTCTGAGTATGCAGGAACAATGAACATGGATATGCAGCAGCAGTAAAAGGAGAGTGAAGCTAGTAAACAAGTTTTAGATGCATGTGAGGACTTTGAGTTCTGCAGCTGAGTATTAGAAATGTCCATGCTGGGAGATGGAATTCAGTAGGAGATAGCTCGTGTAAGAGTAAGTCATTCCTTTACAGAAGAAACACATGTACTATGGCAAGAGGTTTTACGTATGGTGAGTTATTGGAATGGAATTAAATTATGTATGGCTATAGCACAGTACAAAGAAATCTGAAGAGTACAAAGAAATAATATTGGAAAGATGAGGGTATATGAAAAAATAGCCAATGAGGCTAGGTGCAGTGGCTCACACCTGTAATCCCAGCATTTTCGGAGGCGAAGGCAGGAGAATAGCTTGAGGCTATGAGTTTGAGACCAGCCTGGATGACATAGTGAGACTCTGTCTTTGTGGAAAAAAAAATAAGTTATATGGGCATCATGGCACATATCTGTTGTCTCAGCTACTCAGGAGGCTTAGATGGGAGGATCACTTGAGCCCACGGAGGCTGAGACTGCACAGAGCTACATTCATGCCACTGCCCTCCAGCCTGGGTGAAAGAGTGAGACTCTAAAAAAAAAAAAAAAAAAGAAGAAGAAGAAGGAGGAGGAGGAGCAAGAAGAAAAGAAAAAAGAAAGAAAGAAAGAAAGAAAGAAAGAAAGAAAGAAGAAACAAGAGAGAAAGAAAATAGCTAACAAATTACGATGAAGTGAAGTGAGTTATAATGAAGCTAAAAAGTGCTGCAAGGTAAAATAATTACCCAGAGATTCCGGGTGCAAAATACATTGTGAATACATACAGCAAGCGACATAAGGCCACTGAATAAAAATTGAGAGAGATTCATTGGAGATTTTAGACTTTCAAAAACACCCCTGTATTTGGGAATTTAGAAAACCACATTCATACCATTCATACCCAAAGAAAGATGCATCCTCAGAAAAATCTGAGAAGATGATAAGCTTTCTCCTAGACTCAATAAAAGCTGAGTAGTGTTAGGAGTGATCCAACACAGAGTCAATGTTCAAAAATTGGGAGAGGTTTTATGTTTGTTTTTTATTCCTGATGTTCAAGGAAATTTCTGTCAAAACATTAGCTGAACACAAGCTAAGGGACAGAGACTTCAGCTATCACACATGACAAGGCATACACTTTCTGCAAAAATATTTCAGGAAAGTCACTAAATAAACGGGCTACTATAAGATTCAACATTAAAAGCAAAACAAAGAAACAAACAAAAAAACAAACAAGCAGCACACTGTTGTTTCTCCATGCCTGTTACATAGAAGAACCCAATTTCTAGAGGGGACAGAGAGTGATAGATGCCCAACTATATGTGTGTTGTCTACAGAAGACTCAGTTTAGATCCAAAGACACATTTAGATACAAAAGAAAAGATGAAGAATGATATGCTACACAAATATTAAACAAAAGAAAGTTGAGGTGGCTAAACTAATAATAAACTGGACTTTAAGTCGAAACTGTTGCAGGAGACAAAGAAAGGCCTTATATATTGATATAAAGTTCAATTCATCCAGAGGATATAACAATTATAAACATTGTTTATAAACAATGAGCGCATAATCTGGGAAGTAAACTGACAGGATTAAGGTTATTACTAGACAGTGATGCCGTAATAACTGGAGACGTTACTACACTACCTTAAGTAATGGTTAGACATCTAGACACAATATAAATTTTAAAATGAGGACTGAAAAATACTAAAAACAAAGTAGACCTAGCAGACATAAGAAAAGCACTTCATGCAACAACAGACAACATATCTTTCAGAAGTCCACATTGATTATTCTCCTAAATAAACCATATATTAAGATTCAAAACATGTCTCAATCAATTTAAAAATATTAAAATCATCCAAGATATATTTGATGACTAGAATGGAATTAAGATAGAAATCAGTAAAAGACAAAAATAATTGACAAATATGTGTAAAATAAATAGCATAGCCTTAAACAACAAATGCATGAAGGGAGAAATCAGAGAGAAATTTAGAAAATACTCAGGCGTGATTGAAATAAAAATAGAACACATCAAAATATATGGGATATGAAGAAGGTGGTACTCAAGGAAATTTATAGCAGCAAACAGCTACATTGAAAAAGGAATGATTTAAAATCAATAAACCCACTTTACCTTCTAAGAAACTAGAAAAAGAAGAACATACTAAAATGAAACCTAGCATAAAGGAAGAAATAATAATGATTAGAGAGGAAATAAATAAAATACAGAATAGAAAAACAAGAGAGAAAAATCAACAAAAGCCAAAGTTGGTTCTTTGAGAAAGATTAATGAAATTGATAAACCTTTAGCTATATTGACCAAAAAAAAAAAAAAAAGAGAGAGGAGAGAAAGTAATTTAATCAGAAATGAAAGTAGTAAACATTAGTACTGGCTTTAGAGATATAAAAAGAATTACACAAGAATACTTAAGGACAACTGTATACCAACAAATTTGTAAAACCAAATGAAATGGATAAATTTCTAGAAACACAAAAAATTGCCTCAAATGACTCAAGAAAAAGTTATTTTTGACTCAGTGAAGAGATTGAATCAGTAATCAAAAGTTTTCCAAAAAGCCTCCCAAAAAAGAAAAGCCCAGGACCAGATGGTTTCATGAGTGAATTCTACCAAACATTTTGTTTTCTGTACTGTGATGCTTTAACATCTGGGGCCTTACTGATCCTGGAGGAATTGCCCCTCCCAAGGTTAGCTGGTTCCTTGAGATAGTAAGCAACTCACCTGCAAGCATGCTTTTCAAATACCAACCAACCAATACAGAACCCACACCTACCACTTCATTTTTCAGGCCCAAACATGTCAGACCACTATCCACCAGCCCTGATTACCCCATGGCCAGGTATCAGACAACTAGGAACAGTCCCTATGTCCCAGATCCCACTGAAATTATTCAAATTAGCAAGTCCTAAACCTGCTTACTTTGCTTTGCCCATTCGTTCTCATATAAAACACAAAAAAGTTTCTCGTCCATGGCTCCTGACCTTGCTCTGCCTCCTGATAGACCCTTGGTACCTGTCTGTGCATCCCTCTTCAGAACTGTAACATATTATCTTTTTAATGGAAAATATCTTCTGATCTGTTGATCTTACTCTACCTCAATTTTTTATTACTACACTATATTTTAAAAAACAAAGCAGAATAAATGGCAATACTTCTCAAACTTTTCTAAACAACAGCAGAGTAGGCCACAGTTCCTTAATCCTTTGATGAGTCAGAAACCAAAGATATCATGATAAAGAATATTATAGATCAATATCCCCTATAAATATAAAAGTACAAATGTCTCTCTCCAAAGTGATATCAAACTTAATCCAACAATATTTTAACACAATTATACATCATGACCAGGTGGAATTTATTATCCCAGAGAACAACGACGGTTCAACACAGAACGTCATCAGTGTGATGCAGTATTAATGGAAATAATGAAAAAAAATTGTCATCTCAATTGATATAGACAACACTCAGAAAGCCACCAATATATTGGAACTTCCAAAATATGATAAAATACACTAATGTACTTTTTAAAAAATGCATTACTAACATCATATTCATTGGTCATAGAATGCAGTCTCTACCCCTAAATCAGAAACAAGACAAGAATATCTGCTTCTGTCATTGCTCTTCAACATTATAATGGATGTTCTACCTAGAGCAGAGAATAAAATACAAAAATCTAAATTGAAATGAAGTTCTCTATTCACAGTGGCAAATCCTATTTATAGAAAATCCTGAGGAATCCACAAAAGAAGCTTCTAGAGCAATTGAATGAATTCAGCAAAGTTGAATATTACATAACCAACACATACAAATAAGTTATATTTCCAAACTCCCATAATGAACAATCTGAAAAAAAAAAATTAAAAAGCAATTTCATTTACAATAGCATATAATATAATAGAATAAAATATCTAGGAATACATTTAACCACAAAGTTAAATAGTTGCACAGCAAACAATGAAACATTGCTAAAAGAAATCTCAGAAGACCTAATATTAATTGAAGGAATTCAATTAATTCATAAGCTTAATTCCTGCTTAATTAATAAGCAGGAATACTTAATAGCATTAAGATGTCAAAACTAAAGTATCAATCTGTATATATATATTTAACATAATCCCTAAATTTCTAAATCCGAAAAGCCTGTTTTTTGCATAAATCAAAAAGCTGATAGTTAAATTTACATAAAATTGCAAACCAAGTTTACATTATGGGTAAAAAATTTTAAAAATGGAATATATATTCAGTAAAATACTATTCAACCATAATAAGAAATGAAATTTGTATACATGCTAAAACATGGATAAATCTTAAAAACATTACACTAAGTAAGATAAGCCACACAAAAAAAGAATATACATAGTATGGTTTCACTTATATAATAAATATCTAGAATAGGCAAACTGACAGAGACAAAAAGATTAGAAATTACCAAGGTCTGGAGGGATAGGAGAGTGAATACAGAGTTTGTGTTTGGAGTGATAAAAATGCTTTGGAAGTAGTGGAGGATGGATATACAGCATTGAGAATGTAATTAATGTATCTAAATTATTCTCTAAAAACTGGTTGAAATGGCAAGTTTCATGTTTATATATATATAAAATGAAAAAATTTAACAAACAAGTCTGGGCTTAAACTTTTTTTTTCCTTTTTTTTTTATTATACTTTAAGTTTTAGGGTACATGTGCACATTGTGCAGGTTAGTTACATATGTATACATGTGCCATGCTGGTGCGCTGCACCCACTAAATCGTCATCTAGCATTAGGTATATCTCCCGATGCTATCCCTCCCCCTTCCCCCCACCCCACCACAGTCCCCAGAGTGTGATATTCCCCTTCCTGTGTCCATGTGATCTCATTGTTCAATCCCCACCTATGAGTGAGAATATGCGGTGTTTGGTTTTTTGTTCTTGCGATAGTTTACTGAGAATGATGATTTCCAATTTCATCCATGTCCCTACAAAGGACATGAACTCATCATTTTTTATGGCTGCATAGTATTCCATGGTGTGTATGTGCAACATTTTCTTAATCCAGTCTATCATTGTTGGACATTTGGGTTGGTTCCAAGTCTTTGCTATTGTGAATAATGCCGCAATAAACATACGTGTGCATGTGTCTTTATAGCAGCATGATTCCATGCTCATGGGTAGGAAGAATCAATATCGTGAAAATGGCCATACTGCCCAAGGTAATTTACAGATTCAATGCCATCCCCATCAAGCTACCAATGCCTTTCTTCACAGAATTGGAAAAAACTACTTTAAAGTTCATATGGAACCAAAAAAGAGCCCGCATTGCCAAGTCAATCCTAAGCCAAAAGAACAAAGCTGGAGGCATCACACTACCTGACTTCAAACTATACTACAAGGCTACAGTAAGCAAAACAGCATGGTATTGGTACCAAAACAGAGACATAGATCGATGGAACAGAACAGAGCCCTCAGAAATAACGCCACATATCTACAACTATCTGATCTTTGACGAACCTGAGAAAAACAAGCAATGGGGAAAGGATTCCCTATTTAATAAATGGTGCTGGGAAAATTGGCTAGCCATATGTAGAAAGCTGAAACTGGATCCCTTCCTTACACCTTATACAAAAATCAATTCAAGATGGATTAAAGACTTAAACGTTAGACCTAAAACCATAAAAACCCTAGAAGAAAACCTAGGCCTTACCATTCAGGACATAGGCATGGGCAAGGACTTCATGTCTAAAACACCAAAAGCAATGGCAACAAAAGACAAAATTGACAAATGGGATCTAATTAAACTAAAGAGCTTCTGCACAGCAAAAGAAACTACCATCAGAGTGAACAGGCAACCTACAAAATGGGAGAAAATTTTCGCAACCTACTCATCTGACAAAGGGCTAATATCCAGAATCTACAATGAAATCAAACAAATTTACAAGAAAAAAACAAACAACCCCATCAAAAAGTGGGCGAAGGACATGAACAGACACTTCTCAAAAGAAGACATTTATGCAGCCAAAAAACACATGAAAAAATGCTCATCATCACTGGCCATCAGAGAAATGCAAATCAAAACCACAATGAGATACCATCTCACACCAGTTAGAATGGCAATCATTAAAAAGTCAGGAAACAACAGGTGCTGGAGAGGATGTGGAGAAATAGGAACGCTTTTACACTGTTGGTGGGACTGTAAACTAGTTCAACCATTGTGGAAGTCAGTGTGGCGATTCCTCAGGGATCTAGAACTGGAAATACCATTTGACCCAGCCATCCCATTACTGGGTATATACCCAAAGGACTCTAAATCATGCTGCTATAAACTTTTAATATTATTTATTGCAATTTTTTATATTAGGTCATGTCATGCAAGCTCTCTTACTGAATTTATTAATTTAAAATTTGGAAATAACAATGTTCTTTTTGTAAAGTCATAAGACACAAAGTTGGCAAATTCCATAATATGTGCAAGATGCTTAGCAAAGCACCTTGTGCATATTATATGATCCACATATATCCATTTATGTCGTTTTCTTTCCTTACATTCTCACTTTTATCTTTTTTGCATTAATTGGTTAATTTGTTTTTATAAAATGACTCAAAACTTCCAGTAGCTTTTACATAAACTTTTTAAAGAATAGTTTTATATTTTTATAAAAGTTGTGAAGGGAGTTGTCATGTTGCATAGTACATTTGCCACAATTAACAAACTAATATTGATTCATTGGTAAATCTTCATTTACATTTATTTAGTTTTTACTTAATATCCTTGTTCTGTTGCAGGATTGTATTGAGGATACTACATCCCATTTAGTCATCATGATTCCTTAGGTTCTGTTTGGCTGTAAAAGTTTCTCAGATGTCCCTCAGTTTTGATGACATTAATAGTTTTGAAGAGTAATGGTCAGGTATTTTACAGGATGCCCCTCTCGTGGAATTTGTCTGATTTTTTTTTTTTTTTTTTTTTTTTTTGAGACCGAGTCTTGCTCTGTCCGCCAGGCTTGAGTGCAGTGGCACGATCTCGGCTCACTGCAACCTCCGCCTCCTGGGTTCAAGCAATTCTCCTGCCTCAGTCTCCCGAGTAGCTGGGACTACAGGCGCCCGCCACCACGCCCAGCTAATTTTTTGTATTTTTAGTAGAGACGGGGTTTCACCATGTTGGTCTTGATCTCTTGACCTCGCCATCGGCCCACCTTGGCCTCCCAAAGTGCTGGGATTACAGACGTGAGTCACTGCGCCCAGCCTGTCTGATTTTTTTAAAACGATTAAAATAGGGTTTGGGGTTTTGGAGAGGAAAACCAGAGTGCTGTTTTCACCACATTCTAATAAAGGCTCATACTATTGACATGACATTATGATTAATATTAAACTTGATCACCTGGTTGAGGTAGTGTTTGTCAGATTTATTCATGATAAAGTTACTCTTTCTCCTCATTTCCATAGCCTTTAGAAGGAAGTCACTATAGGCCAGGAGCCGTGGCTCATGCCTGTAATCTCAGGACTTTGGGAGGCCGAGGCCGGCAGATCACAAGGTAAGGAGATCAAGACCGTCCTGGCTAACACGGTGAAACCCCGTCTCTACTGAAAATACAGAAAATTAGCCGAGCGTGGTGGCGGGCGCCTGTAGTCCCAGCTACTCTGGAGGCTGAGGCAGGAGAATGGCCTGAACCCGGGAGGCGGAGCTTGCAGTGAGCCGAGATCACGCCACTGCACTCCAGCCTGGGCGACAGAGAGAGATTCCGTCTCAAAAAAACGAAACAAAACAAAACAAAAAAAAAGAAGGAAGTCACTATGTGCAGCCTACACTTATGGGGTTGGGAGTTAGGCTCCATCTTTTGAAGAACAGAGTATCTACATAAATTATATTGAGTGCTATATGGAAGATTTGTCTACTTTTCCTCATTTACTTATTTACTCAATCATTTATTGATATCAATACGGACTCATAAATATTTATTTTATACTGTGTCATAATCCGATAGTGATTTGTACTATTCATTGCTTGAATTTATATAGCTTTGGTCATTGGAAGCTCTTTAAATTGACTTCTGTATCCCTTTGGCAAATTTCCACAATCATGGTTTCTTTGAACACTTTCTTACTTTCTGGTATTGCAAGATGCTCCAGGCTCATCTTGTTTATTCCTGGCCTCAGCCCTAGAATCATCTATTTCTCCAAAGTATTCTGGATCTTGTTTTGTTTCAGAATGATATTAGGAACCAAGATCCGGACACTAGCCATGCTTATTGCTACTGGGGTGTCTTTCCTTCTAGGCTCTTAGCTGATAGAGTGAGAATATATATAACATAACATATAATAATGGGTGTTTATGCACATTATCTATAAATATATATTTCTATGTGTATTAGTATGTTTCTATAAGCTAAACATGTTTATATTGTCACCAACCCTAATTAATTACCATATAGATCATTCTAGTCTTCTCCCCTTGCTTACTGTAATCTTCTGCTCCCACAGCAAGAATACAGGCTCCTGCCATCTGCTATCCATTATACATTTTTCACTTCTTGTACAAATGTATATTGGTTTTATAATTTTAACACACGCTTTTGTAGAAAACACCTTTAATAACTACAGCAGTACTTATGCACAGTTCTTTTGTCTTTAATATTACAAATTTTACTCCATTTCTAAGATATTTTTATCAACACCTTTTCTCCTCACCCTATGGTAAAACTGCTTCATACATTTAAAATACAGTCACATACATTTGCAACGGTCTTTATCTTTGGATTTCTCAAACTCTTACATTGTTGTCCTTAATCTGGGTATATTGGATTTCAATCTTTTTGCTGTAAAATTCTGTGAGTTTTGACAAATGCTTAGTGTCATGTATACATCATCTGAGTATCACACGGAATAATTTTACCATCCTAAAATATTCTCTGTGTTTCACCTAGCTAAACCTTCTTCATTGCCAAATGCATATACTGATCTGTTTACTTTCTCTACAGTTTTGGCATTTATAGAAAGTCATGTAAATGGAATTATACATCATATAGACTTTACAGACTGGATTCTTTCACATAGCAATATGCACTTAAAATTCATCCATGTATTTGCATCGCTTAATGGCACATTCTTTTTTTCATCACTGTATTCACTGTATTCCATTGTATAGGTATACCACAGTTTATCTGCTCAACCACTGAATGGCATCTTGTTTCCAGTTTTTGTCTATTACAAATTATATTGCCATAAACATTTGTGTGCAGGTTTTTGTGTGAACAAATGTTTCAAATCATTTGAGTGCATTCCTAGGAGCATGGTTGCTGGTTTCTAAGGTAAAATTACATTTAACTTTGTGAGAAACTCTAAAAGTTTCTTCCAAAGGACTGTACTAGTTTGCACATTCACTGGCAATGAGGGAGAGTAACTCACTAGCAATGAGTAAGAATTACTCTTACTTCTCATTTTTGCCAGCAATTTGAAGTATCAGGGATTTTTTGGTTGTTGTTATTTTTTTACTTTAGCCATTCTAATAGGTTTTTAGAGGTATCTATTGGTTGTTTTAATTTGAATTTTCTAATGAAAAATGATGCTGTTCATATTTTCATATTCTTAGTTTAAATCTAAATATCTTCTTTGGTGAGCTTTTTGTTCAGATATTTTGTCTACTTTAAGTGACTTTTTAAAATATCTATTATTGAGTTCCAAGATTTCTATGTTTTAGATACAAGTTTTATTTATCATATATGTCTTCTGCAAATATTTTCTCCCAGTCTGTGCTTTGTTTTAATTCTGTTAATAGCGTCTTTCACAGAACAGAAATTTGTCATTTCAATAAATTTCAACTTGTCTTTTTTTCTCTCTCTTTCTTTTATGGATTTTGTGCTTTTGTTCTTGTATCTATAAATGTATCAACAAACCTGAGGACACATTTGATTTCTTTTCTATTTTTTTCTAGAGATTTTATAGCTTTGGATTTTACATACAAGTCCACAATCAATCTTTGAGTTGATTTTTTATTCAGGTATAAGTTCTGGGTCTGAGTTCATTGTTTTTGCATGTAAGCTTCCAATTGTTCCATAACCATTTGTTAAAAAGTCTAACCTTTTCTGTTCAATTGTCTTGTGACTTTGTAAAAATTTATTTCACTACATTTGTGTGAGTTTAATTTCTAGGCTTTTCATTCTCTTCCATTAACCTATGTGTCTAACATTTTACTAATGCCACATTTTCTGAATTACTGTGCTTTATAATAAGTCTTGAAATAAGGTGGTGAGATTCTTCCAATGCTGTTGTTCTCCTTTGGTATTGTGTTGACTATTGTAGATGTTTTATATTTCTATATAACTTATAAAATCCAGTTTGTTAACATACAAAAAAAGCCTTGCTGCAATTATGAGTGAGATTGCATTGAATCTATAGATCAAGTTAAGAAGAATTAATATTTTAACAATATTGTGTCTTCCCATCTATGAGAACAAAGTATTTCTTCATTTCTTTAAATCATCTTTGATCTTCCATCAACATTCTGTTGTTTTTAGTATATTAGATATTAGATAGATAGATATAGATAGATGATTGATTGATAGATAGATAGATAGATAGATAGATAGATAGATAGATAGACAGATAGATTTATCTCCAAGTACTTTCATTCTTGGTACTATAGTAAATAGTATTTCTAAAAATTCCAATTCCAAAAATTTATTCCCAGTATATAGGAAAGCAATTAATTTTTATATATTGATCTTATATTCTGTGACACTGGTATAATACCTACGAGTTCTATGAGGATTTTGTAGATTTTGGGGGTTTGCTACATAGATAATCATGTCATATTCAAATAAAGACTTGAAGTAGATTTTGACTTTTTAAATTTTAAATTCTTGATATTTTTACATTTTTGCTTTATGTGAGGATGTATATTGTCAGTAGTATTAGCAGCAATGATAATAACAATAGTCAGAACATGTAATACTTACTAGGTTCAAGCACTATGAAAAACGCTCTTTATATATCACTTTTTCATCTAATTTCTTCCATTCTATGATCTCACCAGTAATTATTGTGATATATAATCAAGTATCAGGCTGGAAGAAGACAATGTATGTTACCACTTGCAAGTGAAAAAATATTTGCATTTTTGCCTAAGAATTATTCTGAAAAAAAAAAGTCCATTTATTAAACCTCCACAATCCTTCAGTTCTCAAATGTGTCCTAAATATTAACTCATTTTAATTAATATATAATTATTTTATTCATTCAATAGCCATTTTTCATTCCAACTATTTTTCAGGCTTATTAAGATATACATTATTTTCCATTTCCAAACACAGGTTGGTTACCAGTTATAAATACGGACTCTTTTTTTTGAGATGGAATTTCGCTCTTGTTGCCCAGGTTGGAGTGCAATGGCACGATCTCGGCTCACTGCACCCTCAGCCTCCCGGGTTCAAGCAATTCTCCTGTCTCAGCCTCTGGAGTTGCTAGGATTACAGGCATGTGCCACCATCCCCAGCTAATTTTATATTTTTAGTAGAGACAGGGTTTCTCCATGTTGGTCAGGCTGGTCTCGAACTCCCGACTTCAGGTAATCTGCCCGCCTTGGCCTCCCAAAGTGCTGGGATTATGGTCATGAGCCACCGTGCCTGGCCAAATGTGGACATTCTCAACGTTTTTATTCTAGCCTGGCTTGATCAAGGTACTTTAACTTCTTGCCAACATAAATGGTTTGAAACTTTAGAAAATTAAAAACCTCTGTTTTTTATAAATAAGCTAAATTATACCTGTTGCTCTCTAAACAGAAAAGCACAAGGGACATGACCTTAAAAGTATTTAAGAATACATACAAATTGCTTATTTTGTGTCGTGCTGAACTTACAAGTGATAAGTGGGAAATGCCATTTAAAGCAATGGTGCTAAAGAACATTGTTAATTAAAAGTAAATTCGGACCCAAGAAGCACTTTTCCACAATATCCCTGAAAAATTATGACTGAAGAATCACACTTCTAAGTTTGTCCCTTAGTATGTAAACTATCTTCCTGAATAGATTTCCAGGTTTAAAGAAAGTGCGGCTTTTCATTTTGCAGTTACGAAAAGTATACTAATACTATGCTCATTAAACAGACTCCATAAATATTGATTTTCTGGTTGTCAAGGGAAGACACAATAAAGTCACCAGCAACTATTTATAACTGGCATAAATCTCATTCCACTAACTCAGATATACAAGGAATATAGCTTTCTTTCTTTATTCATCTATATAACACAATTTTATTTTTATATTCAGCTATTATTCTACCAGGATAGCAGAAATCCAGTTATAATTAACTTAGTGTACCCCTCACTTCTCATTTATTTCATTTCTTACGTTTCTGAATTCTGGTAATCTTAAGTAGTGCCAAGGTAGTAGGTGTGGTGACTGGGGCACATCTGCTGAGAATATTTTAAAAATTCCATCCTGTTTGTCTTCCGTTATTATTCTACATAGGCTATTGTTGAGTTATTGAACTTCACCTCTGCAATTCCCTTTGGGTCCAGGGGTCTTACTCTGATAATAATAGATTCTACATAGTCATATATATGAAGAAGGAATTACAGAAATAGCAAAGAAAACTGAGAAGAAAATCAACAAAGAAAATAAAAGTACAATATTATTAGTTTCATTGTCTTTTAAAACAGAACATGTAAATTAACGAGAGGTGTTGGCCTTCTAAATTATAAGCTAATCCTAGAAGATGAACTGGAAGGGGTCCTATGTATGAATTGGCTGGCTTTATGTTTTTGTTAGATAAAAGACAAAAAGGACATAAAGTGACATGACAAAGGCAAAAAAAAAAGCAAAACAAAACAATTACTCTCTATATATATATTTGCACACACACACACATATATACTTACACACACATTATCATTCAACAGATATCTATTGATTACTCACTGGAAACTAGATCAGGGATACAAAGATGAATGATGCATGACTTTGTCCTCAGAGAGGGTGAGACGTATGTTTATCAAATAGTGTAATGAGATTGGTTTGAAAAAACAGACAAGTCAGAGATTAAGAGAACATTATTAGTCAAATAGACCTGCATTTCAATTGACACTGTGACTTAAATATATATATAGATAGGTTGAATGTATATATTTAATACATAATATATAGATATATATATCTATATATATATCGATATATATCTATATATATATCGATATATATCTATCTATAGATAAATATATATAGATATATATAGATAAATATATATAGATAGATTTTATGTATGTATTTAATACATATATGCAAACACACACACATATAATATATATAAATAATTTTTTTGTGTCAGAATCTCACTGTGTTTCCCAGGTTGAAGTGCAGTGACATGATCATGGCTCACTGCAGCCTCAAACTCCTGGGCTCAAGGAATCCTCCTGCCTCAGCCTCCCTAGGAGTTGGGATTACAGGCACGCACAACCATACCCAGTCTAATGTTGTTAGTATAAATACAGTCTGGAGATATTTATTAATTAAAACTATGTCTTATTGTTGACAAAGAGGCCAGCTAACAATAAAAACATAATTGACCTTAAAATCCTCAATGAGACTGAGGCTTCCCCTCTTCAGAATTCTGACACTTTGTCCAGGCAGGGAGACTGTTTATGGAATACAGGGTCAAAGGTGCAGGATTCAGAACCCAAAAGAATCCACAAAGCAAAAGACTCTACTCTCCTTTGGAAGCTCCATTCCCCAACCCCCATTGTCTTGTATTTCTCCTTTGCAAATCCCATCTCCAAGGCAAGCCCCCATTTTGCCATGGGGAGAATCTGTTCTTGAAATCATGAATTGTCTTAGCCATCATCAGGGCAATCTTCTTTCACATGCTGCTGACTGCCTTCACCAAGTGGGTACTGCTGATGCTCAGGAAGGCACAGACCAGTCTCTGAGGCATGAGGATAAAACTACTGCTGCTTCTGATGCTGTTGGAGGAAGTGTGACTGCTTCCTGTGTGATATGGCTTATCACTTGCAAGTGGTAACATACATTGGCTTTTTCCAGCCTGATACTTGATTATATATCACAAAAATCTACTTTTGCTGACCAGCTGCTCCTCCTGTCCCAAACTTCTCTTGCCCCCTTCAAACATGGTAAGGTGGTTTAGCCACAGAGTTGACAGAGTCAATTTTTGCTTGTCAGCCCTTGGGCTAACTGGCATGTGGAGATGAATATCTATTCATATCAGCATTCACAGCTTCTGCTCTCAGGCATCCTGAAACACAAGTACATTTCCTGATAACTCATGATCTTCCAGCCTTTCATGGAATTTTAAAGTTTTGATGACTGAATTTTTATTAATTGATCTGTTTCTTCAACTGGTACAAGATTGTACTTCTGTAGGTGATATAACTGATGAGGCATACATCTTTTTAAAATGTGTTTTAGAACAAAATAGGAGATTCATTCCACTTCAAAGATTGAATTGATGCTTTTAAGTATTTGGACGCAAGGCTGGTGCATGCTAATAATTTTGGAGGAGTGGGATATTTAGAACCCGAACATGCCTGAAGGTTAGAATTAATTCTGTGTAGAGTAGATCCAGCTTCTTCTTCTTCCCAGGGTGAAGAGAGTGCTTTTTCACTTTGGTTGGAAGGAGGACATGAGTCAAGGAGACGGATGGAGGTGAATGGCAATCAGCCTGTGTCCTGAGAAATGGAACGTCAGGCGATACTGGTATGGGGACCCTTTTCAGCTTGGCTGGATGAGCTTCAAACTGCTGCAGCTTCTCTGACTTATTTTTGTTTACCTTAGGTAATTTCTGAACTGATCCAAATTTTACTCGTGGTTTTAGAATCATTCTTTCAACTTTTTTTTCTAAGTATAGTGTCTGAATTTTTCATGGTATTTTTATTTTTCTTCTAAGACTAGTGATGGCTGAGATACACACGGTGGGCTGCTCAAATTCATCATCCATATCTGCTTCCTCAAATTCACGTAGGAGTCTCACTGGCTATCTATCCAAGCAATCTCCAAGAGGGGTAAAACCGTCTTGATGCTGCTGTTCTCTCTTTCTTTCTCTTTCTAGACAAGGGACACTATAGGGTCATTTCTATTTTGTGTCATCTTCTGAGGGTGGCCTTTGGTTTTCATCTTTGGAGAGGGCCCATGTGATTTCTCACTGATCAAAGCAGAACTTCTCATCAGTCTTGCACTCAATGAAGTACTTTTTCTTATGGAAAGGTTTTGCTTCTTGCTTTGACCCACAGCCCCTTCTTGGCTGACCCTTGATCTGTCCTAAAGGGCATTAGTGTGGCCTTTTCCAGGTTTCTGGTGTAGAACAATGGGTCCTCCTCCAGGAATCTCTAATAGTCCACAGACAGCGGTTGAGGACTGATAGATGATGGGGTCCGAACACGGCCATAATCAGAAGATTCCTGGTCTGAAGATAAGCTGGTGAAGGTTGGTGAAACCGCATTCTTTCATTTCTCTTCTTCTGACTTTGAGAAGCTTTGGAGATGCTTAATCTCTGAGAGTGTTCTGTGTTTTTTCTGTCTGTGGTCTCAGCTGTCTGACTGGAGGCTTTTCAGTTTTCATTTCCTCCTCCTTCTAAAGAGCAATCCTGTGGCACTTTCTGGAGTTGCTCTTCTTCAAGTCCAGTTCATCAGGTTTACTGTTTCATTGCACAAGAACTTCTTCCACTGCCACACAGAATCTCTGGCAAAGCTCCTAAAATGCTCGTAATTTTTTCTGAAGCTATTCACTATTATCTCAACTTCAGTCTCCTTAAGGATCTCTACTATAATAGACAAGGTAGAGAGTTCTTTCAATTTTTTTCTATAGGTTCTAAGGGTGCAGGCTTGTGGCCATGGCACCTGCAGCTTCTCCACAACTTGGAGCACCAACACCACCACCACCACCGCACTGGTGTGGCTGCCTCATGAGAACTGGGCTCCTGTCTCATCCTTAGGCGGTAGCTCTGCTCTCTATGTGTGCATCCTATGAGTGGCCTTTCTGGTGTGCAGTCCAAGACAGAGTGAAGTCCTATGTTAACACTGACCTTATAAATCCTGACCTCCACCACCCATGCCCCTACCTTTCTCTGGAGTGAAGAGCCACACCCTAAGTAGCACCCATTGGTGGTCCACATAGGATCCCTAGGGTCAGCAGGAATGAATCAGTAGCAACCACACCAATGGTCAGCTATCTTAATTTCAACTGCAACACAGCCTGAGGAAATAAGTTATGTTGTACCCATTATACTGATGAGGAAACTGAGGCTCAGAAAGCTCAAATTAACTTACATATAGTCACATAGAAAAAGCACAGATAAAATTTAAATATAGTCTAGTCCAAAGTGAGCACATGCCTCTAATAGGTGTAGAAATTGAAAGTGAGGGAGAAAAAATTTGGTCTAATGTCAAATAGCTTAGCCTCAGACAGTAAAAGTTCATGTGTCTAGTTTACTTCCAAAGAAATGTCTGCTACATAGGCATCAAATAAATTATTCTTCAATGAATGAATGAATGGTCATTTGCTCTGATGACCTGTCCATCAGCAGTAGGGCTTGAGTCAAACCAATCTAAGACACTATCTTTTAGGACACTTACTTTCTTCCAAAAGGGCTAAATTAGGCTATAACTATTACTACTAATGATAACAAATAAATATTCTCAATTAAAAATTTCCACATTGATTACATCTCATTTGATTAGATAAGACTAGATTACATCTTACACAAATCTCCAGCACTAGTGCTACACCTATTCTAACTTGTTGTCCAAAGCCAGAAAACTCTGTGGTGTATTTTCCTTGATATTTTTCTTTTAAATAGAATATTTTCATTGAGCAGTTTTAGGTTCATAACACAATTGAGAGGAAGATACATAACACACTTGAGAGGAAGAGGAAGAGGGTTATTCCTTATGTCCTTTTATCACACACATGCACACACTGCCCCACTATAAACATCCCCCACTAGAGTGGTACAATTGTGACGGTTGATGAACCTACATTGACATGTTATTACCCAAAGACCATAGTTTGCATTAGGGTTCACTTTGGGGATTGTACATTCTATGAGTTTTAATAAGTGTATAATAAAATATCTCTGCATCATAGTACAATTCAGAATAATTTCACTTCTCTAAAAGTCCTCTGTGCTTTGCTGATTCATCCTTTTCAAATAACACTGTATTACTTCCTAGTTAGTGCAACTGTCCAATTTTCCCCTCCTGTCACTTGTATCACTGTTGTCATTTACTCCACTTTTATACATACATTATACACACATTTTGGACACACATTCCACTTTTTTACATACATACAACAAATATACATATTTTTGTTTTTACAAAAGTGGTGAAAGAAAGGTGAAACATTGTATTTACCTTCACTTATTTCTTCTCCAGTGATTTTCTTTTCTTTATATGGGCCTGAGTTTCTAATCTACTTCAATTTACTTTTTTTTCTGAGGAGCTATTTTTTGTTTAACACTTCATGCAAGGCAAGTCTACAGACAACAAATTCCCTCAATGCTTATTTGTCTAAGAAAGTCCTTGATTGTCCACTTTTAATGGATAATTTTGCAGGATACAGAATTCTAGGTAGTTGGGATTTCCATCTCCACACTTTAAATATTTCACTTCACTCTCTTTTGCTTGCATGGTTTCTGAAAAAGAGATGAATATAATGCTAAAGTTTACTCTTCTCTAGGTAGGTGTTTTTTGCCTGTGTCTTGTTTCAAGATTTGTTTTCTTATCTTTTATATTCTGTTGTTGGAACATAATATGACCAGGTATACGCTTTTGTTTGTTTGTTTGTATTTTGCATTTATCCTGCTTGGTGTTCTCTGAGCTTCCTGAATGTGTGGCTTGGTGTCTGACATTGATTTAGAGAAATATTCCATCATTACTGCTTCAAAAATTTATTAGGTTCCTCTCTTTCCTCTTTTTCTCTTTTTTTTTTAATAGTACATGCATGTTACATCTTTTGTAGCTGGCCCACAGTTCTAGAATAGTCTGTTGTAGTGTTTATTTTTCAATCTTTTTTCTTTACTTTTCATTTTTGAAAATTTTTACTAGCCTATCTTAAAGTTTAGAGATTATTTCTTTAGCCATGTCCAATCTACTAATAGGCTCATTCATTCTTCATTTCTGTCACACTGTTTTTGATCTCTAGTACTCTTGGGATTTTTCTTAGAATTTCCATCTCTCTGCTTACATTACTCATTTGTTCTTGCATACTGTCTACTTATTCCATTAGATCCCTTAGCATATTAATCATAGTTATTTTAAATTCATTGTCTAATAATCCCAACAGGTCTGCCATAGCTGAGTTTGGTCCTGAAGCTTGCTTTGTCTCTTCAAACTGGCTCCTGTTTTCCATTTTCCTATAATATGTCTTGCAATTTTTTTTGAAAGCTGGACATGATGTACTGTGTCAAAGGAACTCTGGCAAATATGCTTTTAGTAACATAGTGGTGAGGTTTGTGGGGAGGTACTGTGATTAGATATTAGTTATATAGTGAGCCTATGCCCCATTGGCTGCTAACTTTACAAATGCCTTTCCTTTTATTTTGTTTTTCAAAGCCTTTGGTGGGACAGGATGGCTGGAGGAGCTGAACTTGGGTATTGTTCTTTCCCACAGGCTGTTTAGGCTTTCTTTTCTTTTCTTTCTTTCTTTTTTTTTTGACATCTCAGTAGGGAAGGCATTAGTAAAATAGTTTCTCTTGAGGGAAAGCCTTATTAAGAATAGAATACTCTGGTGTATTTCAAACTGGACACTTTTTCCTTATTCCTTCTGGAAACATAAGGGAATTTTTCTCTGATTTCACTATGACAACCTAGCAGAACTCCAGGAAGTAAAAATTACAAAATGTGGCCTCCCACACCCCCATCTGCAGAGTCATTAACTCACAGACTTGTCCACATCAGGCCTCCAGCAATTTGTCAATTACAGTTTAAGTTTTCCTACTCCAGCACTACCTCAGCAGTCAGATACTTCCTCACTGTCTACTGTCTTTGATCCATTTGTGTTTAATTTCATTGAGAGTCCTCGCATAATATGCAAGTTATTTGCGTTAGGGAATTTAGGTCAGTTTATCTCATGTCTGTGTGTTACCTCGACAAAGACACTAAAACACTGCTTAGATGACTAGGCAAGAAATCAAAGAACAGTTCCTCAGAGTTGACCCCATGTTAGCCCTGAGCCAGAAGAGTGCATGGCCTGCTCAGTACAAAATCCAGAAAGACTAGGATATGTGCGCTTGGTGATAGTAGGAACGGGTGTTACGGAAAGGAGGGAGGAAACACTGAAGTAATTTATTAAAATTCTAGAAAGTGAGGCTAGGTCCAAAATGTGGAGGAAGTTGGGTAAGCAAAGCAATGGGAAGCTGTCAAGGTTTCACTGCCTACTCACCACCCCATGTAGGCACCAGAACAGGATAAGAGTCCATATTTTTCCAATGATCAAACTAAGATTCTTTCAACTATACTGTATTGCCTCAAAAATGATTGCATTTTGCTTTTATCTCATTTTAATGGCAACAGTATTGCCCGTAAGAGCTGCCCATTTGTGTGAATAAGTGATATTTTCAGCTCCAGTCAGTATATTGGGTTGTATTTATATATGTGAGAGCCTAACTTTTCCAGTGTCCTGGGCTTCCCACAGGTGAGTTCACATTCAGAAGGCTCTGATGTTGTACCCAGGCAAGTTAGAGAAAACACCACACTTTGAGATGAATTAAGAGTCCTTTATTAGCCGGCGACCGAGAGACGGCTAACGCTCAAAATTCTCTCCACCTGAAGAAGGGGCTAGATTTTCTTTTATACTTTGGTTTAGAAAGGGGACGGGGGTCTAGTTAAAACAATTTTACAGAAATAAAGTAGGCAAAAAGTTAAAAGGAAAAATGGTTACAGGAAAGTAAACAGTTCCAGGTGCAGGGGCTTTAAGACTATTACAAGGTGATAGACTCGGGACTTCGGGCGTTATCAATCAGACGAATTCCTGGGAATTGCGGATATAGCTTGCCACAGTATCTTATCAGTAATTGCGTTCTTGGATGTGCTGGGAGTCAGCTTGCACAAGTTAAGTCCTTGAGGAAGGGGCTGCCAGTGAAAGAGCCAAGATGGCGTCTGTCCGGCTCTCTTAGCTAAGGGAGAGTCAATTCAGGTGGAAAAAGCCTAAAAACAGGGTTAGTAAAAACAAGGTTGGGCATTACATTCCCCACTTGTGTTTTTGGGAATCAAATCGTTGATTCCTCAGTTATAACAAGGGGGTTATATTGAGTCTTAAGATACATAAGTTTGACAGAAGCTATGCGTTGTTTTACAAAATTAAGAAACCAATTTAATATACAAGGCCCAACAATTAGACTTAATAGTAGGATGAGGAGGGGTCCGGCCAACCCCGTGATTAGAGTAGTTAGCCATGGGTTCCAGCTGAACATGCTTTGATACCAGGGGATGTTATTTTTTTATTTTTGTTGGTGCCTATCTAGATTTTCTCGCACCTTTTGGAGTGTATATTTTATGACTAAGAATGGTGGAGGAACAGTTAAATCAACTTTGTCAGGGTGTTTCTGGAACATAGGGTCACCTAGATCAGTTAAAGGCCTGATTGACTTAGGTGGGCTCCATGAGACCAAAATTTTCTTTTGGATGGTGAACATAGTTCCAACATCGAATCCTGAGATATAAAGTCTCAATCCCCATGACATGCTATAATACCATTGAGCTGAATTAGGGTCATGGACAGTTATAGTAAGAGGATTACAATTCTTTTTAGTTCATGATTTAGGACGAGAACCACGAGTTATGGAATGAAGATCTGGTTGATCCCCCAGAGTAGGTGGCTAAAGTTACACATGTCCAAGCAGGGCAGAAAAACTGATAAGTATCTCGACAGCTAGCGTCAGGGTGATTTCCAGGACAGAGGTAAAAGTTAACATTTTGGAGTCCTTTTTCTGCACCTTTGGAGCTTCCACATCCAGTTTGGCTCCCGGAGTGTCCAAATCCTGCTGCAAAGTTGACACTTTCTGCTTCTGGGACCGGCAGATTGTGTTGCTCTTGGTGGGTACGGGCTGGCTCTGGGAACAGTACACATAAATCAACTGCAAAGGAGACTTCCTTGGAGGTACTGGCCCTCCAAGTGGTGTTTGCAAATACACGTTCTGTTGTGAAAGAGGTGAGGAGAAAGGAATAGGAAGGCACAGAGGACATAACAGGCAAAAACAAACAAGTGAGGTAGATAAAAGGAATTAATCTAATGGCTTCACCGGACTTAGGTGCAGTTTAAAGGGGCCTGACCCAGGCCTGGGTACCCATGTTTTTAGTTGGGCTCTGTTGGCCTTTTTGATGCAGGAGTGATGAATCTAAGCAGGAATGCCATCCACCTTCAGAGCCGTTGGCGTTGAGAGGATGACGGTGTGAGGTCTTTTCTAAGCAGGAGTGAGTCCTTTTCTCTGGAACTTTTTAAGAAACACCAGGTCACCTGGCTGGAACAAATGGCCCATCTGTTCATGAACTGGACTGGGATGGGCTTCTCGAACATGTGGCAGAATGATATCTTGTACCTGTTGGAGAGACTGTAGGTACTGCAATAAATTAGCTTGTGATATTTCTGCCAAATGGACATCTCTTAGCTTAGGCAAGATAGGCGGCACCCGCCTATACATGATTTCAAAAGGTGAGAACCTAGCCTAGTAAGGGGTGTATCTTACTCTAAGTAGGGCTAAAAGAAGGAGAGTTACCCAATTTTCACCAGTTTTTAAGATTAATTTTGTAAGCATGTTTTTTAGGGTGTGGTTCATGTGTTCTACCTACCCAGAGCTCTGGGGTCGATAGGCACAATGGAGCTTCCGTTGAATGTTCAATGCCTTACTGACCGACTGAGCTATGGACGAGGTAAAGGCAGGTCCATTATCAGACCCTATGGCGGCAGGCAGCCTGTGTCGAGGGATGATTTTATTGAGTAAAAACTTAACTACCGTGCTGGCAGTTTTGATTTTGGTAGCAAATGCCTCAGTTCATCTGGAGAAGGTGTCTACTAGTACTAGAAGGTATCTATACCCAGCCCAGTGTGGTTTTACTTCTGTAAAGTCAATTTTCTCCTTTTCTTCTGGTGAGTTTTCTCAGAAACGGTGGCCTGGGCTGGGTTTAGGACCTTGCTTGGCATTTACCTGGGCACAGGCTGTGCACCAGAGAGCTGCTTGATCTGTGTTTGATAGTCTTTTCTGCTGAGGTGAGTAGTCCGTGCTCCTGGTAGATGGCTCCACGTACATGCACAGTAGCAAAGGCGTACCTGCTGTCAGTGTAAACGTTAATACGTTTAGCTTTACCCCATCGGAGAGCCTGAGTGAGGGCGATTAATTCAGCTTATTGCACTGAGGTGTTTGCTGGTAAAGCCTGAGCCCACAAAACATCTGTCTCCGTGGTAACAGCTGCACCAGCCTTTCGTACTCCCTGCTTGAGAAAGCTGCTACTGTCTGTGAACACAGTGGCATCCACCTTCTCTAGCAGCACATCTTGAAGGTCGGGTCGGCCAGTTTCGGTGGTTTCTAACAGTTCTTGACAGTCATGGATAGTAGCTGGATTTAAACACCACATAAGAGAGAAAGTCAAAGGAGGCTGATCTAACAGTAAACTCCGATACTGCAGGATGCGAGCATTTGACATTCATTTGCCAGAAGCACTTTGAAGTAAAGCCTCTACAGCACGAGGAGCCGTAAGAGTTAAATTTTGGCCCAGAGTCAACTTATCAGCCTCTTGGACTAGGCTTGCTGTAGCCGCTACAGCTCACAGACAACTTGGCCATCTGGAGGCCATAGGATCCAGTCTCTTAGATAAATAGGCCACTGTGCATCTCCAGGGTCTTAAAGTCTGGAGTCTCAAGCCCTTTTAGCAACTCCCTGGCTTTCATGGACAAACAGGTGAAACGGCTTTGAGATATTAGGAAGGGCTAAAGCAGGGGCTTCAGTTAATGCCTTTTTTAGGTTTTCAAAAGTCTGTTCTTCTGTGTCTGCCCAAATTAATGGGCCATTTCATCCTGTACCTCTTGGATAGTCGCCATTAAGATTTTTGTTTGTCTTTTGAATGTTTTATCAGCGGCCTTTTTAGCTGCTTGTGTTGCTTGTTTTTGTTTTTTAAACTCTCAATTGTCAAAAACGTTTTGGGCTATTTCTAAAAGCTGACTGACATTCATTCCAGCAAATCCCTCCAGTTTTTGGAGTTTTCTTTTAATATCTGGGGCTGCCTGAGCCACAAATGCCAAATTAAGAGCACAGCTATTTTCGGGGACTGCCGGGTCAAAAGGGGTGTAAATCCGATTGGAGGCGCTCTAAAAATGCTCCTGTTGACTCATCGGGCTCCTGGACGACTTCCATCGCCTTAGACAAGTTTATGAGTTTCCGAGCGGCTCCCTTAATACCCACGAGGAGATACCAGTGAAAATCGTCCGAAGCTCTCCCTCCACTTGAGGAATTTAGGTCCCAACTGAGCCGAGTAGAGGGAAATACCTCCTCTAGGAGGTCTCTAGCTTCCTCCTCTGGCCTATTGGCTGATGCAAGGAAGTGCTTTCTGGCCTCTATTTGGATACACTCCCTCTCCTCCAAGGTAAAGACAGTTAAAAGGAGCTGTCGGCAGTCATCCCAGGTGGGCCGAAGGGTCCGGAGTATGGACTCCATCAGTGAGGTCAAAGCCTGGGGCCTTTCAGAGAAAGGAGGATTATGGGTTTTCCAATTATACAAGTCAGAAGTAGAAAAAGGGACATAAACCAGGAAGGGGGCTGAGTGCTCATCACCCGGAGGGACTTGTGCCTCTCTCAGTGGTAGTAGAGGGGCTACTTCCTCCCGCCGTGGTCGCAGTCAGGAGGCAATGGATGGCGAGCCCACAGGAGATGTTGTCGAGGAAACATGAGACAACCCTAAGGGAGCAGGCTGGTTGTAAGGCGGTGGGACTGGGTGAGGGACACTCTCCTCTTCAGAGGTGGGCAGTACAGAGGGAGCCGAACTGGCTGAGGGTCGAGGCAAAAACGTGGCCTGGCTCAGGAAGACTTTGGAGGTGGAATTGTGAATGGTGCAGGAACAGATCCATGGAGGAGGATTACTAACCAAACTTAACCATTCATCTATGTAGGGAAACTGATCAGGGTGGCCGGTAGCTTTGGTAACAACCCGCCACATGGCTTGAACAATTATAGGATTCAACCACCCTTCAGAGGGCCACCCAACTCCAAACTTTGGCCATTCTACTTCACAGAGTGTCCGGAGCTTGCCTTTCTTAAGGCGGACTCCATAATCCTCTGAAACCAAAAGAAAAATTTTTTAGCATACACTGGAGAGGGCTCCAACCCTTACAGGGCTGGGAGAAAGTGTTTCCCATTTTTTATTGGTATTATTATTTAAAGGCAATTTAGCAAAGTCTTAAGCAGAGATATAAGATTCCAACACGGGCAGAGAAACTCTTTCCCTGGGGGGCTGGAGTGTCGGAAAAACAGAATTAACACGATCAGAAAGAACAGAAAAACCACAACAGCTAATACCACTTGCCACATTGCTGTAGCTTTAAGATTAAGGGAGGCGGACTAGGGGCCAGCCCGAGGTCTTCCGGGCCCGTTTGATCTAGGCGTTCTTCCTCTTCATCTTCCTCTAGACCTTTATCCTAAATATTTTTGATGTCTCCACGATTCAAAGGCAAACAGTTCAAATTTAGCTTTTTCCTTTACGGATTCAAGGAGTGAGAGCAGAGCGAAGTCTTGGAGACGCTGAACTTGCTGTCGCACTGGAAAACGAGATGTGTGGGGTAGGGGGCAGGGACGAGGGGAAAAAGGACCACTCGGATTG
The DNA here is from genome assembly GCF_000001405.40 of Homo sapiens. NCBI lineage: Eukaryota > Metazoa > Chordata > Mammalia > Primates > Hominidae > Homo > Homo sapiens. The sequence goes on along the minus strand of NC_000002.12, from coordinate 123,686,377 downwards.
TCCTTATGTGTCCAGAATTGGTGGGTTCTTGGTCTCACTGACTTCAAGAATGAAGCTGTGGACCCTTGCGGTGAGTGTTACAGCTCTTAAGGTGGTGCATCTGGAGTTTGTTCCTTCTGATGTTCAGATGTGTTCAGAGTTTTTTCCTTCTGGTGGGTTCGTGGTCTCGCTGGCTCAGGAGTGAAGCTGCAGACCTTCGCGGTGAGTGTTACAGCTCTTAAGGCAGAGCGTCTGGAGTTGTTTGGTCCTCCCGGTGGGCTCCTGGTCTCGCTGGGCTCAGGAGTGAAGCTGCAGATCTTCGCGGAGAGTGTTACAGCTCATAAAAACAGCGTGGACCCAAAGAGTAAGCAGTAGCAAGATTTACTGCAAAGAGCAAAAGAACAAAGTTCCACAGTGTGGAAGGGGACCCGAGCAGGTTGCCAATGCTGGCTCAGGCAGCCTGCTTTTATTCTCTTATCTGGCCCCACCCACATCCTGCTGATTGGTAGAGCCGAGTGGCCTGTTTTGTCAGGGCGCTGATTGGTGCGTTTACAATCCCTGAGCTAGATACAAAGGTTCTCCACGTCCCCATCAGAGTAGTTAGATACAGAGTTTAGACACACAGGTTCTCCAAGGCCCCACCAGAGCAGCTAGATACAGAGTGTCAATTGGTGCATTCACAAACCTTGATTTAAACACAGGGTGCTGATTGGTGTGTTTACAAACCTTGAGCTAGATACAGAGTGCCGATTGGTGTATTTACAATCCCTGAGCTAGACATAAAGGTTCTCCAAGTCCCCACCAGAGCAGCTAGATACAGAGTATCGATTGGTACACTCACAAACCTTGAGCTAAACACGGGGTGCTGATTGGTGTAGTTACAATCCCTGAGCTAGACATAAAGGTTCTCCACATCCCCACCAGAGCAGCTAGATACAGAGTGTCGACTGGTGCACTCACAAACCTTGAGCTAAACACAGGGTGCTGATTGGTGTAGTTACAATCCCTGAGCTAGACATAAAGGTTCTCCACGTCCCCACCAGAGCAGCTAGATACAGAGTGTCGATTGGTGCACTCACAAACCTTGAGCTAAACACAGGGGGCTGATTGGTGTAGTTACAATCCCTGAGCTAGACATAAAGGTTCTGCAAGGCCCCACCAGAGCAGCTAGATACAGAGTGTCGACTGGTGCACTCACAAACCTTGAGCTAAACACAGGGTGCTGACTGGTGTAGTTACAATCCCTGAGCTAGACATAAAGGTTCTCCACGTCCCCACCAGAGCAGCTAGATACAGAGTGTCGATTGGTGCACTCACAAACCTTGAGCTAAACACAGGGTGCTGATTGGTGTAGTTACAATCCCTGAGCTAGACATAAAGGTTCTCCACGTCCCCACCAGAGCAGCTAGATACAGAGTGTCAATTGGTGCACTCACAAACCTTGAGCTAAACACAGGGGGCTGATTGGTGTAGTTACAATCCCTGAGCTAGACATAAAGGTTCTGCAAGGCCCCACCAGAGCAGCTAGATACAGAGTGTCGACTGGTGCACTCACAAACCTTGAGCTAAACACAGGGTGCTGACTGGTGTAGTTACAATCCCTGAGCTAGACATAAAGGTTCTCCACGTCCCCACCAGAGCAGCTAGATACAGAGTGTCGATTGGTGCACTCACAAACCTTGAGCTAAACACAGGGTGCTGATTGGTGTAGTTACAATCCCTGAGCTAGACATAAAGGTTCTCCACGTCCCCACCAGAGCAGCTAGATACAGAGTGTCAATTGGTGCACTCACAAACCTTGAGCTAAACACAGGGGGCTGATTGGTGTAGTTACAATCCCTGAGCTAGACATAAAGGTTCTGCAAGGCCCCACCAGAGCAGCTAGATACAGAGTGTCGATTGGTGCACTCACAAACCTTGAGCTAAACACAGGGGGCTGATTGGTGTATTTACAATCCCTGAGCTAGACATAAAGGTTCTGCAAGGCCCCACTAGAGCAGCTAGACACAGAGTGTCGATTGGTGCACTCACAAACCTTGAGCTAAACACAGGGTGCTGATTGGTGTATTTACAAACCTTGAGCTAGATACAGAGTGCCGACTGGTGTGTTTACAATCCCTGAGCTAGACATAAAGACTCTCCATGTCCCCACCAGATTCAGGAGCCCAGCTGGCTTCACCTAGTGGATCCCACACCGGGGCTGCAGGTGGAGCGGCCTGCCAGTCCCGCACCTGTGCGCTCGCACTCCTCAGCCCTTGGGTGGTCGATGGGACTGGGTGCCGTGGAGCAAGGGGTGGTGCTCGTCGGGGAGGCTCGGGCCGCCACAGGAGCCCATGGAGTGAGTGGGAGGCTCAGGCATGGCGGGCTGCAGGTCCCGAGCCCTGCCCCGTGGGAAGGCAGCTAAGGCTTGGTGAGAAATCGAGCACAGTGCTGGTGGGCTGGCACTGCTGGGGGACCCAGTACACCCTCCGCAGCCACTGGCCTGGGTGCTAAGTCCCTCATTGCCCGGGGCCGGCAGGGCCGGCCGGCTGCTCCGAGTGCAGGGTCCGCCAAGCTCACACCCACCCAGAACTCCAGCTGGCCCTCAAGCGCGGCAAGCAGCCCCGGTTCCCGCTGGCGCCTCTCCCTCCACACCTCCCTGCAAGCTGAGGGAGTGGGCTCCAGCCTTGGCCAGCCCAGAAAGGGGCTCCCACAGTGCAATGGTGGGCTGAAGGGCTCCTCAAATGCCGCCAAAGTGGGAGCCCAGGCAGAGGAGGTGCCAAGAGCAAGCGCGGGCTCTGAGGACTGCCAGCACGCTGTCACCTCTCACTTATGATGAGAGAGTAGCCACAGGGGAACAGAATAGGAGTCTAAACGAAGTAAAGCATGACGGCCGTAGGTTTCCCTACACAAGGTCCTATTTAAGGGCACAGGAAAAGTTACAGAATGACAAAAAGGGTGAGCAAGAAGGTCTGCAGGGTGGCAGTTTTGAACCCACCACCAGTTCAGTTTAGAAGACCAATCACTAGGACGTGGGGTATGACAATCTAAATACCCGCAACCTTCATGGTGCCAGAAATTCCAATCAGGTGAATGTTTTCCACACCGTTTTCCGTAACAACACCTTACTTGTTTATGACAGAAAAGACAAGACTGTGGTGGCCAGTCTAGACGATTGATGAGAAATTTAACCTCTTGTGACAAAAAATCAGCACTAAGAACCTTGAAGAAATTTTTACCCAGATGTCGTGGACAATATCCACATCCTGACATGTAACACTTTGACAACTATTAAACAAGCCAATAGACGCTGAACAAAACAATAAACATAAAACAAACAATTGACCCTAGGGCATGTAAACAATTATGACAGTTTTCCTGTTTTACTTTCTTTATTACACAGACAAGGGAAGGGGGTCCCGTGATGGGATCATTCAGATGCCCGCCTGGCCGCTCCCCCTGAGGGGACTTGGGCTCCTCTTAGCATTCGCAGGCCTGTATAAACCCCCGGCTCAGATCAAGCTATGTCCGATGCTGCCTTAAGCCTTATGAGGTTGCCACGGAACCGCAGGTGAAGGCCATTCGAACTCCGTAGCTTTCTCTGCGGAGCTACAAACTGGAAGACAAACGCAAGCCTTTGTCTTCCCACATTCACACACGATTCACACGTTTTTTCTTTCCTGGGGATTTTCCAAGAAACCTGAACACGAGAGAGAGAGAGAGAGAGGAGAGAGAGAGGAGAGAGAGAGAGAGAGAGAGAGAGAGAGAGAGAGAGGGAGAGAGAGAGAGAGAGAGAGAGAGAGAGACCGGTCTGCCAGAAACCAAGCGTCCTGGGTCTTAGAAGCTAAGTCAAAGGGAGGGTCCTCATCGGGACCACTTCCCACCCAAACCAAGACACAAAGGCGCCTACCAGAAAACCAAGGCTCAACACACCAGCGTCCTAGAGTAACAGGCTGACTCAAAAGAGGGACACCCTCGTCAGGGCTGCTTCCCTCTTACCAGAACCAGAACGAAGTCAAATCTGACCTACCTGACCCCGGGGTGAGAAGCTGAGGACTCAGATGTTGAATTTTAGGGCACTGATACGGTAGTCGAGCCGCTCTCCTCTGGAAGACGGTCACTGTTCAGGAACCTAAAAATTGTTTCCTCAGGTGGTGCCCCCACTCCGAGCCGGCCGTCCTTCCGGGGGAGCCCGGAGTGAAACCAGCTCTTGCCAGGTGGTGTTAATATCTCACTGGGGCCTCCATTATGTTGTACCCAGGCAAGTTGGAGAAAACACCACACTTTGAGATGAATTAAGAGTCCTTCATTAGCTGGCGACCGAGAGATGGCTAACGCTCAAAATTCTCTTGGCCCCAAAGAAGGGGCTAGATTTTCTTTTATACTTTGATTTAGAAAGGGCAGGGGGGTCTAGTTAAAACAATTTTACAGAAATAAAGTAGGCAAAAAGTTAAAAGGATAAATGGTTACAGGAACGTAAACAGTTCCAGGTGCAGGGGCTTTAAGACTATTACAAGGTGATAGACTCGGGACTTCAGGCGTTATCAATCAGACGAATTCCTGGGAATTGCGGATATAGCTTGCCACAGTATCTTATCAGTTAATTGCATTCTTGGATGTGCTGGGAGTCAGCTTGCACTAGTTAAGTCCTTGAGGAAGGGGCTGCCAGTGAAAGAGCCAAGATGGAGTCTGTCTGGCTCTCTTAGCTAAGGGAGAGTCAATTCAGGTGGAAACAAGCCTAAAAACAGGGTTGGTAAAAACAAAGCTGGGCATTACACTGAAATACCAAATAGATCCAGGCAAAGGCTTGGCTCACAGATGGGATTGGATTATGTTTGTAATAATTAGTAGAGTTAGTGCATCATGTATGGCTAATAGAAAAATATGGAATAAACTCTTGGAATAAATGGTATGTACAGTAAGAGAATTACATCCAGAAATCAAATCCCAGCACCACCATTTACCAGTTCTAAGCAACAATAAAAACAAAAACAAACAAATAGACAAAAAAAAAAAATCATGAAAGTGATATGCTTCTCGAGTCTACTAAAGTGAATTAAACGATAATACTTACCTTCACTTCCCAGATACTTTAGTCAATGATAAGTAAGATATATACCAGGAACCAGATTTTTTTACAATTTCAAATCTGAAAATAAATAAAAATAGCATTTGCCTTTCAACTGGCTGCAGACTTTGAGTGAAAAAGCCTTTCCGACAATTTAGCTTCCCAACATATTTCTTCATCATAACCAAAACTCCCTCAAGGGCAGGTGCTCCATGCTGCCATCTCTGTGTGTGGCACAGTTCAGAGCACCAATAAAGTGCTCAGCAAACATTTTCAGTCTAAAATAAACTGAACTTAAACTAAGACACAGAGACAGGGACGGTATAATCTTGATAATTTATTTAATGAAAGCAAATGGAGTTATTTATTTCTGATGTGTGAGCCAATAGTGCCAGAGAGAAGGAAAAGAAAAAGTTCTAGTAAAGTTAATCAAACAAGCCAGAGTATATTTATTTATTATGAGCCTTTGGTGTCATTCCTCCAACAAGTTCCAGATGCTGTGCATGAAATTTTTAAAGCATGAAATATTCAAAAATAGCACTGAAATGGTTGGGGGAAAATGTTGGGAAAAAAAATTAGTGATGCTTGAGAAAAGTTAGGAAGAGCAGGACACAGCAACTTTTTAAAATTGACTTTACACCGAGAACTCTAAGGCACATGGACAATTTTATGAACATATCTATAAATCAGTAAATTGCTGTAAAGTTAACAGCTACTTTATGTAACTACCTCCATAAAGGGAAAGAGCATTGCCCAAACTCCCAGTGGCCTCTGAGCACCACTTTAGGGTTGCAGCCCTCTTCATGCATGGAGGTAAGCTAATTATGCCAGGTATAGAGAAAACTTTTTTGCTTTCTTTGATAGGCTCACCATCTTATGAATCATCCACAAATAAAACTATTTAGTTTTGCATGTTCTTTATTGTTATATAAATTGAATCATACTGAGTATATTTATATATTTTTGATATAGTAATATTTGAAAATATCATTATAGATTTATGATGTATTTTATCTTTAAAAAATAATAAATATATTTATTAGCTCTGTTCAATGACAAGTCCTGAAAATAACGACCAAGCCAGTAACAACAAGCACCCCTTGAGACAGATAAAATAATATTCTACCCAAAGGAACCAAAAGGCTTCTTGAAAAAATAAATGGCCAATCTCTGGTCTAGAGCAAGAAACATACTAGGTAAGTTTGAAATGACTTGTTACATTTGAAACGTGGATGCTATCAAGCACTATGGAAAGGAAAAAACATATGCAGTTCTTAGGGATAAGAAGGAGCTTGTTACTGTAAGTGAACTCAGCAATCAATAAATGATTGATGCATGAGTGGATGAAATAATCTATGAAGGTCGGACAGATGAGTGGTTGAATTCATGTATACTCAGTTAAATGGTGTTCGAATCTGCCTTTAAGCCTGTTTCTCCCACGCAGGTTTTAAGGTCCAGTTGAGTTTTTTCTGTGCAATGTTTTGAGTGGCAGCTATCAATTCCATTTATGTAATTAGAGCAACAGAGACATGAAAAGTGAAAAATTAAAAAATAATAATAAATAAGATTACAGAAGAAAGCATGTTCTTAGTATTTCCTAATGGCTATTTGGGAAATTGTGATCTTTAGTTGTTGTTTTGCTTCATAAACAATTATAATTCTTTATGTCTGATAATATAATTTCTTGGTAAAAATTTTCAATGGCTCTGCATTACCCACCAAATATAATTCAAGCTCCTTGTATAGTTCTAATTCTCTGGTTTCTTCCTCCCTTTCCTGCTTTATCTTTCTCCTTTCACTTCACCGGCAGCAATTTGATAGCACTTTGTTAGTTTCCTGGGTAAGCTGTGCTATTTCTCTTTTGATTGGCTCTACTGGGAATAGTGTCCCTTGCACTTACGTGCCGCCCTTTGCCTCTGTTGATTAACTCCTAAGACATCTTTAACAAGCAAGACTCACTTCTGCAGTAAACTTTGTCTGGTACTTTGGTTACTGATACTTGACACAAAAGATGGCATGTGTATTTCTAGGGCCTAGCAAAGGGTCAGAAGTAGGGCGAGTATTTAACCACTGTTTATTTATTACATTTTGTAGTTAATGGTACATAGCTTTTCCCTGCCCCTTTTTTCTTGTTTTCAATCAAAACAGGAAAACTTTTATTACTTCAATCAGTTTTGGTTGACTGTAAGAGAATTTTACTTAAACTATTTATATATCACATGCAATTATTCATAGAGTCCACTTATCTATATTTAAAATATATTTAAAATCTAATTCAGATAGCTTTTCTATACTGATTGTATCTATGAAGGCTAGTGTCTCTAATTAAGACAGAAAAGTCTTATTTACAAGAGCAGAACTGTAAACAAGCACATGGATTATTATTAGGCTAATATTTGCCCACTATTTTTATACATGAGCATAGGGTGAATCTTTAACCAGAAAAGGCACATTTATATGCAACCATTTAGATAATCACCAGAAAACTTTACATTAAATAGTTGTTTTGAGTAGCACAAGGTGAAGTAACTAGCTTGAAAATGAGTCTAGAAATGAAGTAAATTAAGCACATTTTTGGGCATCCTGTAGAAATAGCTTGTAATGATTTTTTCCTTGCCTTTAATTTCATACTTTTTAAGCCCAGTAGGAAATCTCAGTTGAACTAAGTTCTTTTTTTCCTCTGGTAAAATTTATTATAATTGTTTTTATTGAAATTTGTTTTACCTCCTGAAGTTCTGAGATACTGGCCATGCATATCAATCAAAATTTTATTGCATTATCTTGTAACCTTTTAAAATAATTGATCAGACAATAAAAATAAAAATGGACATTAATTATGTTGAGGAAAGTTTTACTTCCTTTTCGACTTGATACATTTTTCTTCTTCATATGCTTTGAAATTGCTAAGAGCAATTTGATGATACCAGTAATAAATTTGGGGAACTAAGTTGAGTAGATATAAAATGACAAACTTAACTGCATTTATATTAAAGCACTTTTCTGCTCATCAGAACAAGATGAGAAATTTAATAAGTAAACCAGTAAGTTATACCCAGATGTATTGTGTTCTACAACTGAAATAGATATTTGATGATATTTTCACCAATGTTTTATTCCAATCTCTAAGAAAAATGCTTTAGAAAAATTACTTGACTACATTCAAAAGATGTTCATTAAAATATAATACATTTTGAAAGATATAAACCATGAATTATATGTTACCTTGTATTCTGTACCCTTTTTAATTTCTTTTACATATTTATTAATATACATTTTTCTTTTCTTAACTGTTTTTTATAACATTTCCATTTATAGTACAGAAGAGGGTGTAATCTGATTCATCCAGGAAAGTTTTAATTGTCTAGGTTTTCTCATTAATTCTTGGCTTCCTGAAAGTAAAATTAACCTTTATAATTAATTTTATACTTTATTTAAAAATTTTAAAAGAAGACAGCAATTTATTTATGCATTGGAGAATTTTATGCTAAAATCAGATGTCTGTGAGTTTGACATATTTGAATAACCAGTGGGACATTTTTTGTGCTTAAAATTTCCTGTTTATAATATTAAAATTTATTAAGTCAGGCACGGTGGCTCATGCCTGTAATCCCAGCACTTTGGGAGGTTGAGGTGGGTGGATCACCTGAGGTAACAGTTTGAGACCAGCCTGGCCAACATGGTGAAACCCTGTCTCTACTAAAAATACAAAAAAAAGATAGTCTGGCATGGTGCCAGGTGCCTGTAATCCCAGCTACTCGGGAGGTGGAGGCAGGAGAATTGCTTGAACCCGAGAGGGTGGAGGTTGCAGTGAGCCGGGATTGCACCACTGCACTCCAGCCTGGGTGACAAGAGTGAAACTCCATCTCAAAAAAAAATTATTAATATATCTTAGAGTTGCATCATTATGAGGTTATTTGGACAATTCTATCCTTCATCAACTTTCGAGTATGATTTCTGGTAATATTACAAAACACTGTCTGTAGGATCCCATTCTTCTTGACTGCTGGAAATCCAGTTTTCCACAACACCAGGTATTTCTGGGTACATGCTGAAGATGGCTACAAATGAAATCTAAGTACTGCTTACACCTTGACCATCCATCTCATTCTGGAGACTGATCTGTTTTTCTCTTGGGATTCTTTGGAAGTCTTTAGTTGGCTTTGTATGATTACCTCTGGGTGTTCCTAAATTGCCCTCAATGCATTTTTATTTTATATATTATTTTCAAGCTTGGATAGATATTTGGCTAATTCACCACAATATCAGCTGAGATCAAGTTGTACCATTTGATAAAGACTCATTGAGAATGGGAAGGAGGTAAAACCCACACATAGCTTATAACTAAATTTGACATCTTTAGGATCAAAAGGCTCAGGCATGACATTAAATATGTAGTTAATTATGCAGCAACCTCCATTCAGCTTTCAAGATTAAGGTTGTGGAGAACCTACTGTAAGCCAGGCAGTGTCATGGTTGCTGGAATTGTACTAGTAAGCAAACAGATAAAAATCCATTCTCTTACAAAGCTTACATTCTACTGGGGAAATAGAAAAAAATATAATAGAATTAATATACTTTTTAAAATTGTCAGGTAGAACATCATCAGTGCTATCAAAACTATATTGGGTTCAAGAAGCTTTAGAGTTTCTAGGCACAGTCTTATTTTAAATGGAATGCTCGGTGTTGGACTCATTGAGACATTACATTTGAGTAAAGACAGGAAGCATTGAGAGAATTCATTGTGTTGATAAATTTGGACAAGAACAGAGGAAAGAGGCAATGCAAAGAATTTGAGGTAAGATGTTGCCTGGTTTTTTCTTCTAAATTGTGCTAAAATATACATAGCATGAAATTGGTCCTTTTAACAATTTTTAAGTCTACAGTTCAGTAACATGAAGTACATTCATGTTGTGCAAACATCATCACCATCTATTTTCAGAACATTTTGTTTTTATTTTGTCAAACCATACTTATTAACAATAACTCACCTTTATCCCCTTCCTCCAGTGCTTGGCAGCCACAATTCTATTTTTCATCTCTATAAACTTGAGTATTAGGTACCTCCTATAAGTGGAATCATACAGTGTATGTCTTTTAATCACTGCCTTATTTCGTTATCATGATGTCTTCAAGATTTATCCATGTTGTAACATGTGCCAGAATGTACTTCCTTCTTAATGTGGAATAATGTTCCATTGTATGTATTTACTACATTTTGTTTATCCATTCATCTGTCAATGGACACTTAGGTTGCTTCCAACTTTCAGCTATTACTAGTAATGCTTCTGTGAAGCAGTCATACAAATACACGTGTGGGATGCTGTTTTCGATTATTTTTACATATACTCAGAAGGTGTCAAGCTGGATCATGTGGTAATTTTACTTTTAATTTTTTGATGAACCACAACAGTGTTTTTTATAGCAGCTACCTCATTTTACATTCTGACCAGCAGTACACAAAAGTTTAAATTTTGACACATCTACATTAACATTTTCTGTTTTTTTTTTATTTAATTCTTAAAGATGTTATTTTTAGAGCAATTTTAGGTTCAGAAGAAAAGAGGAAGGTACAATATTTCTCATATATCCCTAGGCACACACAGGTATCGCCTCCTTCATTATCAATATCTCCTTCCAGAGTGGTACATTTGTTGCAACTGATTAACCCATATTGACACATCAAAATCACCCAAAATTCATAGTTTATACATTACATTTCACTCCTGGTGTAGGATAGGTCTGTTTGTAGTCAACAGCTTAAAAAAAATCTGAGAATGTCAATTTCTCTTCATTTGGAAGGACATTTTTGCTAAATATAAAATTCTCTGCTGACACTATTTTTTGTTTGTTTGCTTGTTTTCTTTCAGCAGTTTAAATATATTACCCATTGCCTTGTGATCTGCAACATTTCTATTGAGAAATCTGCTCATTATCTTATTGAGGATCCCTTGTACATGAAGAGTTACTTCTTCGCTTCTTTCAGGATTCTCTTTGTCTTTCGCTTTCAACTATTTGATTATAATGAGTCTTGTAGTGTGTCTCCTTGGTTTTATCCTAGAACTTGAGCTTCTTGTGTTTGTATATTTATTTATTTCCCTAAATTTTGGAAGTATTTAGCCATTATTACTTTCAGTAAGCTTTCCCACCCCTTCTCTTACACTTCTTCTTCTGGAATTTCCATAAAATATATACTGGTCTTCTTGGTGGTGTCCCATAAATTTTAGGGTCTGCACACTTTTCTTTATTGTTTTTTTCCTTTCGCCTCTCAGGCTTGATAATTTCAAATGGCCTGTCTTTAAATTCCCTAATTATTTAATCTGCTGGTTTAAATCTGCTGTTGAACCCATGTGGTTAAAAATGTCAATTCAGTTATTACATTTTTCAGTTCAGGAATTTCGGTTTGGTACTTTAAAAATAATTTCTATTTGTTCATATGCTCATTTTGTTCCTATATATTTTTTCCTGATTTCTTTTAGTTATTTGTTTTTCTTTTGCTTTTTGAGCATATTTAAGACAGTTGTTTTAAAGTCTTTTCTGGTAAGCCTAAAGTTGGTGTTTCTTCAGAAACATTTTCTGAGGATGTATTTATATATCTGTTCCCTTAAGTGGATCATATTTTTCCTTTTTTTGTGTGTGCCTTGTAATTTTTTTTTAAACATTGGGTGTCTTAGTCCATTTTGTGCTCTTATAATACCACAGATTGAGTAATTTATAATTAACACAATTTTTTGGCTTGCAGTTTTGGAGGGTGGAAGGTTTATTATCAAGGTGCTGCCAACTTATGAGGACCTTCTTACGTGTCACCACAATGCAGAAAGCAAAAGGGCAAAGGGAGAGTCCACTTCTGAAGGCCCCTTTATTAAGGCATTGAATCCTTAATGAATACTGCATGAGAGAGTAGCCCTCATGACTCAGTGGCCTCTTAAAGGCTCTATCTCTCAATACTGTTGTATTGGCAATTAAATTTTAGCATGAGTTTTGGAGAGGACAAATATTCAAACCATAGTATTACACATTTGAAGAGACATTTACCTTTCTCCATGTTTGCAGACTGGCTCTTGCATGGGAAGACATTTTCTAATCAACCAGCATGGAGTCTTAAGCTCTTTTCTGGCCTTTTCTGGGCATGTGTCTTTCTTGGAAGTGTGTGTGTCTGTTTTCTGATTTGTTTGCTTTTTGTTTGTGTTTTGTTTTTTCCAATTCCCTGGTATACACAAGTTGCTTTTCAATATCTTAACTTCCTTAACAGTCAATTCAAGATATTGAATAACAGTTCAATATCTTAACTTCCCTAATAGTCTCACCCCTGGCCCCTGCTTCTTTTTACTGCCCCATTTCTTCTTACTGCCCCTTGCTTCTTCTTACTGCCTTACTATTCTATTGTATTTCTCTGTCTGAAATATCTTGTTCCCAAGCATCTGAAAGTCTGTAGTCCATTTTCACAACCTGGATCCATTGCTTCTCCTGGCTTTTAGCCTTTTGAGATGTGTGTTAGGCGACACAGAGACAAATCACTTAGTCAGCCTTTACACAAGGTGGAAATTGCAAATTTGATCAGCTCGGCTTTCTGTGCTTCATTGATGGGGAGTGGGGCCAGCTTGTCAGTCCCCTAAAACTGTGACACATTGTGCTAGGGAGGAGAGGAAACAAGGGTGAGTCAAATCACAGTGACATTTCTTGTATGTTTTTAAGCTGACTTTTTTTTTTTTTTTTGAGTGGTGCTCTCTTGGATGCTGTAGATATTTGACTAATTTTCAGTGAAATAATTAAAGTTATTTTAGTCAGTTTCTAGTTCTTTATTTAGTGTCTCCATAGTATAACAAGAGCTTACAGACTGGATGTACAATGTGAGTAAAGGAAAGGAATCTGGACGGCTCCAAGTCTATTGGACTGAACCATTGGAAGGATTAGTTGTCACTGATCCCAAGTAAGTTTTAAGGGCAAAGAACATCAGGAATTGTTTTAGATGAGTTTTTCCCATGTTGTGGGTGGTTAATGACTTTTGAAAATAGCCATAGTCTAGGAATTCAACTATCTTTACATTTCTAAGAGAAAAGGTTTTTCTCCATCTAATCTAAGTCTGGCTTCCCCATTTCTCACCTCACTTCCAAAATTAAGCATCATTTCAGTATATTTATGCTGGAAGTATTTTTTTTCTTTCCCCAGGGAAAACCTCATCAACAAGTCATGTCCTCCCATGCTGATTAAATATAACAATGACATCAAAAAATTATAGTTTGACATTATTACTTCCATAAATAATATCGTGTGTAGGACATTAACATTCCCATCCAAGTTAAATTTTGGCAAACTCTTTAAAGCTACTTGTCATAATCTTCACGTGTCTTTTATGGCCTTTTCCAGCCATTTTCATCTCAGCTTCTCATTTCCCAGGAGTAACTGCTCAAACAAGAACACAAAAATATCTCAAGATCCTACAACAGTGTGTTGGTCACAGTGCACGCTATGTATACCTATCAGACAAAAGAAAATCTCAAGCAAGTAGAACAAGACTTAGCTGTGACAGCTAAAATATTTATAAAGTCATGCTTCCCATCAAACCTATCTGGACTTATCAACAGCATGCATCCAGTGTTATTCCCCAAGAAAAATGAGATAAGTACTTGTTTGACATATATTTTTGTTGTTGCTGTTACTGAAAGATTTATTTCAGCCATGGCCCAATCTCAGATTAAGGAAAATTACTCAAAGTTTAAATTTAATTTATATTGCTTACTACATAGAAACTTTAAAACTCTTGGGTGCTGTCTTTTTACTCACCATAATCTACTAGAGCGTATTTACATTTAAACTCAGGGGTTAATTTCAGGCCAATTACTTTTTAAATAATAATTAGCGACATTACTTAGAAAGTTCATAACAAATTTTTGGTAAATAAGAAGTACTTGAATAATATAAAGGTAAATATTATAATTATATTTTTGTTTTTAAATAAAAGGTTTGTTTGCAGTTTCACCTTCTTTTAATTTGATGAAATAAGAATTGGAAGGTGTCCTTTCATCTTTAGTAGAAAGTGAGGATTTCCGTGTACTCTTGGGGGAAGGTTTAACCCTAGAAACTATTTCCAAGTTGTAGATTTTAAATAAAAGGAGTGTGTGGCCAAGGATCCTATAACAAGCTCTGGAAAATTAAGCAAACAACCAGCCCTGGTTGATGAGTTTACATGAAGAAGACTCTGACCAAGAAGGTCAGCAATAGAGGGAACAGCTAGCAAATGGAGGGGCAGTCGTCTCTCCATCAGCTAAACAACAGAGTGCAGCTAGAAAAGGATGGCAAACCAGAAAATCCATCAAAAGTGATGAAATGGGACAGGGGAGAAGGACAGGTGTAAATGGCGTCAAGTTAGACAGGAGAGAGAGAAATGCAGAGCTCAAGTCATGGCGGATTTCTGAACCAGAGTTTCCTTCATAGTCTGCATCTGGGTGAGGGGAGGCTTATAAGCAAGGGGGAGACAGGGAGAACCATGTGGTTCCCAAGAAGATGGAACGTCCAGACCCTGGGAAATTCCTAAGGGCACAAACAGACTCTTCAATTTGTTTGTGGCTGACTTCCCTCAGGCCTCGACATTTCAATTCTTACTTTTTATAGAACTGTTTTTAACATTGTTTTTCTATGATTAAAGTGTATAAAATACTTGGTAAAATAATTTGTAAGACAGATCTTGAACAAAATAAAACGTCAAATTTGGCAATATTACTGTCACATAGAAAGTGAATGGATGGAAAATATTGTAAACTATGTATTTTTATGGTGTGTCTATTTAAATGCTTAGATTTAATCTCCAAATGGAGTAAAGTTAAGCCATTCACTTTGATTTAGATTTGATTAATGGTCTTCAGTCCTTCATTTAGACAGTATGTTACCATTGATCTGACAAAGTATTTGTGCTATTTAAGTGTTTTGTGGGGAAAAACAAGACAATTTAGTAGGATATGTTACAACCACCTCTCAAATTGCTTGCCAAATTGTCTTACTCACACAGAAAGGTTTGAAATAAAAGAAACTGTGAAGCCTGTGCTAAACAAAGATAAGTGAATAGTCTCGCACGTAATATGAATCACACAAAAGCAGTAGATTTGTTATTGCTGTTCTCTTTTACAGTATGTTTAAATATATTTATACATCTCTTAATCAGTGTTCTTTTTTCCATTTGTAATGCTTTCCAATTCCTGCAGTGCTTAGGCAGCACCATATCTTCTGCATGATTTTATGTCATGTAATTTTGAGTGTTTTGCATAAATGCTTGGTGACTTTTTGAAAAAATAAATACATTATAATATTAATGATGTAATTCTTATTTGCAATTCTGTGTTTTTCAAAATAATGCTTTTTGATAAAAGTCCTTTATAGGCTTAAGCAAATTTTAAAAGCTTTTAATTTGCATGTAATGTACTTTGATTTTTAAAGAATTTGGATGTCTATTTTCAATGCTATTTTAAAAACTTTTTTTCCAGTCTACTTAAGATTTTATTATTATTCTCCCACTAGAATTGTAGTGGACATTTAATTTCTTGCATAATTATACCCATGCCAATAATACTTGTCATATGTTTAACACTTTATAGTATAAGCATGTGATGCATAATGACATTTTGGCCAAGGAGAAACCACATATATCATGGTAGTATTGTAAAATTATAAAACCTTATGTTTCTTGTCCCTTTTGTATGTTTAGTTATGTTTAAATACACAAATACTTAAACATTTTGTTACAATTGTCTATTCAGTGCAGTAATATGCTGTACAGGTTTGTAGCTTAGGGGCAATAGGTTATACTACACAGCCTAGGTGTGTAGTAGGCTATACCACCTAGATTTGTGTAAGTACACTCTATTTATGTTTGCACAATGATGAAATCATCTAATGACACACTTCTCATAATGCATTCCTGTTGTTAAGTGATGCATAACTGTATATAAAAATATTTTCACATAGCCTATTATGTCCTTTAATCCATACCAAATATGAGTCAAGAAAGAGTGTGGCATGTTGATATTTACATCATTTTCTAATATAGAAGGCTCTCTCTCTTTATATATGTGTGTGTATATATACATATGCACACACATATATTTTTAAAGAATATATAATAAATACATATCTATATGCACACACAATTTTTAATTAATAGGAAAATGAATAAAAATAGACATATATACATATACACACAATTCATATCTTGATATCTTGCATAATGGCAGCAAAATCATGTTCCAATTAATTGTGTACCTGCAATTTTTTTCTAGACTAAACTTGGATAGCTTAAGAAATTTCGAGGTATTATTTAGCTCTCTTTTTCTGCCACCAGAAGACAATATTTAAACTCTCCCTTCGCTCTTTTCAAATTCAAATAGCTTATAATTCATTTTTAAAATTAGTGTTTTGTTTTTGTTCTTATTGGATGTTGGGCAACTTAGTATCTTTACTCAGGTGGAAACATATTTATCAATAATGAAGAAAGTCCATTAGCAATCATATCTGGGATGTTCAGTTTTTTGGCTGTTTCTTTTGGCTTTTATAGGTCACTTATTTGTTTTCCTCAATTAGATTTAAGAAGAAGAGCCATTATCTGCTAGACTCTTCAATACCAATTTGGCATGTGTGTCACTCAGAATTCTTTGTATTTCAATTGATAGAAAAAATGAACAAAAATATACATAAGCAAAATGTAAGATTTTTTTTTTTCAGAAAAAAATCTCAATGGTAGACGTCATGACTGGTTGATTCAAATGCCCAAAATATGTAAACAGAGTCTAATTTCTCTCTCTGTGTCTCTTGGTCTCATTTTATTTGTGCTGATTTTATTTTTAGATAATTTCTCTCCTTCTATTTTAGATAAAATCTCCTGGCAGAGAAAATGGACAGTCGTTCCATACCATATGTCTTCTCAGCTTCAAAATCAACAACAACAACAACAACAAAAAACCCCAAAACTTCCATCATCTGCAGAAGTCAAATAAAACTTTCAAACTTGACTCTTATTGGCCCCAAATAGAGCATATAATCATTCTTGATCAATTGCAATTATCCAAAGCATGGAATATATTGATTGACTTATGCCAATTAAGCCCTATCTCTGAAGATTGAAGAACAATCTGCCTACTCTAACTGGGCTTGAGAGAAAAAGATGTTGTCACCTTGTTTTGCCAGGTTACAAAAGTAACAGATCCTCCTTATAATCATATAATTATTTCTTTTCTTTGATGTATTATTTGACATTGATAAAGTATTAATTTTGGGATACACACTTTCAAAGAAAAATATATTGAAAGATTAACTCAAAGAAAATATACCAGCTAGAATACAACAATGCTACAGATGGTTAACATTCATGCTTCCTCTTCTGTGACATGAAGTTGCCCCCTGGGAAGAAGATTCTCAGTCACAAGATTAATTTTCCATCTCTCCCCTTGCATACAGGTTTGACCCTGTAACTAGGTCTCATCAAAGAAATAGCTCAAGTTATGTATATAGTATAACCTTGAAATTGACCCAATAGTCCCATAGACAGTTTTTTTGGATAAACATAGAAATTGACCCTTCTGGTCTTGAAGCTTGAAACTTACATTTGTTTTACCTTAGTTTCTTCCTCAGGAAAACGACCTTGTGGCTTCTCAATAGAAAAGTATAAAATAACTGAAACTGACCAGATCACCACATGCCAGATCCCTCATTCATCATGATTGCTTCTTTACCCCTTCCTAGTTCCTTTTTTCTTACACATTGTTACAATTATTCTCTGCTATATAAACTCTTAATTTTAGTTGGTCAGGGAGATGGATTTGAGACTTATCACCTATCTCCTTGGCTGCAGCATGCTATTAAAGTTTTCCTCCTTGGCAATAATCGTTGTCTCAGTAATCAGCTTTCTGTGCAGCAAGCAGCAGAACCTAGACCAAATCCCTACTGTTTCAGTAACAATCTTGGGGTTTTAAAAAAGAGCAGATGCTCTCTCTACACTCTCTTTTTTTTTTTATCTTCCATCTGCATGTGGAGATCTCTGAGACACTAAAATATTCCAGAGCCATGAAATAGAGGTAACTGGAGTCCCTGAATTACCATATGGAGGTAAGTCACCCCCCCACTCAGAAACACCTGCAATGAACTGTTGCATAAAGGAGAAATAAACTTCTAAAATTTGGGGGTTTAATTATTGAGTACCTGCTGGTACTTTAATTAATACAAAATCAAATAAAAATGGAATAATTTCTATACCAGTTATTTCTAAGTATCACTGTTCATTCTACTATTAACACATTACTAAAAGATGAGCAGATAGACATGATTAGTTTTTATAATATTAATTTTTTGAGATGGTAATGAATCTGTTTTTTAAAACTAATTCCCTGGAAAACAAAAATATAACTGTTATTTTACCATACGGTCCATTATAAATAGAAATTATAATTTAAAATAATTATCCTACCTACACACTAGCAACTTAAAATTGTCTTATCTCCCTTTAAAGAAATTTCCAGATGGATGACAGAGTCCTCGAAGTGAACAAGATTTGTATATGTGCAGGGAATTGTGAATGGTTATGATTCAGACTATCTCAAGTCAAAAATATGAAAGGATAGTTTTGATCAATGAAACAGGAAAGTTGGCAGGGGTTAAGTCATGAAGGATGTTAAAGGCCAACTTAAGAAATTTAGATATACACTGAAGAGAGTAGAGACACAAAGATTTTAGGCAAAGAAATCAGGGTTATGTTTTAGAAAGTTTACTATGCACTTCCAGTCAAAATAACTAAGTAAGACTTGTCTTTCTGAAACCAAATCAAAACAGAAAGAACAAGAAACAGTAAATGTCATCTATAAAAACAGAAAAATTGCCCAACTGCAAACCTTAATCTATGAAATTCTGCCAGTTGTAGTGAACATAGGCTAAGTAAGGAAGTTGAGAACAAACCTGTGCTAAAGAGGGACTGACCACAAAGATTTCCAAAAGGTAGTGTTCTTACTAGAATTTCTTTGTTAAGATCAACTTGTTCTAGGTGAGTGGACAAATTTCCAAAGCGTCCTGAACTCCTATTGAGGCTGCAGAGTACCACGGAAGGACTGGCTGAATAAAGAAATAGAGGGACACTATATTTTTGTAAAAATACAATTTTAGGATGAAGGATGGCAATCACTTCTTCAGTTGAATTCCTTATTTTAGCTAAAAAGAAGTAAACATAAAATGGCCTCCAAAGGATCTGTGACATAAAAGGCATCATTTCTACTCAAGTGATTTCCTGCTGGCCCACAGAAGACCAAAGCTCACAGAATTGACTCTTGGTCTCAAGGGTTCAGAAACGATGGAACATCTATTAGTCTATGAACTCAGTTTATTCCCTTGGCCTCTCTCCTTCACTGTCTTCAAATGAGTGAGACATAAAAGACATTCCCAAATGCATAATAAACAGAAATGTATCAGTATGGGAGCCATGAAACAATAGTGCAAAGAAGGTGGATGAGCAGATAGACCACCAGAAATGAACCAGAAAAACATTATATAATAAAGTCAAAGCACAATGTGTACCACATTGCTTTACAAAATCTGGCTGTAAGCAAAAGAATTGTTTCAAAACAGACAAAAATCCCGGTTAGGGGACAGTTTAAAGAATCCAGATCTATCACCAATCAGGATGTCAGCAGTAAAGACGGATAGAACAACACAGGCCACTGTTGCCTTTGTTTTTCAAGTATTTGTGTGCACAGGACTTGAACTCTTATTTGCCATACACTAAGGCTCAGTTTTCTGAAGGGTAAAATAAGAGTAAAGAAACTTAGTCCTTTATTTGGGTGGCTAAAGTAAAATGTAATTATTACTAGGCAGTTAAATGTATAAACCAGGCTGGGCATGGTGACTCATGTCTGTAATCCCAGCAGTTTGGGAGGCCGAGGTGGGTGGATCACTTGAGGTCAGGAGTTCAAGACCAGCCTGGCCAACATGGCAAAACCCCGTCTATACTAAAAATACAAGAATTACCTGGGCGTGGTGGCACACACATGTAATCCCAGCTACTCAGGAGGCTGAGGCAGGAGAATTGTTCCAACCCAGGAGGCAGAGGTTGCAGTGAGCCAAGATCACGCCACTGCACTCCAGTCTGGGTGACAGAGTGAGACTCCATTTAAAAAAAAAAAGTATAAACCAAGAAAATGTCGGATTTTTGTAAATATATCCAATTCTGTTATATGATTGTCTTACTTAGGACAGGAAGAATTAAAAGATAACCATGGTTTATCCCTATGCTGATATGGTTTGACTCTGTGTCCCCACCCAAATCTCATCTTGTAGCTCCCATAATTCCCACGTGTTGTAGGAGGGACCCTGTGGGAGATGATTGAATCATGGGGGCAGGTCTTTCCCATGCTATTCTCATGATAACAAAAGGGTCTCACAAGATCTGATGGGTTAAAAAGGGGGAGTTTCCTGCACAAACAATTTTCTGTTGTCTGCCTCCATTGAGACGTGTCTTTCACCTTCCACCATGATTGTAAGGCCTTCTCAGTCACATGGAACAATAACTCCAATTAAACATCTTTCTTTTGTAAATTGCCCAGTCTTAAGTATATCTTTATCAGTAGCATGAAAACGGACTAATACATATGTCCTGCTTATATATTTAAGCCTGTATGTCTTTCAACAATAACAAAAAAATCTCTGCTTTTCTTAGGACCAATTCCTCTGTGATTTAAGTAATTTAATGTCCCATAATGTTTGGTCTATAATTTTCTTTTTCTGGTGTTTTTTTGTTTTTTTGTTTGTTTGTTTGTTTGTTTTTGAGAAAGTGTCTCACTCAGTCACCCAGGCTGGAGTGCAGTGGCAGGAACAGAGCTCACTGCAGCCTTGACCTCATGGGCTCAAGGTATCCTCCCACTTCAGCCTCCAAATTAGCTGGAACCACAGGCACATGCCACCATGCCCAGCTAAATTTTTGAATTTTTTATAGAAATGCATAATTGTCTGTGTCTTAAAAAGGGAAAAAAAGAGAACTTTCCCATATTATTTAGTGTTGACAATTTTGCCTTTCTACAACTCTATAGCTTATTGGGTGGTCTGGTTATATTTCCTTTATATGGTACTTGTTGGGCCTGTGAGGTCTGGAGCAGTATCTTGTATTAAACTTACTATGTCTCCAGAAAAATTAAGGAACATGCACTTTAAGTGAAATAAATAAGGACTATAAACAGTTTGCATTATTTCAGGTAAGCTGTTATCGTCAATTGAGTTTGGGGCAAATTTTTTTTTTCAGATTTTAAAAAATTATTTATTTTTTGTTTTGGTAATACTAATAGGGAAGTTATTGTAGAGCTGTTTTCTATAAGTTTAGTATGGCCATGCCAACTCCCCTGCCTCTAGTGATTCAGAGGCTGCCCAGTTACACCATGGTAAATTTCAAAACTCCAGAGGTGGTAGAAAAGATCGTCTGTGATTGAATTCAGTTTTACTGAACGAGAATTATCTTTGGCCAATTCTCACTCTGATGTTTCTGTTCTAGCAGTACAGAATTCTTTATAATATAAGGTACTTCAAAGGAAGTACTTCCAAGGAAGGACAATATCACCTGTCCCCTCCTTTGATTTGCTTTATCTGGCCTGCTGATGCTATTTCTCATCTCTGTTTTGTCTGCATAACTCTATCACGTATTTTAAGTCTTCTTCCAGACATCCATACCTCCAATAAGCCTGCCTTGACAGAATGTCTTGCCATTCAAACATCCACTCCACTACCCCTCCTTCACTCCACTTCACACACACACACTACACAGTTCTGCACAATAGAAATCCAGCTGGGTTCAGCTGTGTTCAGTGTTTCTGTCCCTATTCTGTGGTCCTCTCCTACCCTGTTTATATCTGTATCAGTACATTTACCACATTGTATCATATATTTTTATTTGTGTCTTTGCTTCTTTGTCCACATTGAGTCAATTAAGGAAAGTGATTATACTGTTTTCATCTTTGAATCCCTAAATTAAGAAAAAAATAGGTCATACTGTTTAAAAGAAATGTATTGTTAAGGGCTAAAAGCACACATATGGCTGGATGCTGTGGCTGCCATCTGTAAACTCATGCTTCGGAAGGATCACTTGAGGCCCAAAGTTCAAGACCAGCCTTGGCAACATAGTGAGACCTCATCCTTATAAAAAAATTTTAAAATTAGGGAGGTACAGTGGCCTAATTTTAAGTGGAATAAATAAGTGGCAGGTACAGTAGACCTATAGTCCCAGCTACTTGGGAAGCTGAGGCAGGAGGATCACTTAAGCCCAGGAGTTCAAGGATGCCATGAGCTATGATCACACCACTGCACTCCAGCCTGGGCAACAGAGTGAGACACTGTCTCTAAAACAAAAACAAAAACAAGCAACCATGATGAAAAAGTACAGATGAATCAGTAAATGAGCAAGGAAAGGAATGAATAATAGAATGGGTTTACTATAATGAGAAATCCTGTGATTCTCTCTGTTGTTGTGGGAAACAGGGAGAGAATAAATATCTTTGCTATTATTGGCAAAAGTTGCCACATTCCTAGGATTCTTGAGTCATTTGAACAACGTTAATTACCAAATTTTATGACGAGTTCATCAATATGTTGCTTGCTCTTAGTATTCAATGCATATACCAGCAAATCCCTGAATCATCCATGTGTTTATGTTTTTTAAGTAGCATATACTAGCAATAACTGTCTTGCAGGAAATATTTCTTTAGGATAAATGGCCAGCTGATGTTAAGGGGAGTCTGCTACTTGAAACCATCAATACCACCCAGGAGGTTATTTGTCTCCCCACAAGTCCTGCAGAACAACTATCATTGTTTAAATGCATTGCATTTTAAATAATTGAGTTTTAATTTCCATAGAATTCAGTAAAAAATATAGCTCAATATAACTACACACAGCCAAGGCAATAGGAATTGGTTGCAAGCACTTCATAATTCCGTGTTTTCTCTTGGCTTACTCTCAGCAAAAGGAGCTATTTTCTGGTGAATAGACTGGTTATGCGTATATTCAAGGTTGAAAACACTTCCGTTTTGTTTTGTTTGGTTAAGGATGATGCTTAGCTCTAGTTGACCAGCTATGACTTAAGATTGGTTGGCAGTATCTATGGTTAGAAGACTATTGAAGATTAAAGGATGAGGGTTTGGATTATGAACATCTGCTCTGCTTACTGCTAGCCTAAGGACTTTGAGGCAGTTATTTAATGGCTCACGCCTCTTCCTTCCTTACTCCCTTCATTTCTTCTTTTTTTCCTACCTTCTGTCAACAAAAAGAGTCAAACTCTGTAAAATATTTTAAGAGATTTATTCTGAGCCAAATGTGAGAGACCATGGCCCAGAACACAGCCCTCAGGAGGTCCTGAGAACATGTGTCCCAGGTAGTAGGAGTGCAGTTTGCTTTTATATATTTTAGGGAGGCATGAGACAGCAATCAAATACATTTAAGAAATGCATTAGTTCGGTTCAGAAAGGCTGGACAACTCAAAGCCGGGGGACTTCCAGACTACAGGTCAATGTAAACATTTTCTGATTGACAATTGGTTGAGTTTCTCTAAAGACCTGGGATCAATAGAAAGGAAATGTTTGGGTTAAGATGAAAGATTGTGGAGACCCAGGAGTTTCTTTTAAAGTCTTATACTGGCTGCCCAGCTCTTAGAGACAGTAGATGACAAATGTTTCCTATTCAAATCTTTAAAAGGTGCTGGACTCTCACTTAAATCTCTTCAGGATTGGTAGGGCCTGGAAGAAAAAGATCTAGCTACGTCAATAGAGATTCTTTACAGATGCATATATCCCGCCACAAAGAACAGCTTTTCAGAACCATTTCAAAATACGGCAAAGAAACATGCTTTTGGGATAAAATACTTTTACTTTCTTCTTTGTCATACCCAAGAATGTATGTATAACATACATGTTATACCAGAGTCAGACTGGAAAATAAGTCATGATATACAGGGTTAAATAAAACTCATCTGATGAGAATTTATGGTTTGTAGGGCATGACTCCCCAGACCCCTTAGACAGGAATTTGGGCAATATAAAAAAATCAGAGTTTAATCCTCACTTCCTTGCTTCTTTCCTTTATGGAAAATACGTTTTTGAGCTTCAATATGTACTGGCACTGGAGCACTGGGATTCTAAAGTCAAATAACATATGGGTTCTGCTTTTTAATAGCTTATTAGAAAATGAGATAATCCTATTACCTTGCAGCATTTCTTGATAATATGGTAAGACATCTGGCCAATAGGAAGTGCTCACAAGTGGTAGCTATTGGTCCTTCTTGCTCTCTCTCTTTCCGTCTTTCTGGAGGGGAGAATTTGGCTATTTGTTACTCCCATAGTTTTTCAATATCTTTCATGCCTGGAAAGAGAAAAAGAAATCATTCATACTGTCAATGTGTTATGGGTGGGTCTTTGTTCTTAAGAGTCCCCAAGATGTGGTGGCTGCTCCCAAGATGGCAGCAAGCTTTTTGTTGTCTGACCTGGGGTTCTTGGCCTAATGGATTCCAAGGAACAGAACCTTGGGCCATCCGGTGAGTGTTACAGCTCTATTAGAAGCTGTGGGTCATGGAAGAGAACCATGGAACCCAACGACTAGTGTTCAGCTCTATTAGGAAAAACCCAGGCACTTAGCTGTGCATGAACAATGGTAAGCCTTTAGCCCAATTGGGAGTGGCAATGGATGCCTCGCTGGATCAGGAGCACAGCGGACACCCTGCCAGATCTGGAGGGGTGGAAGTCAGCAGCAGGTCTGTGACGGCGGCAAACAGCTGTGGTGGACGGTGAGCGAAAACTCAGCTGGAGCCATAACAAACATGGACTAGAAGAGTATGCAGTTGCAAGATTTAATAGCGTGAAAACAGAGCTCCCATATCATGGGAGGGGACCCAACGGGGGTTGCTGCTCCCTGCTTGAATATCTGGGTTTATATCCTGATGATTGTCCCTCCCCTTGTGCTCTCAGGCAATAGATGATTTCACTATTTCTTTACCTCTGCTTTAGCCTAATTTGTATTTTAGTGAGCCCTCTTGACTACCTGATTGGTCAGGTGTGAGCTGAGTTACAAGCTCCATGTTTAAAGGTAGGTGCAGTCACCTTCCCCAGCTAGGCTTAGGAATTCTTACTTGGCCTAGGAAATCCTGCTAGTCCTGTCCCTCAAATGTCTCTGCTAATTAGCATTTTGGTGGAGAAAAATGATTTATTGGTTAAAGAGAAAGTGGTACCTGAGTTTAACATAATACTTCGGTATCAAAGCCCAGCTCCCTTATTAGGTCAAGATATTTTAACTAAATTATCTTCTTCCCTGACTACTCCTGGGCTACAGCCACACATCATTGCTGCCCTTTTCCCCAGTTCAAAGCCTTCTTCACATCCTCCCCTTGTATCTTCCTACCTTAATCCACAAGTGTGGGATACCTATACTCCCTCCTTGGTGACCGATCATGCATCCCTTATCATCCCATTAAAACCTAATCATCCTTACCCCACTCAATGCCAGTATCCCAACCCACCGCGGACTTCAAACAGACTAAAGCCTGTTATCACTCGCTACTACAGCATGGGCTTCTAAAGCCTATAAACTCTCCTTACAATTCCCCCATTTTACCTGTCCAAAAACCGGACAGCCTTACAGGTTGGTTCAGGATCTGCACCTTATCAATCAAATTGTTTTGCGTATCTACCCTGTGGTGCCCAACCCATACACTCTTTTGTCTTCAATACCTCCCTGCATGACTCACTATTCCATTCTTGATCTTAAAGACACTTTTTTCACTATTCCCTTGCACCCCTCATCCCAGCCTTTCTTTGCTTTTACCTGGACTGACCCTGACACCCATCAGCCTCAGCAACTTTCCTGAGCTGTACTGCCACAAGGCTTCAGGGACAGCCCCCATTACCTTCAGCCAAGCCCTTTCTCATGATTTACTTTTTTTCAGTCCATCTTCTTCTCACCTTATTCAATATTTTGACGACCTTCTCCTTCACAGCCCCTCCTACAAATCTTCCCAACAAGACACCTTCCTGCTCCTCCAACATCTATTCTCAAAAGGACATCGCACATCACCCTCCAAAGCCCAAATTTCTTCCTCATCTGTTACCTGTCTCGACATAATTCTTCATAAAAACACACATGCTCTCCCTGCTGATTGTGCCTGCCTAATCTCCCAAACCCCAACCCCTTCTACAAAGCAACAACTCATTTCCTTCCTAGACATGGTTAAGTACTTTTGCCTTTGGATACCTGGTTTTGCCATCCTGACTAAACCACTGTATAAACTCACAAAAGGAAACCTAGCTGACCCCATAGATCCTAGATCCTTGCCCTACTCCCCTTTCTGTTCCCTAAAAACAGCCCTAGAAGCTGCTCCCACACTAGCTCTCCCTTATTCATCCCAACCCTTTTCATTACACACAGCTGAAGTGTAGGGCTTTGTGGTCGGAATTCTTACACAAGAGCTGGGACTGCACCCTGTAGCCTTTCTGTCCAAACAACTTGATCTTACTGTTTTAGGCTGGCCTCCACATTATTCCTGATACCACACCTGACACCCATGACTGTATCTCTCTGATCCACCAGACATTCACTCCATTTCCCCATATTTCCTTCTTTCCTATTCCTCACCCTGAGCACACTTGGTTTATTGATGGCAGTCCCACCAGGCCTAATCGCCACTCACCAACAAAGGCAGACTATGCTATAGTATCTTCCATATCTATCATTAAAGCTACTGCTCTGCCCCACTCCACTACTTCTCAGCAAGCCAAACTCATTGCCTTAACTTGAGCCTTCACTCCTGCAAAAGGACTGTGTGTCAATGTTTACACTGATTTTAAATATGCCTTCCATATCCTGCACCATCATGCTGTTATATGGGCTGAAAGAGGTTCCCTCACTATGAAAAGGTCCCCCCATCATTAATGCCTCTTTAATGAAAACTCTTCTCAAGGCTGCTTTATCTCCAAAGGAAGCTGGAGTCATTCACTGCAAAGGCCATCAAAGGGCCTCAAACCCCATGGCTCAAGGCAATGCTTATGCTAATAAGACAGGAATGTCAGGCCTCTGAGCCCAAGCCTGTGTGTATACATCCGGATGGCCTGAAGCAACTGAAGAATCACAAAAGAAGTGAAAATGGCCAATTCCTGCCTTAAGTGATGACACTATCTTGTGAAATTCCTTCTCCTGGATGATGAGTCTTGGAAACTCCCCACTGAGCACCTTGTGACCCCTGCCCCTGCCCACCAGAGAACAACCCCTTTGACTGTAATTTTCCACAAGATCCATTAAATGATTTCAACAGGACCTCAATATTTACTTTTACACAAAGGTAATGTTAAGTCTAATAAAATTTTAGTTGGGATTTTTCTTTAATAGCAACATTTAGAAAACAGATGATAACTTAGCTGCATAATGCTAAAACAGAGAAAATAGGTAGTCTTTTGATGGGTGGGAGGTGGTCAGATTTTAGACTGTGGTAGTTAAGGTGCAGAATTTGTGTCATGTGGATATTAGGTAATTGGACAGGTACTCAAGTTCCATAAAATGTGAGATTACATCTGTGGATGAGAAAATAATTGCTGTGAGTTAAACTTTCTAATTTTGAAGATGCTTGAAAGCAGAATGAAAACCACTAAAGTCAATTCTAAAGTGATTTAAGATATATGAAATTCCAGCACCCTCTTTCTGCCCAATAATTTTTGCAGGCAGCAAGAATGCACAGTTTCAAGCTGTAAAGAAGAGCAGTGTTCAAGGATTTGTTGTTACTTAGCAAAAAAAAATATATTTTCTTGTCATTACCATTTTCCTTCGAACAGAATAGATCAGAAATACACACACTTTTTTTCCCCTTTTTCATAAGAAGCCTGCTCCTTCCTATACGTGTGTTTGTGTGGGCTGATTCCTCAATCTGGAATCCTCTGGTATTTTCCTTTCCAAATTTATCATTCTAAGCCCTATATTATCATTACTTGAGGCTGCCTCTTCTCTTTTATTTCTTGTCTTTCTGTGATTTCTTCTTCTTTTGACTTCAACATTATTTGGGAAGTCTATTCTACTGCTTTATGAACTTATTCATTAACCACTTTGAATTGTCAACTGCGTAGAAATAATGAAGAGGGCATATAATTTAAAATCAGGAGATATTTGGTACATTATGATTCTACCTCACATTAGCTATTTGAGCCTAAGTTTTTCACTGTGGTCTGAATGCTCCTCAAAATTTACATGTTGAGATGTAATAGCTATAATGTAATAGCTATAATGATAGTATTAAGAAGTGGAGTTGGCCAGGCGTGGTGGCTCACACCTGTAATCCCAGTACTTTGGGAGGCTGAGGTGGGCAGATCACAAGGTCAGGAGTTCAAGACCAACCTGGCCATTATCGTGAAATCCCTTCTCTACTAAAAATACAAAAATTAGCCAGGCGTGGTGGCAGGCACCTGTAGTCCCAGCTACTTGGGAGGCTGAGGCAGAAGAATCACTTGAACCCGGGAGGCGGAGGTTGCAGTGAGCCGAGACTGCACCACTGCACTCTAGCCTGTGCAACAGAGTGAGACTCTGTCTCAGTAAAAAAGAAAAGAAAAAAAAAAGAAGTGGAGTCTTTAGGAGGTGATTAAGTCAGAAGGGTAGTATTGATGGTGGATGGGATTAAGGCCCTGCTAAAAGGGCTTGAGGAAGTGGATTTATTCACTTCAGTCCCTACTGCCATGTGAGCACATGGTGTTCATCCTTTTTGGAAGATGCAGCAACAAGGAGCCATCTTAGAAGCAGAAAGAACAGCCCTTGCCAGACCCCAAACCTGCTGGTGACTTAGGTTGGACTTCCCAGCCTCCAGAACCCTAAGGAAATGAATTTTGTCCATTTGTGGGGCTGTAACAATACCACACTCCAGTATTTTGTTACAGCAGCACAAATGATGTAGAACGACAGATTAAACATCTATTATCCATAAGAAGTGAGACAGTGTTTAATTTATGTGTTTCATGGGTTTATTTTTCATTTTACATATGTGTAATTTTTGAGGGAAAGAAGTTTCTTTTAGCCATTTACAATGAAACTATAGTTCTGAGTTAGAATTGAACACTCAATAAATATTTGCATAATATACTTAACTATGCCAACCTCTATGTAAAATTACAAATATTTCTTTGTACTTCGTACCACCTCATCTATCAATGAGAAGGCCAGAAAATGAGACCCACATCTATCTGAAATGTACCAAACTCAAAATCTTTCTCTTTTTTACAGGTAATAGTGGCTGGAAGATTCAGGGTCCTGCCCTTAGCCTCCCTCCTAACATTAGAATGCAAAGGAAATGGGTCTCGGCTGTACAAATTGCTTTGAATAACAAATTGCATTCATATGAATATACCCAGTAAGGGCTTTTAGATGGTAATGGCATTGATATCACACACACACACACACACACACACATGCACGCACGCACACACACACACATACAAATGATTGAGTCAAAGCGGGGAGGATCCAGTTTATGAAGTAAAACCAAAAGAATCAACATGTTTACCATGACCTAGCAATAGCTGGGGGGGAACTGTCCTTAAGCATTCTTATTCCATTTCTTTTCTGCATGTATCTTGTACTTGTCATAACAGCCCCAGGCAAGTTACAATAAAGAGAGCAACATAGGGCATTTGAAGAGTGTCAACAACAAGAAGAGAGCATGATTTACAGGGGCTCTATCAGGGGAAGTGAAGGAGCAAATACTCGTGCTAAGATGAAGAAATTGGTTCCAGTAGATAGTTAAGTCCTATTTCTGTGTTCTGTGAAGTTTATCTTTCTCTCGTTATTTTGCCATCTTCTCATTTTTCTGCTTTTTTTCTTTATTGTTGAACAGACTGACCATTGAAACAGGTTGTGAGTATTGCCCAAGAATATAGCTGACATTTTTGTAACTTCTAGCTAGAAGGATTTTGATGGCCTATAAAAAGCACAGACTCAGTTTAAGGTCTACTGGGGTATTTCTAATTCATGACCAAAAGGAGAGAAACAAGTTATAAATGATCAAGTCTAGTTAAGTAAATGACTTGGTGTTAGGTAGAAAAACAAAATATAAAGTTTGGCTCACTTTTAAAAACATTTAGATCCGTCTTTTTTCAACATTTACTCATAATAATTGGGAAATATTGATAGTGATTGTGTAATCATAGTAGAACCCTAAAACCAATTTAGACAACTATTGCTTTGCTGTATATTGAGGCAATGTCCTCATTCGACATGTTTCAAGAGCACACTTTTTGTTTTAGGAAAATTAAAAGTTTTATAATAAACCCAAATTTTTGGAATTATTTAAAAAATATTACTAGTAATTCCTCAGCACTCCAAAGGAAACAAGGCTGCATCTAAAGAAATTAATAGGAATTGTGCTAGAAAAAGGAGTTTCAGGCTAAGAGTGTTGGTGAAAATCAACTTGCTCTATATCTCTTTTTTTGAGACAGAGCCTTGCTCTGTCAGCCAGACTGGAGTGCAGTGGCATGATCTTGACTCACTGTAACCTCTGCCTCCTGGGTTCAAGCAAGCACATCCAGCTATTTTTTTGTATTTTTAGTAGAGACAGGGTTTCACCACGTTGGCCAGGCTGGTCTTGAACTCCTGACCTCAAATGGTCTGCCCTCTTGACCTCTCACAGTGCTGGGATTACAGGTGTGAGCCAATGTGCCCGACCTGTTCTATGTCTCTTTGGAGATGTTTGCTTAAGAGTGAGCAGTCTCCCACACCTGAATAGGTTTATTATAGGAAAGAGAAATGGCTGTGATCATGCAATCCTGTTTGAGAGCTGTGTTACTGCAACATACAGACTTGTGACAGTTTTTCTTTTATAAAATGCAGATAAATTGTTCAACTTCAGAGGTTTTAAAGATATTTAGAATAACAATGGCTATGTGATCCTACACTAAGTCAGTAAAGTCTGTGAGCCTTACATGCCTCATTTGTAAAATAGGCACGAAAACATTTAATCCATAAAAGTGTTTGGGGGAATGATTATGACAATATATTAAGATCTTTGCAATTTTTTCTAGAATGTGGATGATAGTTAATTATTTGCCATTATTATACTGTTATTATTATCTTCCTCATTGTCATCAATGAATCTAATGATGCATATATAAAGTGCCTGGCACATTGGGAGTGTTGAAGTAAAATACTTATTCTTGTTTCCAAGAGTAGCAGCTGTCCTTTAGCATATGCTTGGTGTCAATCTGACTCCTTGCATGTAATCTTCAATGTGGCTTCTATCTGCATTTGTAAACCCATTTGCTAAACCTGTGCTATTTACTAGAGCCCCTTGGATATGCCAACAGAAGCCTCATTAGTAGCTCAAGTCCACATCCAGATGTTGCTTATTGAATTCCAGAACATAAACATAGCAGGACTACATGACTGCAACTCTTGACCATGATCTTTTGTCTAATGTTACGAAGATGTACCCCACCTTTGTCCAGATCTGCTTTCATAAACAATCCAAAAACACCTATTCATGCCAGGCACTGAGCCAGCTGCTGCACTTGTAAAGGTAAATAAAATCTGATTGCTGCTCTTCGGGAGACAGACAAATACAACAAGCTACATGCTAAGTGCATAGTTAGGAATTAGACAGAATTATGAAAGTACAACGAGCGAATTAACTGCTTCTGCGGGTGGGAGCTGTGCGGATTAAAAAAGGAGCTGATATTTTATCCAGGTTTAGAAACAAGCATAATATATCAACTGTGAAAAAAAGGGAGAAAAGGAAATTTGAACAGAAGGAACAACATGAGCCAAAGCTAGGAGATACCAGTGTGCATAGTATATTTGGAGAAGAGTAAGTGATTCAGAGTGGTCTAATATAGGGTGTCTGGGGGTGGGGCTGGAAAGAGTGGCACAGATGATGCCAGAAAAATAATTTGGGGCCAATTTTGAGCAGCTTTAAATGACATACTAAGGAGTATTACTTTATTGTAGGCAGTGGTCAGTCATTGCACTTTTTTTAGTAGCAGGGTGATGCAATTCAAACATGTCTGAGATAGAAAATACTGTAGTGCTGGAGATGAAGCAGTGATATTAGGGCAACTAAACCACCTGCAAAGCTTCAACATCAGATAGAAGGTGACAGAGTTAAGTGAGAAAGTGACAGAGGAAACAATATTCTGATTCTAAAGGTGTTTTGAAGTTAGAGCCTCTAGTCCTGGGTGACTGGTGGTACCTGAGAGGTTGAGTAAAAGGAGGACTTTAAGATGATTCGAGGTTTTCACTACTGAAGACGTTTCTGGCCCTAAGTTTTGAAATTAAACCACATCCTGAATATATAATTTCTTTTTGTTTTAATGAAAAAAAAATGTTATTTCTGATGCATTTCTTGGCCCAAACAGCAATGAGTCAGTGTATATAATACAATTCAGATAAAGGGCTTGTCTATTTAAAACCTCTTGCAAACTAAAAGACTTCAACAAGATTAACATTTTAACTGACAGTACAGAGTCTAGTAAGTCAAAATTTAGGGCTGATTTGTTGGCTGAAAACTACTGTAACCAATAATAAATGTTCCTACAAAAAAACAGCCATGAATATACAGGATCTAAATATGCATGAGGTCATTTTGTTTCAAAAGTCATAACTCAGGCTGGCATCTAAATTCTTCATGGAGATTATCTTCCATTTGTAAAAGCTTGTGGGACACAGCTGAAATCGTCCAGTTCTATTCAGAACCAATGAATATTTTATATCGGTTCATCTCCAAGTTGTAAAAGATTTACATCTTGAGAAAATTAAAATTAACTTAAAAGATTAATGCACAATGAAAAAAGTAGCTTCACTTTGAAGTTAAAATCATGGGGAAGGCAATGTTCTAGATTCACAATTTTCCACTAAAGGGGTAACCCTGTCTATGGTGACTGCTATTGTATCATCTTCGGGTCACACATCAACAGAATTTTATTGTATTTATTTAAATAATTAGTCTGTCAATTGTTTCTTTGATGAAATAGCTATTTCAAAAAAGTACTCTGTGGAAGAAATGATGAGGTCCTAGACAAAAAGAACTCATTCTCTATAATTAAAAAGGACCTGGAGAGGAGGAAATCTCTAGCCATTGAATTGCAATGTTGGTGTGTATTCCGAAGAGTGCCTTCTTTCTTTCTTTGAAATATCAGTGTCAATAGTACAGTGAAAAGCTCAATGACAATTGTCTTA
Organism: Homo sapiens; assembly: GCF_000001405.40. Lineage (NCBI taxonomy): Eukaryota > Metazoa > Chordata > Mammalia > Primates > Hominidae > Homo > Homo sapiens. The sequence continues at coordinate 123,653,163 of NC_000002.12, read as the reverse complement.
AAAGCAAAATTGTTTGACTTTTCATGGTGAATTCGAATCTGTGGTTGTTCAAAGGAAGATTTTATTTTAGAATTTCAAATAACTGGACCAGGTTGAGAATCACTTGGAAAAGTGCAGTCCATCTAAATGCTTTTAGTGAAGTGGAAATAACACATGAGAGCAACATTTATCTCAGTAGCAATTTCAAAGTTCCATCTAGAGTCAGGAGACTTTTAATCATGATAATGAGTGAATGACGCACAGAAGCTCTCAAAAGATTTGAAGTCAACACTGGGTATGACTTTGAACAAGTTGTTTTCACTTTATGAACTCAATTTCCTCATCTGAAAAAAAATGGTTATAATATTTACTGAGCCAGGAGGCAGAATAAGTGTGATTATTTACATACAAAGCACAGAGTAGTGTCTTCATTGATAATACATGTAGAGTTCAAAGCAGTTCAACAACAGTGAAACATTTGGATTGATTTCAGGAATGAGTGCATTCTCTTTGTAGATCTGAATGTTAGTGTGCATGCAAGTGTTCACCTCTGAGTGTGTGTGTGTGTGAGACAGAGGTGAAAAAAAATAAAAAGAGAGTAAGAGAGAAGGAGACAGAGAGTATAGGCACATGAAAGTCTTCTTGGTAGAGAAAACGATGAGCTGTCCATGGTCAAGATGGAGAGAAGGGTGAGCTGGCTTTTTCTTCCTGAGCCAGCACATTAGCTCCTCTCAGGTTCAAGCTTCCTGATGTTCATGGTGAAAATCAGTGATAAAAGTGATATTTCTATGTCCATTCTACTCTGCAGCCTGCTGAGCCTAGCCAGGGAATAGGGTTATATGTCTTCTTCCTACCCCATGAGATGACTGTGTCTTTTGGTTCTTGTGACTGCAGAGTAAATTCTACCATGAATTTATACCCTGGTACACTTCCAACTACTACATTCTAGAACAATAATCCATGTCAGGATCACCTTCAAATTTCAAATCAATAATAATTTCAATACTAATAATAATTTAAATACTAATAAAAGAGAGACCAACCCCCTCATATCCACTAACGTAGAGGTCCCAACTGAATAGGAGGATGATCTCAGTCCCCCACCTTCCCTGGAATTCAGGGAGGCACCAGAGTGACAGCTGGCTTCTTCCCACCTGCTGCCCCTCACCATGCTGACTCTGCCCAGGTCTGCATTTCTGCCTTGGATCTTGCTTGTCCCCATAGGCTGCTATAGAGAGAGGAAGCCCATCAAGTCTGCACCAAGGATATGTTGCTAGATCCTCTCAAGCTTCAGGCCTTGATGGGAGGTGGAAGTAGAGAGGGAGGTCAGGAAAAAAGTTCTACTGTGTTCTCTGCTGGGGATGGGGCAGTTTTGACACATTTTTTTTCTTCTTGTTCCAAGAAGAATTTATTTTTTCCAGTCTTTTACACTTCTGAGTATCTTCTCAAATTCTCTCTTTCACCAAGGAGCTCAAAATCAATCTACATCTTAAAAGAAAAAACCTTTAAGAGGTAGATGCTAATATCTACCTCACCAGCTTTCTGTAAAGATGAACTGTGATACTTTACGGAATACTTCTGAAACAGTGCATGGCACAGAATGTATATTCAATAAATGAGAGCTACATCACCATCCTGCTACTAGGGTTGTCGTTGAGACTAGAAAACATATTTGTGTTTTGTTATTTTATTTTTTTCTATGAGAAACTAAACATAGCCAAGAATCCTATGGAGGGACTTTATCTGTTACTGCTTGGGGATGTTCCTAAGGCATCTGGAGAGGCGTTTTAGTGTTACGGTCTTATCTTCCAAGATTTTCTCTTGTAAGCCATTTTCAGGATTACATTTCTGAAAAGAAGGTAGGATGACATGTTAGAAATGTGCTTTGAAGAAGTGAGAATCTTCACAGTGAATGATTAAGATTTCTTGAGAATGTGAGATAAGAGAATAGTTGCAGAGGAGCTGTTAGGTTAATGATATCCTGTCTTTTGCATGTGGAATAAGCGTAGTTCGCCTCCCTTAAATTGGCTTTTTATGTCAAATGTCAGAGAAATGTTAAATTTCACTCAGTGTTTGATCTCTATCAGGAGCCTCATGTGAATGTTAAATTCAAGGTCGTGGTTACACTAAAATCTCAGCTCAGGCACTTCATAAGTTTGTGTTCCACCAAACAGAATATAATTTCCTTTTATTTTTCTTATTTTTTGTGTCTGTTTTTGGGAAAATTACTTTACTCTGTCAGCATCAAGGAGTGACAAAAACAATGGGCCTGACTATTTGGTTGTAAACAGATTTTATCCACATTCATGGTCATGACTATTTTTCTATTTGTCCTAAATGTTCCTTAGCACAGTGATTCTCAAGAAGTAGTTTCCATGCACTGTAAATGTGTGTGAGAATCCTCTAGAAGGCTTGTTAAAATAGAGGTTACTGGACCTGGATCTTGGAATATTTGATTTGATAGGTCCAGGGTGGTGGCCCAGAATTTTCATTTTGAGTATCTTCCCAATTAATGCTTATGCTGCTGTTTCATGGTGACACATTGAAAACCACTATTCTGGAGGATGTCTTCCTTACTGTGGACTTCTGCAAACAAGATAATGCGTCTGGATTTCCTTTACTGAGAGATAATACTTTCCATACTGGAGTTTGGATGCATTTTTACTTCCTGTGTCTCACCAAATTGCCTTGGCAAACCATGTGCTTTGAACTTGCTTTTCAAACTGGGGAATAAAAGGTCAGTAAACCTCTCTTGTAAATGGGTGGATTTTAAATGTTTTAGGCTTTGCAGTTCACATACAATCTCTGTAGCAAATATGTAACTCAGTTATCATGGCATGAAAATGGCCATTGACAGTGTATAAACAAATGGGTATAATTGTATTCCAATAACACTTTTGTACAGATACTGACATTTGAATTTCACATAAATCTTGCATGTTATGGAACATTGTAATTCTTTTGATTTTGTTCAAACATGTAAATACACACATATGTATGTAAAAATCTCAACTCTCAAGGCATAGAAAAACAAGGGGACAGGGTCAGGTTTGGCCCACAAATCTTACCTTGCTTACCCAGAGATGATTAATAAGTTGCATTTGTGTTACCAGCAAAACAGATGTCAGCCAAGAAGGGTGATTTTTTTCCATACAGCACAAACTTCCAAGGACCAAATTATTGGCTTCAGAATCACCTGAGAAGATTATTATATTTATAAATTTTCTCTTTGCTACCAGCCCCAACCCAGGTTCTGACTTGTTAGGGCTTGAAGGAGTTGGAACATCTATTTTATAAATAAACAAAGAAAAACCTAAAAGCATGCATGATTATAATGGCCAGTGGGTTTTGGGAGTCACTAGCCTTGTAGTATCCAGCATAGTCTTGGACAGACTAGATAATTGATGAATATTAGACATCAGCAAAGTGCATTCTCATAAATATTCTAAATTATCAATCAATTAGTGTCAACATTCTAGTTTTTATATAAAATTTTGATTAAATTCATTACTTTGTTCTCAAGAACCCTTTATTTTCATCTATTTAACTGAACATTTTTAAAAGATGTTATACATTTTTTCTATTACTTCCCCAAACGACTGCATCATCTTTGTGTGTACATCTCAGTGTAAACTTAAAGCTCCCCCAAAATTTGTCTTCTCAGTCATTTTGTTGGACAGTGATGAAACATTTTACATTTTTAGTCAACTTTTTTGCTAGGACTCCATGTTACAATGTCTCACAACATAAAGACAAGAAGAAAAAATAAAGTGGATTTTGTTAATGTGTACCTAGCCTGGGACACAGGAATTCTGCAAGTGGAGCTGATTGAGCAAGCAACTGCTCGTATCTTAGTAGAATTAAACTTAATCTACCTATTGACTTTTAATCTCCAATTAAGAGTAAGCTGCTGAAAATAGATTTATAAATAATGCCAAGCTAAATTATGTATTCCACAATGTCTGTGACATTTGTGGCAAATATAGATGCAAGTTAACCTGACCCCATGCTTTGAGTCATGCTGTCTGTACCAAGAGAAACAGCTCTGCTGAGTTATTTCCTCTAAGCTGCAAAAGATAGGTAGACCGAAGAAAAGTGAGGCATTAAGACACATGTCCTTGAGGGAATGCATTAATTAATGATGGCAAAGCAATTTTATCCCAAAGCACTGCATTATTGTTAAAAGTGTTATTATAATTGAATTACTTGTTGTATGGGGGAAGAAAAAGCTCACTCTGAATGTACAATGATCATTTTCTGATGCTTCCAACAGTGTCAGCAATCCTGGAATTTTAAAAAAATAAATTTCTTATTCCAAAGAAGTTCCAAAATCCATCAAGAGGATGATTTAGCAGTGGCAATTCTAATTTCATTTGGCAGACTTGAATCATGGAAATAGTTGTGATCTGGGTATTTGGAGTACAGTCTCAGCCACTTGATAGCCATAAGCATTGGTCCTTTTTTATACCATAATTTTTTCATACAAAAGATTGAGCTAATCCATCTGCTCTTCCTACCTATAGGGATTAGTTGAGAATGAGATAAAATCTAAGAGTTTTAAAATTACTATTACGGTAACTCTTCCTCAGCAAAGTCTACATGAGCTGGATCTCTTTTGGACCTGGGTGCCAGGTTTGAAATGAAGCATCCTTGCTGAGGAGAGGTAAAATATAGAGGCTAAGAGCCAAACCTCTCACATAAAGCTAAAATGTGGCCAGGTCAGGCAAACCGCAGTTAGTTGTTTATATCCATAGGAAGGCAGAGGCCCAAAGCTGGGGTACAAAACTTGTCCATGGCCACATCAGACAGCATAAGGGCACAGAGTGTCAGAAAAACAAAATTCTGAAAAAAAAAGAGAAAAGTGCAGTGCTCATTTTCTTGCATTTATATTAAAGAGCAACTACTGCACTGCACCCACATACTTCTGCTTTGCTAACCGTGTGTGGCAGCCCCCTTATGCTGCCGTCTTGCTCCCCTTTGTAATGTGCATCATTAACCACTTCCTCAGATGTACAAACATGAAGCCTCACATATCCTGCTTTATTATTGCTCTTGTTGTTTCTTGGTAGTTTGTTTTTATTTTTTTTCATAGTGACTTTTGGTCAGTTAAGCCGCAAGGGTTGGCAGCAAAGGGAGTGAAATCTTATCAGACCAAAATCTATTTATTCCCCTTTTCTGATTTATGGTTCATCACATCTCTCCATTTATATGTTTATGTACATTTCTATCTTTTGACATAATTGCATTTTGCTTAATTTGTCTAAGATATTCTTCCAATGCTAAGAGGATCATATGCTCTCAAAACTTCATTTGCATGTTAAAGAGGTGATTTTGTTGTTCTTCACTTAAAAGGAATTGTTGGCTTTCCTTTGACTTTAGAATCAATTACATCAGGGTTTAAATCTTCACATAGCTTATTATTTGCATTATAGTATTGGATAAGTTCCATATTTTTCTGGGTTCCCATTTTCTTTCTTGTAGGATGAAAATAAGACTACAACTTCATGGATCTAAGATAAAAATAAAATTACCTATATTTTAAAGCACCAAACATAGTACCTTGACATAAATAAAATATTCAAATTAGAAAAAAATTGGAATATGAACAAAAGCTACTGGTTATTGACTGCATTTGCTTGTCAAGCATCCTGATCTTCTTAATCTCAATCAAAATGACTCTAGATTATTGCCTACTCCATTTATATTGCCTTATATTATCACCACAGAGAAGGAGCTCCTATAGGAGTAAAGGATAAAATCAGGTTCTCAAATTAGGTCTTTCCCCCTTTCCTTGTTGTCACATTAACACAGAGCAAGTGTGTTTAACTCTCTCAGCCAAGAAGGGCTCAGAGAAACCATTGTAACATCTCCAAAGGTAGATATTGAATTAGCAGAATTTTCTGGGCATGAGCTGGCTCCAGGAGAGTGGGGAGGGCAGAGAGAGTTATTGAAGATTCCTAGCTGCTTAGTGAAATTTGCCACACTAGAAAATAACATTTAAATATTGCATCTGGCACCCACACATTAATAAAGACAGTGCAGAAGCCTAGCGTCTTTTGTCTTTATCATGACAGAGAACAATGAAAAAATGTCCCATTTACCACTCTTATTTAATATTTTTATACTAAATAGAGGTTCTTGTTAGTACAAAAATGCAAGGAAAAAATATAAATGACATACATATTGGTACAACAACAAAACTGCCACTATTAGCAAACAGTAAGATTGTGTATGTAGGATAGCCCATGAAATCTTACAAAGACATTCTTAGAACTCAGATGTGAGTTTAGCAATATATCACGGGATTCAAAGTCAATATACAAAAGAGCTATTGTATTTTTTATATACTTGCAATAAGCAATTAGAAATTTAAAAGAAATAGTACTACTTTTAATAGATTCAGAAGTACTACTTTCTCTTTTTTTTTTTTGAGCTGGAGTCTCACTCTATTGCCCAGACTGGAGTGCAGTGGCCCGATCTCAGCTTACTGCAACCTCCACCTCCCGGGTTCAAGCGGTTCTCCTGCCTCAGTCTCCTGAGTCGCTGGGATTACAGGCGAGTGCCACCACGCCCGGCTAAGTTTTGTATTTTTAGTAGAGATGGGGTTTCACCATGTTGGCCAGGCTGGTCTCAAATGCCTGACCTCGTGATCCGGCCGCCTCAGCCTCCCAAAGTGCTGGGATTACAGGCTTGAGCCACCGTGCCCGGAAGAAATACTACTTTCTTAATTTAAGCTGAAATTTATAATTAGCTACAAATCTGAAAGGAGTTCAGATGCTTTATGCTAAAAGCCACAAAAGAATTCAAACAAGACCTAAATAATTGGAGGACATACTATGTTCATGTGTTGATAGACTCAAACTTTTAAAGCTGTCAACTTTGCCTAAATGCACCTATAGATTTAATACAACCCCTATCAGAATTGTGGAAGAATTTGTTGTAAATATAGACAAGCTGTTTCTAAAATTTACATGTAAAGGTAAAGCAAATAGAATAGCTAAGACAATTTTGAAAAAGAAGTATAATGTTGGAGCAATTACAACACATAATTTTAAGGCTTACTATAGAAGTACAGCAGTCAAAACATTACGGTATTTGCAAAAAGATAGGCATACAAATTGAGAAACTGAACAAAGAACTTTAGAAAAAGTCTGTGCAAATATGGCCAATTGACTTTGACAGAGGCGCAAAAACAAGTCAGGAGACCTATGGAGTATTTTAACAAATGGAGTTGTAATAATTAAACATCCATATGAAAAAATGTTAAAAAAAAAAAACCTGATGCAGTTGTCAAACTTCATGTAAATACTAACTCTAAATTTACCACTGATATAAAAAGTAAAAAGCATAAAATAAACTGGAGAAATTCTTTGAGATATGGGTTTAGGTAAAGAGGCATAACACCAAAGCAAGACATACAAAATATAATTAGTACTTCATTATATTAACATGTTTTCTCTATAAAACACACTCTTCAGAAAAGGAAAGCATAATCTATGAACTAAAAAAAACTTGCAATTCACACACCTGATAAAAAACTTGTATCCATAATATATAAAGAACTCTCAAAATTCAATTAAGAAAACAAAACACAACTTTAAAAAAAATGAACAAAATATTTGAATAGCAATTTCACCAAGTATATTGGTTAATTCTCACACTGCTGTAAAGGATACTACCTGAGAGTGGGCAATTTGTAAAGGAAGGATGTTTAATTAACTCAAAGTTCTCCATGGTGGGGAGGCCTCAGGAAACTTACGATCATGGCAGAATGTGAAGGGAAAGCAAGGCATATCTTACAAGGTGGTAGGAGAGAAAGGGGAAAGCTCTATACAGTTATGGAGCAACCAGAACTCATGAGAACATACTCACTATCATGAGGACAGCAAGAGGGAAATCCACCCCCATGATCCAATCACCTCCCACCAGGCCCCTCCCTGGACACGTGGGGATTACGATGCCAGATGAGATTTGGGTGGGGACACAGAGCCAGGCTATGTCACCAAGAGAGTATATGGATAAACAAATAAGAACATGAAAATATGTTTAGCATCATTAGACACTAGGGTAATTCAAATTATAACCATAATTAGATATCTCTATCCACCTATTAGTGTCTTAAAACACACACAACATCAACTAATGGCTAGAAAAGTTCATAGATTACTAGTGGGAACACAAAATGGTAAATACATCTTGGAAAATAGCTTTACTGGCTCTTGTAATATCTATATTAAATTTAGAATATGTATTAGTTATCTCTTAATACATAGCAAATCACTACAAATTCATTTGCTTGAAATAATACACATTATCTCACAGTGTCTATGGGTCAAGTGCACAGGGATAGTTTAGTTGTATCTTTTGCTTAGGGTCACAAGGATACAATCAAGGTGTCCCCCAGGCTTTATTCTTACCTGGTGGGTTGATTGGGGATAACTTCATCCCGAGCTTACTCAGGTTTCCTTATAGCTCTAGGTCTGAGCAGTCTGGCTTCTTGCCTGTCATCAGTAGAGTTTTCCCACAGCTGCTGGAGTCTGCTGGTCAGTTCCTCACCAGGTGGGCTTTCACAATATGACTCCCTACTTTGTCAAGTCATCAAGGAGAGTCTTATGATTACAGGAATGACACAGCATCTTTGTCATATTCTGTTGGTTACAAGCAAATCAGAGGTCCTTCCCACACTCTAGGGGATTACAAAGTAGTGAACATTGAAAGACAGAGATTGTTGAGGCCCACCTTACAGTTCACTCCCTTCATGACAGTGTCTAGTAATTCCACTCCTGGACATGTATGTAACAGCAGAAGTCAGAAAACTTTATAGTCTCTAGTAAATAATGTAAACTTCAGGTTTTGAGGATCACAGGGCTTTATTGCAACTGCTCAGCTGTAGTTCAAAGACAGTCATAGATAATATGTAAACAAATGAGTATGGCTGCATTCCAGTAAAGTATATTTACAAATCATGCAGTGGACTGTGTTTGGTCTGTAAGCCTTAGTTTGCTTATTCCTGCACCAGAGAAAGGAACATTTATGTTCACAGAAGTATCTGTGTATGAAGTATATAGCAATTTTATTCATAATCACCAAGAGTGGAAACAACCCATTATCCTTCAAAAGATGAAGGAATAAACAAACCAAGGTACATCCATAGAATGGAATATTACTCCCTAATAAAAAGGAAGTAACTCTTGATATGCAGAACAACTTGGATGAATCTCAAAGACATTTTCAATGGCATTATACTGAGTCAAAGAAGCCTGTCTCAAAGCTTATATACTGTATGATGTCATTTATGATTCTCAAGAAGTCAAGTTACAGTGAAAGAGAGCACATCAGTATTGCCAGTGTTGGTGTGATGGAAAAAAGGAATAACATGCAAGGTTTTATGGTGATGGAACTGCTCTGTATCCTCATTATAGCTGTGCTACATGAACTTGTTAAAATTTCTAGAACAGTATATCGAGAAGAGATCAACTTTACATTTTCTCTTTTAATTTAAAAATCTCAGCATTTTTTACCCTGTTCTAAATAAAATTTTTCAAAGCTGTATGCTGGGTCTGGGGTCAGGGGTTTGCATAAAGATCTTTGGGGCTGACTAGAATGTCTTAATTTTTATTCTGAAGAAAGATGGGAGGAAAGTAGCAGATATTTAAGATTAAGGTGTCGTATTAAAGCCCATATTATTAAGGAAGCTCATATCTTTTCATTCATATTGCAAATATCATTTATAATACTTATTCTAGTAGTTTGGCTTCTTTCTATAAGACTTTAGCCTAACGTTTTTCTTCTATTTTAAAACATAATTATTTTAAGTACCTAAAGTCATCAGCTCATAGGAACAAATAATAGAATGGTGATTACCAAGGACCAGCAGTAGAGCAAAATGGAAACTTACTGTTTAATTGGTTTAAAGTATTAGTTATGCAAGATGACTTCATTCTAGAGATTTGCTGTAGAGCATAGTTCCTGTAGCCAAAAATACTGTATTATGCACTAAAATTTGTTGAGAGGGCAATATCATATTAAGTGTTCTTACTACAACACTAAACTAAACTAAACGAAATTAAACAAACAAATAAACCAAACCCAAAGGGACATAAGGAAGCTTTTGAAGGTGATGGATACACATATTATCTTGATTATGGTAATGGTTTTGTAGGTGTATGCATATGTCCAAACTTATCAAAATACATAAATTAAACATAAGCAGTTTATTGCCTATCAATTATGCCTCAATAGAGCTATTTAAAAAATGAATTTACTGATACTCTCAGAGAATCGCCTTTAAGATTGTTAACTCCCTAAGACACCGTGGCCCAGTTCAATCACTTCTTTGTGATGACAAGTCTTTACATATATAAGACTTCAGGTATCCAGTCTCTGAAAGAAAGAGTTGAATTACATAACTTCTTAAGATCTGTTTATTAAGAAAATCTGATATTCCAATATGGCAAGGACATTAGTGTATGACAATCTAAATGTAAATAAGTTCTGGTTTCAACATTTCTTGGTGGTTTCTGCTCAAGGAGTTTCCAGAACATAAACACTACTGCAATGAGCACAAAGTGTAAGGAATGATTATTTTATATTTCATCATTCATTCATTCATTCATACATTTTTTTGTGTATTGCACTGTCTAGAACTGTTGAGCACATTCATAATCATGCTTCCTTCCATTTTTTGTACTCAGAAAACATTAAGGTACTTTCTCCCTTCACTTAAGAAGCCAAGTATTGAGCTATGGCTGTTGATTAAAACTCTAATGGTTCTTCAAATATTCAACAAACGTTTACTGAGCTATCACTGTGTGCCAGGCACTGAGCTAGGTACTGAGGCTGCAATACAAGTAACACAAATGTGCATCTACTGCTGTAAAACTCATAGAAAAAACATGGGCAACTTTTATAAAAAAATCACAAAATACCAGCCTGGATGAAATAGTAAAATTCCATCTCTAAAAAATAATAATAATAGTAGCTGAACATGGTGGGGCACACATGTGGTTTCAGCTATTCAGGATGCTGAGTCGCAAGGATCTCTTGAGCCCAGGTCCAGGCTGCAGTGAGCTATGATCATACCATTGCACTCCAGCCTGGGTGACAGAGTGCGACCCTGTCTCTAAAAATTAATAAATAAATAAATAACACAAAATAATAAAATAAAATAAAACAAACAGAATAAAGATATATTTGAGACTGTTGCAAATTCTCAGAAGGGAAACAGAATATTCCTTGAAACGTATTAATTTCCCGAAGTTTATAATTATCCACGAGAAATAATGGAAGACATTTTAATTTCTTTTTGGCTGTGGAGAAAGTTCAGCCATGTGGAGATTCAGAGCTTGCTAATGGTATCACACAAGTGAAGCCAAGGCTTCCCAGATTCTGTGCCCTTCTACCTTGCGATATCACCGTGACCAATTTTGAAGGAAGAGATATTGAACTTTTACCCATCTAATTATTTGAATGTTTTGGAATCACTGCAGTATATCAATGAGTCAATGTCAAATTTGTCAAGCTTTCAGGAACATTAAACAAAAATTGTCAGGCAAAAAGGTGATTCAGGCAATTAAATCCCGCATGTGTGGAATGTGTATTTTCAGAGAATCCAGAGAGACAGAGTAGAAAAAAAAAAAGTGCCCCTTTACAAAACATAGAAATTCTACTCATGCTTTCAGGAAACAAACAAACAATAACAAAAAAAAATCACCTTCTTCAAATCAATTCGGTTTACTTTTGTTATTAGAGAGCATTTAGCAAGTTCCAACATTTCATGCCAGATGGTATTCCCCAAAGATGTAAGAGAGAAGATTTCTAACTGTAATGTGAACAAATACTAGTAATTTTCATCATCATTATATATGTCTTTTTCTTCCTAACCAAGGAGTTAAGTACAATAATGACATATATAATTAATGTCAGTCTTAATTCTCTAATCTTAAGAGGTTTATTCACTGCAAAATCACATTTGTCTACAGATGATTATCTTTTCTCCTAAGCTAGCCTCAAGAATAAGCTGCTCTAATTGAATATGCACATATTCAGGTTTCTTTTTTTATATTTTGGAAGTCATCAATTTGCATGTGTCACAAAGCTTCCTACATCATTACAATAACTGGATCTTCAGAAGAGTAAGCATGTGCTTTCTCTTCAAAAATTGGTGTCTGAGCTTTACCAAGACATTTAGTATCCACAGTTCACCTGGAGAGCTGTGAAGACAGGCTGTAGAAAGGTTGACCAATAGACTATGCATACATACATACTAGGATATGCATCTTCCTCAGTAGGACACACAGTTCATTAAATTGCAAAACTTCCCACAGTCACGGCTACTACTTCCCTGTCATGGACTGAGGATGTGGTGGAGGAAGAAGCTCTCCCTACTGAGCCGCCACAGTGTGTCATTTACTGTAGCGGGTACTGAGGAATAAAATAAAATTAAGATATTAATAATCACAGCCACAACCAAACCATTCACGGTTTCCACAAAATCAGTGGGAAATACAAATATAGCAAAAGACAATTGTGATGCAATGGGGAATGTGATGTTATAGGGTCCGGCAGACAGCAGAGGCCTGACTAATTCAGACTTGTTGGAGACAGTAGCCAAAGAAACCTCCAGGACACACTTGAAGTCAGTTCAGAAAAAAATATGTTTAAGGGCATAACCAGTTCTATAGAGCATAGGATGTGAAGTGAGTAGGATAGAAGATAAAAGGCCGTTAGTGACTCTATTGTAAAGGAACTTGCTTGCATTCAGTAAGCAACATAAAATCATCCAGGAATTTTCAGCAAGGAAATGACATGGTCACATGTCTCTGTCATCCTAATACTGACTGTTTTTGAGAGTAGCTACCACAGTCTTACAGCCTTGCAGGGTAGATAGGTGATGGCCCTCACCTTATACACTGTCAAAGAGGATAAAAATGTGAATGTAATCAAATCATATTAGGGAGGGTAGAATCATGTGCCCTCAAAGGGATCTCAAAGATGTTTTCCAGATTCCAGGCTTGAAAGAGAGGCCAAAACAAGAACATATAAGGATAGATATGCGAAGAGGTTTGTTGGGGAAATGATGATTTCAGCTGTAGATATATTGTTTGTGATTTCTTTGGAACAGGTTATCACAGTTTTTTTGGAAGATCAAAATTTATTGCCTCCCTAAAGTTCCAAATACAGTCACTTATTGGGTTGAATTTCAACATATGAATTTTGTGGGGACAAAATTCAGTCCATAACAACCCTGAATGCAAAATTTGGGTTCAAGGACTCAATTTCAATTGGTAAGATACAATGAGAATTTCAATGGACTTCTGGAAAAGAAAATTTCTTCCTTTACTTCTTTACTTTAACCTGGATTTAGCATCAAAAAAATATTGGCAACTATTTTGGCACACACGGGATGAGATTGTCTCCCAGTGAAGTAGATTTTAGGGAAGTGAAATCAAGGACTGGAGAAAGGAAAAAAATGATGTTGGAAAAACATCTGGGTTCTGGAGCAAATTGCACCGAAAACACACCCTAATATTTTAACTCCATGAATATGTAATTTCTATTTTGACCTTCAGAAGTCTGGGTTACATTTTCTGTCACTTATAAATAAAAAATTCAGAGACAACCAGCATTGGAGTACAGAGTCAAAGGAATTTTCTCTGCTTCTCCTAGGATGCACAATCACTCCTTTTCTTTCTGCACAACGACTTCATTATTCTCTCTCTGCAGACCAGGTAATTGTCTCTTTGATGCACATGTTTGCAAATGGACTTCATATTTCCAGAGATACAGTAACTCACTGCTCCAAAACCCTTAACCAGCTGACCAAAACTTAAGAGTCCTAATTCCAAGTGTTGTTCTAGATATAAAAGCTTGGTAGGCATCATTAACTCAAAGTCCCTGGTCTTGGAGGCTGTGATGTTATAAGAGGTCATCCTCTGGAGGATGAGCACCGTTTCTACAGCATCTTGAACAGGTGGAAAAAAAAAACCCTAAACACGTGAAAGGCAATTGTGTTGATTATCAGCTCCTCATCTATCAAATGAGAGTGGATTTATATTGGACTTCTCTTGAGCTCTAACCTTGCATATTGCTCTAGTTGCTTATAGGTGATTGAAATCATTTAGTCTGTTTTTTTTTTTATTTTTGTTTGTTTTTTTTGTTTGTTTGTTTAGACAGAGTCTTGCTCTGTCATCCAGGCTGGAGTGCAGTGGTGGGATCTCTGCTCACTGCAATGTTTGCCTCCCAGGTTCCTGCCTCAGCCTCCCAAGTAGCTGGGATTACAAGCACGCGCCACCACACCTGGCTAATTTTTATATTTTTAGCAGAGATGGGGTTTCACCATGTTGGCCAGGCTGGTCTTGAACTCCTGACCTCAAGTGCTCAACCCAGCTTGGCCTCCCAAAGTGCTGGGATTACAGGTCTGAGGCATCTCGCCTGGCCCACTTATATGTCTTTTACGATCAGAATTCCAATCTGCAGAGATACAGGAACACTATCACAATTAGAATTTCTAAATGTTGAGTTTCTATAAATGTGAAGAGGTATAGCATACAAACTGTATTTTGTTTTTTTAATGAGAACTACAAAAATAGTTTCTTCTTCAAGTTTTTAAGTACCAGTTTTGCTTTCCTACTTATTATAGATTCCCCTAAGATTAGAAAAAGAGAGAAAACTGAATCACAGAGTTGGGAGAAAAAGAAAATTCATAACACATTAAAAAAATAAAAGCCTTATTTGAATCAGTACCCAGAAAATATTGTGTAAGAATAGTCAGTAGGTGACAATGTGTTTACATTTAGGGATATGAGCATGTGATGAGTGCCACATCACCTGCAGTGAGAGAAAACAAGTGTGAAATGAGATCTCCAAGTTGAAGATCTCATTAAGGAGAACGAGGCAAAGTGAAGGCCCGCAGCCCACAGTCGCCAGACATGAATTTCTCAGATATTACAAAATTATACAAATAGGTAGTTCTGGTTCTTGGTCATGAGATCCCAGGAGCAAAGTAGGAAAATGAAGCTTTCAGCTATGTCCATACAACTTCTCCAAGGGAAGTAGATGATTAATTTCCTTTATACTAATGTTCCTGATGGCAGCCACTCTTGCCATGGGTGAGTGTGTCCATGGGCGAACGTATGAATAAGCATAGGCAGTCTTTTGGTTCTGATATACTCCACATTAATCTACCCATAGAAATCTAGCCCAGTACCACTACCATTTAACTGAGACATTCACTTTTTTAAGAAGTTAAGTTGAATATTTTATTGTTATGAAAAATAAACCTTTTTTTAAATGAACTAAAAAAATCCTCTTTACAACCTTAATTAGTATGTTTAATTCTAAAATATAAACTCATCTATATTTTTATATAATCTGTAAGAAAATTTTCTTACATACACTTACATATGAGTGTTTTTTCATTTTATTTTTCTGTTTGCTTACACTTTTCACTTAATATTTCTTGAAAGCTTATAAATTCTTACTGTTTTTAATAGCTTCATCATACCAATCTTAAAATTAATTCATTATTCTTTATTAATTTTTAAGTTATTTCCAGTTTTATTTTTGTTATGTCTTGAATTTTCATTTGTTTGTAATTGCTGTTATGGGCGATGCCTCAGTAATACATTCTGATAATACAAATTTTTCCATCATGTGAAAATATGCATTCAGGACAATTTCTTAGAAATAGAATTGTAGCTATTGATGGGTAATGCTAGATTGCCCTTCATTGAATCTGTATGTAATATACACTAACAGTATATAATGTGCCTGTATGCATGCCCTGTTATAGATTGAACTGTTAAATTTGCTTTGTTATTTACATCTGCTTCATGCTTCCTTACATTTTATATTTGATACACTGTAGAAGGAGATAGTTAAGCTTATTAGTCATTATAGAGTTGTATTTTGACTATATTTTCTTTAAATTGAGTTTTTATTTATACATTTTAATGCAATAATATATGAGGAATGATGTCTAGCATTTAGATATTTAATATTCATAATATGATTTTATATAATAAATCAGTGGCCAACAACTTTTTTTGTAAAGGGTCAGATAGTCAATATGTTTGGCTCTTTGGTCCATATGGTATCTGTATCAACTGCCTGATACTGTCCTTTTATCAAAAGGCATAATCCTATAATTGTATGCTCTTTGTATAATTATCTTGCCTTAGTTTCTATTATATTCGAAGTATTTTTGTTTACATTATGGCTTATTTTCACTTTTAAATTTTGTAATATTTTGATACTTTTAGAGTATTTATAATCTTCCTCTTTATTAGCTGATTATTATATAACTTTTAAGAATGTGCTTAAACATATATATGTGTGTGTGTGTATATGTGTGTATATATATATACACATACACATATATACATATACACATATATATACATATATATATGTGTGTATTTTTTTTTTTTTGAGACAGAGTCTCACTCTGTTGCCCAGGCTGGAGTACAATGGCACAATCACATGCTCACTGCATCCCTGACATCCTGGGTTCAAGTGATCCTTCCACCTCAGCCTCCCAAGTAATTGAGACTACAGGCATGTGCCACCATGATCATCTAATTTTTATATTTTATGTAAAGTTGGGGGATCTCACTATATTGTCAAGACTAGTGATCCTCCCTACTTGGCCTGACAAACTACTAAGATTACAGCATAAGCTGCTCTTCCTTTCTATAAACATCATTTGATTTGTTTTTAAGCAGTATTATTAACTGTGGAATAAAAATGCATAGATAAGCAAATTTATATTAGGTCTATCTTTTAAAATATAAATTATATTTTACAATCCTGGTTACCACAGGTTTTTATTTTGCTTCAATTATATGTTTAAATCTATTTAATTTTTAAAACACTTCTCCATAATTTTCTAGATTTCAAAAAAGCTATTTTTACGAAACAATAATGGGTACTGTATTTCCTGGACTCATCTAGTTTTGCATCATTCTTGCACGTGTGGACAATGCTCATCGTGTCTTTGTATCTGAACAACAACGTTCTAGTTATCAAATTTTTGCCTCACACTTTTTTCCCATGAATTGTTTGCAGACTTTCTTCCACTGTTTTCTACAGTTAGTTATTGCTGGACAGGCTACAACTAACCTGAATTGTTTCTTCCTCTAGATTATTTGATATATACATTTTTTGCCTGGATTAACAAAAAGTGTTGTTGTTTTTTTAAATAAAGTACTGTAGCCTCAAATGGATACATTGCAGGTTAACTGTTCTTATCAAATTTTCCTAGATATGGTACATGTTTCAATATACAGATTAAGATATTCTTTTTTTCAAGAAGTTTTCTTCTGCTATATTTTTCATAGTTCTATGTTCTATTTGTTGCATTCTTCTAGTTCAGGGATAAAAAATATGTTGGATTAGAATCTTTTTAAATTTCTGTCATTCTCTTGTTATTTGGGACACTGCCTTTTTTCAATTTATTTTTCTAGATGTTATCAATTCTGTTTAATATCTACAATTCTGTTTTCAGCAATGACTTTCTCTTTTTGTTTGTATGGTGGATATTCACATAAGTGCTGTGATTTCTTAAATTTAATTATTTGCTGAATTGCATCAACTGCTATTTACATCTGCTTTTATATTGCTGTATTATTAAACTTTATTTTTAAATGTTAAAGTTTTGTTAATGTATTTGATATCATATAGAAATGTGTCTTTGACATCTACTTTATGAGGTGATTTTTCTATTATTCTATATTCATTTTCTATTTTTAACTTATTTGTTTCTCTTTTTCTGCAATTGGTAGCCATAGACTTCATTCTGATTCTCCTATGATTCTTAGTCATCTTTGAATGACACATGTGTTTTCTAGGATAGCTATTTTCTGAAGAATATTTTAGGGAAGAACTAGGGGTATAAGCTGGAAGCAGTCAGCTTGAACTGTTCTATGTTGTTTCTCTTTCTCACGGATTCCGATATGTAGTCTATTGCAGAGGCCATGTGCCCAGTTTTCTTCATCTCATTGAGATAATATGTCTCAATGGCTAATTGTGCAAGCCTGTATGACACAGTGTGTTTCTGTATGCTGGTGTTTTGCTTATGTTTCCTCATGTTAGTGAGATCAGTAGTCATTTAACTCTCTTTTACTCGTTATCTATGCAGCTCAAACACAGGACACTTCCATTTGTTGCCTCATTTAGGCTGGTCCAGTGTCTCTCTGAGATACATGATGTGGTTAGAGGCATTTTTGTCTCTCTCACACTCTCTAGACTTAGGCATGGAAGTAAGGAACTTTATTGCGCCTTTCAGAGTAATCTTCCTCATGTTCAAGACTCCCAACATGCTGCACAGTATTTTTTAAAGGAAGAGGCTATTCATAATATGTTTATCATTTCACTATTATTGTACAGAAGTGCAAAAGCATTCCTCATGTTTCATCGTATGAAATTTTTCTTTTTTTTTCTTTTTTTTTATTTATTATACTTTAAGTTTTAGGGTACATGTCGACATTGTGCAGGTTAGTTACATATGTATACATGTGCCATGCTGGTGCGCTGCACCCACTAACTCGTCATCTAGCATTAGGTATATCTCCCAATGCTATCCCTCCCGCCTCCCCCCACCCTACAACAGTCCCCAGAGTGTGATGTTCCCCTTCCTGTGTCCATGTGTTCTCGTTGTTCAATTCCCACCTATGAGTGAGAATAGGCGGTGTCTGGTTTTTTGTTCTTGTGATAGTTTACTGAGAATGATGATTTCCAATTTCATCCATGTCCCTACAAAGGACATGAACTCATCATTTTTTATGGCTGCATAGTATTCCATGGTGTATATGTGCCACATTTTCTTAATCCAGTCTATCATTGTTGGACATTTGGGTTGGTTCCAAGTCTTTGCTATTGTGAATAATGCTGCAATAAACATATGTGTGCATATGTCTTTATAGCAGCATGATTTATAGTCCTTTGGGTATATACCCAGTAATGGGATAGCTGGGTCAAATGGTATTTCCAGTTCTAGACCCCTGAGGAATCACCACACTGACTTCCACAATGGTTGAACTAGTTTACAGTCCCACCAACAGTGTAAAAGTGTTCCTATTTCTCCACATCCTCTCCAACACCTGTTGTTTCCTCACTTTTTAATGATTGCCATTCTAACTGGTGTGAGATGGTATCTCATTGTGGTTTTGATTTGCATTTCTCTGATGGCCAGTGATGATGAGCATTTTTTCATGTGTTTTTTGGCTGCATAAATGTCTTCTTTTGAGAAGTGTCTGTTCATGTCCTTCGCCCACTTTTTGATGGGGTTCTTTGTTTTTTTCTTGTAAATTTTTTGGAGTTCATTGTAGATTCTGGATATTAGCCCTTTGTCAGATGAGTAGGTTGTGAAAATTTTCTCCCATTTTGTAGGTTGCCTGTTCACTCTGATGGTAGTTTCTTTTGCTGTGCAGAAGCTCTTTAGTTTAATTAGATCCCATTTGTCAATTTTGTCTTTTGTTGCCATTGCTTTTGGTGTTTTAGACATGAAGTCCTTGCCCATGCCTATGTCCTGAATGGTAAGGCCTAGGTTTTCTTCTAGGGTTTTTATGGTTTTAGGTCTAACGTTTAAGTCTTTAATCCATCTTGAATTGATTTTTGTATAAGGTGTAAGGAAGGGATCCAGTTTCAGCTTTCTACATATGGCTAGCCAATTTTCCCAGCACCATTTATTAAATAGGGAATCCTTTCCTCATTGCTTGTTTTTCTCAGGTTTGTCAAAGATCAGATAGTTGTAGATATGCGGCATTATTTCTGAGGGCTCTGTTCTGTTCCATTGATCTATATCTCTGTTTTGGTACCAGTACCATGCTGTTTTGGTTACTGTAGCCTTGTAGTATAGTTTGAAGTCAGGTAGTGTGATGCCTCCAGCTTTGTTCTTTTGGCTTAGGATTGACTTGGCAATGCGGGCTCTTTTTTGGTTCCATATGAACTTTAAAGTAGTTTTTTCCAATTCTGTGAGGAAAGGCATTGGTAGCTTGATGGAGATGGCATTGAATCTGTAAATTACCTTGGGCAGTATGGCCATTTTCATGATATTTATTCTTCCTACCCATGAGCATGGAATGTTCTTCCATTTGTTTGTATCCTATTTTATTTCCTTGAGCAGTGGATTGTAGTTCTCCTTGAAGAGGTCATTCACATCCCTTGTAAGTTGGATTCCTAGGTATTTTATTCTCTTTGAAGCAACTGTGAATGGGAGTTCACTCATGATTTG
The DNA here is from genome assembly GCF_000001405.40 of Homo sapiens. Lineage (NCBI taxonomy): Eukaryota > Metazoa > Chordata > Mammalia > Primates > Hominidae > Homo > Homo sapiens. The sequence continues at coordinate 123,632,951 of NC_000002.12, read as the reverse complement.
GCTCTCTGTTTGTCTGTTGTTGGTGTATAAGAATGCTTGTGATTTTTGTACATTGATTTTGTATCCTGAGACTTTGCTGAAGTTGCTTATCAGCTTAAGGAGATTCTGGGCTGAGACAATGGGGTTTTCTAGATATACAATCATGTCATCTGCAAACAGAGACAATTTGACTTCCTCTTTTCCTAATTGAATACCCTTTATTTCCTTCTCCTGCCTAATTGCCCTGGCCAGAACTTCCAACACTATGTTGAATGGGAGTGGTGAGAGAGGGCATCCCTGTCTTGTGCCAGTTTTCAAAGGGAATGCTTCCAGTTTTTGCCCATTCAGTATGATATTGGCTGTGGGTTTGTCATAGATAGCTCTTATTATTTTGAAATACGTCCCATCAATACCTAATTTATTGAGAGTTTTTAACATGAAGGGTTGTTGAATTTTGTCAAAGGCTTTTTCTGCATCTATTGAGATAATCATGTGGTTTTTGTCTTTGGCTCTGTTTATATGATGGATTACATTTATTGATTTGTGTATATTGAACCAGCCTTGCATCCGAGGGATGAAGCCCACTTGATCATGGTGGATAAGCTTTTTGATGTGCTGCTGGATTCGGTTTGCCAGTATTTTATTGAGGATTTTTGCATCAATGTTCATCAAGGATATTGGTCTAAAATTCTCTTTTTTGGTTGTGTCTCTGCCTGGCTTTGGTATCAGAATGATGCTGGCCTCATAAAATGAGTTAGGGAGGATTCCCTCTTTTTCTGTTGATTGGAATAGTTTCAGAAGGAATGGTACCAGTTCCTCCCTGTACCTCTGGTAGAATTCGGCTGTGAATCCATCTGGTCCTGGACTCTTTTTGGTTCGTAAGCTATTGATTATTGCCACAATTTCAGATCATGTTATTGGTCTATTCAGAGATTCAATTTCTTCCTGGTTTTGTCTTGGGAGAGTGTATGTGTCGAGGAATTTATCCATTTCTTCTAGATTTTCTAGTTTATTTGCATAGAGGTGTTTGTAGTATTCTCTGATGGTAGTTTGTATTTCTGTGGTATTGGTGGTGATATCCCCCTTATCATTTTTTATTGTGTCTATTTGATTCTTCTCTCTTTTTTTCTTTCTTAGTCTTGCTAGCAGTCTCTCAATTTTGTTGATCCTTTCAAAAACCCGCTCCTGGATTCATTAATTTTTTGAAGGGTTTTCTGTGTCTCTATTTCCTTCAGTTCTGCTCTGATTTTAGTTATTTCTTGCCTTCTGCTAGCTTTTGAATGTGTTTGCTCTTGCTTTTCTAGTTCTTTTAATTGTGATGTTAGGGTGTCAATTTTGGATCTTTCCTGCTTTCTCTTGTGGGCATTTAGTGCTATAAATTTCCCTCTACACACTGCTTTGAATGTGTCCCAGAGATTCTGGTATGTTGTGTCTTTGTTCTCGTTGGTTTCAAAGAACATCTTTATTTCTGCCTTCATTTCGTTATGTACTCAGTAGTCATTCAGGAGCAGGTTGTTCAGTTTCCATGTAGTTGCGTGGTTTTGAGTGAGATTCTTAATCCTGAGTTCTAGTTTGATTGCACTGTGGTCTGAGAGATAGTCTGTTATAATTTCTGTTCTTTTACATTTGCTGAGGAGAGCTTTACTTCCAACTATGTGGTCAATTTTGGAATAGGTGTGGTGTGGTGCTGAAAAAAATGTATATTCTGTTGATTTGGGGTGGAGAGTTCTGTAGATGTCTATTAGGTCCGCTTGGTGCAGAGCTGAGTTCAATTCCTGGGTATCCTTGACTTTCTGTCTCGTTGATCTGTCTAATGTTGACAGTGGGGTGTTAAAGTCTCCCATTATTAATGTGTGGGAGTCTAAGTCTCTTTGTAGGTCACTCAGGACTTGCTTTATGAATCTTGGTGCTCCTGTATTGGGTGCATATATATTTAGGATAGTTAGCTCTTCTTGTTGAATTGTTCCCTTTACCATTATGTAATGGCCTTCTTTGTCTCTTTTGATCTTTATTGGTTTAAAGTCTGTTTTATCAGAGACTAGGATTGCAACCCCTGCCTTTTTTTGTTTTCCATTTGCTTGGTAGATCTTCCTCCATCCTTTTATTTTGAGCCTATGTGTGTCTCTGCACGTGAGATGGGTTTCCTGAATACAGCACACTGATGGGTCTTGACTCTTTATCCAATTTGCCAGTCTGTGTCTTTTAATTGGAGCATTTAGTCCATTTACATTTAAAGTTAATATTGTTATGTGTGAATTTGGTCCTGTCATTATGATGTTAGCTGGTTATTTTGCTCGTTAGTTGATGCAATTTCTTCCTAGTCTCGATGGTCTTTACATTTTGGCATGATTTTGCAGCGGCTGGTACCGGTTGTTCCTTTCCATGTTTAGCGCTTCCTTCAGGAGCTTTTTTAGGGCAGGACTGGTGGTGACAAAATCTCTCAGCATTTGCTTGTCTGTAAAGTATTTTATTTCTCCTTCACTTATGAAGCTTAGTTTGGCTGGATATGAAACTCTTGGTTGAAAATTCTTTTCTTTAAGACTGTTGAATATTGGCCCCCACTTTCTTCTGGCTTGTAGGGTTTCTGCTGAGAGATCCACTGTTAGTCTGATGGGCTTCCCTTTGAGGGTAACCCGACCTTTCTCTCTGGCTGCCCTTAAGATTTTTTCCTTCATTTCAACTTTGGTGAATCTGACAATTATGTGTCTTGGAGTTGCTCTTTTCGAGGAGTATCTTTGTGGCGTTCTCTGTATTTCCTGAATCTGGAACGTTGGCCTGCCTTGCTAGATTGGGGAAGTTCTCCTGGATAATATCCTGCAGAGTGTTTTCCAACTTGGTTCCATTCTCCCCATCACTTTCAGGTACACCAATCAGACGTAGATTTGGTCTTTTCACATAGTCCCATATTTCTTGGAGGCTTTGCTCATTTCTTTTTATTCTTTTTTCTCTAAACTTCCCTTTTCGCTTCATTTCATTCATTTCATCTTCCATTGCTGATACCCTTTCTTCCAGTTGATCGCATAGGCTCCTGAGGCTTCTGCATTCTTCACATAGTTCTCGAGCCTTGGGTTTCAGCTCCATCAGCTCCTTTAAGCACTTCTCTGTATTGGTTATTCTAGTTATACATTCTTCTAATTTTTTTTCAAAGTTTTCAACTTCTTTGCCTTTGGTTTGAATGTCCTCCCGTAGCTCAGAGTAATTTGATCGTCTGAAGCCTTCTTCTCTCAGCTCGTCAAAGTCATTCTCCATCCAGCTTTGTTCTGTTGCTGGTGAGGAACTGCGTTCCTTTGGAGGAGGAGAGGCGCTCTGCTTTTTAGAGTTTCCAGTTTTTCTGTTCTGTTTTTTCCCCATCTTTGTGCTTTTATTTACTTTTGGTCTTTGATGATGGTGATGTACAGATGGGTTTTTGGTGTGGATGTCCTTTCTGTTTGTTAGTTTTCCTTCTAACAGACAGGACCCTCAGCTGCAGGTCTGTTGGAATACCCTGCCGTGTGAGGTGTCAGTGTGCTCCTGCTGGGGGGTGCCTCCCAGTTAGGCTGCTCGGGGGTCAGGGGTCAGGGACCCACTTGAGGAGGCAGTCTGCCCGTTCTCAGATCTCCAGCTGCGTGCTGGGAGAACCACTGCTCTCTTCAAAGCTGTCAGACAGGGACATTGAAGTCTGCAGAGGTTATTGCTGTCTTTTTGTTTGTCTGTGCCCTGCCCCCAGAGGTGGAGCCTACAGAGGCAGGCAGGCCTCCTTGAGCTGTGGTGGGGTCCACCCAGTTCCAGCTTCCAGGCTGCTTTGTTTACCTAATCAAGCCTGGGCAATGGCGGGCGCCCCTCCCCCAGCCTCACTGCCGCCTTGCAGTTTGATCTCAGACTGCTGTGCTAGCAATCAGCGAGACTCCCTGGGTGTAGAACCCTCCGAGCCAGGTGCGGGATATACTCTCGTGGTGCGCCGTTTTTAAAGCCCGTCGGAAAAGCGCAGTATTCAGGTGGGAGTGACCCAATTTTCCAGGTGCCGTCCGTCACCCCTTTCTTTGACTCGGAAAGGGAACTCCCTGACCCCTTGCGCTTCCCAAGTGAGGCAATGCCTCGCCCTGCTTCGGCTCGCGCACAGTGCACGCACCCACTGACCTGCGCCCACTGTCTGGCACTCTCTAGTGAGATGAACCCGGTACCTCAGATGGAAATGCAGAAATCACCCGTCTTCTGCGTCGCTCAGGCTGGGAGCTGTAGACCGGGGCTGTTCCTATTCGGCCATCTTGGGAAATTTTTCAGTGTCAGTTAAGATTATTCCACGTCCATCTGCAGGGGTTGGTTGAGTGGGGTTGAAGGTCATTTGGTTTTAGGAGAAAAACAAGTTAAGATGTGTTCCTGGACTCTACCATATTAACTAGATGTTCCTTATAAGTCAAATGCCTGCATATGAAATATGGGAGTTGCTGGGCCATCAGAGCTTTAGAGAGGGCTTTTAAATTAAGAAAAAAAAAGAGCACCAAGGGTGATTATAAGCTCTCATTTTTACATTTGCAAACATAACCTCCCTCCTTGCACCTGCCGCCGGCAAAAGTTGGAGTAGCACTTTTGGTGGAAGTCCTGGAGTACAGCACTTGGTTTATATCACTCTTATAATACTCTGACAACTTTAATTGCAATTTTTCCTATGTTATGCAATTTTTCTTCTTTGGACTGAATTATTTGAAGGTAGAGATTTTTAAAATTTGTCTTGATTTTGTCAGTATGTAGAACACCTGGCATTGAGAAGATGTTTAATGCTTGTTGCCTGAAATAATGAATAATTGAGTATAGAGTTGTTATCTCACGGACAAAATAAAGTTCATTTAGAGTACATGTTTGTCAAAAGTGGATCCAATCAATATAAAATCTCTTAAGTGAAACTTTATTGGATTTAGTTTTCTGTACAATATATCTCACAGCTGTCTCCTTTGATGCTTCTCCCTTTTCCCCCACAATACCCCAATATTGATGGCCTAAAATTTTAGTCATTGCTTCTTTTCTAATTTTTAACTACACTAACACCTTAAATGATCTCATTTGGCCCCGTGGCTTTAAATACTATTGTATATATTAACTTCCAATTTATATATTCACCCTAGACCACTTTCATGAACTTCAGGCTGTATACCTACCTTCCTATGCAATGTTTCCATTTGCATGTGCAAATCATATCTCAAACTGAACATTCTCAAAACCTAATCCCTAATTCACATTGGCCCTCATGCACCCACCAACTTGCTCCTTCTGGAGCTTTCCCCATCTCAGTTCATAGCAGCCTTTCGCTTACCCAGGCTGAATGCTGAACTTTTTTGTTACTACTCTCTTTCTCTCATTCCAAAAGTCCAATTCTTTAGGAAATTCTACTTACTTTCAAAATATATCTCGATTCTTATTAGTTCTTACTGTTTCTATTGCTGTATATAAGACATTGAATCTTAATACATCTTCCTGTTTCTATGCTTGTATCCCTCAAGTCTCCTCTCAAGCTAACAGCCAAAAAGATCCTGTTAAAGGTTAGATAATATCTTTCAACTTCAAAACCTTCCAGTGGTTGTCAGTATCTCTCATTGCTGTGAGCCTGTAACCTCTGATGAGAGAACATGTATGTTTTTGTAGGGAGAGAGGGAAGAGTAATATGTAAATATCCCTAATCTACAGGTGACTGCAGATTTTGTTTCAAGATGGAGAGAAGTAGCAATATGTGGCCCCTAAACTGTGGACTTACAAGGGTTGGGGAACATTGGGCATGTATTCTAGCACTGTCACATTCCAACTGCAAGATCTTCAGAAAATTACTTAACGTGGCAATAAATATCTCACAAGGATTAAAGGAGACAAGACGATGTCATCTGATTAAAGTAAATATTCTAATTCTTCAATAAATGTTTAGTCTTCATCAAGTACTTTTGAATAGTCGTCAAATACAGGAAACCCTATGTTTATAAAACACATGCAGTATTTTCATTGGGAGATCATCTTGAAGCTAACCTGAATCAATGAGTCAAAGGGAAAGAGAAGTGATTCTCAGGAATTGATTCTTTCTGGGTTTATCATTCTCTGTCGTGTATAAGCAGATTAAGTAGAGATTAAGGTGGACATATATTAACCACATCACATGGTATTGTCTTGAAAAAGGCACAGACAGAGAAAAACAAAGTCCCTCTAACCCAGATGACTTTGATTTAGAGAATAGCTTAAAAAAAAACAAGAGGGAAAGTTACCTAATCTTTCTACAAAAATTACATTTTTATCTATGACCCTTGTGTTCTTCATTTTCTCTTCCTATTTTTACCCATTGCTTTAAGCTCTCCTATTTTTGAATATGATTAATCATCAGTGGGAAAACAGAGTTTTATTTCAGACAATTGGCAGGATGAAGCTATCTGAAATTATGAATCATTTCCAAACTTCTAGTGTGAAGCTCACATATACATGCTTTATTTGATGGGATTTATGTAACAGTTTTCCTCTTAAGAGCTTAAAGGAGCTGAGCAGTTATATTCTATGTTCCTGTCACTGTCCTTTGTGCCTCCAAATGCCCTCTCTGGATTTATTTTGTAGACAAATTCCATTCAGGGCTGGATATCTCTTTGGATGTATAGGTGCATATGGCAGAAAGAAGCTTCTTCAAATAACTTCTTCTGAATGTGTGCTTACAAAATTATTTTTATGTTGAACTCTTCCATTCACTGAAAAAAGAAACTGCTAATGATGAACCATTCTGAATGCAAGCTTCCATTTACTTTACAGTACTGGATTTCTCTATGGGCCTACAGGAATGTATGGCAAAGTAAATAAGGAAACAGATAAGTGAAATAGGTCATAAGGATCTGTAATTAATTTCTCAATTTCTTCATTGTATCTGTAATCAATTTCTCAATTTCTTCATTGCACATGCTTTCTGGAAGTATTTCAGAATTATGAAAAAAAGCAAAATACTTTAGTAAATAAAATGTTCTAGCTAATAATTAGAGTGTTCCAGCCTCATTTATATGACAGTGTCTGCTAAATGAGCCTTATTGCTTCAGGCGTAATAGGCTCCACACTATTCTCACTATATACCAAGCTCATTTCCTCTTTGTCCTTTGCTCAGCATGGCTCCCTCTTGTCAACCTTTCCTATACATACCTCCCTAATTCCTCAAAAACTCATTGACTGCAAACTTCTCTCTACTTCCATTGCACTTACAACTGGTCCAGATATTACATGAATTGGACAGAGGTTCATCACCTCAAGAACTTGAAATTATGCCAATATGGTTATTAGTTAGGAAATTTATTTGGCTATTTGTAGCAAAGGGCAAAGCATCAATAACTTAAAAGGATAGAAGCTTATTTCTCTCTTTATCGAATCAGCCAAGACTAAACAGCATAGGGCTAATATTGAAGCTCCTTGTGGTAGGATTACAGAATTCTTCAAATTTATTTTTTTGACAGTCTCACTATGTGACTAAAATCCTCTAGAGGAATGTGAATGTTCTCTCTCCTATCACTCCATGTTTAGCCCACCTAATATTGCATTGTATAACTCTTTCCTCAGATGTTACTTATAAAGTTCTTCCATAGAAATATTGGTAAGATTTTTAATATGTGGCCAACTGCACAATATGGCCAACTGTACATAATATGTTTATTTAATATACGGTCAAGCTGCACAAAAGTTGTTATCTGGATGGTCATGTGTATAGCTGGAATTTAGGGTTTTGAATACATAAAGAAATGTGTTAAACGGATATTGAAGTACCAAATACCATTCATCTTCCTGTAAATGTAATCTTCCACTAGAGAGCGAATGTTTTGGTGTCTTTTATGCAACATGCCGGCATGTTTTGCAGTTCTGTTTCTGTTTATTGTGAATTTTTTGGTTGACATGTTAGTCTTAAACATTGGTCTCATGAAATTTGTTAGCATGAACTGGCATCTAAAAATCCCATCAAACAGGGGTGTTGACAAATCTAAGTTCCAGAGCCTGGAGGGCTGCAGTCCAGCAGATTGTAGATATCACCATGGGAACTGCCATCTCACAGGGTGTCTTGGTACCCAACCAGCATCTATCCTTTTTTCGTCAATATGTATCTGCAAAGCCTTGTGCCAAGATATCTTATTTCAATTTATAAATTCCTTCTCTCACAGACATTTGGACACTCATTCATAGTCTACTGAAACCAAGGGCATATCCCCTGTTAGAAAACAGAATCCTGGTTTGTCATTTAATCTGCAGAGTTGGCTCAATTCTCCAGAGTTTCTTGAACTCCACACTGGGTCATTTTAATAGCAAATAAGTTTTTGCCTTTATTCCTAAAGTTCAAAAACCTATTTTATTACATTTCTTCCTCAATATACCTGTGCTGTACCACAAGAGCAATTGTTATGTACATGTGATGAATTGACCTTTATTGCTTATATAAATTTTAAAACTAAAAGAGGTGAAGTATATGTCTCCTCATTTCAAATATGAACTTCTTTATGAAAGACTGTGGCTTGTGCTATAAACTAGGATGCTGTCATTTATCAATTAGTGCTTATAATTTGAATATTTGTATTTTATATTTTATGCTCAGGTCATAATATAATAATATATTTATAATGTAGTAAGTGTCAAAGATAGTAACTATGTTATCTGTTTCAGTCTTGAGAAAGGTCCTGCAATTGGTCCATCAGCACCTTAAATATACAGATGAAGATGCTGCTGAAGCAAAGACATAATGATATGCTCAAGTTCATTTTCAGAGTTCTTCGAGGAGCCTTCTGATTAAGGTCTGTGTAACTGTAAAGGCTATGCTTGAAACTACTGCACTCTTCTGCCTCTTTGATCCAACAAATAAAAAACACGGTTCACTCTACACTTATTCTAACTTTAATTTGATATGTATTTATTGGTTGCAAAAATACCAAGTTCATCAGTGTATCTAGGGTCAATATTAAGAAAATTTATTTTCCATTATATGTGACCACCCATCAAAATTGTACTATAATGGGCAAAATTCTCTTTGTTTAGGTTTCCAGATTATTTGAAATATTTTTGAACAGAAATTGCAGAGAAATGTATGATGTTTGCAAAATACAGAAAGTTGGAGTTGAAAAGAAGAAGAAAATTGATTTTTTATTTTTTGCAAAATACATGAATTATCAAGTGATGTCTAGTAATATATTCTCTTCTGTGAGCATTGAGATTCCAAAATTTCAGAAACCAGTTTTACAGTTCACTTATTTGTTGTGGTTCTGTAACTTGGTTCACTAGGTAGGCTGGGGCTGGCTTGGATGTGTCTGAGGTTACAAAAGTATCAATTGAATTCTTTTAACTTTTAAATTTATTTTTTGACGTGTATAGGCAATATCTAGATTAAAATTAGAAATTTTTACATGCATCCCTACTCTAATACCTAGATGATTTTTGGTTTTAATTCTTTAATCTTCTGTCTCTTACAGAACTTCTACATAAGTACTAAAATGTTTTTCCCTATAGAGAGCATTGAGAGTAAGCTCTTTGGATGCACAGTCTTAGGTCCATGTTCAGATTCTGCCACTTATTGGCTAGCTAGCATTGGGGAAGTTGCACAAACTTTATCGTGGGGAAAATGGTTGGTAACTACCTATATACATTATTGTGATGATGAAATATATTTGCAAATATAAAAAACTATAGCATAAACTCTAATATATTTTACATTAAAATAAATGTTGGTAGAATTACTATTATTATCATATGTTGGACTAAATTAAAATCCTTTCTCCTTACGTTTATTTTCTAAAAATTGGTTCTCATTGCTGAATTCACTACCAATTTTTTTTAAAAAGTTTGTGGGTAAATAAGTAGGTGTATATATTTATGAGGTACGTGAGATATTTTGATGCAGGCTTAATAATCACATCATGGAAAATTGGGTATTCATCCCCTTTAGCATTATTATTTGTGTTACAAGCAATTCAATAATATTCTTTTTGTTATTTTTAAATGTACAATTAAGCTATTATTGACTGTAGCCATCCTGTTGTACTATTAAATACTAGTTCTTATTAGTTCTTTCTAGCCACTTATTATTATTATTGTTATTATTTGTAACCATTAATCATTCCCATCTCCCCTCTGAACCTGCACTACTCTTTTCAGCCTCTAGTAACCAGCCTGCTATTCTCTATGTCAATTAGTTCAATTGTTTTCAGTTTTACGTCTCTCAAATATGTGAGGACATACAATGTTTGTCTTTCTGTACCTGGCTCATTTCACTTAACATGAAGTCTTCTGATTCTATCCATGTTGTTGCAAATGACAGAATCTCATTATTTTTTATGACTGAATAATATTCCATTGTGTATAAGTACCACATTTTCTTTATTCATTCACCTGCTGATGGACACTTAGTTGCTTCCACATCTTGGCTATGGTGAACAGTGCTGCAACACACATGGAAGTGCAGATATATATTCATTTCCTTTCTTTTGGATATATAACCAGCAGTGGGATTGCTGGATCATACAGTAGCATTAGCTTTAGTTTTCACAGGAACCTCCAAACTGTTCTCCATAGGGGCTGTACTAATTTACAGTCTTACCAATAATGAACAAGAGTTCCCTTTTCTTCACATCCTCGCCAGGATTTGTTGTTGCATACTTTTTGGATATAAGTCATTTTGGCATCTCATTGCAGTTTTGGTTTGCATTTCTCTACTGATCAACGATAGTGAGTACTTTTTAATATGCCTGTTTTCCATTTGTATGTCTTTCGAGGAATGTCTATTCAAATCCCTTGTCCATTTTTAATAGGATTACTAGGTTTTTACCCACACAGTTGTTTGAGCTCCTTATATATTCTGATAATTAATCCCTTATCAGATGGGTATTTTGCAAATAATTTCTCTCATTCTATGGGTTGTCTCTTCAATTTGTTAATTGTTTCTTTTCCTGTACAGAAGCTTTAAAGTTGATGGGATTCTATTTGTCCTTTTGCTTTAGTTGCCTGTGCTTGCAGGGCATTACTCAATAAATTTTTATCCAGACCAATGTCCTGGAGAGTTTCTCCAATTATTTTTTGTAGTAGTTTCATAGTTTGAGGCCCTAGATTTAAATTTTTAATGTATTTTGATTCGATTTTTGTATAAGGCAAGATAGGGATCAAGTTTCATACTTCTGTACATGGATATCCAGTTTTCCCAGGGCCATTTATTGAAGAGACTGTGTTTTCCCCAATGCATATTCTTGGCATTTTGTTGAGAATGAGTTCACCTTAGATGTATGGATTTATTTCTGAGTTTTCTATTCTATTTCATTGGCCCAATGTGTCTGTTTTTCTGCCAGTACCATGATGTTTTGGTTACTATATCTGTATAGCATTATTTGAAGTCAGGTAATGTTGATCCGCCAGTTTTGTTCTCTTTTTTCAGGATATCTTCTAATAGTCTTGGTCTTCTGTGATTCCATATATATTTCAGGATTGCTTTTTTCTATTTTTTTAAAGAATGTCATTGGTATTTTGATAGCAATTTCACTGAATGTGTAGATTGCTTCGGACAGTATAGACATTTTAATGATACCGATTCTTTCAATCCATGAACATGGAATATTGTTTCATTTCTGTGTCCTCTTCAGTTTCTTTCAGCAGTGTTTTATAGTTTTCTTTGTGGAGACCTTTCACTTCTTTGGTTAATTCCTAGGTATTTTATTTGTGACTTGTAAATGGGATTACTTTTTTATTTCTTTTTCAGATTGTTCACTATTGGCATATAGAAATGCTACTGATTTTTTATGTTGTTTTTTATTTTTTTAAATTTTCATAAGTTTTTGGGGAACAGGTGGCATTTGGTTACATTAGTAAGTTCTTTGGTGGTGATTTGTGAGGTTTTGGTGCACCCAACACCCAGGAAGTATACACCAAACCCAATTTGAATGTTTTTCTGTGTTAATTTTGAACTTGCAACTTTACTGAATTTATCAGTCTAGTAGTTTTTTGATAGTTTCTTTAGGTTGTTACAAATACAAGTTATCATTTTCAAACAAGGATAATTTGACTTCTTCATTTCCAATTTGGATGCCCTTTATTTCTTTCGCTTGTCCAATTGCTGTAGCTAAGATTTTCAGTATTATGTTGAAATATGACAATGTAACAATAGTAGTGAAAGTGAGCCACCTTGTTCTGTTTCAAATCTAAGAGGAAAAACTTTCATTTTCTTCCCCATTCAGTAAAATACTCGCTGTGGGTTTGCATTATATGGCTTTTTTATGTTGAGGTATGCTTTTTGTATAACCAGTTTTTTGAGGGCTTTCATGATGAAGGGATGTTGAGCTTTATCAAATGCTTTTTCAGCATTAATTGAAATTATCATATGGTTTTTGTCCTTCATTTTGTTGATATGATATATCACATTGATTGATTTGGTTATGTTCAACCATCCTTGCATCCCCGGAATAAATCCCACTTGGTCACGAGGAATTATCTCTTTCTCATTGAATTTGGTTTGTTAGTATTTTGTTGAGAATTTTTGCATCAATATTCATCAGAGATATTGACCTGTATTTTTCTTTTTTTGATGTGTCCTTGTCTGTTTTTGGTATCAGGGTAATACTGGCCTCATAAAATGGGTTTGGTAGTATTCCCTCTTCTATTTTTTGGAAGAGTTTGAGTAAGATTGGTATTTATTCTTTACATGTTTGGTAGAATCAGCAGTAAAGTCATCAGGTTCCAGCCTTTTTCTTACTGGAAGACTTTTTATTGTGGTTTCTATATTGTTACCTTTTATTTATCTCTTCAGGTTTTGAATTTCTTCATGGTTTAATCTTGGTAGGTTTTATGTGCCTAGGAATTTATCCATTTATTTTAGATTTTTCCAACTTATTGGAATATAGTTGCTCATACCATACACTAATGATCCTTTCAATTTCTGCAGTATGATTTCTGCAGTTTTAATGTCTCATTTTTTATCTTTGATTCTATTTGTTTTGGTATTCTCTCTTTTTTTTCTTAGACTGGATAAAGGTTTGCCAATTTTGTTTAGCTTTTTAAAAAACTAAATTTTTCCTTCATTGATCTTTTGTATTTTTTCTCCTTTTCAAATTTATTCATTTCTGCTCTAATCTTTAATTTTTTGGTAATAGGTCTTAGATCAATTTACTCTTGATTTTCTAGCTCTTTAAGATGCATCATTAGATTGTTTATTTGAAGTTTTTCATTTATGACATAGTCACTTGTAGCTTTAACTTTCCCATTTAGTACTGCAATCACTGGATCCCATAGGTTTTGGGATGTTGTGTTTCCATTATTCATTTATTACAGGAAATTTTTCAATTTTCTTATTAATATTTTTATTGACTCACTGGTCATTCAAGAGCATATTATTTAATTTCCACATGTTTATATCCTTTCCAAAATTCCTCATCATTGATTTTTAGTTTTATTCCATAAGGTCAGAGAAAATGCTTGATATTTCAACTTTTAAAATGTTGTAAGACTTGTTTTGTGACCTAATAAATGGCTTCTTCTTGAAAATGATCCATGTGCTGGGGAGAAAAATGTATATTTTGTAGCTTTTCAATGAAATGCTCTGTAAATATATATTAGGTCCATTGTTTGTTGCGGGAAGTCAGGGACCCCGAACGGAGGGACCAGCTGGAGCCAAGACAGAAGAACATAAATTGTGAAGATTTCATGGACATTTATCAGTTCCCAAAATTAATACTTTTATAATTTTTTACACCTGTCTTTACTGCAGTCTCCAAACATAAATTGTGAAGATTTCATGGATATTTATCACTTCCCCAATCAATACTCTTGTAATTTCTTATGCCTGTCTTTACTTTATTCTCTTAATCACATTATCTTCTTAAGCTGAAAATGTACGTCACCTCAGGACCACTATTGTACAAATGGATTGTAAAACATGTGTTTGAACAATATGAAATCAATGCACCCTGAAAAAGAACAGAATAACAGTGATTTTCAGGGAACAAAGGAAGATAACCACAAGGTCTGACTGCCTGCGGGGTCGGGCAAAATAGAGCCATATATTTCTTCCTGCAGAAAGCCTATAGATGGACGTGCGAGTAGGAGAAATATCGCTGAATTCTTTTCCCAGCAAGGAGTAACCCTGGGGAAGGAATGCATTCCTGGGGGTAGGTCTGTCTATGGCCACTCTGGGAGTGTCTGTCTTATGCGGTTGAGATAAGGACTGAAATATGCCCTGGTCTTCTGCAGTACCCTCAGGCTTACTAGGATTGGGAAATTCCAACCTGGTAAATTCTAGTCAGACCAGTTGTCTGCTCTCGAACGCTGTTTCCTGTTAAGATGTTTATCAAGACAATGCATGCACAGCAGGACATAGACCCTCATCAGTAATTCTAATTTTGCCTTGCCTTGTAATCTTTATCGCCCTTTGAAGCATGTGATCCTTGTGACCTACTCCCTGTTTGTACAACCCCTCCAGTTTTAAAATCCCTAATAAAAACTTGCTGGTTTTGTGGCTTGGGGTTGTCTTCGTGGTCCTACCAATATGTGATGACACCCCCAGAGGCCCAGCTGTAAAATTTCTCTCTTTGTACTCTTTCTCTTTATTTATCAGACTGGCTGACACTTAGGGAAAATAGAAAGAATCTACATTGAAATATTGGGGGCTGGTTTCCCTGATAATTGTTCTAGAGTGTAGATTAAGTCTGATGTTTCTTTGTTGATTTTCTGTCTGGGAAATATGTCCAATGCTGAATGTAATAAATAGTCTCCAACTATTATTGTATTTGGTCTATCTCTTTCTTTAAGTCTAATAATATTTGCTCTATATACCTGAGTGTTCCAGGTTTGGGTGCATATATTTACAATTATTATATCATATGGCTAAAATGACCCTTTTATCATTATATAATAACCTTTTTGTCTCTTCTTATAGATTTTGTGTTGAAATCTATTTACTCTGATGTAATTATAGCTACTGTTGCTCTTTTTAAGTCTCTATTGGCATGAAATATCTTTTTCTACCTTTTCATTTTCAGTTTATGTGTATCTTTATAGGTGAAGTATGTTTCTTCCAGGCGATGAATCATTGGGTCTTGTTTTTTCATTCGTTCAGCCACTCTATGACTTTTGATTGAAGGGTTTAGTCCATTTACATTTAATGTTATTACTGATAAGTAAGGACTGACTCCTGCCCTTTTGTTATTTGCTTTCTGGTTGTCTTGTGATTTTCTCTTCCTTCTTTCCTTCCTTCTTAACTTCTGTTTAGTGAAGATGATTTTCTCTGGTGGTATGGTTTAATTTCTTTTGTATTAGTTTTCTTTATCTGTTCAACGTTTTTTGATTTGAAGTTACCATGAGGTGTGCAAACACTATCTTATAGCCCATTACTTTAAACTGATGAAAACTTAACACTGATTGCATAATAAACATTAAAAAATAACTAATAAAAACCCTACCCACTAATTTCATCCTCCCATTTTTTAACTTTTTGTTGTTTCTTTTTATGTTTTATTGTACTGCTTGTGTCTAGAAGAGTTGTGGTTATTATTTTTTATTGGTTTATTATTTAGTCTTTTTATCTAAGTCAAGGGAAGCTTACACACCACAATCACAGTGTTATAGTATTCTGTGTTATTCAGTGTGTTTACTATTATCAATGAGTTTTGTACATCCAGTTGATTTCTTCTTGCTCATTAATGTCTTTTTCATTTAGATTGAATGACTCCCTTTAGCATTTCTTTGTCTGAAAAGTCAAAAGGACAGGTCTGGTGTTGATTAAATCCCTCAGCTTTTCTTTGTCTGAAAAAGTCTTTATTTTTACATCATGTTTGAAGGCTATTTTCATCAGATATACTATGCTAAGATAAGAGGTTTTTTAATCTCTTATTTAAGCACTTTAAATAGGTCATGCCACTCGCTTCTTGCCTGTAATGTTTCCATTGAAAAGTCTTTTGCCAGATATATTGGAATGCCATTGTGTGTTATTTGTTTCTTTTCTCTTTCTACTTCTAGGATTCTTTCTTTATCCTTCACCTTTTGAATTCTGATTATTAAATATCTTGAGGTAGTCTTCCTTGGATTAAATCTTGGTGTCCTACCTCCTTTTACTTGAATGTTGATATCATTCTTTAGGTTTAGGAAGTTATCTGATATTATCTTTTTGAATACATTTTCTACTCCTATCTCTCTACCTCCTCTTTAAGACCAATAACTCTTAGACTTGCGCATTTAAGGCTGTTTTCTAGATCTCTAGGTAGTGCTTCATTGTTTTTGTTTTCTGTTTGTTTGTTTTGAGATGGAATCTTGCCCTGTCTCCCAGGATGGAGTGCAATGGCGCAATCTTGGCTCACTGCAAATTCCACCTCCTAGGTTCAAACAATTCTCCTGCCTCAGCCTCCCGAGTAGCTGGGATTACAGGTGCCAGCCACCACGCCCAGCTAATATTTGTATTATTAGTAGAGAATTTGGCCAGGCTGGTCTCAAACTCCTGACCTCATGATCTGCCCACCTCGGCCTCTCACATTGTTTTTATTCTTTTTTTCTTTTGTCTCTTCCAACTGTGGTTTTTCAAATTGCCTATCTTCACAACCACTAATTTTCTTCTGTGTGATCAATTATGCTATCAAGAGACTGTGATGCATTCTTTAGCACATCAGTTGCATTTTTCAGATCTAGAATTTCTGCTTGATTCTTTTTAATTATTTCAATATTTTTGTTAAATTTGTCTAATAGAATTCTGAATTCCTTCTCTGTGTTATCTTCAATTTCTCTGCGTTTCATTGAAACAACTATTTTGAATTCTCTCTCTGAAAATCCATATATCTCTGTTTCTCCAGGATTAGTTTCTGGTGCCTTATTTAGTTTATTTGGTAAGTCCATGTTTCCCTGGAAGATGTTGATGCTGATAGATGTTCCTCAGTGTCTGCTCATTGAAGAGTTGGTTATTTATTTTAGACTTCACAGTTTTGCTTTGTTTATGCCTTTTCTTCTTGGGAAGACTTTCCAAGTGTTTGAGGGAACTTGGACCCCAAAATCAATAATGCTGCAATTTCTGCAGACTCATAGATTTGCCAGCTTGCTGGTCTTAGATAAGATTGGGAAGATTTCTCTGTATTACCAGGCAGAAATTTTTGTTCTTTTCCCTTACTTTCTCCTAACCATATGGAGGCTTTCTCTTTACTGGGCCATCTGGAACTGGAAATGTGATGATGTAAGCACCACTGTGGCAATCACAACTGGGACTGTGCTGTGTGAGACCTGAAACCAGCACAACACTGGGTCTTGCCCAAGATCCTTTTCTTTAAGATGGCAAGTTCCCCCAGGATCCAAGCATATCCAGAGATACTGTTTGAGTTGCAGAGATTGGAGTAAAAAATCTTAGCAATATACCTGATATTCTGTTCCACTATGGCTAAACTGGCACTCCTATCTGAATACAAAGTCCTTCCCACTTTCATTCCCCTTTGCACAGGCAGAGGAGCCTCTCTGCTAGTGGCCACCATCACCACCAATCCACAGAGGGTTCTGCCAGGCCACTGCTGATGTTTGTTTAAAGACCAAAAGCTCTTCTGTCAGTTTGTGGTGAACGCTGCCAGGCCTGGGACTCACCCTTCAGGGCAATGTGCTCTACTCTGGCCAAGGGCAGGTCCAGAAATGCTATCCAAGGACCTAGGTCTGTACTTGCTTGAGGACCTCAAGGGCCTACTTGTTGCTCTAACCCACCATGATCGAACTGGTACCTAGGGTAGAAAACAAAGTCCATTTGACTTTTCCCTCTGCTTTTCTCAAACAGGAAAAAGTCTTTCACCATAGCCACTGCAGCTGGGAATGTGCAGTCACACCTGAAGCTAGTGTGTCTCAAAGCCCAAGGCCCATAGCACACTCCCTGGGTATCACTCCTGGTTATCCAGGGCCTGAGTGCCATTTAGTCAGCAGCTGATGAATCTTGCCAGGACTGGGTCCTTCCCTTCAAGGCAATGGGTTCTCTTTTGGCCCAGTGTGTGTCCAGAAATGTTGTCTAGGGCCTGGAATGGGGGCCTTATGGCTCTTCTCAGTGCCCTGTCCTATTGTGGCTGAGTTGATACCCAAGATGCAAGACAAAGTCTTCTTTACTCTTTGCTCTCCTCTTCTTAAGCAGAAGTGAGGAGTCACTTTCATTGCTAAAAGCTTCACTGCCTGAGTTTGGGGGAGAGATGGCACTAGTCCTCTCTTTGCCATGCCAGCTAGTATCTCCTTACACCATATGCCACCCTAGTTCACTGGCTCTAAGCCTAGCCTAGCACTAGGAGTTGGCTAGGAATTCCAGTCTTTGTGTCCCAGACTGCCTTTCAAGTTTACCTAATAGGACCCCAGAGCACTTTGGCCTGCAGTGGCAAGTTTTACCAAAAAATTCAAGCTCTGAATTCTGGGAGGGGCAATTCCTGTCATTATAGGGCTAGTCCAAACACTTCCTCCAAGTTCAAGGTCTCTGACTGATCCCAGCACAGCATTTTTTTCTCTGCTCTGACAAGGCAGCACTGAGTTCAATGTAAAGTCTCCCAGTTGTTGTGCTGTCCCTCCCCAAAGTACACAGGTTCTCCTGCTGCATGGCTGCTACAGGGAAATGGGTAAGGGTGACATCAGTAGTTCAAGACTGTCTTTCTTGCCCTCCTCAATGCCTCTTTTCATAATATTAAGTTGAAAATCAGGTACTTTGATTGCTCACCTGATTTTTTCTTTTTTGTGATGGCGCTTTTCTCTGTACAGATAGTTGTTAAAATTTGGTGTTCCAGTGGGGGAACAAACAGTGTAGGCCTCTAATCTGTCATCTTGCACCACCCTCTGAATAATTCCAAGCCTTTCTGATTATTTAGTAAAATAGTTAGGCAGTCTCATTCAGGCCTGGACTTTTTCTTTCTTAAAAAGTGAAAAGGAGAAAACTCAAGGATCTCATGACTGTATGACTCAGTGCATCACAAAACTCCATGCTTTGGTTAAAGAAAGCATGTCCAATCTATGTGTTATACAGTATCTACATTGGCAATTTCTAATTGAAATTAGCAACCTCTTTTTGTTTCCTCTAACTTGAATTTCGTGCTGCTTCTGAAAGGCTATTTTAGTAGAGACTTTAAGACACTATCAGTTTTGCTGACCAAAAGAAGGGTGAAAGCACTTGTTAATAGTCTTCTATGAAGCAAAATCTCTTTAATATATTTAATATATGCCATGGTTTGGGGGTGTCACAATAGCCTTCTGAAGTGCATATCATAATCCCATTTTTTTTGAGGCAGAATTTCACTCTTGTTGCCTAGGCTGGAGTGCAATGGCACGGTCTCAGCTCACTGTAAACTCAGCCTTCCAGGTTCAAGCGATTCTCCTGCCTCAGCCTCATGAGTAGCTAGGATTACAGACGCCCACCACTATGCCCAGCTAATTTGTGTGTGTGTGTGTGTGTATTTTTAGTAGAGATGGGGTTTCACCATGTTGGCCAGGCTGGTGTTAAACTCCTGACCTCAGGTGTTCCACCTGCCTCAGCCTCCCAAAGTGCTGGGATTACAGGCATGAGCCACCGTGCCTGGCCAATCCCATTTTACATAGGCTCCAAACAATTCATTAGTTGGCCCATAAGGCCTCATCTAAAAAGTAGTAAAGCTAGATTTCTATTGAACAGAATAACTGGGAACAAGTCTTGCTCTCACCATTGTCAAGTAAATTGAACTTATTCAATTATTTACTATTCAAGACTTTGTTTCTGTATATATTAAATTGGAAATAAAACAAAAATATGTCATGGAATTGTAAGAATTGAATAATATCATGTGTATACACACACTTTATAAACTGGACAGCAAAAATTTAAATGCTCTTGAAATACAAGGACATCAAAGAGGAAAGGTACATGGACACTGTACTGAGTTTTATGGCAGAGGTATAATCAAAGTGTTTGGTCCCGTAGAGAAAAGGAATGCAAGATTTTACAGAGAAAGATACATAAGCAAGACCACAAAAACTGCACATGATTCTGTCATGTCACAGAGGAGCAGAAATGAACACCACAGGTGGAAATCAGAGTGGGCATTTGAAAGGAATGGTTAATACACTTGACCTTGAGTTGTGACAGTGGGGTAGTAGACTGGAGCCAGAAGATCACTACAAACCAATGTTCAGTCACACCTGAAGCTAGTGTGTCTCGAAGCCCAAGGCCCATAGCACACTCCGTGGGTTTCATTGCTGGTTATCCAGGGCCCGAGTGCCATTTAGTCAGCAGCTGATGAATCTTGCCAGGACTGGGTCATTCCCTTCAAGGCAGTGGGTTCTCTTTTGGCCCAGTGTGTGTCCAGAAATGTTGTCTAGGACCTGGAGTGGGGACATCTTTACAGAAAAATCATTGTAAAGCTTAAATGTCTATATTGTTAGGGTTACTATAAATTTGCTGAAATTGTTTTAAATTAATTTTTTAAATTAAATTTTAAAATTAATGTGTCATATGTGTTTATTCAATAAATGTGCTGTATTTATTCAATAAACACATATGGTACATTACAAATATTTATCCATTTAATTTTCATGACAAACCTGAGAGAAGGTATTGTAAGTACCCCCATTTTAGAGACCAAAAAACTGAGGCATAAAAGAAAGCTGTCCAAGAAAAAAAGCAATGAACACTTGGTAAAGGTGACAAGATAGATTTTATTCAGACTACTGCAATAGAGAGAGAGACTTCAGTATAAACTAAGCTTAACTCCAACTAAGAGAAAGATTATTTAAATTTTTAAAGAAATAACAAGGAGGGACCATAAAGAGGCTATGGGGAAGTGATAAAAAAACAAACAAATTGGAGTTTGAGAGCTAAAGAGAACAAGAAGAAGGCTAGGGGAAATGGAAACTTATAGGAGAGGGCATCAGTCAAAAACTACTGGAAGACATTTGGCAAATGGTTTGGACAAAATATATTTTTCAGTGGCCAGCATTGCATTTTATTGAAGAAAGACTCAGTCTGGGGGCTGTGCATACCTTTAGGAACATGACATATTGTAGGGGGATGCCAGGGTAAAGTTTGGTCAGTCCTCTTAGCACAGCATTTAGGCAAGTCCTCTGTGCCACCAGAGAGTTCACAGTTCACTGTGTCCCCATTCACACGGCTGGTAAGAGTTGGGAATCCAGCACCAGCCTTCTGGGTCCTAAGTGTATGCTTCATCTCAATGTCAAACTTATTACTTGCTAATTCTCAGACTTTACATTTATTCTTTTGTAAACTTTATGACTCAGTGGATGAATATTCAGATGCTTGGAGCCTCTCTAGTGGCCAAAGATGTTTCAGAAAAATCTTAGGTGTATCTGTAGTTTTTGTTTTGGACTTTTGTATATGATTCCTACAGATTTTTGACATTACATTGTTTATGTAGTGCCAAGGGCTGAGTTCCTCTTTTTCCTCTGAAGATTCACTGAAAAAGCAACATGCAAAATGAAGATTAATTGGAAACAAGGCATAAAAATTTATTTACTGTGTGTACATGGGGGCCTTTAGAATGAAAACACAAAGATACAGAGGAAATTGTCTTTTTTGTGCTTAGGTTCAACAAAACATGTACAGCTATGTAGAAACATGATTCAACAAAATGGGTATGATTTAATGCTAGTGGACTGAGTGGGGAAACCCAGTAAGGCCTGTCTGTCTAGATTCTTTTTAGCCTGTCTGAGCATGCATTCCTTTCTCTTGGTGTGGGTCAGGGCCCTCTCTGGAATAGGGGGAATAAGGGTCTTATGATCTACAGTCAAACAAGGTATGTCAAATAATTTCTTCTCAGTGAGTTTTTATTCAGAAAGATGGAGATAAAATTAGAGGAATATTTCTAGGTCTTATGGCTGGCTTTCGGGAAAGGGGTAATGATTTCTACGGCTTGTCTTGGGAAAGAAAGATTCTAATTTTTATGGCTAGTCTAGGGGGAGAATGGGACTGGGCGACTGGACAGGAGAAGGTCAGGGAAAAACTTTTGCTTCTGAGACTGCTTCTAAGGCCTCCATTTTGGGGTATTGTTTTCTGAACCCTAAGATTTAAATCACTGAAAGTGTCTCTTCCTGGTCCTTATGAAGCTGGGTTAGATTTCATTTTTGCCCATTTTGTTCTACAGGTTCACAGTCATTCACTTGGTTGACAAAATAATAAAAGTGAAATAACAGAATTTTTTGACCTTCTTTGGCTTATAAAAATCCACCATGACAACAACCATCAAGAAGCCAACAAAATTCTGTTTTTAGCCTCTTCTTTACTGTGTTTGTTAACTTCTCTTGACCTGACCTTTGGTTTAAATGGCCTTTGATTTCATCAGTCTTCTTTTTGTTTTACTAGATTGGGCTTTTCCTGGTTTCTTGTTACCCAGGTTCACAACACATGAATTTTACCTAATAGTCAAAATCACTCATACATATATCAGTTTATTCTTTCTAAAAGTTTGTATGAAAAAGGGAGAGAAAGAGAGCACAAGCATGAGAAAGACAGAAAAAGAGAGAAAGAGTTCTAGAATATGGAACATGCCCATGCTGCCTTAGCCGAGGCAGGACTGCTTCAACACAGTTTCCCTCCATTGGAAGTGCTTGAGGATCTCGAAATTATCATTGACTTTTGAGCTTTCCTGGGAGGGAGTGCAAAGGGATCAAAGAGGGCAGTTATCGCTTCTCATAAGCAAAAAGAACTTTCAAGTATAATATGATAAAATCACTTTTTTTTTTTTTTTGACGGAGACTGACTCTGTCATCAGGATGGTGTGCAGCAGCATGATCTGGGCTCACTGCAACCTCCACCTCCCAGGTTCAAGTGATTCTCCTGCCTCAGCCTCCCGAGTAGCTGGGACTACAGGCGCGCTTGACCACACCCAGATAATTTTTTTTTTTTTTGTACTTCT
Source organism: Homo sapiens (assembly GCF_000001405.40). NCBI lineage: Eukaryota > Metazoa > Chordata > Mammalia > Primates > Hominidae > Homo > Homo sapiens. The sequence goes on along the minus strand of NC_000002.12, from coordinate 123,610,155 downwards.
AGTAGAGACGAGGTTTCACCATGTTCGACAGGATGGTCTTGATCGCTTGACCTCATGATCCTCCTGCCTCGGCCTCCCAAAGTGCTGGGATTACAGGCGTGAGCCCCAGCTCCTGGCCAAGTCACTTTTATTTTTAAAAGGAAGAAGGCATAAACTTACATGAGTTCTCAAAAACTGAAAAAACAGAGAAATATGAGATCTCTAAAGAATCCAGGCAGGTGGTGAGAGTGAAAATAAAAATCTAATTCCAAACCATCTTGGGAAGACTCTTAGGTTGAATAATTGTGCAAAATAAAACAAATAGCATAAATGTTTTGAAATAGCCTTGAGCCATGGATATCTAGCTATGATTGATTTTGTCATTAGCAACTTGAACAGCTTCAACTTTCCATACATTTGTCCTCCTCACCATTTATCATCTACAGTCTGATGAAGGGGAGGAGCTGATTTCTGTGCACAAATTAAACCAAAAGGAAGAAAAAATCTCTATTAAACATTTAAAACTCACAAACAATCAAAACACTCAAGTTCTGCACTTCACGATACCTTAATTTCCATCAGCCAGTGCAGCTGTGTGCTTCCCACAGAGCAAAATCTCATGAAGGGTATATTAATTAAGTCATTATGCCCTGAGAGATAGGTATAATTACAAATCTTCTCACCATACTATTTTGAGTTTCCAAAATTCAATAAGTTAGAGGTTGAATGTTGTTTTTTTATTTTTTTGTTCAAGATGCCACTGGGGGGAAAAAAGCCAACGATAACAAGTACAACAAAAACCCACAGAGGGGAAAAACAATCTCATTCCCTATCACAAGAGGGCTGTCAGTGAGTAGTCCTGCAGAGAGGAGCCATTTGCAGCTCAATATGAGAACTAGTCACAAACTTCCAGCAAGAATAAGTCACACATGATCAGTTGCATGCAGATGTGAGAGGAGATTGCCCTAAAACAAAATGACCAAAAGGGAACAAAGGTTGGAGGGTCTTCCTTTCTTCTATCTCCACAGGGATGCAATGTATGCTTTTAGAGTAGAGAGAAAAGCTATAGGAAGATGGTTCACCATCCCCTCTAATCTCCTTATGAGAAATGCAATAAAAGGTTATCTTTAGTAGGTTATATGGAATGCTACTACTAATGCCGAGAAGAATATTCTGTTCGGTAATCCACAGAGTTTTCTTGTATTTAAGGTCAGAAAATTTGAACAACCAGGAAACAGGGTTGCATATTTGCTATAGCGTGTAATTATGTTTTTCTTCAGCTAGATATAAAACACAGTTCTTCCAATAAATAGACTGAAACATTTAAGATCAGAAATGGGATAATCCAGTTAGGTAGGGGTGAAACTCCAATTTAATACATCCTAGCTAAACCAGCTTTATACCAGTGGATACTGACACAATAACATCTAAATGCTGCTAAAGTGAAGATTCTATAGCTTCTTTAAACAGAGAAATTTAAAGAAGCTTCCCCACACCTTTGTAATCAATTTATTGTATAGAATAATGTATTCAAAATTTCAAAATGTAAGATCTTCTAAGGCTAGGTTAAGATGTCCCTTTATTTTTAATTCAAGCTCAAGTTAAATGACCTGCACTTGCATTGTCTGTGCTAGGTGTTTAGCTATGCTTGTGTGCAATATATCTCTTGCTACACACTGTCATTTTAGTCTTTGCTAATGTTTACCTCTCTCAACAAAAATATAAGAATCCTGAAAGCAGATTTAATATCTTTCGATTTTGCGCGAACTGCTTAGCCTGGCATGTGTGGCTCCCCCAGCAGCTGGCCTCGCTCTAGCTTTCCATTCTTACTTCTACAGTGTCCCTTATAATGACCTTCCCTTCAGTTCAGTTTGTCAAAGGAAATAGAGCAGAGTAGGTAAGCGGGAAATTTCAGTTACACCTTCAACTTTGGACAAGTTACTTAACCTCATTTTGTCTCAGTTTTCACAGCTATAAAATGAGGGTAAAGAACCTACGTCACCAGATTGAGAAACTTAAGTGATTTTATCCATGTAAAACTGTCCCTTTATTGTTTACAAGCAGTAAGCACTCAATCAGTGCTACCTATCATCAATTTCATCGCTAATTTTTTTTGTGCTTCCCAACTTCTACAATTTTACTTATTCTGCAACAGGATTGCCCGAATCAGCCTTTCTATCATTCAAGAAGCAAGTAGATGCCCTTCATCTCTGAAGATATTCTTGATCTCTCCAGCCTAATTAGCTATAGTTGATCTCAGGGTTAGAAAACCTAGTAAACATCTTGTCAGCTTTTTTTTTCTTTTTTCTTTTTTTTTAAGACAAGGTCTCACTCTAATGTCCAGGCTGGATTGCAGTAGCGCAAACTCGGCTCATTGCAGCCTCCGCCTTGCAGGTTCAAACAATTCTCCCGTCTCAGCCTCCAAGGAGCTGGGATTACAGGGGCTCACCACCATGCCCAGTTAATTTTTGCATTTTTAGTAGAGACAGGATTTCATTGTGTTGGCCAGGCTGGTCTTGCACTCCTGACCTCAGGTGATCTACCTGTCTCAGCCTCCCAAAGTGCTGGGATTACAGGTGTGATCCACCATGCCCCGCCAGCTCTTTCTTATATAAATAAATAAAATAAGGATAAAAAAATAAAATAAAATAAAATAAAATAAACAACATGGTTACCACGTTAGAGGCATGCTAAAAGACATTTTGCAATTCTTTACAATGGCAGTCACATTCAAAAACTCACAGACTATTTGTTCATAGGCCATTTCTGTGAGCACTTAAATCCCCCTTGATTCCTGATTTCTTACAATATTGTCTGTTTGTGCCATTTATTGCCTACTATCTATAATTATTTCATGATCATCTGTTTGCATATAATCACACACTAATTCACAGGGCACCATTATTAGGGAATGTGCACCATTTGAAACTTTGGCTTAGGCCAGGCACAGTGGCTCATGCCTGTACTCCCAGCACTTTGGGAGACCAAGGCAGGTGGATCACTTGAGGTTAGGAGTTCAAGACCAGCCTGGCCAACATGGTGAAACCCCGTGTCCACTAAAAATACGAACATTAGTTGAGCATGATGGTGTGTGCTTGTAATCCCACCTACTCGGGAGGCTGAAGCAGGAGAGTTGCTGGAACCTGGGAGGTGGAGGGTGCAGTGAGCTGAGATTGCACCACTGCACCCCAGCCTGTGTGACAGAGACAGACTCCATCTCAAAAACGAAAACAAACAAACAAAAAACAACTTTGGCTTAGGTCAACACCTTTCACTTTTATCAAGACAGCTTGTTTTAAATCCAACTGAATTGTTCTTTGAGTCACTGATTATGTAATACCCCAGAGATGAGGGGAGGAGCACGGGTTGGCATTGGGAATAAATAAGGAAATCATTCAGGCTGGTGCATGTCTCTACTAGGGATTTATGAGGAAAGGGTTCAGTTTCCCCTTTGTTTATGGAAACTGAATGGGGAAGGAATAAAGCCTTCTGGGGAGCATGGACAGTGGTTCTTTTAAACTGTGGGTACCAGAACAGTCTATACCTTGGCTTCTTTTGTCTCATCACTCAAAGCAAGTCAAGTTTGGCTTACTAACTTCAAAAGGAGTGCAATTGTACCATGTGGCTAAAAGGAGAAAATAATTGAAATACTTGGCATGACAGCATTAAAGATACTCTTGTCTATCTGTCCATATCTTATAGATAGACATTATTGGCCAAAATAAATAACAGAATATGACTTATTAAAGGAAACTTTTTTACTGTCAAGCTGCCTACTGTTTGTCCCAACTAAATTTCTGTGGTTATGTTATTAACCCAACTCTAAACCTAAAGCAACCTTGACAAGCAAATCAAGTAAAGAAGAATCAGTGGTGTCATGCCTATAGTGACCTGCCTGTTTCTCTGCCCTGACTATGTCTTTCCTCCCACATGATATTTCCCTACTTCTACCTTGAGTTTCCTCTGGACCAGCCAGCAATCAGAAAGCACTTGGACAGGTGAGACTCTATGGGGGATAAATGACAGTGCTGCCCTTCCTTATCTGTTTCAAAGCTATAATTTCCCTGGCATTGTTGACTGACTCATCAGCTGGGTGAGAGAGTGGGCCCATGGAAGAAGAAGCCAAATTAGAGATGTTTATGGAGAGAGGATTTATAGGCTTGACTTGGATGCAAGGCTGTAAGACAGAGCTGGCTTAGGTATCTGACACAAGTATTTTATCATTTTTTTGTTGTGGTTACCCCGGGACTATAAGAAAAAGACTGGTAAGCAATCAAGAGACTTTTCTGACAGCTGAGAAGACATATGTGAGTATTGAGGGACTGGTGGAGGTATTTTTCATACAATACTTAATAAACTGTATATCCTTGTGCAGAATTTGATAGAGGGTCACTAATGCTGCTTTGACTTTTCAAGTAACCTCTGCAGAAAATCTCTCTGTTCTTTGGGGAAACCTTTATCCTGGGTAAAGAACAGCTCCTGTATAGGTAGTACTCATATACAACACATGCACACAATCTCCATTTGGGCTCATTAATCATTTTTACTATGGCCAAATTATTCAAGGCTGTAAGATATGATGAAAGAAAGTCTTGTTAATATCAAAATGTCCAAGAGAGTACTTAGGAAAATTAAATAGACTGGAAAACATATGCTTGATGTCTTAAAAATTAGAATTTGTAAATAAATGATTCTGGTTTAATCACATGGCAATTTACAGAGATATTTTTGGTAAAAATGATCACATCAAAGTGTCTGACAAGATTTTCCTACTGATTGAGCTGTTCGACTTGCTGCATGAGTAGTTTTAGGGTTTTTATTTGTCATTAATCTTTTTAAACACTTAGTTTATTATTTTACTGAAGAGTTCTGATTTTAAGTCAATTACACTGTGAATTTTGAAATACAGCTCAGTGTCTAAAGTCTGGAAATTTGTAATCAACTTTCAAACCCACATCCTCCTTGGTCCTGATATTATTACATGCCCATTGTTGGATAGCAAGGCAAACTCTTACTTTATGAGGAATGTGGTCAGTTTGCGGCTACAAGCTTATGCAGTTATTTTGTAGATTTATTGGATTTGATAAGAAAAGAGAAATCAAAGCTCTTACTGACTTCCAGGTAGTGGACACACATGGGCAGATAGGAACTATTTGACCCATAGTTAGTTGTGAGTTAATCCATTAAAGCAAGGCCATTAGCGCGGAATGCTTGTCTCATAAAGGGATAGGCATTTAGAAAAGATGGAAGAGGTTCGATTAGGGAAGTCACATCCTGATGCAGTCCTGTGGCAGCAGGCTAGTATCCCTAAGAAGCTGTGTTCTCAGTTTTCTAATACACGTAACTATATTTTCCCGCTTACCTTGCATCTACTTAGGACAATGCAACTAGATTTGGAACAATAAAGGTGCATAAGTTAGGACATGAGCATCCTTTCAGCCATTTCCAACTTAAAAGCCTCTGTTCTTGGACCTTAACATTTTTGCCCCTTCCCATGATCTAAAATGCAGATGCAGCAATCAGTCAATTTTTGCCACACTGTGGAATACAACGATCTAGAGACTGTTGCAGCAGCAAGGTGGAAAGAACTTGGGACTTTGTAAACTTTATGAAGAAAAAGTGACCAGTCATCTTTAATGAACTAGACTACCATGTTAGAGGAATAAGCTTATTTAAATTACTCTGTTTTAGGGTCTCGTTTCTTTTTTTTCTTCCTTTAATGGTGGGTCATTCACGGTAACTAATAAAAGTCACTTGATTAAAGGTGTTTACCATCTTGCTAAGTCTGCTAAGGAATATTTATTTAACGTGGGTAGCATATAAAACTTGGAGGTCACTCTTTGATACCTAAACAATGATCCTAGGAACTGTATGTTATTTATGGGTATTATTTGTTGTTGTTGTTTTAGGAAGCAGGTGTAGCCTCTTCTGTGTATAGAGAAAGAGCACTTAAGGGTTTGCTCATACAAAGCTTAGACTCAGTTCAACTTTTCTCTGGCTTGTTTCTCCTTTTTGGCTCTACTGCCAACCTAGACAAATGGACTGGGTACTACTTCCTTTTTTATGACCCTAATCTTCCTCCTTCATTTGATGGAATTAATGGATATAACACAAAAGCTATCAGGATCAATAAAAATGGGACCTTAGAAAAAGGCTACCTTTCAAACACAGGATCATGTGTTCAGGTGCTGTGATATCCAGCTGATTTATATTCTCTCTTAACATCATTCAATCTGACTTCCTGAAATTTAGCCTGTTCCAAATGTCCCATTCTAATGTATTTGTTCGAATGTATGACATAGATATAATAGTAAATACACACTTACCATGAAGTGAAATTTTTATCAAATCCCTTTTGACGTTATGTAATTTAGGTCATATAAAGGTACAGGATAAAATTGCATGAATTTTAGTAATTACATCAAAACTATAATTCATTCTTGTTGACTTTAGTGAGGAGAAATTAGAGATGGTTCAGGCCACCAAATAATTAAGATATAGCTTGACAACAGAAGTTGATTAGGTGGAAAAAATAGCTAAGTGAAATGCTTCTTTCTCAACTTTTTGCTTCCCCCTTTCTCTGCAAAATATGAAAGCAATGAGCACCCAAATGAGAAACGTGGGTCTCTTCAGTTTTATACATTTTTAGATTCACTGTTGGAGGGTTTAGCTTTTATGTAAATTTCTTCTTGCTTTTCTGCATTTAAATTAAGTTCTGATCCCTATCAACCATTTCCCTCAATCTAATCTTAATAAGGTAGCCAAGGATATCAGTTTCTGCCACTTATATGATACATCACTCATTCTATGTCCAAATTATTTTTGCCTCCTCTCACAATCCTGCCACTATCCATCATCTGTGGCCATAAAATATTAGCATCCCTAATAAATATAAAAGCAAAAACACATAAGAATAAAAATACTTATTAATCTCTTCATCTTCAATTTACATCATATTTCTTGAATATGTTTACCTGGATGCATATGTAAATATATATATACATACACAATACATGCACAGATTAAGTCATATGGATGTGCTCTTGAGGCTGAAGAACTATGAACAGGATTTAACGTGAATGTTCCCATTGAGGGACCTAGACAGAAACTCACAAATAGGAAAGTACAACACAGATGCACCCCAAAGACAAAGCAGTGAGGAACTAAATTGACAATTTCAGGTTGAACAAGCAGAAGAAACACTACATGAGGGGGAGGAAAAGAGAGTGAATGCGTACCAGATAAAACATCAAGTTAATCTCACAATTATGCTCTATAATTATAAATGTGGTATAACTTTAAAATCACATGCAAACTGGGTTTTGGTATTTCAGAGTCGATGCAACACAGGAAGCATGAAGGTCACACTCTCGATTTAGAGGCTGAAAGCTCTGTGCTCTGAAACCAATTTGATCTCTGCAATTGCATTGATAGCAAATTGGTCTCTGATAATTTGGTTTAAATAATTAACTATTTGCTCAAAAATGTATGTTAATCATGCCAATTTTTTCAACTCTTACTAATCATGTTATAGAATGAAATGATTCTATTCTCATTTATAAATCCTTGAACATATTGATCAAATAAACAGACTTTTTAAGAGTTTTCTGCTTTATGTTTCTGACAATTATTCATACTAGGGCTGTAATATTAAAAATAAGAAGAAATTATAAGGAATGCATTAGACATAATTAAATGCTTTGCATTAATATACACGATACATAAAAATAGTTTAATAATCTATGAATAACTGTAAATTTAGATTATTCCTAAAATTATCAATTGTTTTACTGGCTTTCAGTAAAATTGCATGATAACTAGAATAGAAAGGTGAGTGAAAAGGTAAAATTGTAAAGTTAGAAAATATTTTTAAGCCATCTATTTGTTTAAATGAACTTCTCCATATAAAGTCAATGTTCTTTTCAGGCTTGGTGGTCATTGACTATTTTAGTGCACAACCTGTAGTGGAGAATGTTTGTCCTCATTTCCCAGGCCTCGTGCATCTAGTTAAAGTCCTGTGACTAATTCTGGCCAAAAGTTTATAGAGGGAAGTAGCATAAGTCACTTTCAGGGATAGTTTTTTAAATAACTCATAAGATCCTCGAGATTTCACTTTTCCCGCCAGGATATGGTAGACCCTCGGTTCTAGATGGTGTGACCAAGGTTGGAAGTGGCCTTGATCCCTGAGTCACTGCATGGAGAGCAGCCCTGAGGAGCTTCCCAGTCCCATTTGAATGTGATGTGAGCAAGAATTTAGCCTTTATAATATTAATCAATTGAAAATTCAGGATCTATCTGTTGTAGCTGCTTCTGTAATGTTCCATGAATACTACAGCAATTGGCAATGGAAATAGAGTGTTATCAAAAAACAAATCCTCATATACATTGAATTTACTTCATGGTCCGGTGAATAAATTGTGAAAAACTGATCTTAGAGGCTTGAAAATGTGTTAAATATTTGGATTAAACAATAAGACAACTGAGGAGAACTAGCGTAGGCCTTTCCTATTCAACCTTCCACTTCGCATCATTTAGTTGAGAGTCTGAGAACTGAGTGAGCAGGTGAGGAGGAAGCAAAGGATAAAGCCCATGTGAGAAGTGGGACTGAAATTTGCAGGTGATTTATTAGCCCCAAACAGGGACTTGAACCCATAGATTAGACGCTTATTAGATAACAGCAGAAAATACGTTGCTGAAAAATACGCCTAGATTTAGTCTTTGACAATCAGAAAAATGAAGAACATGTATGTTTTTAAAAATCTCTGATTTTAGGTATTGAAAAGCTATCAAAGTTACCAGGGATTTCAAAACAAAGATGCTGGCAAAAAGAAAAATACCCAATAATATGTTTTCCAATCTGCTCCACTATTTTCCCCCCTCAGGGCATTTGCAGATGCATAAGTTATAAGTGGGTTCCAGAGGATGAAAAACTGAAAGAAAGCAGCTTCAAAGAAACTGAGAAGCTGAGCAAAGCTGGTAGAAATTAGAGTGCTTTGGGGACAAGAATTAGAGTTTGAAGCAACTGAGAAAGCCACAAAAGGGTCAGAATACCTGAGAGAATGGAAGTGTAAAGAAGTGAGTTCAAATTTTGGCAAAAGATCTCTTTAAGAACAAGCTCATTTGTCATAACTGGCATAGTGGCTGAAAGCCAGACGGAAACTGGTGGCTGATAAGCTGGCCAGAGATTTGGGTGATACTGGGGGTAGGAGACAGGAGGGGATGCGAATTGTAATTCAAGTTCTTCTAGGGAAGACTGGCCTTTGTGAACAACGTAAGCTTCAGTTGAGAGTCCCACAGGGTGCATATTTTCAAACAGCAGCTAAACTGGCTGTACTGAATATACTTTCAAATCTTACCTTGAATGAATGCTATTCTTGATGAAATTTTATTTGAGGCTATCTGTGTTATTTCAGATTTAGGATATAAACAATATGTTAATTTTTATATGCTACTATTTGACATTATCCTAACTGAAAGTGTCATGGTATATGACCTCATTTACTTATTTGTGTCATATTTTCCTAGTCCTTATATTTTCCAAGATCTCTGCCAGATAATAGACATACGAAGGTGACTAGGACACCATTTATTTTCTCTAGGAGTTCACAGTCTAGTGGGGAGGCATCCATGAAGGCAGATGCTATACTGAAGATGTAGCATGATAGGAGAAATCACAGGGAGCTGTGAAGACATAGGAGGCTGTCAATCTAAAATTGTGCCTGTGGGGTCATTGCTGCTTCATCCTCCTCACTAAGGAAAACACTAACCTTGATCATCAGATTCTATAAAGGACTAAATAAATCATTGACCTTCATATTTGAATGTTATTGATCCATTCAAGCTGCTATAACAAAACATTGTAGACTGGGTAGCTTATAAAGAACAGAATCGTCAGGATCCTGGGAAGTCCAAGATCAAGGCACCAGCAGATTCTATGTCTTGTGAAGGCCTCATTTCCCGGTATGTAGACATATCTTTTTAGTGTAACCTTACACAGTGGAAGATGCAAGGGAACTTCTTGGGGTCTCTTTTGTAAGGGCACTAATGCCAATCATGAGGGCCCTGACCACATTACCTAATCTCCTCCCAAAGGCTCTACCTCCTACTGCCATTTCCCACTAGGTTAGGATTTTAACATATTAATTTTAAGGGGATAAACTTAGTCCATATCAATACATATGTCATAAAATATTATCCCCACTTCACAGATTAGAGAAGTGAAATTTGTAAGGTTTGGTGGGTTTGACTAGGCCACTGAGCTAAAAAGCGAGTAAGGCAGAATTTAAAACTAGGTTCAGTTACTCACAAACACTTCATGATTCAACAACCTAAAAATAAGAACATAAAGAATAATGAAGTGACAAAGCTTTGGGCTTCATTTTTATTCTTCATCAGCGACGAGCCCAAGGATGACCACTTAGTAACTCCTCAATTGTTTAGATAGACCATACTTCTTCTACTCACATCAACCTGTGGTGTAAAATCAAACTGAAAGAGTGGAAACCAACTATAATTGCTCCAGTTTGGCTCTCAGTTATGAAATGGTAGAGTGCAAAGCCAGCCTCATATTCCAATACTGTGAATGCCTCAGTTGGGTCACAAGTATTTCTGAGAACCAACAAATTCTCTTCTCTGCTATTTCCAGAAATGACTTTGGGTTTCTGTCGTGAAGTTTCTTGCTTCAACAGATATTTAGGTATATTGTTCAGCACTAACTTTCTGTGGCTGTTTTGGCTCCTTGCATGGATTCTTATCTCTTAACAGCTCCTATTTTGTACTCGGATGAGCTCTGTTGCCTTTTTTCAAGAGAGGAATATTTCCTCCCTCCCTTTTGGATTATGAAGTAGCAAAGGCTCTCACTTTTTCACACAGGCATGTTAGCTACCTTTGGTATTATTTATTATGCAGTCCTATCTTGTAGGTACTTGGATATTGGCCACAGAAAACGATTCCAAAGATGTGCTGAATTACTTAGAGAAAGCTCTGGTTAAAATTGCTCTATAACTTCCGTAAGATAGGTAGCATTTGAATCTGTATCACATACATATTCCTCCACCTCTTTTACTTAGAATATCTTTCTTCACATTTTTTATAAAACATACCCTGGGAGTCCTTCGAATGTGTTTCACTTAACAGCTAATACTGGACTTCCGTGCTGTCCCTAGAATCACCTATTGCATTTCCTTTTTAGAATATTTTTTTTTAATTTTTAATTTTTCTGGGTACATAGTAAGTGTATATATTTATGAGGTAGATGAGATGTTGTGATACAGGCATGCAATGTGTAATACGCCATGAAGACTCAGTTATCCATCCCTCAAGCAATTATCCTTTGTGTTACAAACAAGCCAGTTGTATAACCAAAAGATATACTTATTTAGTGATTTTATTGTTGGATTCATTTCTATTGATCGGTTGATAGTACAATGGGAGAAAAACCACTGAAAGATGCTCTCGAGCCTATCTTTCCCCAGAGTGGTCCTACTTAACCAGCTTCCCTAGGGGCACCTTTCCCCCTTCCTCCAATTACCACCTATGATGAGTCTTAGACACCATGTGATGCTTGTACAGTTTATTCTGGCAGTGTTCTTACAGGATAGATAGCAGGAGCATATGCTAGATGCCTATGGCTAATGTTCGTACAAGATGGATAGCAGGAGCATATGCATTATGCCTATGGCTAGTGGCATAGGCCAGATACAGGGAGGGGTCAGATGACCCCCCTACTTGCGAGATTCTCCATCCAGAGACTGTTCTCAGAGTTCAGGGGATTCTTACCCCTTTTCTTTATCTGTGTACAGTTCAGGTCAGTTACCAGGTATTTCTTTCATGAAGGAAGTTTAAGCAATTCTTGTAAGGATAAGCTTTGTTTAATGTTCATTTTGCATCTGTGCTAAAGTGGCCTTGTCCCTGGGGGAACCAGCGTTTTTAGGTCTCATTATTATAAAGATCAGGTAATCCCTGGGCAAGGGTGGGAATTCCCCAGACCACATTACATCACATTGCTAAGTGACACACAGTGCAGGCCCCATGAGATGTTTGAGTGAGAAGTGAGCCTGTGGCTATCATTAATCTTCTAGCCACGATAGGTCACTTTAAGTATACAAACTCATCATGTAATATGGCTTCTTTTATATGGGTTACATGATTATGCTGGGATGATGCAGCTTTGAGATTGCAGTTAAGTACCTTGACTGAAGTGGGTGGTGAAATAACATCTGCAGCCACCTGAGCTCTACTGGTAAAGATCACAAACACACCCGCTCAGCTCTCTACAACACATGTTGTTCCAGTTCCCGTCTATGCCAATGGTACAGCAGGGCCAAGCTCTGCAGTCTTGCCACTTCGGCAATGCTTATGACCCACAGACAGAAACATGGCCTCTGAGCAGATAAGAATGGCCGGGGCCATTACACCCATAGGTTGTGGCAGCAATTCCATTTTATCCCCTCCATTAGCAGGTGTCAGCCACAACACATTGGATGAGGCTGTGGGAAAACCCTTTAGCTGGAAGCAATGTTTTCTCTATTTCAGCCTGGATATGTCAGGAGGCAGCTGTAAAAACTCTTGCTTATTAAATTTTGCCAGTTCTCGATTTTTAGGCATAACCAAAATGTAATACCCTGAGCTGATCTGTAACTTGAGTGTATCCTCTGGCCCTTACAATCCTTACTTGATACTTAGATGAGCAGTCAAATCATTTTAGAAATGTAGACAAAATCTAGTTAAGGGTAAACAGCAACTAGACTTTACCACGATCATTTTTACTCCCTGAATCATTTTTTCTCACACTTGATCACCTATGTTAGCAAACTATAGTTTGCCATTTGCTAAATAGTTCTACCTACTGGGTTTTAAATTGGAAAAAGAGAAAGGAGAAATTTGTTAATGATATATGAAATTGGCAAAGATAATTGATTCATTTCTGATTCCCATTGGCAATAGGGTAGTAAAACATGGAAATTTAAAAAATAGACTTTTCCAGTTATTCCAAAAGGAAAAGGGATGCCATGAGAGACACTATGACTAATCCCTAAAAGTGGTAAAAATTGATAAGTATATTTGTTACATATGTGCAAGCCTCCATATTTGTAGTAGATTTAGTTCAGTGCTGCCTGAAGTAAACATAGCTGGGAATCAGCAACCTCACAGTTTATTTCTATTCCTGTGCTTCAGAAGAATTATTTAGAATATTATGAAGGAGTTATAATTTTAAATGCAGCTAATGTGTCTCTGTAAGCACAGTTATTACAGATGGTGGGGAGTTGCATCACCTATTTGTAATAATAGCAGTGAGAGCAATGCAATTCATCAGAGACATTTCACAAGACAGGAAAAAGTGCTGACTGCAACCAAATGGAACAAGAAGATAAAGGACACCAATGTAGCATGGGAAAGGATTCCTAAGAAAATTAATGTGTCCCCAAAGGGCTATCTACTACTTAATAATAAACATGCTTTGAGAAAAAGAGAGTAAATGAACGTGAATAAAGGGCAAAAGTTAATCAAAACAACTCTACTAAATGGGAATACATATCAACTAAAGAGGCAAGGAAATATGCAGAATAAAAATGTGGGATTACAAAGGTAGGAATGAAGTTCCTTGCAATGAAGTGTTTTATCCTCTCTATGTAAACAAATACTTCCCATCTTCAATGCATTCCTCAGTCACCACTTCTTCCAAGAAGTCATCCTGAGAAACTGAAACTTTCTTAAACCTGACTGTTGTAGCCTTGGGTACTCATGTGGCAATAAGTCCTCTGTCTCTGTGTCTTGAGGATGGAGTAGGTAAATGTCTGGGAAGAAGGGAGAAGCAAGTCATACCACTTTGTAGAACACCAGGTCTCCTCCCCCAACTCTTTCCATTTTACTAAATGACAACTGCACTTGTCTTGTTGCTCAGGACATAAAATTTCAGTCATTCTGGACTCTACTTTTTTTCTTATATATAGGCTTTCCTTTACAGATTTACAAAAAAAGTGAAGATCTAGCTATTAGCCAGTTTCCACTATTGTTAACGTTTTACATTAGTATAGAAAATTTGTAACTATTAATACATTTTGACACATTTAATTAATTAGGTCCATACTTCATTCAATTTGCCTTAGTATTTACTAATGGACTTTTTAAAAAAATATAGTATCCCATCCAAGATATGACATTACATTTATGCTATGGACTGAATGTTTGTGTTTCCCCCAAATTAAAATTTTGAGGTCACAATGTGATGGGGTTTGAAGGTGAGATCTTTTGAAGGTAATTGGACTTGGATGAGGTCATGACAGGGGAGCCCCACAATGGGGTTGGTGACCTGATAAGGAGATCAAGAGATGTCTTCTGATCTAAGAGATCAGAAGATGCTGTCTAGGAACCAAGAGGAGGACCCTCAGCAGACACCAAATCTGCTGATGCCTTGATCTTGGACTAACTGGCCTCCAGAATCATGAGGAAAGATGTTTTTTGTTTAAGCCAGCCAGTCTACTGTATTTTTATCATTGAATCTTGAACTGACGAAGGCAATTTAACAATCGTATCTGCTTGGACTCTTCTTGGCTGTGCCTGTTTCTCAGACTTGCCTTGTTTTTGATGTTCCTGCGAATTTTGAGGGGTAATGGTCAGGTATTTTGTAGGATGTCCCTCTGTTAGAATTTGCTTTTCCCTTTATTAGACTGGGGTGATGGGTTTTAGGGAGGCAGACACAGACATAAAGTACAATTTTATTGCATTATAGTCTTGTGTCTTCTTTTCGTCTCACAGAGCACAGTCAATCAAGTAGCAAACTTATTTTGATTTCCACTGGCATATATCCAAAATCTAACCAATTAACAGCACTTCGTAACTACCACCCTGGTCCATGTTATTATTGTCTTTGTTCTTGGTGATTTTAGCGTCTTCTTAACTGATCTCCATTCTTTCTCTCCTCCAACCACACAGAAGTCAGCGTAAACTTTTAAAGCCACATCATTTCACTCCTCTACTCAAAGCCTCAAATGGATTTTCATCTCATTCAAAGTAAAAGCTTAAACCCTTTACCAAGGCCTACATGACTCTGCCTGATTTAGCCCCTGTCTTGTTGCCGACCGCAGCTCCTAACATTTCACACTCGGAACCCATCCTCTTCTTTTCTATGTACATAAAGATACTTCTGATTCTCTATTAGTAGGGTTGTATATTAATCCGGTATTAATTTTGGTCCCATGTACCATGACATAGCTTATAATCTATCCTAATTTATCAAGGTCCTGTGGAAATAATTTATTGAAAAGATGCCTATGCCAACCTTACTATCTAGGATAAATAAGAATAATAGTCATCATTTTGACACTAACCATGGGGCAGAAACAGTACTAATTTCTTTATACACAGTATGTTTAGTCTAAGACATTCTAATAGATTTCCATGTCCTGTATTCTTTTCTTTGAGACGGAGTCTCACCCTGTTGCCCAGGCTGGAGTGCAATGGCGTGATCTCTGCTCACTGCAACCTCCGCCTCCTGAGTTCAAGCAATTCTCCTGCCTCAGCCTCCCAAGTAGCTGGGATTACAGATGCGCACCACCATGCCTGGCCAATTTTTGTATCTTTAGTAGAGACGTGCTCTCAAAGTGCTGGGATTACAGGCGTGAGCCACCGCACCCGGCCACATGTCCTGTATTCTTAAATACACACCCCTTATCTTGGTGAACACAATCCACATGAGTTGTGGCTCTTCTCCTCCCTAGTCTCACCTCATTTCACTCTACTTCCTGCTCCCTATACCCCAGCCATACCTACCTTTTTATTCCATGTCATCACATTTGCAGTGTAGGCTGCTATAACAAAATGCCACAGACGGAGTGGCTTAAATAACAGACATTTATTTCTCACAGTTCTGGAGGCTGGGCCATCCAATGGGAGGATGCTGGCTGATTTGATCCCTGGTAAGGGCTCACTCTCTGGCTTGCAGATGCTACTCTTCTCACTGTGCCTTCACATGGTACAGGCAGAATGAGAGCTCTGGTCTTCCTGTCTCATCTTAGAGTGGCGCTAATCCTATCATGATGGTCCTCCCCTCAAGACTTCATCTAAACGTAATCACCTCCCAAAGGCTCCACCTCCAAACACCATCGCATTGGGAGTTAGGGCTTCAACATATGAATTTTGTGGAGATGCAAACATTCAGTCCATAGCACATGGGACTTGCATAACTTACATCATCACACTCCATTTAATTCCCTACTTAGGCATCTTTCCAGAAAGGCTTTCGCTGGTTATTTCAAACATAAACTCCTTCCTCTCCTAGGTGACCCAGTAATAAGGCCACAGGTGGGAGCCAGAATTTGACACTGGGTCTGTTTTCACTTCAGTTCCCTTCATAGGGCAATCATGAAGGAGCCAATACCTTCAAACACCTTCATATGCCAATCTTTATTACCTTATGTGGCCATTTTTGTATTTGCTTTTTTCCCCCATAATGCTACACTTTCTGACCATGAGGTTGGTCCGGCCCTTGCCATCTCCCTAGAATGTTTTTTCCTGTTTTCTTAGCCAGGATAAATTACTTGTTTCTATTGCGAACACACATAAAAACTTCCTATTTGAAAGTGACCTTCTACCAATATTTTCTACACTGTTTAGTGCCTACATTACTCTTGTGGGCTTTATTGGAACTGTTTTACATGATATTTCTTTCCTACTTCCTCTACCCATTTGCTAGATGAAATAGTTATTAGTGAAAGGGAGTATGTTTATGTACATTTGTAATTTGCCCTGTGCCCAGAATTTCTTCTTAATGTAGTCATTATACAATCATGTTGCTTGAATTAGGAGCTTTATGTAATGATACGAAAAATTTTCAAAATATGTTTTTAGGTTATAAAAAAGCAAAGTAGAGAATGAGGTGCATAGCATCTTAAAAATAAGTAAAAAGTATAAAAAAGAAATATATATTAGTATTTGTAGATACATTAAAATCTTTAGATGAATACAGAAATTAAAAAATATGATTATCCATTTTGGGTGGGGAAGACCTGGTTTCATAGGGACAGACATGGAAAAGATTTTCTCATATATTTGTCTGAATATTTAACTATCATGATGTGTTATCTACTAAAAATGAATAAAAAAACTAGGAAGATAAATATACAGAAGCATATCTGAGATAAATTATCACTACTTACTCTATATATTAGAAGTACAGATGATGGAACAACTTTGACTTTAAATTTGCAAACTTATTATTGCATCTTTTTCAAGGCACATACTACTTTTGTTATTAAAATTACCTACTTTTTAAAAAAGTATTTGATCAACATTTATAAATGATAGAACAGAAAATTGCACAGGAACAACTTTGAGCAATATCTCAACCAATGGTTCTACATTCTTTTTAGCCTCTATAGGGTTCTAGCCTATAACTAAATGAATAAGTGGGATTTGTATATTTAAGTTTTGATATGGTTTGGCTGTGTCCCCACCAAAACCTCATCTTAAATTCCCACCTGTTGTGGGAAGAACTTGGTGGGAGGTAATCAAATCATGGGGGCAGGTCTTTCCCATGCTGTTCTCATGACAGTGAATACATCTTATGAGATCTGACCATTTTATAAGGGGGAGTTTCCCTGCATGAGGTCTTTTTTTTTTTTTTTTTTTTTGCCTGCTGCCATCCATGTAAGATGTGACTTGCTCCTCTTGCCTTCCACTATGATTGTGAGGCCTCCCCAGCCATGTGGAACTGTAAGTCCATTAAACCTTTTTCCTGTATACATTACCCAGTCTCTGGTATGTCTTTATTAGCATTGTGAAACCAGACTAATACAGTAAATTGGTACCGGGGTGCTGCTGAAAAGATACGCGAAAATGTGGAAGCAACTTTGGAACTGGATAACAGGCAGAAGTTGGAACAGTTTGGAGGGCTCAGAAGAAGACAGGAAAATGTGGGCAAGTTTGAAACTCCCTAGAGACTTGTTGAATGGCTTTGCCCAAAATGCTGGTAGCAATATGGATAATAAAGTCCTGGCCATGGTGGTCTCAGATAGAAAGAAGAAACTTGTTGGGAATTGAATCAAAGGTGACTCTAGTTATGATTTAGCAAAGAAACTGGCAGCATTTTGCTCCTTCCCTATCGATCTGCAAAATTTGAACTTGAGAGATGTGATTTAGGGTATCTGGTGGAAGAAATTTCGAAGCAGCAAAGCATTCAAGATGTAACTTGGGTGCTGTTAAAGGCAATCAGTTTTACAAGGGAAGCAGAGCATAAACGTTTGGAAAATTTGCAGGCTGACAAAGCAATAGAAAAGAAAATCCCATTTTCTGGGGAGAAATTCAAGCTGGCTGTAGCAATTTGCATAAGTAACAAGGAGCTGAATATTAATTCCCAAGACAATGGTGAAAATGTCTCCAGGGCATGTCAGAGGTCTTCATGGCAGCCCCTCTCATCACAGGCCTGGATGCCTAGGAGGAAAAATTGGTTTTGAGGGCTGGGCCAAGACTCCCTGTGCTGTGTGCAGCCTAGGGACTTGATGCCCTATGTCCCAGCTGCTCCAGCCATGGCTGAAAGGGGCCAGTGTAGATCCTGGGTCATGCCTTCAGGGGATGCAAGCCTCAAACCTTGGCAGCTTCCACATGGTGTTGAGCCTGCCAGTGCGCAGGAGTCAAGAACTGGAGTTTGGGAACCTCAGCCTAGATTTCAGAGAATGTATGGAAATGCCTCGATGTCCAGGCAGAAGTTCGCTTCAAGGGTGGGGCTCTCATGGAAAACCTCTGCCAGGACAATGTGAAAGGGAAATGTGGGGCCAGAGCCCCCATACAGAGTCCCTACTGGGGCACCACCAAGCAGAGCTGTGAGAAGAAGGGCACTGTCGTCCAGACCCCAGAATAATAGATCCAGACCCCAGAATAATAGATCCACTGACAGCTTGCAATGTGCATCTAGAAAAGCCGCAGACACTCACCATCAGCCCATGAAAGGAGACAGGAGGGAGGCTGTACCCTGCAAAGCCATAGGGGCAGAGCTGCCCAAGAACCCACTTCTTGCATCAGTGTGACCTGGATGTGAGAACTGGAGTCAAAGGAGATCATTTTGGAGCTTTAAGATTTGACTGCTCTGTTAGATTTTGGACTTGCATGGGGTCTGTAGCCCCTTTGTTTTGGCCAATTTTTCTAACTTGAAATGGCTGTATTTACCCAATGTCTGTACCCCCATTGTATCTAGGAAGTAACTAACTTGCTTTTGATTTTATAGGCTCATAAGAAGTGACTTGCCTTGTCTCAGATGAGACTTTGGAGTTGGACTTCTAAGTTAATGCTGGAATGAGTTAAGACTTGGTGGGACTATCAGGATGGCATGATTTGTTTTGAAATCTGATGACATGAAATTTGGGAGGGGTCAGGGTGGAATGATGTGGTTTGGCTCTGTCCCCACCCAAATCTCATCTTAAATTTCCACCTGTTGTGGGAGGAACCCAGTGGGAGGTAATTGAATTATAGGGGCAGGTCTTTTCCATCCTGTTCTCATGATAGTGAATAAATCTCATGAGATCTGAAGGTTTGATAAGGGGGAGTTTCCCTGCACAAGCTCTTTTTTAGCCTGCTGCCATCCATAAAAGATGAGACTTGCTCTTCTTTGCCTTCTGCCATGATTGTGAGGCCTCCTCAACCATGTGGAACTGTAAGTCCATTAAGCCTTTTTCCTGTATAAATTACCCAGTCTCTGGTATGTCTTTGTTAGCAGCATGAAAACAGACTAATACAAATTTCCATTAATCAGCACCTTTAGTTGTTTGAATGTATTAGTTGCATATCATTGTTATAACAAATTGCCACGACTTAGTGATCAAATGTAGAACCTATTTATTATCTCACATTTCTGTGGATCAGCAGTGCACACACAGCTTGGCTCATCTTCCTCCTCCCCAGGCTGAAATGAAGGCATACACAGAGCTGCCTTCCTTACTGCAGACTGGAGGAGAATATGCTTCCAGGTTTTTTTCAGGTTGTTGGCAGAATTTAACTTCCTTTTAGAGCTGGCTATCACCTCATGGTTGTACTATGTTTCTAGAGGCCACCCACAATTTTTTGGTTTGTGGCCCCCAGGAAAGGTGAGCTAAATTCTTCTCCCACTCTCCTTCTGCTGTGTCTCCAACCTGAGGAATATGTCTTCTTTCATGGGCCCATGTGATTTTAATGGGCCCACTTGGAGCATCCAGGATAATCTTACTGTTTCAAGGTCTGTAACCTTACTCAAATCTGCAAAGTCCCATTTTCTATGTGACTTAACATGTTCACAGGTTCTGAGGATTAAGACATGGTCATCTTTGGTGAGGGGAAAACATTATTCTGTCTATTACATTCCTATATTTCTCTCCTGATAACCAGAGAATTCATTTTACCTGAGAAGTCCAGGAAAATGGACTTTATCTCTGAAACACAAAACGTACCGTATGAAGTATAGTGCTCTACATAACAGGCAATACAAATACGAGGAAAATGATGATAAATATTGTGCTTTTGGTTTTTCTGCATTGGCTTCTCCAGATTAGTTATTATTTGAGATAATACTAGAGCACTAATTAAGCTATCAAAACATAGTATTATTTTTACCATAAAGTAACTATGATTTTAATTCAACTTTTTGAGCCACCATTATTTTCATCAATTGTTCTGAAAAAAATAAAAATAAATAGTGTGACAATTAGTGGGAAAATATCAAACTAAATAATTCATTTATTTTTTTAAATGTCTTGCCTCAGAGATTTGCATTACATCCTGTTACTGTCTAGCCTGCCTCTCAGAAATGTATTCCATTGCAAATTGGAGAGTTAAATCACTTTCTAAAATTTTGCCTAATCATATAAATCTTTTATACATATTAGACTCATAATAGCATGTCCAACACTTCTCCATTTATTTATTGTCATCAGCAAATTTTTATATTCATTGTTTTCTTCCATTTTGAGATCACTAATTATGATGTTATGGTTATCGAACATTTGCTCATCCCAAAACACTTCATTAAGAATCTCTTGGCACCAGGTTCCTAAGGGCATTTATCAGCTCCAATTGGCCTCTGTCCTTCAGCCCACTTTGCTTATATGAGAGCCTCATCAAATCTGACTGCAATTCGAGTAGTATGGCCAGGCTCTGAGATATTGTCAGAGACCACCACAGACTTCCAGCGGACCACAGTGAACTTAGCACTGTCTGAATAAAAATTAGATCCACTGATAGCCTTGAGTCACAGCTCTATAGACCACAGAATAATAAATCTGAGGTCAGAATAGGGGTAGAGAGAGTGGGTGGTGGGTGTGTATGAAAAATATTTAGATAAAAATATTAGCATGACATGGAATGGAATAGCTGTTCTGTTTCAAGGGATTAAATAAAAGTAATGCCAAAGTTATAATTGTTTTGCCTTCAATAAGAAATAGTGATGTGGTTTCTTTGGAGAATACACAGTAGAAAGAACAGTAGTGTGGTTACGTGTGTGTGATGATGATAGTAGTGAAGGGTTATAGGTTTTTGTAGCATATTTTTGATATATCTCAGGAAGTTCTAAATAGTGATGTGCAGTAAGCATTTCCATACATTTATCTGAAGTTCAGTAGGGCAATGTGAGTTTAGATTTAGATTCTATCATTGTACAGTAGTTCCACCATATCCAAGATTTCACTTTGTAAGGTTTCAGTTACTTGGAGTCAACCTCAGTCCAAAAATATTAAATGGAAAATTTCAGAAACAATGAGTTCGAGAACGGTGATGAAATCTTGTGCCCAAGATGTAAATTGTCCCTTTGTCCAGTGTATCCGTGCTATAGACACTATCTGCCCATTAGTGACTTAGTAGCTCTCTTGGTTATCAGATCCACTGTTGTGCAGTCTTTGTGACCCAGTCACCCTTATTTTACTTAACAACAGCCTCAAAGTTCAATGGTGGTGGTGCTGGCAATGTGGATATGCCAAAGAAAAGCCATAAAGTGCTTCTTGTAAGTGTAAAAGTGAAAGTTCTCCATCTAGTTAGAAACAAAGAACACATACAAAGGTTGCTAAGATCCAAGGTGAGAACAAATCTTCTATCTGTGAAGTTGTGAAAAAGGAAAATGAAATTCTTGCTTGTGTTGCCATTTCCCCTCAAACTGCAGAAGCCGTAGCCTCACTGTGTGATGAGTGCTTAATTAAGATGAAAAAGGCACTAAATTTGTGAGTGGAAAAAATAAACAGAAACATTTTCCAATTTAGCCTAATTAAATTTCGTATTATTTGTGGTTTCAGGCATCTGCTGGGGTTTTGGAATGTATTCGTCAAGGAAAAGGGGAGGCTGCTATACACACAACAATTAATAGTATACAGGTGAATGAACTTCCTCAAAAATAAGTTGTGTAGACTGAAAGAGAAGAAGGTGGTATGGAAAACCGTGAGGTAACATCGGAATCTCTATACCACCTTACCACCTTGTTCTCCTTCTATAACAAAGTACCCTAAACTGCATGGCTCATAATAACAGAAACTTATTTCTTACCTTGTGAAGGCTGGGAGTCTGAGAACAGGTGCCAGCTGGCTTCCGAGTTCCACACTAATAGCATGCTTGCCATTCAGAAGTTGCCTCAGTGTTTTATTCTTTTTACTCTACATTATGAAGTATTTGTGTCCTCCCAAAATTCATATGTTAAAACCCTAACTCCACTGTGATTTGTTAGATGAGCTGGAGTCTTTGGGAGGTAATTAAGTCATAAGGGTACAGTGCTCATGATGGGAACACCTGAGAGCTTGCTGCCTTTTCTCTGTCCATGTGCCTGCTCATGGGCAAGGCCATGTGAGCACCCAGGCAACAACAGCTATGTGGGAATCCAGAAGAGAGCCCTCATCAGGTACCAGATCTTTTGCATCCTTGATCTTGGCTTTTCCAGTCTCCAGACTTTGAGAAATAAATGTCTTTTCTTTAAGTTATGCAGTGTATGGTGTTTGCTATGGTGACCTGAGTTAAATATCAACCTCACTTTCCTTTCAATCATCTTTGAACCTCTGTTGAAATGAATGTGATGGCAGAGGGATTCCTTTACACCACAACGTCATAAATAAACAGTTTTTGCAAATTTTGACTAAAACTTTGTTTTATTTTTGTCACAACTCAGTCACATAACTTCAGCCAACTGGAAGGGACACTTGAGAATGTTATCTAGTTATAACCACAAAGAAGAGACAACAACTTTGATCAGAAGTAGACAGATCTGCCATGTAAATTTAAGAGGCAGTGATGGAAAATAATGTTTATTTATTATAGCAACATAACAGTGAAACCTGAACATAAACCTAATGCCAAGTGCAACAATGTTCTCACTCTTCTAAATAGCTCAGCGGTACTTGAAACTTTCAACATTTTCTTTCTCCTTGAATCTCTCCCTTCTCTTGAAAAGGCACTGTTCTAATAACCCATTCTCACTGGGGAACTGAATCAACTTCCTTAATTTCTTTTGTTTTTAAATTATACTTAAATTGTAGGGTACATGTGCACAACGTGCAGGTTAGTTACATATGTATACATGTGCCATGTTGGTGAGCTGCACCCATCAACTGGTCATTTAACATTAGGTATATCTCCTAATGCTATCCCTCCCCTCTCCCCCCACCCCACAACAGGCCCCAGTGTGTGATGTTCCCCTTCCTGTGTCCATGTGTTCTCATTGTTCAATTCCCACCTATGAGTGAGAACATGAGGTGTTTGCTTTTTTGTCCTTGCGATAGTGCTGATGCTTCTCAAATATCCTTCCACTCAGACCTACCTCCTGAGTTTTAGATGCAGACTTTAATTCTTTAGTAGCTAAATTTAAGAAGTTCCACAAACGATCAAATTCCAAAATAAATTAAAAAATACAGGTCATCTATCCACCTCCCTTCCTGAGGTGTTTTGTCTTTGTTTTCTTTTTTCAAGACAGAAATCTAAGTATCACCTTGATTTTTTTTTCCTCTCTATTATCCCCCTTTGCTAATCAATCACAAATCCTGTCATTTTGATCTCTCTAGCGCCTTTTGATTTATATGCTTTTCTCCACCCCCAATGCTATTGTTTTAATTCAGTTTATTTCACCATCATCTTCATTAAGGCCTTTTTAAAATTCGCTTAACTGATCTCCCTTTTGGCCTTTCCACTGCTCATTGTTAATCTTTACATTACAATCAGAATAATATCACTAAAATTTAAATAGGAATATGTTGCTTTACTGTAGGTGTGGTTTCCACTAGTAAATCAGAGCTTTTGCACTTCAGTATTTATTTCCTTATGGTATAATCATGTTAAGAGAGTAACATCCTCTTTTTCTGATGTAAGTCTTACTACCAAATGCACTTGTTAGCAGTTGGTGATTCAGTACGCACCAGAATCCAGGAAAAGAGGGAAATCAAAGGTGAGGGGAGAATATTTAATCTCAACATTAAGATAATAGTAAGTTAGTTAGTAATTATACAAACATTCTGTGTTTGAACCCCATTCAATATAATTTAATTGAAAATGAGTTCTCATGATATTTTATTCTCAAGTTTACTGTTCTTGGAATTAGGATCATTCTCCCCAGGTGTTTTGAGTATATTATTCATTTTAATTGATTCTAGTTTGGCTTCTATAATGGGCTCTTTTAAGTTATTAATAGAAACAGTTACCTTACCCAAAGGGAAGTACTGCATCTCTGGCCTAGTTGTAAAGCCTCATCATGGGGCCTTCCAACCTAGCATTAACCATTTACTCTAACGTATTTATGGAGATTTGTTTTAAGGTGGGGCATATAAACAGAAGCAGCAAAGCAAGGCATCAATGGGCAGCTCTGAGGAGGAGAAAAGGCATATCCTTGTGAGTTTTAGGATATTGGAAAAAAATGCTTTTTACAGTTCCATCTTTCCCCAATATTCAATATTTGAAGGTTCTCTTATCAGATATATCATGTTGCAAGCAGATAGCTGGAAAAAGAAACAAAAACAAATTAAGCCCAAGTCTTTCATTTTTGTAGGTAAGAAAAATTAAGCTCACAGGGTAGAAAAGACATGCTCAAAATGCCATAGTTAAAATAAATATATCAGAAGGTAGATTTCATGTGGTGTTCTTACCACAATAAAATAAAATAGAAAGAAAGAAAGGAAGGAAGAAAGAAAGAAAGAGAAAAAAAAGAACTTCGCATCTGTATAATTTTCCCAATGATTGCATTATCTTTACTTAATATTTATTCATTGTTTATTACTGTATAACAGATTAGTAGTTTAAGACTACAAATGTTCATTATCTCAGTTTCTGTGTCTCAGGAATCTGGACATAGTTTATCCAAATCCTCTACTCAGGGTCTCACCTCAAGCTATCAGCCTGGGCTGTGGTCTCATCTGAAGTGTAGGGCGCATTTCTAAGATCACATCATTTTTGGCAAATTCGATTCCTCATGACTGTCAAAATCACAGGGACTAGTTTCTTTCAAGACGGCTGGAAATTTTCTTAGGCTTCTAGGACCTTATTTCAGTGTTTCTCTGATTAGGTCCAGGTCAGGCCCACCCAGGATATCTTTCTTTGATTACTTCAAAGTCAAATGATTAAGAATTTTAATTGCATTTGTAAAATCCTTTCACCTTTGTCACATAACATAACTAACCAAGAGAAGGGCAGCTTATCATATTCACAAGGTTTTCAATTTCCTGTGGATAGTTTAATAGCATAATTAGACCAAGATGATTAAGTATAGATGTCTTGAATCAAACATCCTGACTTTAGAAATTGTCTCTGGCGCTTGATGACTAATGGTTTCTGCAACTTGCTTAGTCTTTAGCTAGCTTTTAAGTCTTAGTTTTTTCTTCTGCAAAATTAGAATGAAATCCATTCGTGTACCAGGCACTGTTTTGAATTGCCTCTTGAACTCATGGTAGCTTCTTTGTGAGATTCTTCACCTCTCAGCATTGGAAATGCACAGCAGCTTCTGTTGTATCTTATACAGCATTTCTGAACACATGAGATTTGATCAAATGTGGAATATCGAGCTGGGTCTACCAAAATTTCTCTTTCAGAAATTTATAATAGAGACATATAGAGCCCAATTTAGTCTACATTCTTTCTGGAGAAGTTATCAACTAGGATTCTATGAGGAAAGCTGTTTTCTACCACTACATGGATAAAGTAGAGAAAACTTATTTGCAAAGAGCAATAAATACTGTCGACATGTTAAAAAAAATAAAAAAACAGACAAGAGATCATGTGAATGAGGTCAAAGGGAAAAGAAGAATGCTAAAGATTAGCTGCCAAAGTGAAAGTGAGAAAACATTAAGAGAGTAAGGAAGATACAAGAGTACAATAAAGAGCAACTCTGAAGGTAAACTAAGAGATAGTTGCTAACATTCAATTTTTTTCAATTTTATTTTCAGTTATTAAGTTAATCACTCAACAGATATTTACTGAGTATGCATTATGAACAAGACACATTTTTGGCTGCTACAGAAACAGTTTTGAGCAAAAAAGAGCCCTTTTGCTTGTAAGATTTTTGTTATCTTAGGAGCCACTGAGACAGAGGATGGTAAGCAAGCATGCACTGATATTAATAAGTACCATGTAGAAAACAACATAGATGGCATGATAGACAACTGGGTGGGGATATGTGCAGGGGAGGACATCTTTTTTTTTTTTTTTTTTTTTTTTCTGAGATGGAGTTTCACTCTTGCTACCCAGACTGGAGTGTAATGGTGCAATCTCAGCTCACTGCAAGCTTGGCCTCCCAGGTTCAAGCGATTCTCCTGCCTCAGCCTCCCGAGTAGCTGGGTTTACAGGCATGTGCCACCACACCCGGCTAATTTTGTATTTTTAGTAGAGACAGGGTTTCTCCATGTTGGTCAGGCTGGTCTTGAACTCCTGACCTCAAGTGATCTGCCCACCTAGGCCTCCCAAACTTTTGGGATTACAGGTGTGAGCCACCACACCTGGCTGAGGACCTCTTTATGTATTAATTCCACAACAGTTTTCAGGGAAGGTCCACTGACAAAAATTGTACAGTGTCTGGACCATGAGAAACAAAGAGCCATGAAGAGTTCTGGAACAACCCTGGCATCATATTGTATCTTCAGGTTCCATAAGATAACCTACGATCCTTTCAATAAATGCCACTCTTAAACTTTTGTAAAACATCTTTGATTTTATATCTTGAAAACAGAAATTTTAACCAGACTATAGCTGTTATTACAATATATAAACTAAAATAACACCTAACAACATTGTAGGAAGAGGTTAGGAGAACCCTTCTCTTTTATCTACCAAAAGGTTCCCTTTCCCCAATAAACTATTCCTGTCATGCTGTGAATGGAAATGCCTGTTTTTAGCCTTTGTTAGCATTAAATTTTCAAATGCTCTTGTAGATGAAAGTGCCACCATCTAAAGGGCATGAGTTATATTTAATCCCCAGCTTATCTAAATCTTTCAGCAGGAAAGAAGACTAGACATGAAAACTGCCCTAAATGACATTGTCTTCTCTGATCTTTGTTGATTTCCTGGCCTCCAAACCAAAAGGTTAGATAAACAGGCCCAGAATCTAACATTTTTCCATCTGCTAATGACCAGAAAGAGAGGTGACCAGGGAGCAGGTGGAGATGGAGTCTGTGTTAGTAAAGGAACCATTTAACTCACTTATTTGTACTGTACTAGACTTGTGCACTGAAGACTAGCCTCACTCTCAGTGCCTGTGATAAGGGATGCTATCTCTGAGGCAGCCGGATTAGTCATCCCTATGGGCAGCTATTAGTTATTCCAATCCTTCTCTTTTTAGCAATTTCCTTGGTTTGTCTGCCACATCTTTTCATTGACATAAATAAACTTAATCAATCCAAACTGAATACGTTGACTTGTTTGTCTTTTTCTAGTTCCACCACAGGTAAGAAACCAAGTAGTCGAGGCTGGAACATTCCATACTACCCTGAGCCTGGGAAGAGCTGAGTGATGTGTGGCACTTAAAAACACTAAGAAAAGTAGTTACATTATACATTATATTGCACAAAACTGCTTCTGTGCGCATACACACACACACACACACACACACACACACACAAACACAGGAACAAACATAGATACATTGTGTAACTGATCGGAGATAGAAATAATTGAGGTAGTGATACAGAAAAGGTAAATGTTACCCATTCCAAGACACATTTGATATAATAACAACAAGTCTTTTAGTTAAATATATTTATGATTGTTGAAGGAAGTCTAAAACCTTGGTTTAACTGCTCTTTTCCTACAGACAGCAGCTATTTAAAAAATATTTAAAGATTTTAGTCTAGAATAGAAATGAGAAACTATATATCTCTTGCCATTTAAGGAAGTTCACCATCTCTTGGATGGTTTATTTAAAGTCAATGCTGTGTTTTTTTTATATTGGGTTGATATATAGTGTGGTTGTTAATCTTCTTATACTTGGACCCAGAAACTTCAATTTCTTCTGACTTATAACTTCAAAAAACGTTAATTTTATTTCTTTTTATTTATTTTACATGAAGAATATTATAAAACCAACATGAATTTAAAGATTGGCATCTGCTAAGGAATTAATATTAATAAAATGGGTGCTATGACCCTTGCCCAAATTGGTTTCTCATACGTGTGTGTGTTTGTGTGTACACGTGCATTAAAGTAATGAAGTGGAAACTTTTAAAGTCTGATCTCATATCAAAATTGAGACTAGTTTTCATTTCTAGGTTTAAATTAAAAGTCTGCTAACATTCGAGGGAGTAAGGTAGGAATCAAGCCTTACAAAACAGCCCTTGATTGGCAATTAGCAATTAGAAAATTTCAGAATGTTCAGGAGGTAATTTTGGATAAGTATCTAAGCCCATGGCTGCATGTCTGATCCTTTGCCAAAGTTTTCAAACACCAGAGTTGCAATGCTGAGAGAAAAATTTCCCAGTTACAGGTTGCCTCCAGGGATGGTACTGATGTTTGCTCCATTAAGGCACAAAATATTTCATGGTTCTTTGGATCTGTGATCCATTTGGAAGCAAGAGCATAGACGTAAGTAGAAGGCAATTAAAAAAATAATTGGAATGACTTATTCGGTACCTACATTGTACTTGGTGGCTTTCTCAGGCTGAGAAATAAAGAATTAATACTTAACACTTTTCAAATGGCTAAAGATGCTGCATGTCTTACCCTAAGTCATAAATGTCTAAGCAGCATAAGAATCCATTTATATCTGGTCACATAGTTCACAATAAGCCAAGCCTGTACAAGGAAGGGGCATCATTCTTTCTTATGGAGACTCTGATGCAGGGAAGATAAACTAATCAGTTTGCAAAAGGACTAGATATGTTGAAGAGAACTTGCCAGAGTTGTGCTGCTATGTAGAAACACAGCTAATCTACGCCCAGCACTGTATTAGACTTTTAAGATACCTGGATGAATAAAACAAACACATTTTTTGGCCCCTTAGAGCTTAGTTTTACATGGGTTGATAGAGAGTTCATAATATCTATTACAAACAAGCAAATAATATGGTGTGTAATATACATCTATATTACAAAGAAGAAAAAATGAACAGGGTATTGAGATCAGGAGTGCAATGTGAAACAGAATGATCAGGCCAGGAGCAGGGATTCACTCCTGTAATTCCAGCATTTTGGGAGGCTGAGGAGTGTGGATCACCTGAGCTCAGGAGTTCAAGACCAGCCTGGCCAAAATAGTGAAACATCATCTCAACCAAAAATACAAAAATTAGCTGTGCATGGTGGTGTGCACCTGTTGTCCCACCTACTTGGGAAGCTGAGGCATGAGAATTGCTTGAACCCCGGAGGAGGAGGCTGCAGTAAGCCGAGATTGCACAACTGCACTCCAGCCTGGGTGACAGAGTGAGATTCTGTTTCAAAAAAAAAAAAAAAAGTCAGCATAGAGGTCATTGGGTTACAAACAATTAAGCCACTGTTCAAAGATTGAAAGAGGGGAGTTAGATATAGGGTTGTTGAGTGAAAGACACACTTCAAAGAGGTAGACCAAAAATTATGTTGGTAGTAACCCCAACTTTTTTCCAAGTAAAAACTCCACCCCAAATCTATCTCTTTTTATTTCTTCTAGAGACCATGGCCATGATCTTTCTTTTTCTCTTTCTTCTTTGGCCCATTCACTGACCATTTCTAATTCTCTATTCTCCCCATCCTCTTTTCTTCTTCATTCTCATCACTATTATTATTCATCTTTAAATTTTCAAATAACATGTGTTTTCATTTGATTTAATGTTTAACTTATAATCTTTTGCTCATTTGACTCAAAGGCTTCCACAGGTAATACTGCACAGAGAAGGACATGTGAGCAACTTTTTTTTCTTCTTTCAAATTCTAATATATGATATCATTTTTGCTTAAGTGTTATTAAGTCTTGACTCCTAAGACTCATTTCTCACTCTTGTTCAGTGTCCATGAAGTTGCCTTCTACGGACATATAGAACCTAGCTGTCTTGCCATGTTACATCCAATTGGGTTCATTCAGATCACAGGACAAATGAAGAAAGTGATCATCCTTGCTTTCCTCCATGTTAGACCAATTTTTCAGTGATCCACCAGGGCCACAGCTTCTGTTGGAGAGCTGTTTCTTCCAGCTGCAGTTATTATCCCTTCAGACCTTAGGACAGTAGTGACTGTGTGCAATCAAGAGATACTTCACCATCCATTATGTGCTTTTCTTACTGCTGTGCACAGTTTTGTAAATAGTCCCTTTATGAAACTCTCTTTGAATGCTGATATTAAGTGAGACATTTGTTTCCAGGTGGGACCCTGACCTATAGGATCATCATCTTTCTCATCATATTCCATAGCAGAGACAGTGTCTATGATAAATAATTAGAACAGATATAATTAATGCAGATAAAAATATTACTATTATGCTTATACAGCTTACTTCAATTTTTAGACTAATATTTGTTCTGTACACACTGTGTGACAAATACTAGATTACATGCTTCCTTTCAATTGTGTCATTAGTTCCATACAACAGCCTTGAGAGGTGGGAATTGCTCCATTTCATAGCTGAGGAAACTGAGGTTTGAAAAGAACATGGAATTCGTCCACAGTAACAAAGCTAGTAATTGTTTGAAATATAATATTAGCCCAGTTATCCATGACTTCAAAGTCCATATTCCACCTAAATAAATTTTTGGAGAGAACCTCCTCATCAGTATATTCAAAACAAGTAGACCTCGTAAATGACTCAACATATTGCAAATGTCACCAAGAAGTTTAGTAGCAATGAATTTCTTGTTAACTAATCTTAACAAATTCCAATGAATAAAGATAAAATAAATTTCTAACAGAAATTTATTCTGATATATAAATATCAGAAGGCAGGCTAAAAGAAGCACTTTTCTTTTGAGTACAGCACTACATCGAGCCATTTAAAATTTTAAATCAGCTTAGATTACAAAGATGAACTAACGCTACATACATTGTAATCCCTTTAGGAACTGGAAATTTAGCTGAAACCATGCAGCGTGAGCAACTTTAGAATCCTTAAATCTTTCTCACTGACAAAGCAGCTGATGCATCTTGATAGATGACAAGTAGGACTATAGTCAAAATTTTTAAGAAAACTGAGATCAAAACCAAGTTCTGCTATTTTTACTCGCTATTTGATCTTGGGCAAGTCACTTGACCTGCCTTAGTCTCTCTTTCTTAGCATGAAAAATAGATATAATAATGCCTACCTTGTAGGAATTTTTAGTATGTTAAAAAAACTAAGTCAAAACATTTTAAATACAAAGTGTATAGTATGATTAGGTTGAGGAAAATAGACTTTATCAAAAAGGGGTAAGAGGAATACTTGGAGAGAGAATATCACTGTTTTGAAATTTTAAGAATTTACATTCCCTCACAGAATATTTTATTATTGATTTCTTTGTATGTTATCACTTTTTGGGAACTTAATCTCTGACGCATGAGTGCACTGCTAGTAAATACTTAAACTTGTCTGTGATCAGACAAAAAAGCTTTCTCTCTTAGCTTCCGGTCTAACACAACCCTACTTCCTTTTTTGGGGGGATAGCAGGGGGTAGAAAGAAGGTGAAATAAAAACAATAGATCATGAAACAATAGACATGAAATAGGACATCATTTTTTATTATATTCCTTATCTATGTCCTGATATTCTGACTACTTTCAAGTAGAATTTGAGTTGACTTATAATGAAAATATTAAAAAGAAAGTAATTGGAATAATGATGAAAATTGAAGTTTTGAAGTGTAAAAAGATACTACATTAGAAAAGAGAAGAAATAAAAATATGAGGACTAAAATAATCTTTTTACTAGAAAATGACAATAGCTTCTGAGCTTCTAGCCAGCCTGAACAAAAAGAGAAAAACAGAACTCATTATATAAATGTAAAAAAAATGAAAAAATCTTCAAACTAGGCACATTACATAATTGTAGAAGCTTAGGGAAATAGCTTTATTGTTTCTTCTAATTAGAAAAACAATTAGAATTGTTGATAATTTATTATTTAATAATTATAAAAGTAATGTATTTACATTTCAAAGACTTATAGAATATTATTAAAAAGAAAATAAAAATACCCATAA
Organism: Homo sapiens; assembly: GCF_000001405.40. NCBI lineage: Eukaryota > Metazoa > Chordata > Mammalia > Primates > Hominidae > Homo > Homo sapiens. Next base: position 123,577,642 of record NC_000002.12, on the reverse strand, counting down.
TCTCAGAGTCCAGGGATACTAAACATTAATGTGGGCATGTGCAGTGGTTTTCAAAATTGTTACTATGCATACATTTTTATAAAAATTGGATGCAATTATATTCATATTACAGCTTTTGCTTATAACAGTATGTCATGGGCATTGCATAATGTCAGGAAATAAAGTATTCAGTTATTTTAATGATGGTATAACATTTTTGTATGAATATTAAGTGATTAAACAATCTTATGTGTATATGTGTTTTCACAGACAGAGACACAGAATTTCGTTTCCCTTATTTTTCTCTTTTTAAGACAGTGCTGCAATAAGCATTCTTGTTTATATCCTCTCTATTTCTCCTAGTGTTTCCTTAGAATCCCCTAACAGAGATCACATTTCTGGACAAAGGCTTACAATAGAACTCTTCATTAATAAAAAAAAAAAGAAGCAAATGAAAGTTTGTTTTTATTACTTTTATCAATGCCGGTTAGTACAAGTATGTACCTGTGCATGTGTGTATATACTTATTTATATTTCCTACTCTCCTAGGCAGAGCAAGGCATTTTGGCATTTACTTGCATTTCTTTGCTGGTGAGGATGAATATCTTTTCACGTGTCTTTTTTATACATTAAACTTTTGTCCATTAATATGTTAGCCCATTTTTCTAAAAATGTCGTTTTATTTCCTTATTGATCTTTTAAAAGGTCCTAAATATTAGCAGTATTAATCCTTTGCTATCTTATCTGAATCATTCATTACTTTTGTTAGTTCAGTTTTTGGTCTTTAATTTGTTGTCTGTAGTTACCATTAAGAAACATTACATTCTTAAGTAGCTAGGTCTGTCAGTCTTTCCCTTTGCACATTTTACTTAACTGTGAATCTTAAAACTTCTCCAATACTATGAATATATATGTGCATACATGCATGTGTATCTGTGTGTATTTCCTTTCTAAATTTTACTCCAGCAGATTTGGAACATTATTTATACTTTCAAATATAAGCATCCCACAAGTTATTTTGGTGAAAATTATAAAGTATCTATAGATCAAAACAAATGAATCAAAATTTTAAAATATTGACCTAAATCTATTTTTACTTTTTTATTTTTAATTTCTGTGGGTACATAGTAGGTGTATATACTTATGGTGTATATGAGATATTTTGATGTAAGCGTACAATGCATAATGGTCACATCATGATAAATGGGGTATCCATCAACTCAAGCATTTTACCCTTTTTTGTGTTGTTACATTCCAGTTATGCTTTCCTAACTACCTTAAAATGTGCAATAAACTATTGTTGATCATAGTGCCCCTGTTGTGCTATCAAATACTAGATCATATTCATTCTATCTGATTATATTGTTGTACCCATTACCATTCCTATTTCTTTCTCTGTCCTGTCCTCCCCTTCCCAGCCTCTGGTAACCATCATTCTCCTCTATATCTCCACGAGTTCAATTGTTTTAACTTTTAGATACCACAAACAAATGAGAACACGGGAAGTTTATCTTTCTGTTTCTGGCTTATTTTACAACATAATAAACTCCATTTACATCCATGTTGTTGCAAATCACAGAATCTCATATTTTTTATGGCTAAATAGTACTCCATTGTGTACATTTTCTTTATCCATTTGTCTATTGGAGGATACTTTAGGTTGCTTCCAAATCTTGGCTATTCCAAATAATGTTTCACGAAACATGGGAGTGCAGATATCTCTTTGATATACTGATTTCCTTTCTTATTTTTAAGCAACATATCTTTCCTCCAGTAATTTGAAATGACATGTTTATTATATTTTAAGTGTTTCCTTTTAGTTTAATGTTTCTGAATTTTATAATCTGTTCTTTCCTCTATATTAATACCACACTGGTATATTTAACATACATTTGTAATGAAACTTAACATTTTCTAAGGCAAATACGGATTATTTGTTTTCTTTTAAAAATATTGTGTCTATTCTCCAGAGACTGTACTTCCTTGTAAAGTTTAGAATTATTTTGTCAAACTATAAAGTAAATCATGAAAATCCACTAAGAATTTGACTTAAAAATTTTCATTTAATTATATATCCTATCACCAATGAATTGAAATGCCAGTTTTACCACACACTATGTTCCTATCTCTGATAGTTCTGCTTAAAATTGTGGATTAATTTGGGAGAGAATCCAAGAACACAGAATGTTTCTCAATTTAATTCAATTTTCTTTATGTCCATGAGTAAAGTTTAGTATTTCCTTCATACAGGTCTTCCAAATTATTGTTTGCTTTTTCATATTAAATATATTCGTATCTTGCTACTTTTTTTGGGGCTTTCCTTTTTATTCCATTTTAAATTATTCACTGCTGATGTGTAGACAAACTTATGTATTTATCTATGTATTCTATTGGCTTCCTTCACTGCTTAGATCATGCACACACGCTTGCACACACACACATAATTATTTATTTTTAATTCGTATATGTCTCTTTGATTTGCCAGGGAGACAATCACATCCACTATCATTCATGTTTGTTTTACTTTTTTCCCAATACTTATACTCACATAGACATCAATTTCCAACAATGTTGAATATTAGTTGTCAAATCAGGCTTATTTTTCTTCTTTCTGACTTCAATGCCGCACATTTTCACCATTTCATCTTGTAAAATGATACTTGCTATTGTTCTCCCACAGACAAACTGAACTGTTCCTGGTTTATCAATACTTGAAAAAAAGTATAGATATTAGATCTTACAAAAGCTTTTCAGCTTCTATCTGGCTGGACTTATAATGTTCAACCAGAGGTAGTATTAGTCTCTCATAGAAAGCATTTGAATGTGGTGTGAAAGAGGGAAGCGGTGTTTTTGATTGTTCCGGTAACTGTTGACTATTACAGGAATTTACTGGAAAGTAGCAGAAATATCAATGGTACTTCCATGCATAGCAATATCATGTTCAACTGCAATCAGTGTCCCTGTTGAGAAATACTGATCCAGTTTATGTTTCTTTTTCTACTTTAATACATTAACATTATGAACTACATTAATAAATTTCATGCTTTTAGAAGAAATTGCATTCCCTTATGACACTGTAATTGATCATGACTTGCTGGATTAGATATGGTAATATTTTATTTCATGTTTTTACATCTATATTTATAAAAGTGATTGAGCTAGATTTTTACAAGATCCTTTCATACACACACACACACACACACACACACACATCAGTTTCCTCGTAGTATTATGAAATACTCATACGTAAGGGTTGTTTTTTTCTGTCCTTTTCTATATTCTCTGTTGATTATGTTTTTTTCCTTGCACTTTTTTCTTTACTTCTAGTTTTATCAATCATGTCTTACCCTCACCTCCTTATTCTATTGAAAGATATAAATCCTAGATTTAGTCTGCTAACGGTTTAATTATATATTTGAATTTAAATTTCGGTATCCAGATAAAAAATTTTTAAAAAGTTTCATAGAGTTAAATTTTAGAATTTCTTCCTTCTGGTATGTTTTGCTTATCTTTCTTTGTAGAGTCTAATCTAATTCAGAACATGTTAATGAAAAGGGAAATAAGGAAACTGTGTGAATGGAGGCAGAGCTAAGAAAAACCCCTGGGAAGTCTCACCTGAGTTTGGCGAATGGTGGCTGTTAGGGAAGTGACCTTCTAATTGCCCTTTCTCTACTCTCATTCCATGCCTCTATACACGTCTTTATCAAGCCCCTCTTTGTTTCCAATAGTGGTAGAATGGTTTCTCTCTCACATAGATTGGATACTTTTAACAGATTTAAAATGGAAGACAGATTTGCATAGATTTCTTCCCTTGTTTTATCTTATATCAAACTCTATAAGGAATAGATCACACAGCTCCTAATAAGGAGAGCATAAGGTAAAATCATGCACAGCATTTTAGTTAGAAAATATTAATCTTTATGTTTTCATTTCTTAGTCTTTTAAATAATAAAAATGCATCGAAATGTTTAAAACTTTAAATATTGTAAAAGTTATAGTAAGACACGTTGCCAACTAGATTCATGCATCTAATTTCCTGAATTACAGTTAATAGTTTCATATTATAAACTCTTGATAAAAGTAATAAATACATGGCAGATACACACATGCACATTTGTATTATATAATAGTAGTCCAGTGAACGCTTCTGTTTTTTGGTTCTTTAATAAAATCTAGCTAATTCTTATTGCCATCTATAGAATATTCTGTCATTGTATTTTTAGCATAAGGTAGTTAAATTATTCTCTACTGTGGGTACATGTTAAGCTTATTTTATTTTATTTTTTCTATTAAAAATATTACTGTACCAGGTAATTTTCTATAATTAACTTGAGATGTTTTGGTTAAATTCTTCTGTTCAAATTGTTGTGTTGAAGGTTATACCTATTTATGATAGTGAATATTGCTTAACTGCTCTCAAAAAATTGTCAAATATTTTATTTATTCGCTGTTGTATCCCTGGTACTTACTACAATTGTTGGGACACAGGGGTACTTAGAGTAGTCAAATTCCTAGTAAGTAGAAGGGTAGTTGCTAGGGGATAGGAGTCAGAGAATGGGGAGCTCTTGTTTAATGACAAAGAGTTTCAGTTTTACAAGATGAAAAGGGTTATGGAGATACATGGCAATGATGATTTCACAACATTATGAATCTATTTAATACTTCTGAACTGCACATTTAAAAATGGTCAAGATGACACAGCTTACATTATTTGTATCTTACCACAATTTTAAAAATTAATCAGAAATATATGCAAGACAGAAAACTATGTGAGAATTCCGATAAAGAGAAAACTAATTCTGATTGGGTAGGTGGAAAGATGAGAGAAGGGTTCATATTTCAGCATATATGAGGGTAACCTCTGAATCTTACTGCTCTGGTGTTCTCCTTCATACAAGCACTTGGAAATATAGTTGTCACTCTAAAGGTTATTGAATGAACGGGTGACTGAATGAGTAAATTAATTTCTGTATATATATGTTCATTGGTCAGATTGGAATTCAAAAGAAAGAGACTTCATCTGCTACCTCAAAAAGGACATTGGCATGCATTGGTAGAAAGCAGTGGGCCAGATGTATTCCAAAGGGAATCTGGTTTGGCCAGTAATTTTTTAAAAAAATGTAAGAACATTTGAAAGGAAAATCTAAGACTTCCATTAGTTAACGGCTTCCTACACTTCACACACAGGAAGGTATAGGTAGAAATGTCTAGATTAATCTATGTTATCTCTCTACCTAGCTTCTGTCATCTATCTGTCTGTCTAGCTATCTATCTAAGTTTATAATTTCTGATGTACCTAATAGCTACTTAACAAATAAATAAATTGGATGAATAATTTTTTTAAAAAAAGCTAGGGGGTAAAAATTTAAAAACAATATTTGCCTAGTCTCACAGTGTCATCTTACAAATTACTTACTAATTGCAAAGGGAGAAATAGAAACATTACAGAAGTTAAACCAGACAGAAGCCATCTTACCAAGGTGATCAAAGTTGAGATCACCACTATTGGTTAAGTCAACACTGCAATGTGCCTCCTCATGAAATGCAATGAGAAGAACCAAGAGCAAGTCTGTGATAGTCCTGCCAAAATTCATACCCATAGTATAATGTCAAGAACATATCAGAAGAACTCCAAGTGGGAAATTCTTTTAAATAAAAATGTCTTTTATCTATCAAAAATGTCAATATCCTGGATAAATAAAATATAGTACACATACACCATGGAATATCATGCAGCTATACAAAGGAACAAGATCATGTCCTTTGCAAGGACATGGATGGAGCTGGAAGCTATTATCCTCAGCAAACTAACACAGGAACAGAAAACCAAACACCGCATTTTCTCACTTATAGTGGGAGCTGAACTATGAGAACACATGGACACAGGGAGGAGAACAACACACACTGGGTCCTGTTGGGGGGGTCAGAGAAAGGGAGAGCATTAGGATAAATAGCTAATGCATGCGGAGCTTAATACCTAGGTGATGGGTTGATAGGTGCAGCAAACCACCATGGCACACGTTTACCTGTGTAACAAACCTGCACATCCTGAACATGTATCCCAGAACTTAAAACAAAATAAAACACAATTTAAAAAAGTCAATGTCAAAATAGTCAAAAACAGACTGAGTAATTGTCCAGATTGAAAGATGCTAAAGAGACATGACAATTAAGTGCAACACAGTAATTGGGATCACCTTGGCTTATAACACACAATATTGGGACAGTTGATGAAATTCAAATAAAGTCTGCAGGTTAGATAATGCTCTTCTGTCAGTGCTTACTTCTGGATTTTAATAGTGTTCTATTTTTATGTAAGAGGATGAATGCCCTAATTTTAGGAAATACACTCCTAAGTATTTAGGAGTAAAATGGAATTATATTTGCAACTTAGTCTCATAAGCAAAAGAGAGAGATAGATAGATGATTAGATAGATAGATGGATAGATAGACAAATAGATGATAGAAGGTAGTAGATAGATAATATAGATTAATATAGACATATCTACCTATATATTCACATATCGATCTAACTATCTGGAAGGGGGGACCATGATATAGCAAATATAGAAATATGTTAACTTTAACATTTGGTGAATTTGGGTAAAGGATATATGATAATTCTTTCTATTAGTCTTGGAACTTTTCTTTAAATGTGAACATTTGTGAAAAGACAATCTAAAAACAGATAGAAGCAAAACAACATTTGTAGATTATGATGCATCTTTCATAATTCTGTCTTCCTGTTATCTGAAGATTCTCTGGCTCCTACTATATACTGCATGTGAAATATCCAGGATATCCAGGATATTGACATTTTTGATAGATACAAGACATTTTTATTTAAAAGAATTTCCCACTTGGAGTTCTTCTGATATTTTCTTGACATTAGAACCAGTAGGGAAGATGACCCTTCCACACCCCTCCAAAGCTTTTAATCCCAGGAAGTAAATTATTTTCTGTATATATATGTTCACTGTTCAGATTGGAATTTAAAAGAAATTCCAGCCAGCCAGCAACTTTGCATATTATGGCAAATCCTGTAGTATAAAAGTACTGTGGCATGTTTTTAGCAATCTGACTGCTGATGCTTTGTACATTTTGATACTCAGTTTTGAGATAACTACCCTGTTTTGAGAGAACTAACTGAAACCTAATGATTTTCATTTGCATAGACTGATATAGGTTCTAGCATATTTGAGTTATATCTGGACACAACTGAGGAATCACATTATCAATGACTGAATTGCTTTTAGGTGACTTCTTGATACTCTGCTTCAGGATGTTCATGGCTTTGGCTGAGCTTCCAGGGAAGCAGTCCCTGGCAGAGGTATGAGAGGCTACATGCAAGAGTGAAAGAAGAAATTGTCAAGGAATGGGAAAATGTGTCTTTGTTTTGCCAGGAGTTTTAGCTCCAGGGCTAGACATAGGGAGGAAAGAAGAAAAAGCATTGAAAGTAATCATAGAGGAGAATGAACATGTGTGAGAGTCTACAAGTAAAGGGAAGAAACGTCTACATTAAGATGGATTCCTGGAAACAGCTAGTCAAAAAAACAAAATCGAAAAAAAAAAAATTCTGTGGTTCCAGAGCTACAATTTAGAAATGTGACCTTGATAAAATCATTTCAACAAAACATTGAATGCACCTACCAAACTTTTATGAGGACACTGTGAGTTCATTCAAGAGATTTCAAAAGGGAGCTTTATCAGCCTTGCTGGTGTTTTGGATTTCCCCACTCTCTGGGCATAGATGCCTAGACTGGCAATGGGCACTGGACCATTGAGAGTTCATATGAGTTTATGAATTCATGAGCTCATAAGTTCATACGAGAATTTGGAGTTGGAACTAAGAGAATTTGGATGCGGCTTTTTGGATGGAGATGTAAACATTGAAGCTGTGACTAAGCTTATTCCAGTATGTCTATGAGTCTTCCAATGACAACATCTTCATGAACAGTAACAAACAACTAACAACAAAAGGCACTGAAAACATAGTGACAAATTCATCTGTTCTCTTTGATCTGTTCTTTTCCTTCAGTAGAAGGGTTATAATGGATTTTGGAGTGGCAGAAAGGCTATAGAACATAAAGGGAATCATGATTTATAGACTTGAAAGTTATCTATTATAGGGAGATTAAATATTCAGCCATATGTTTTCAAGTATCATCCCTAAACTGGAGAAACAATGGGGCATTTTCTGATTTTTTAATCTATAAATTGTAGCATAATTTGGCTGTTTTTAATTAATATTTATAGGTCCATAATCCTCAGGGAGAAAGCTATATAAGACAGATAATCCACACTATTATCAGTTCCAATAATTGATTACACTATTGAGAACAACAACAATCAAACACACCTAAAGTTCAGAAGAAGATGGGACATAGGACATTAGGGGAAAATGTACAAATGAAAGTGAAAGCATTCAAGACAATTGCCTCGTGTAATAGAGGTTGTTTAAATTTCGTTTTTGTTGGGTGTTAGTCATAAAGTATGGAGATGTTTCAATCTTCTTTGAATGTACAAATATTAAGTAAGTTATTGCTAATTTGAGGACAACATATTTAATTTTTCTGGTACATTTGCAAAGGCCCACATTAACTACATTGACTACCACTCTTCAGGTTTGGGCTAAATTTTTTTCTTTTTTAACTTTTCAAATTTCTTCCATATGGAACACAATGACCTGAGTAGAGGTACTACACAGGGAAGATCTGCCTCAAAAGTACTTGCTAAAATGCTTTAAATGGAAAGAAATAAAATACTGAAAAGATGGATTTGCTGGAGTCACACTCAAAAAAGCAATCACAAGCAAAGCTGAGGATGACAGAATCAAAATGTAATCTAAATTATCCAAAGCATAGTTATTTATTTTTGTGCAATCGGTTTACATTATTGTTTAAGACAGTGATACAGGAAGAAACAAAGGTTTGCTGCTTTGGATAGGAAATACTAAGATGCTTTTAATACTTACTGGCTTCAATTAGTAATCGATACATATTTCACAGGGCTTATTTGAGGCAAAGTTTTAAGAAGATCCAAGTTTTGTTTGAGGTCCTTCTACCTGAGTATTTGGCATCTCTCCTCCCACTGATTAATATATTTTCCAACGTTAAACAATTAGTGAATTAATTACCTTTACCATCCTCTCATGAGATGCTTCACATTTTGGAAATAAACATGTATTTCAGGCTTCCCTGTCCACATTTCTCATCAAAATAAACTCACTACAAACCCTAACTCATCAATGTGTGTGTGTCTGTGTGTTTATGTATATAATATATATTGTATGTGTGTAATATATATCATGTATATGATAATGATCATATAGATTAATTTGGCTGTTTTGCTACCCAACCTCTGTAGGATATTAACCTTCTAATGAGAGATTTGCAAGAGAAAAGATTTCATATCAAGGGAGCAAATCTGATGAAACTTATTTTAGGAACTCTCAGCAGAAGTTTTTGTGACTTGCAGCCCAATTCCTTTTTAGGGGATCAAGGCGATCCTGTTAAAAAGTTGTCTGAATCTGCCGGCTTTGGACGTGCCCCTGAAGAGTAAGAATGAATATGACATGTTGATTCTTGAAGTGGCCAAATAAATCACCCGACGGTGAAGTTCTGCAATGGATGAAGGTGGCAGTGAGAGGAAAGCAGAGAGAATGCAGAGACAGGATCCTAGGCAAGAAGACAAAGGCCTGGACACAGAGAAGGAGATCAAAGTGTGGCTCTGGGTACAAAGTGAGAGTGAGTGTGCAGGAAGTGAACAAGGTCAGTAGAACTAGGAAAAGCAAAAGGTCAAGGAAACCAGCATTTGGAGACAGATAATGATGTCACCTTTGGACCAAGGGAGATTGAAGCTTCTGTAAGGCACAAAGTAAATGTTCCTGGTTAGTAATCCAGGTTCTTGGTAATTGGTATTAAGTTTGTCATGTGCTGTGGCTCATGCCAAGTCCATCCATATAAAGACAACCATGTTAGAATAAGAAAGACAAAGAACTCTCAGAGTCTGTTCCTGAGATAGAGCAGGTCCTGAGAGGCTTATCAAAAGTTCAGAAACTAAGGCAAAATTTTGGCCATGATATTCACAAAATTGAAGAGAAACAGCATTTAATAATACAGCCAAGCATTAAAAAAACCAAGACAACCTAAAACCCCAATGCCATTTGTATTGAAGGTGAGTGGGGAGCTCACCGGTGGTCTCAAGAACTTGGCAGATGCTGTCTCCTCTTCCTGGAATGCCCCTACCCCAGCTTGGCTTAGGTAGCACCATGTGAACCTCCTGGCTCTAACCAACCCTTGACAAGAATGACTTAGTCTTTTTTTTTTTTTTTTTTTTGAGACAGTCTAGCTCTGTCACCCAGGCTGGCTGGTGCAATCTTAGCTCACTACAACCTCCGCCTCCCAGGCTCAAGCAATTCTCCTGCCTCAGTCTACTGAGTAGCTGGGACTACAGGTGCGCACCACCATATCCTGCTAAATTTTTTGTATTTTTAGTAGAGCCAGGGTTTCACCATGTTGATCAGGCTGGTCTCAAACTCCTGACCTCAAATGATCTTGCCTGTCTTGGTCTCCCAAAATGCTGGGATTACATGTGAGCCACCGCACCTGGCCTGATTTCTTTCTTCCCCTGAAATATTGCTAATTATTTCCTATTTTTTTTTTACAAATGTACTTAGTTGTATACATAGCAGAATGTGAACATATTTAATTAAATGAAACTTCTGTTAGTTTTTTAGAGCTGCCGTAACAAATTACTACAAATGTAGTGCCTTCAAGCAACACAGTATATTATCTTACAGTACTGGAGACCAAATGTCTAAAATGGATCATACTGGGCTGAAATCAACTTTGTCAGCAGGATGTCATTTCTTCCTGGAAGCTCTAGGAAAGAACTGAAACTGGTTTCTTCCAGCTCCTGGAGGCTGCCCACATTCCTTGCCTGTGCCGCTCCCATCTCAGGGCCAGCAAGGGATGGAAGAGGGTTTTTTTTCCCCCACACACACAGCATTGCTTGGACACAGATTGTTCCTTCTCCCTTTTCTGTCTTTTTTTAAAGAAAACTTTTATTTTGAATTCAGGTGTACATGTGTGGGTTTGTTACATAGGTAAAAGTGTGTCATGGGGCTTTGTTGTGCTGATTATTTCATGACTCAGTTATGAAACATAGTACCCATTAGTTATTTTTCCCGATCCTCTCCCTCCTGCCACCCTCCACCCTCTGATAGGCCCCAGGGTGTATTGTTCCAAGTTATGTGTCCATGTGTTCTCATCATTTAGCTCCCACTTACAAGTGAAAATATACAGTATTTGGTTTTCTGCTCCTGTGCTAGTTTGCTAAGGATAATGGCCTCTAGCTCTAAAGGGTATGATCCCATTCTTTTTATAGCTGCACAGTATTCCATGGTGTATATGTACCACATTTTATTTATTCAGTCTATCATTGATGAGCATTTAGGTTGATTTCATGTCTTTGTTATTGTGAATAGCGCTTCAGCAAACATATGTGTGCATGTGTCTTTAAAATAGAACAGTTTATATACCTTTAAAATACCTTTGTGATTACATTGGGCCCACCTAGATAATCTAGGCTATTCTCTTTATTTTAAGATCAGCAGATTAGCAATCATAACTTTATCTGCAACTTTCATCCCTCCAACCCCAAATAACATAATATACTCACCATTTCCAGGGATAAGGATATAGCCATTTTTGAGGAGACATCATTCTTCCTACAACAAATCTCAAATTTCTAATAAGCCAAAATCTGCCAAACAAACAAACAAAAAACAAATAATATATATAATATATAGTTTCACATATATGTATATTCATATACACAGAAAGAAATACAGAAATATATCCCTTTGCAAAAAGACAACTAACAACATATTCTGCCTAAGTACACAAGTATTTAGAGGTGTTCAACATTTAATTACATCAGAGTATACTTAAAATCAGCCATTATAATGAAACCTCTGCCTAAGTGAAAATTGATTCAGAGCCATCAGTTTAAGAGCTCTAAGCCCAAATTTTCACTGGAGCATAGAAGAGCTTCATTGCCTAAGATGCTGTATTTATGAGAGCATCCTGCATCTAATGGATCAAGTTTTCCAGTCCTAAGCAGGAGTTAAGATTAAGTACACAGACAACCCCAGCTAGACTTGTTAGAATTGCATATCTAAAATACATAATGTATAATACAGCTCTAATTATAGATATATAATGTGTAATATATCTCTACAGTGATGTCTCTTTGGAAAAATAAAGACCAGGATGTAGCTGAGTGAAAGACTAGCCTCTGGGCAGCTGTGATTCTCTCAAATGTGCTCAGCTGCCAGCGACTGGCTGCAGTTAAACTCACCTCATCTATTTAACTTTCTCATGTCAAAATTTACCTGATGCCTGTGATGTGACACACTGGCCCCCCTAGTGCTGGTGCTACAGGTTTTAGTTTAGAATGACTTAATGGCAACAGTCTTGTTGACAGAAGGGCTACAAGATTTGTCTTGAAACTGTTTTATTAAAAACATGTTATTTTAATTTCGACTGGATGGGCTTTGGGAATGACTTTGGAAGGGGCTGTGGGGGATGATGGGGGACTATGGCCCTCTCATCCCTGGGCCCCCATTTCAAGAGGAGCCAACATAATCACCATCAGAGTAACAGGTTCCATGAAACATGAATGCATCTTATACTAAAATGCTCAGTGTTTGCTTTCCTTAATGCATTTGTTCCAATTTATGAACTGAAGAAAAAATAATCTCAAAGTAAAAAGCAAGTAATAAAGGAAGAAAGAAAAAAGAAGAAAAAGATAGGGCTAGGACTACTTTTTTCTGCATCTGAGTCACGAAGGGGTTTTGGAGTCTGAGGGCAAGGGCTCAGGCCTTCAGCACTTGTGACTGGCTCATGGAAACACTCAGTAGACAGTGAATGTTGTTAATCTTCCCACCACTACATTCAATGTTTTTAAATTTATATAGATTTTGCCCTTTTCTAAACTCCTTACCTAAAGGAATCTCCTCACTTTCCTAGTTCAAATTTTCTTTTTGTGCTTATAATAATTTTTTTTAAAGAATACAATATTTTCTGTTTTGCATCCTGGAAAAATAGGTATGCATTTAACTTTGCAGCAGGGTCAAATTTTACATTTGATCCACTGTAAAGGAACCATTGCAGATGTATTTTAAGAACTGAGTGTCTGAGGGTAATTCTCTTTTATTAACATATGTCCTCCCCTTTTCTGTAAATATAAAACATACATTTTTTTTCTTTAAAGCTTTTAAACATATTGGAAGAACTCAAAATGGCTTAAAGTGCTTAGAAAACTGTCATTTGATAATATAACATAAACTCAAACTACTTAACTAATTTTTTCTTTAAATTACCTATAATGTTAAAAAGTTAAGTGAAAATACATTTGCAAAGGTGCTTGAAGGTTCAATGGATTGTGGATGTTTTGAAATTCAGCAGCAGTTGGTTAATACATTCAGATCTGTCCACTTGCACCCAACTGGTGAGCTGTACCTGGAATCTCAACCAGATCTTTCATCTTCAGAGTCCAAAGTAACTTTCATGTTAAGCATCACTCCAGTGTCTTTCAGTATTTTTTTTGAAATGTCAGGAGAGAGGAGAAATAACATAGTGAAGCTGTGTTACTTGACACAGAATATCCTGAGTTTGGAACAACCACCACCACCTACAAAAAAATCTCAGAAGCATGCCAAGGGACTTGTTTCCAAGGACAACGGTTGGGGAAAGGCAGAAAAGCTAATATCTATTCAGCATAACCAGTGTAACCAAAAGCTTTAATACATTACCTATTTAATCCTAGCAAAAAATAATGATCATTATCCCTAGTCTACAGATAAAGAATTTGAGTCTACAGAGATGATGTAACTTGCTCAAAGTCAAAGTGTTAGGAAATGATGAAGGCAAGGTTAGGTATGAGTCATTTCCGCATATCCAATGAGCACTCTGAATTATATGGCATCACACTACCTACAGGGAAGGTATAAAAGCTGGACTTCTGAGCCATCTGTCTCTCTCTTCTTCGAAATATTCTTGGCCCCATGATATCCTAAGTTTACTCTCAGTGTTCTTTTCTTAAAACCATAGACCAGGATTCTGTCATATATCTCTGATTGAAACTGGAGCCCAGAATAGAATTTAACATCATCATGTTTTAATGTGTATTTGATAAGAAGTAAATAAATTCATTGCTAATTAAGCATTTTTCTGCATTAGACAATCAATGAAGGAGGAATTTTAAAGGAAAAGTTTTCTTGCTTTTTTTAAAGAACTTTATTTCTCACTTGTATTGAGTGAGTCTTTAGCATGGATATTTCTTAGCAACAACCCAACAAAAATAACATTTTAATCTCTAAAGATTTGGCTAATTGATACCACAACTAAACTGAATATTTAAAAGCTCATGTATACTAATGTGCCACATCAAGAAGGTCTAAAGAATATGTAATTGCTACATCCATATTATTTCAGAAATCTCTGGTCACCTATAACCTGGTATTGAACCAGACTAAGTAAAATGTTTTAGAATTCACATTGTCATAGTTTAGAGCAATCATTCTTATGTCTAATGCCAACCCTAATTAAGGAATATTTGAACATATAGAATTATGTTAAACATATTTAATGTAGTTAATCAGAAAATTTATATTATTACTTTTTAATTGGTTTATATAAATAATTAACTTTTAGAAACACAAATGTTTTAGGCCTCTACAAAATCTTTTGGTTATTCTACACAGATGAATATATCTATACTGCTTAACATCTTTAAATAGCTCCCTTGTGAATTTCAGTTTGAACAAGAGAATCGGGACCAAATAATGTTTTATGTACTTTTCAATTCTTAAATATATGTTGGGCTATTACTATACTTTGAAAATTATTTATTAATGGGCAAGTCCACTTATTTATTCAACAATTGTACCGCATACTCAGCACCTGCTCTATACCAGCCACTGTTCCAGATAATTGGCTGTTCAGTGGCAAATCAACTGTAAGGGATGGGATGGAATACAAATATGAAGGCAATTAATATGCAAGTAAGATAAAGACAGCCTAGACAAAGAGACACTGTCTATAATATAAACATAATTTATACACATATACATATACATATTCATATAAACATCAATATGGTAATATAACATGTAAATATTTATGTATATACATACTATTTTTAAAAAGAAGTCTTAAGAACTTACTGATGGATTACAAATATAGTAGCAAAGAAAATGAGGAGTTAAAGGTTTTGTTAAGATTGTTTTTAGGCATGATCAAAATAGGAAGATAATTTGCCACCTACTTAAATGGCAGATGATTTAATAAGAAACTGGTTTGTGGGAGACAAAAGAAGTTTGGCTTGGAATATATTACATTTGAGATTTACTCTCATAAATTTATGATGAGAGTATAAATTGTTGCCACATTGAAAAACTGTCTAGCTGAATCTACTACAATAAAATAACATATACACATACCCAAGAATTCTACTCTGAGATCTTTGCCAAAGAGGGGGTATATAAATTTCTCTAAAAACATGTACAAGAAATTTCACAGCAGCACTATTTATAACACCAAAAACCTAGAAGCAGACTAAATAATAATCAGTAATAAATTATATTTGTGCAATAAAATATTATACAGCAATGTGACCATTTACAACATTATGAATGCATTGCACAAATAATATTATGACAAAACAGACACAAAAGAATATATACTGTATGATTTCATTTATATAAGATTTACTGGATTGATAACTTGTGGGGTGGTACTTATTAGCAAAGAACAAATGGTGGGTCACTGTGATGCTAATAAACAATTGTGCTTTTAGAAATTTATTGAACTATACAATTGTATTTTATATACATTTAGCTATTTACCTTTTAATCAAATAAAAATTTAACATTATTTTTGAGGTAATTAATAAACTTTCAAGTGGAGAGATAAATAGCCAGTTGTGTGTATGGTTCTAGAGTTTTAGAGAAGGTCTGCAACGGATTTAAAACAAGGAGCTGTATATGAGATATGAAGACTGTATGAAATCCCCAAAATGATATATAGATAGTTAAGAAGCAGGGCGTAAAGACAAATCTTGTGCACCACAATGTTAAAATTTAGGAACATCAGTCATTGCTTATCAGTTAGTACGACAAAAGGTCATCAGATTGATAAGAGGATGGGTGAGTTGGTAGAGTCCAAAAGCCAAGCTAAACATCATAATGAGTGGCTGAAAGCTGGAGGCATTCCCCTTGAAAACCAGCACAAGACAAGGATGCCCTCTCTCACCACTCCTATTCAACATAGTATTGGAAGTCCTGGTCAGGGCAATCAGTCAAGAGAAAGAAATAAAGGGCATCCAAACAGGAAGACAGAAAGTCAAACTGTCCCTGTTTGAAGATGATGTAATCTTATATCTAGAAAACCCCATTGTCTCAGCCCCAAAGCTTCTTAAGTTGACATAAACTTTAGCAAAGTCTCAGAATAAAAAGTCACCGTGCAAAAATTATTCCCATTAAACTACCATTGAGATTTTTCACAAAATTAGAAAAAAAACTATTTTAAAATTCATATGTAACCAAAAAAGAGCTCATATAGCCAAAACAATACTTAGCAAAAAGAACAAAGATGGAGGCATCATGCTACCAGACTTCAAGCTATACTATAAGGCTACAATAACCAAAGCAGCATTGTACCGGTGCAAAAAGAGACACATACACCAATGGAAGAGAATAGAGAACTCAGAAACAAGACTGCACATTGACAACCATCTGATCTTTGACAAACCTGACAAAAACAAGCAATGGGGAAAGGATTCCCTGTTTCATCAATGGTGCTGGGAGAACAGGATATCAGTATGCAGAAAATTGAAACTGGAACCCTTCCTCACACCTTATGCAAAAATTAACTCAACATAGATTAAAGATTTAAATGTAAAACCCACAACTATAAAAATCCTAGAAGAAAATCTAGGCAATACCATTTACAACATAATTATAAAATCACCAAAAGAAATTGCAACAAAAGCAAAACTTGACAAATGGGACTTAATTAAACTAAAGAGCTTCTGCATAGCAAAAGAAACTATCATCAGAGCAAACAGATAACCTACAGAGTGGGAGAAAAGTTTTGCAATCTCTCTGACGAAGGTCTAATATCCAGAATCTACCAGGAACTCAAACAACTTTACAAGAAAAAAACATTAAAAATGAGCAAAGGACATGAACAGAGACTTCTCAAAAGTAGACATTCATGCAGCCAACAAACATATGGAAAAAAGCTCAACATCACTGATCATTAGAGAAATTCAAATCAAAACCACAATGAGATACCATCTCATACCAGTCAGAATGGTGATTATTAAAAAGTCAAGAAACAACAGAGGCTGGTGAGGTTGTGGAGAAATACACTGTTGGTGGGAATGAAATTTAGTTCAACTATTGTGGAAGACAGTGATTCCTCAAAGATCTAGAACTAGAACTACCATTTGACCCAGTGATCCCATTACTGGGTATATACCCAAAGGAATATAAATCATTCTATTACAAAGATACTTGCATGCATATGTTTATTGCACCACTATTCACAATAGAAAAAACATACAATCCACCCAAATGTCCATCAATGATAGACTGGATAAAGAAAATGTGATACATATACACCATGGAATACTATGTAGCAATAAAAAGGAATGAGATTATGTCCTTTGCAGGGACATGGATTAAGCTGGAAGCTTTAGCAAAGTAATGCAGGAATAGAAAACCAAACACCTCCTGTTCTCACTTATAAGTGGGAGCTGAACAATAAGAACACACGAATTCAGGAAGGGAAACAGCACACACTGGAGCCTGTTGGGGGTTGGATAGTGCGAGGGAGAGCATTAGGAAAAATAGTGAATGCATGCTGACTTAATACCTAGGTGATGGGTTGACAGGTGCACCAAACCACCATGGCACACATTTACCTATGTAACAAACCTGGACATCTTGCACATGTACCCCAAAACTAATAATAAAAATTAAAATAAAAAATTACTAGCATTCCTGTACATTGACAAAAATCAGGCTGACAGCCAAATCAGCAAAGAACTCCCATTCAGAGCAGCCACAAAAAGAATAAAATACCTAGGAAATATAGCTAACTAGGGATATGGAACATCTCTACAAGGAGAACTACAAACCACTGCTTAAAGAAATGAGAGATGACACTTGTTTAATAGAAAACATTCCATGTTCATGGAGAGGAAGAATCAGTATCATTAAAATGGCCTTACTCCCCAAAGCAATGTATAGATTCAATGCTATTCCTATTAAACTATCTTTGAGATTCTTCACAGATCTAGAGAAAACTATTTTAAAATTCATACAGATCCAAAAGAAAGAGACTGAATAGCCAAGGCAATACTAAGCAGAAAACAAAACAAAACAAACAATAAAAGCTGGAGGCATCACTCTACCTGACTTCAAACTATGCAACAGGGATACAGTAACCAAAACAGCATGGTACTGGTACAAAAACAGACACATAGACCAATGAAACAGAATAGAGAACCCAGAAATAAGACTACATTCCTACAACTATCTACTCTTCAACAAACCTGACAAAAAAAAAGCAATTAGAAAGGATTCCCTATTCAGCAATTGTTGCTGGGATAACTGGCTAGCCATATGCAGAAGATTAAAACTGGACACTTTCCTTACATCAAGTAAAAAATTAACTCAAGATGGATTAAAGACTTAAATATAAAACCCAATGCTATAAAAACTCTGGAAGGCAGCCTAGACAATGCCATTCAGGATACACGCATAAAGATGTCAAAAGCAATTGCAACAAAGGCAAAAATTGACAAACAGGATCTAATTAAACTAAAGAGGTTCTGCACAGCAAAAGAAACTATCAACAGAGTAACAGACAACCTACAGAATGGGAGACAAATTTTTGCACACTATGCGTCTGACAAAGGGCTGCTAATATCCAGCATCTATTTACAAGAAAAAACTAAACAACCCCATAAAACAGTGGGCAAAGGACATGAACAGACACTTTTCGAAAGAAGACATACATGCGGCCAACAATCACGATCACAATGAGATACCATCTCACATAGAATGGCTATTAATAAAAAGTCAAAAAATAACAGATGCTAATGAGGTGTGGAGAGAAAGGAATGTTTATACACTGTTTGTGGGAGTGTAAATTACTTCAGACATTGTGGAAGATAGTGTGGCAATTCCCCAAAAACCTAAAGAAAGAAATACCATTTGAAGGCAGGCATGGTGGCTCATGCCTATAATCCTAGCACTTTGGGGGGCTGAGGTGGGCAGATCACTTGAGACCAAGAGTTTGAGACCAGCCTGGGGAACATGGTGAAACCGTGTCCCTACAAAAAATACAAAAATTAGCTGGGCATGGTGGTGGGCACCTGTATTTCTGGCTACTCAGGAGGCTGAGGCCTGAGAATTGCTTAAACCTGCTAGGCAGAGGTTGCAGTGAGCAAAGATCATGCCACTGCACTCCAAGATGGGTGACAGAGTGAGAGTCTTTCTCAAAAAAAAAAGAAAGAAAAAGACATGCCATTAAACCCAGCAATCTCATTGCTGGGTATATACCCAAAGGAATATAGATCATTCTATTATAAAGACACATTCATGAGTATGTTTATTGCAGCACAATTAACAATAACAGAGATGTGGAATTGACCTAAATCAATAATATGCTAGATTAAAAAAATGTAGTACATATCCACCATGTAGTACATATTCACCATGGAATACTATGCAGCCATAAAAAATGAGATCATATCCTTTTCGGGGACATGGATGAAGCTGAAGGACATTATCCTTAGCAAACTAACACAAGACCAGGAAACGGAATTCCACATGTTCTCACTTGTAAGTAGGAGCTAAATGATGAGAACAAATGAATGCATAATGGGGAACAACACACACTGGGGCCTAGAGGGAGGGAGAAGGGGAAGGATCAGGTAAAGTAAACAATGGAGACTAGGCTTAATACCTAGGTGATAAAATAATCTGTACAACACACCGCCATGACACAAGATTACCTATAAAACAAACCTGCATTTGTACCCCTGAACTTAAAATAAAGTTTAAAAAAAAAGAGCAATTGGCTTGTCAAATAATGCAGATAAGTGAAGGAATATGACTTAGTAGAGAAAATTAAAATAAAAACAACTTTCATTTAAAAGAAAGTACAGTCTGGATATGGTTGCTCACACCTGTAATCCCAGCATTTTGGGAGGCTGAGGTGGCAGGGTCACTTGAGACCAGGAGTTTGAGACCAGCCTGGGCAACATAGTGAGACCCCATCTCTGCAAAATAAAAATTAAAAAATATACGATTGATAATACATAAAAGAAAGTAGAGCATAGTGATCAGAGTTAAAAATACAGTATTATATAATTAAAATTTTGCTAAGAGGGTAGACAAAATAATAAGTAAAGCAGATTAGAGGAAACTTTTGGAGGTGATGGATATGTTTATGGCATAGATTGTGATGATAGTTTCAGGGGTATACACTTATATACAAACTCATCAAGATTTAGATATTAAATATGTATAGCTTTTAGTATGTTAAACATACCTCAGTAAAGTAATTTTAAACAAAGGAACTCATTATAATCATATCTAACCAGATTTCAGGGAAAACTCAAGCATATGAAACCTTCGGAGTTTTAGAAGTATTATAAAGACACTTCCCTTCATTCTCTGAATCTTTCTCAAAGTAGAAAGTTTGTGGTTTTTTGAATGAAAAAAAGGAGAGAGAAAAAAGAAATAGGGGAGGTTCACTAGAGGGATAATATTAGAAGACCTTCTGAAAAGGAACCTAGTGCACAAATGAAGAGGCCACCCTTGGTTAGGTTGAGGAAGGGTTCCTATACAGAAACAAGAACAAATTGAATAATATCAGTTAGCAAGTGAAGGGTGGGCAAGGTAGACATTCTTTTATGATGGTTTATAGTGTCTTAGTGGAAGAGGAAGGTCTTCACCTAAAAATGAACAGAAGTAAATAAAGGTTTGATAAAGGAGGAGAAGGAACTAAAGACTCTTCTAAAAGAATATGATTTTGATGACTATAGAGAGAGCAGTAGAATTTCTGCAGAGCATCAAAAGGCTCACTTCTTATTTTAGTTCATATACTAAAAGTAAAATAAGGCCAGGCACGATGGTTTATGCCTGTAATCCCAGTGCTTTGAAAGGATGGGATTGAGAGGATTGCTTGAGGCCAAGAGTTTGAGGCTAGCCTGAGGAATGCAGTGAGACCCCTTCTTTACAAAAAATGTTAGAAGTTACCCGAACATGGTGGTTAGCACCTTTAGTCCTCGGTACTAGGGAGGCTGAGGCAGGAGGAACCCTGGAGCACAGGAGTTCAAGGATACAGTGAGCTATGATTGCACCACTGCACTCTAGTCTGGGTGACAGAACAAAATTCTGTTCCTCAGTAAAGAGAAAATAAAACAAAAAAGTAAAATAAATTATTTGGAGAAGAGTATGGTAAACATGCGGATCCTCCATTTACGAAAAAATGGATACAGCTAATGAAAAATCAATGCCCTGTATGGAGGAGTTGTTAATGAAAAATTGTCTTATTATCACCAAGGAGGTGATAACAAAACAGAGATTAATCTGACAAAGATTTACCTAGTCATGAAGGAACCTAGCTTTTTCCTTATGGCTTATGTTCCTTCATTATTGTTTTTTCTCTTTTTAATATAAAACATTAAAATTAATAATTGAAACAAATGTCAAAAAGTTAAGAGGTATCACAAAAATAACATGTTTTGGATAAAATTTTTCATCTACAGGAGAGTAGCGAATAAGAGAGCAGATGTTTTCTAGTTTCAGAAAATTAAAAATAGTGTGATGTGTGTTTATGTGTATGTGATTTTATTTGTATGTGTTTTCACACCACCAATTTTAATTGTTCATTTCCTTGACTGTAAAGATATAGGAGGTAATGAGTTCTTCATTGTTCAATAATTGTGTACTTAACAGAAGTCTCAAGCAGCAATAGTAAATTTCTGCTTTACTCCAATGTTTGGGTATTGCAGGGCAAATAATCACAGATACATCTGTTCTCACATAAAGCAAACTGCTTTTGCTATGAAAATACACAGATGCAGTGAGCATTAAAAATCATCATGGTGAATTTGATTGATTCAAATTTGGTGGCTTCTGCTTTTGACATAAAATATCTTTAAAAATCATATATGTGTATATATATGTATATGTATATACACACCTATATAACCATATTCATAAAACAATGAAGGCAGAGATAATGATAATTTTTACTGTCTACATGAGCATATCAAGCCACTTGCTCCAAAAGAATTAAAAAAAAAAAAAACAGAAGGCTTTAAAAAATAGCTTAGAGAGAGTAGCATCAACAGAATGATGTTGTAGGCAGCTCCCAATGCCCATCCTTCCACAGAAAAAAGCAAAAATAATAACAGTAATAATAAATAAGCAAAGTGAACAGAATCAACTTTTTCAGAACTCTAAAAAATGGGCAAAATTTCACAGCAACCAAACACTGAATCAAGAAAAGGCAATTTTAAAACATTGGAATATCTTCGTTGCATTTACATTTCCCCTCGCCCTGTCTATCTCTGCTTTTAATAATGAGTAATATATCTTGAAATAGGATCAATTTTTTTAAGAGAGGACTTAAATAATACTATAAAACTATAAATACTACTATATAAAAACAATAAACCTATAAAAATACTATAAACTAGACCCTACCAACAAAACAATTCACCTAATAAGAGAAGAATCCACATCATAATTAAGTGAACAAGGAACATTCTCTATGATGGACCAATTACTAGGCCACGAACCAGGTTTAACAAATTTTTAAAAATCATACAGAACATCTTTTCCAACTGCAATGAAATAAACCTAGATGTAAATGACAAAAGGAAAACTGGAAAATGTACAAATATGTGGAATTTAAACAACACACTTTCAATCACCCAAGAGATCAAAGAAGAAAACAAAAGATAACATAGAAAATATTATACTTAGAGATAAATGAA
The DNA here is from genome assembly GCF_000001405.40 of Homo sapiens. NCBI lineage: Eukaryota > Metazoa > Chordata > Mammalia > Primates > Hominidae > Homo > Homo sapiens. Next base: position 123,554,572 of record NC_000002.12, on the reverse strand, counting down.
AATGGAAAGACACAGTGAAGGCAGTGCTCAGAGGAAAATTTATAGCAGCAACAATGTACATTTTTTTAAAGTAAAGATTTCAAATCAATAATGCAACTTTAAACCTCAAGGAAGTATGAAAAGAAAAGCAAATTAATTCCAAAGCTAGCAAAAGAAAGAGAAAAATAGGGATTAGAATGGAAATAAATGAAGTAGAGATTAGATAATCAATACAGATGAATTAATAAAATCAAAAGTTGATTCTTTGAAAAGATCAACAAAATTGACAAATCTTCAGTTAGAACTCATAGAAAAAAATAGAAATGATAACAATAAATAAAATTAGAAACAAAAGTAAGGACATTACTGTTGACTTTACATAAAGAAAGATAGATTATTGAAAATGCTATGAAAAATTAAATGCCAACAAATTAGATAACCTTTCAGGAATAGAACAATTTTTAGAAACACAAAACTTATAAAAACTAAAGAAGTCATAGAAAGCTGAAACATACTGCCAAAGTCATTTATAGATTAAATGCTATTCCCATCAAGCTACCTTTGACTTTCTTCGCAGAATTAGAAAAAACTACTTTAAATTTCATATGGAACAAAAAAATGAGCCCATATAGCCAAGACAATTCTAAGCAAAAAGAACAAAGTTGGAGGCATCATGTTACCTGATATCAAACTATACTACAAGGTTATGGTAACAAAACCGCATGGTACTGGTACCAAAACAGATGTATAGGCCAATGGAACAGAACAGAGGCCTCAGAAATAACACCACAAATCTACAACCATCTGATCTTCAACAAACCTGACAAAAACAAGAAATTGGGAAAGGATTCCCTATTTAATAAATGGTGCTGGGAAAACTGGCTAACCATATGCAGAAAAGAGAAACTGGACCCCTTCTATACACCTTATACAAAAATCAACTCAAGATGGAGAAAATGTAAAACCCAAAACCATAAGAACCTTAGAAGAAAACCTAGGCAATACCATTCAGGACATAGGCATGGGCAAAGAATTTATGACTGAAACACCAAAAGCAATTGCAACAAAAGCCAAAATTGACAAATGGGATCAAATTAAACTAAGATGCTTCTGCACAGCAAAAGAAACTAGCATCAGAGTGAACAGGCAACCTAAATAATGGGAGAAAAATTTTGCAATCTACGCATCTGACAAAGGTCTAATATCCAGAATCTACAAGAAACTTAAATAAATTTACAAGAAAAAAACAAACAACTGGCCGGGCGTGTTGGTTCACACCTTTAAGTCCCTGCATTTTGGGAGGTCAAGGCAGGCGGATCATGAGGCCAGGAGTTCAAGATCAGCCTGACCAACATGGTGAAACCCAGTCTCTACTAAAAATACAAAAGCTAGCTGGGTGTGGTGGCACATGCCTGTAATCCCAGCTACTCGGGAGGCTGAGGCTTGGAAATTGCTTGAACCCGGGAAGTGGAGGTTGCAGTGAGTGGAGATCGCACCACTGCACTCCAGCCTCGGCAACAGAGACAGAATCCGTCTCAAAAAAAAAAAAAAAAAAGCAACCCCATCAAAAAGTGAGCAAAGGATATCAACAGAAACTTCTCAAAAGAAGACATTTATGCGGCCAACCAACATATGAAGAAAAGCTCATCATCACTGGTTATTAGAGAAATACAAATCAAAACAATTTTGAGATACCATCTCACACGAGTTAGAATGGCTATTATTAAAAAGTCAGGAAACAACAAATGTTGGCGAAGTTGTGGAGAAATAGGACCGCTTTTACACTGTTGGTGGGAGTGTAAATCAGTTTAACCATTGTAGAAGACAGTGTGGTGATTCCTCAAGGATCTAGAACTAGAAATACCACTTAACCCAGCAATTCCATTACTGGATATATACCCAAAGGATTATAAATCATTCTACTCTAAAGACATATGCACATGTATGATTATCACAGCACTATTTACAATAACAAATACTTGGAACCAACCCAAATGCCCATCAATGATAGACTGGATAAAGAAAATGTGGCACATATACACCATGGAATATTATGCAGCCATAAAAAAGAATGAGTTCATGTCCTTTGCAGGGATATGGATGAAGCTGGAAGCCATCATCCTCAGCAAACTAACACAGGAACAGAAAACAAAATACTGTATGTTCTCACTCATAAGTGGGAGTTGAATAATGAGAACATGTTGACACAGGGAGAGGAACATCACACACCAGGGCCTGTTGGGGTGTTGGGGGCAAGGGGAAGGATAACATTAGGACAAATACCTAATGCATGCAAGGCTTAAAGCCTAGATGATGGGTTGATGGGTGCAGCAAACCACCATGGCACATGTATACCTATGTAACAAACCTGCATATTCTGCACATGTATCCCAGAACTTAAAGTAAAATTTAAAAGGTAAATGAATACGATTTTTTAAAAGATAAGGCAATACAGTAAAAAAAATGAAACATACTTATAAAAAGTAAAAAGACTGAATCAAAAATGAAATAAGATAATAATAGCACAAGAAAAATTCCTCTCAGAAAAGAAATGCCCAGGGCAAATGTCTTCACTGATGAATTCCATTAAATATTAAATGAATAATCAACACTAAACCTTATCAAAATTCTCCAAAAAGTAGAATAGGAAATACTTTTTAACTTATTCTATCAAGTTAGTGTTACCCTGCTATAAAACACAGATAAAGACATCACAAGAAAATATAATGCAGATACAAACATAGATACAAATCCTCAATAGTAGCAAACAGAATACAATAACATCGTAAAATAATTGTATACTTAGAACAAGTGAAATATTAATATATACAGGGTATATAAAGGTGGTCCAGTACAAGAAAATCAACTAATGTAATATGCTACATGATTAAACAAAGGAAAAATAAAACACAATTATCTCAATATATACAGAAATAACCTTTGATGAAACCCAACACTCTTTCCTAATGAAACCCTACTAAAGAAACTAAGGCTAGAAAGAAACATTACCAACACAATCAAGTGCGTTTATGAAAAACTCACAGCTGACATCGTACTCACTGGTGAAAGACTGAAATATTTCCCTCAAAGAATCGGATCAAGACAAGGATGCTTGCTTTGACAACCAATATTTATCATTGTACTGGAATTTCTAACTAGAGAAATTAGGCATGAAGAATAAATTGAAGGCACCCACATTGGAAAAGAAGATGTACAATTATTTCTACTAATAGATGGCATGATACTACATTTAGAAAATTCAAAGTCATTTGCAGAAAACTGCTACTAATGCAAATAATAATGTTTGCATATTTGCAGGATACAAATTCATCATGCAAAAATCAGTTGTATTTTTCATTGCAGTTCATCATTTCTTCATTAATTGGAAGACTTAATATTTTCAAGATGTCAATACTATGCAAAGCAATGTAGACATTTAATGCCATCACTCAAAATCTAAATGGACTTCTTTGGAAAAATTAAAAAGCTCATCTGCAAATTTATATAAAATTGCAAGAAGCCCCAAACTTCTAAAACAATCTTGTGAAAGAATAACGACATCAGAGGATTTACACTTTACATTTTTAAAACTTAATACTAAGCTATAGTAATCAAAACAGCATGTTACTATTAATATACACACTATGTTAGGCTAGACATACTAGGTTATGCTAGGCTAGACATACACACTAATGGAACAAATCTGAGAGTCCAGAAATAAGCCCATACATGCATGACTATCTGCTTTTCAGTAAGGTTACCAAGATAATTTGATCAGCAAAAAGAAAAGTAAACAAAAGGAAGAATGGTGCTTGAACAACTGAATACCTACACACAGAATAATAAATTTGGACCTCATACCATATACAAAAAATAACTCAAGTGGGTCAACAACTAAAATATAAGAGCTTAAACAAAAATCTCTTAAAATCATTAGTCACTAGGAAAATACAAATCAAAATCACTAGATACACATCACACTACTAGGATAGCTATTTTTTTAAAAAAACAGAAAAACAACCAGTGTTATAGAATATGTGTTTAAATTATTAAATTAGAACCAACCTATATTGCTGGTGGAAATGTGAAATGGTTCGGCTGCTGTGGAAAAGAGTTTGGCAATCCTTCAAAAACTTAAGCATACAATTATCCTACAATGTCTCAATTGCATTCCTAGTATATTCCTGCCAAAATCTTAAGCAAAAATTATCCTACAATGCCTCAATTGCATTCCTAGATATATTCCTGCCCAAATCGAAAACAGACATTCAAACAAGTACATGTACACGATTGCTCAGAGCAGCACTCTTCACAATAGCCAAGATGTACAAAAAGTCCAAATGTCCCATCAACAGATGAATGGATAAACAAATTGGTGCATATAGATAAAGTGGAATATTATTCAGCAATGAAAATTAAGGACTGATATGTGTTACAATGTAGATGTACCTCTAAAACATTGTATCATGTAAAAGAACCAGATGCAAAAAAATCACATAGAATTCCACTTGGAAAAAATATAAGGAAAAATCATATATAAAATAATTTATAAAATATCAGGAAAAGACAGAATGCAGGTTGGTGTCACCAGAGACTCAGCAGAGGAGCAATGGGCAGAAGTTGCTTAACAGGCTAGGAGTTTTACTTTGAATTCATGGTGATGGAAATACTTTGGAGCTAGATAGAGCTGGCAGTTGTACAACATGAATATCATAAATGCCACTAAAATGTTCACTTTAAAATGTTTATAATTTTATGTCAGGTTAATTTCACCCCATAATTATAATTTTTAAAAAATAATAATTTAGACATATGACAATACATTTATAAACTTGAGGGTATTAAAATATGTATGAAAATCAGGACTTGATTCAAATACTTGTTATTAATAAAGGCAGCAATATATAAAGAGCCGACATCTGCAGCCAAGTTTAATTTCTTTACTTGTAAATGTGAATTGCACTTTATTATACACCCTTATTTAAGGACACATGACTTTTAGGTGTCCTATTTACATTCATTCAATAGACATTTATTGGGTACCTAGTAGGCTCCAGCTCTATTCTTGGTAGGGATATAGAAGTGAATGAAACAGAAGCTAACCCTTAATTTCCTGAAGAACACATTCCAAATGAAGGAGAAAGATAATAAACAATATGACTAAATTAAATCTGTAGTATGCTAGGTAGCCATGAGTTCTAAGATAAAACCTGAAGCTGAGAAATTTGTTAATAAGTATGATATTGAGAGTTTATATAAGGGGAGATAGTAAAACTGTTGGACAGAGTGGTCTGGGAAGTTCTCACTAAGTAGTTAACATGTTCGAATAAATACCTGAAGGAAGTGAGGGAAAGAGTCAAATGGATAACTTGGGAAAAGCACCCCAGGTCTAAGGAATGGCAAAGGCATCTTCTGACATCTTCTGAAATAAGCACAGAAGTTTGCCTGCAACAGAGTAAGAGCAGAGGTGAGAATGGAAGGCCCTGAAGTTGAGGAGAAAGCCGGAGTCCACAATAAATAGGAACTTTTAGGGCATACGAATGCCATTTCACTACAAGAGGTATCAGATGAATTTGAGCAAGAAAACACCAAGACTGTTGTATCCTTACATCTTAATAGTATTGCCCTGGAACTTGTGTGGAGGACAGTTGAAGGTGGGCAAATATAGACACAGGGAGATCAGTTAGGTTATAATTCAGGAGAAAGATGATGGACCAAAAAAGGTAGCTCATGAGGTGCTACCACTGTTTGGACAGGAAATGGATAGGCAGTATTTATTGGAGAATTCAATAAGGATTGGTAAAGGAAGAGAGAAGCTGAAGATAATTCCAAACATTTTTGACCTGGAAAAGTGGAAGGTTGAAGTAAGCATCAGGCAAAACAAAAAACAAAACAAAAAAAAACCCACAAAATCAAAAACAAAAACAAGAAAAACACATGGGACAAGCAGGTTACAAATGCATCTCACACATTTACCTCCCCTATTTTAGGAAGACTTCTGAGTTTAAGTGGTGAGAATGCATGTCAAACTTACTAGGAATAACTCTCTCTCTTTCTCTCTCTCTCTCTCTCCATATATATATATATATATCTCCACATGTATGTGTGTGCACATATATATGTCATACACATAATAATATGCCATGTATAAGGAGATAAATATGCTATTTTTTGCATTAGCATGAGAGAGGCTGTACATTTAGATTATATCCAGATTTATAGCAGAGATCTGGAACTCAGCTTTCAGGTTTTAGGTCTTCCATTGTCAATTCATTTAATATGTCTGTGCATCAGTTTCTTAATTGTTATGAGGATTAAATAAATTAATGTAGAGTTCTGAAAGTGGTGCTTTGCACCTAATGGTAGGTGTGCATGTGTTGCTGTCATTAATATTGAAACAATATATGCATGTAAGAGCCTAGCAATAGTAGTGATGTGATTAAAAATATACAATAAAAAATGACAAAGAACTAGAGAGTTTTTTGTCCTTGCGATAGTTTGCTGAGAATGATAGGTGGGAATTGAACAATGAGAACACATGGACATAGGAAGGGGAACATCACACACCGGGGCCTGTTGTGGGGTGGGGGGAGGTGGGAGGGATAGCATTAGGAGATATACCTAATGTAAATGATGAGTTAATGGGTGCAGCACACCAACGTGGCACGTGTATACATATGTAACGAGCCTGCACGTTGTGCACATGTACGCGAAAACTTAAAGTATAATAATAATAAAATAAAAAAAAGGACTAGTGTGTTAAAAACACATTTTCATAAAAAATATTTCCTAATATAATACAGAAATTCTTTCTTACAAGGTTGATAATCTGCTTCTTTCAATAAAGTATTCCTTTTAGAATTTTAAATACTAAGTCAAAGAAAATTATATTGATATTTTGGGATAAGCAATTAAAATGTTATATAGTATTTTATAGATTGATAACTTATATATTACCAACTTTCAGGTGTAAATTTTTATTAAAATGTGAGATTAATTGAAGATATTACAGCTCTTATTGTCACTCGATAGATTTGTAGAGATGAAAAAAAAATCCTGTGCCTCATTACATATTTTGTACACAAATATAAATTTGTATCCATGTAATTGGAGGTGCCATTTCAGACTTAGTCTGTGAACTCTGATCCTTATGGATCCTTAGTATATAATAGTTACATTTCAGACAACAAAATTATTAGTTTTCTTTTCTGAAATGTAACTATTATATGCTAACAGAAATAAGACATACTAAAAGACATCAGCTATTTGTTATGAATATTTTGTGCTCTCTTTGTCTATTTTTAAACTTTCCATAGTGAACTTCTATTTATTTTATGTTCAGGAACAAATAAATATGTTTTGAAATAAAACAATGGAAAAGAAAGTTTTGAAGGAAGAATAAAAGCAACTTGCAACATAATAGAATGGAATGATAAAGTTAGTAAAAAATGTATCTGTATTCTGCTTTACTAAATTAAAATGTCATTTTAGTTAAATGAAAAGAGCTATTATTGTACTTTATTTTCTAAGGTAATATGTAGGAAACTCTATTTGAGAAAAATAATGACCATCTACAATCAGAGCATGAATTTTTGTACCAACCTATCGTAGACAACACACAATAATTTATTGCGGACTGTACATTTACCTTTGATACACTGAGTGAAAATTGTAGAACGTGTGATAGAAATACTAAGATACATAAAATTTTTTGTCACATAATATGTGGCCTTGAGCAAGTAACTTCTCTGTGTGTCTCCATTTTATCATCTATAAAATGAAATAAATGTTCTGGAGTATCTCTCTTATTATCTAACCAGTTTAGGTTAATGGGAGTTCTTAGAGTTTATCAAGTATAGTCTCAAACATAGGTCAACTAACATTTTTCCCTGGTTGTGTAGACATATGTTAGAAACCCAGTAAATAAAATGTGTAAAGAATAATTTAGAGCTGTCAAGAACACACACATGCACATGTACACATCATCCTCTGTGCAAACTAACCTAAATTTATTTAGGTTTACAGATTTAAGATGACTATACAGTGACTCAGAATAGAAAGGAGGTACAGCTACAAATGAATTACTAAGTGATACATCAACCTACAGCAGGAAAATCAAATGCAATTTTTCTTTTCTATTCATTGTATTTGCATACAGTACAATTTATAGGGGGAAAAAAGACATTCTTTCACTCCAGACAAGCCCCTGCTGCTTCCTGGACAGATAGGTTATACTAGCTAACGATTCTTATGCACGACAGTGTGATTACACTTGTGATGTTTTCGTCTTTTAAAAATGTACACAGAAAATTAAAGGATTCTTTGGCTATCAGCTTCCATGTCTCAGTTTAGAGGTACTTGAGGATTATTTTTATGAAAGAAGTAGCGTCTTCCTATTTAAACGGAAGAATAGACAGAATGCTTCGGAGTTCATATTCGCGTTGTTTTTTTTTAGGCACCGCCTATCATGCCTAGAGGGCTAGCAATGCACACTGGGTACTTTCTGTAGGTCTGTTCTCAAAGGCAGCCTGTCCTTCCACTGACTTGGAAATCTAACTCTAAGAGTGGCTTCCATAAATATGACAACAAAGGTAAATTTGTTTTCTTCCTTTTTTTTTTTCAGAAGACCTTAGAGATTATGAGTAAGTCATTTTTGTGAAAAATAAATGGTAGTAAGAAGAAAAGGAGGACAAGATAGTAAAAACAGGAAGAATAAAAACCATAGGGATCAGGAGAGAAAATAAAGGGGATAATAAGGGAGAAAAATCACTAAGAGAAGAAGAAATGTTGAATAAAGTGAGCAAAAAAGAAATTAAAAGGAATTAAAAAAATGAAAGGGACAACGTATTATATAGCTCTCCCACCTTCCCCTATATTCAATTTATTTTTTTCTCCTAGTTTTTGTTCTCAGAATTTTTTCTTTTAAATTTTTCTTCATTTCTTTTCTTTTTAAACTTTTTTTACAAATATCTCCTGGAATAAAAATACAATTACTTGTTTTGATAGACAGTGACTACATTTTTACCCAAATTATTATTTTTGTTTCTTACCAAAAAAATTAGACTATATTTTTTGGCTGCCCTCACAGTTAATAGTGACATGTGACTGGATTCCATCCAATGGGAGTGCGGAGGAAATGATGGATGCCACATCACCACATCAGAGCTGAAATGGTTAAGAAATGAATGTGATTTCTAATAGAGAAGGCGGAAATGAGTCTAAGACCATAAGGCATATGAGCCACAAAATGGAAGGAAAATGGGTTCCTGGAACACTACAAGACTACAAATAAATACCTAAGGTGGATTGTTATGTGAGTAAGATATAAAATTTTATCTCTATTAAGATGTGGGTATTTATACAAAATAATGCAGAAGCCAATTCCTTCCTGGACACTAGTTACAGTCCTATTGCTCTGCTCAATTTCTCACTTGAGAGAGTTATCTACACATGTGTCTTCTATTAATTAATTATTATTTTATTCTCCAGCTTCCAAAGTCAGTTTTATTCCCTCTGTCATCTAATTGTGTTTTCCTAGTGACAAATACTTTAATTTTTGTCTAGTTGAAAGAGTTTGAGCCTTTATTTTATGTAACTTGAAAACTATTTATGATATTTTTGACCAACAATCACTTTTTGAAACTCTCAACACTGTAATTTGTTCAAATTTGTAATCTTATTTTGTTCCTAACTGGATACTCTACAATCTCCCTGATAACTATTTATTTTTGGCCACCATCCCTATCAACGTCTCTGCTATTGTTGGACATAACTTCAAACTGCCTCCTCTCCCTGCCTAGATTCCAATCCACTTTCATAGCTTCAAATAAAAGTTATATAACTGATTTTATATAATCTATAATCTATATAGATTATATACCTATATATATATATTCAGACTTAGTCTGTGAACTCTGATCCTTATGAATCCTTAGTATATAATAGTTAAATTTCAGATATAGATATATAATCTATATCTATATATAGATATATTATATAATATATATTATATATAATCTATATCTATATATAGATATATTATATAATATATATTATATATAATCTATACCTATATATAGATATATTATATAATATATATTATATATAATCTATATCTATATATAGATATATTATATAATATATATTATATATTATATATATTATAAATAATATATATATTATATATAATCTATATATAATCTATATCTATATCTACTTTTCTATATATAGAGGTCTATATCTATAGTTCTATATCTATATATTTATATTCATGTCTACATGTCAATTCATATAGACATAGCAATATAGATATATAAAATAAAAATTTTGATAATCGCCAGACCTATACACCTATCTAATGAGATGTCCCTAGTTGGATGTTACATAAACATGTTGATTTTACTGTAATCAAACTTATTTTTTGGTCTCCTACACCAAGCCTGATAATCTCCTTTGTCTCAGTCAATGGAAAGGTCTCTAACTCTATTCAGTAACAAAATAAGAACAATAAAACTGGAATCTATTCTTGACATTTTATTTTTTGTACTTAATTCATCCAACAGTAGGCTCAATTGACTCTCTTTTAATAATTATGACCTGACCCATCTCAACCATTACATTCTTAGCTTGGGCACTGTTTTTTTTATAGGTATAAGTGCAGCTGTTTTCAGAAATGTAAAAAAAAAATAAGTTCATATTAGTTTTTTTTAATCACAGCTATAACAAATACCACAAATTCAGTGGCTTAAAACAACAAAACTTCATAATCTTACAACTCTTTCCATGGAACCATACAGCACTAAAATCCATGTTTCAATATGTTGAATTCCTTTCCAGAGGGAGCAAAAATAATCTGTTTTCTGCTCATGTGTATGGTTAGGATAATTCAGTTGTTTCTGAGTGTAAGAATGATCCATTTTATTATTGACTGTAAGCTGAAGGCCATTCTCAGCACTTAGAGGCTTCCATAGGCTTTGATCATGACCTTCTTCCTCCATCACCAAAGCAAGCACAATTGGTGAAATATTTCTCATGCTGCCATCTTTCTGACCTACATATCCTCTTCCTCTTTTATGTATTCACATTTTATTTCTTTAGTTATTTATTTTTATGTATTTATTTTTTATTATACTTTAAGTTCTGGGATACACGTGCAGAATGTGCAAGTTTGTTACATAGGTATACATGTGCCATAGTGGTTTGCTGCACCCATCAACCTGTCATCTAGGTCTTAACCCCTGCATGCATTAGGTATTTCTCCTAATGTTATCCTTCCCCTTGCCCCCAACACCGCAACACGCCCTGGTGTGTGATGTTCCCCTCCCTATGTCCCTGTGTTCTCATTGTTCAACTCCCACTTATGAGTGAGAACATTCAGTGTTTGGTTTTCTGTTCCTGTGTTAGTTTGCTGAGAATGATGGTTTCCAGCTTCACCCATGTCCCTGAAAAAGACATGAACTCATTTTTGTAATGGCTGCATAGTATTCCATTGTGTATGTGTGCCAAATTTTCTTTATCCAGTCTATCATTGATGGTCACTTGGGTTGGTTCCAGGTCTTTGCTATTGTAAATGGCGCTGCAATAAACAAACGTGTACATGTGTCTTTAAAGTAGAATGATTTATAATCCTTTTGGTATCTACCCAGTAATGGGATTGCTTGGTCAAATGGTATTTCTTGTTCTAGATCCTTGAGGAATCGCCACACTGTCTTCCACAATGGTTGAACTAATTTACACTCCCGCCACCAGTGAAAAAGCATTCTTATTTCAACACCTCCTCTCCAGCATTCGTTGTTTCCTGACATTTTTAATGACAGCCATTCTAACTGGCGTAAGATAGTATCTCATTGTGGTTTTGATTTGCATTTCTCTAATGACCAGTGATGATGAGCTTTTTTTTCATATGTTTTTTGGCCACATAAATGTCTTCTTTTGAGAAGTGTCTGTTTATATCCTTTGCTCACTTTTTGATGGGGTTGTTTTATTCTTGTAAATTTGTTTTAGTTCCTTGTAGATTCTGGATATTAGACCTTTTTAGATGAATAGAGTGCAAAAATGTTTCCCATTCTGTAGGCTGCCTGTTCACTCTGATGCTAGTTTTTTTTTTTTTTTTTTTTTTTTTTTTTTTTTTTTTTTTTGCTGTGCAGATGCTCTTTAGTTTAATTAGATCGCATTTGTCAATGTTGGCTTTGTCGTCATTGCTTTTGGTGCTGTAGTCATGAAGTCTATGCCTTTGTCCTGAATGGTATTGCCTAAGTTTTCTTCTAGGGTTTTTATGGTTTTAGGTCTTATGTTTAAGTCTTTAATCCATCTTGAGTTAATTTTTGTATAAGGCGTAAGGAAGGGGCCCAGTTTCACTTTTCTGCATATGGCTAGCCAGGTTTCCCAACACGATTCATTGAATAGGGAATCCTTTCCCAATTGCTTCTTTTTGTCAGGTTTATCAAAGATCAGACAGTTGTAGATGTGTGGTGTTATTTCTGAGGCCTCTGTTCTGTTGCATTAGTCTATATATTTCTGTTTTGGTACCAGTACCTTGCTGTTTTAGTTACTGTAGTCTTGTAGTATAGTTTGAAGTCAAGTAGCATGATGCCTCCAGCTTTGTTCTTTTTGCTTAGTATTGTCTTAGCTATATGGGCTCTTTCTTGATTCCATATGTAATTTAAAGTAGTTTTTTTTTTTAATTCTGTGAAGAAACTCAATGTTAGCTTGATGGGAATAGCATTGAATCTATAAATTACTTTGGGCAGTATGGCCATTTTCATGATACTGATTCCTCCTATCCATTAGCATGGAATGTTTTTCCATTTGTTTGTGTCCTCTCTTATTTCCTTGAGCAGTAGTTTGTAGTTCTCCTTGAAGAGATCCTTCACGTCCCTTCTAAGTTGTATTCCTAGGTATTTTATTCTCTTTGTAGCAATTGTGAATGGGAGGAATGGGAGATCACTCATGATTTGGCTCTCTGTTTGTCTATTATTGGTGTATAGGATTATTTATAATTTTTGCACATTTATTTTGTATCCTGAGACTTTGCTGAAGTTGCTTATCAGCTTAAGGAGTTTTTGGGTTGAGACAATGAGGTTTTCTAAATATACAATCATGTCATCTGCAAACAGAGACAATTTGATTTCTTATCTTCCTGTTTGAGTACCCTTTATTTCTTTCTCTTGCCTGATTTCCCTGGCTAGAACTTCCAATAGTATGTTCAATAAAAGTGGTGAGAGAGGGCATCCTTGTTTTGTTCTGGTTTTCAAATGGAATGCTTCCAGCTTTTGCCCATTTAGTATAACATTGAAATAGAAAGTCAAAGTATCTCTGTTCACTGATGGTACAATTTTATAATGAGAAAACTCTAAAAATTTCTCCAAAAGACTCCTAGAATGGATAAACCACTTCAGTAAAGTTTCAGGGTACAAAATCAATGCACAAAAATCAGTTTCATTTCTGTATATTAACAACATTCAATCTGAGAACTAAATCAAGAACAAATTCCATTTGAAATAGCCACATGCACAAAATAAAATACCTAAAAACACATCTAACAATGGAAGTGAAAGATCTCTGTAAAGAGAACTACAAAACACTGCTGAAGGAAATCACAGATTATACAAACAAATGGAAAAAATTCTATGCTCATGGATTGGAAAAATCAATATAATTAATCTGTTAATATTACCCAAAGCAATCTAGAGATTCAGCAAAATTCAAATTACCAATGTCATTTTTCATGGAACTAAAAAAAAATTCTAAAATTTATAGAGGGCCAAAAATGAGTCCAGATAGCCAAAGCATCCTAAGCAAAAATAACAAAGTCGGAGTAATAACATTATCTGACTTCAAACTATACTATTATACCAGGCTACAGTAACCAAAACAGCCTGGTACTGGCACAAAAATTAGATATAAACCAATAAGACAAAATAGAGAGCCAGAATTAAAGCTAGACACTTATAACTAAACAATCTTCCAGAAAGTTGACAAAAACAATGAGGAAAAGACATGCTATTCGAAAAACGGTGCTGGAAAAACTGACTAATCATATGCAGAAGAATGAAAGTAAATCCATACCTCTCACCATATGCACAACTTAACTTATGATGGATTAGACACTTAAATGCAAGACCTAATGTTATAAAAATTCTAGAAGAAAACTTGGGAAATACTTTTCTGGACATTGGCCTAGGGAAATGATTTATGACTAAGGCCTTACAAGCAAATGAAACAAAAACAAAAATGGTCAAGCGGGAGCTGATTAAACTAAAGAGCTTGGGCGCAGCAAAAGAAACTATCGGCAGAGTACACAGACAACCTATAGAATTGGAGAAAATATTTGCAAACTATGCATCTGACAAAAGACTAACAATCAGATTCTATAAAGAACTTGGATAAATCAACAAGAAAAAAACAACTTCATTTTAAAAACTAGGCAAAACATATGGACAGATACTTCTCAAAAGAAGGCATACAAGCAGCTAACACAAATATGAAAAAATGCTCAACATCACTAATAATTAGAGAAGTGCAAATCAAAACCATAATAAGATACCATCTTACACAAGTCAGAATGACTGTTATCAAAAAGCTTTAAAAAAAGATACTGGGGAGGTTGCAAAGAAAAAAGAATGATTTTACACCGTTAGTGAGAATGTAAATTATTTCAGCCCCTGTGGAAAGCAGTTTGACCCCGCAATTCCATTACTGGGTATATATCACCCACTGACAAAAAAAAAAAAAAAAAGCACTACCAAAAGGACACCTGCACTCATATCTTTATTGCATCACTATTCACAATAGAAAAGAGATAAAATCAGCCTGGATGTTCATCAGTGGTGGATTGGATAAAGAAAATGTGGTATATATAAACCATGAAATACTATGCAGCCATAAAAAATTATGTTCTTTGCAGCAATATAGATGTAGCTGGAGGCCATTATCCTTAGGTGCATTAACGTAGAAACAGAAAATCAAATATCATGTGTTTACTCTTATAAGGGGAAGATGAATATTGAGTCCACACAGACATAAAGATGGAAATCATAGACACTGGGGACTTCAAAAGGTGGAAGAGAAGAAGGGGGCAAATGCTGAAAAACTGCCTATAAGCTACTGCGTTCACTATTTGGGCAAGAGGTTCAAATAGAAGTTGAAACCTCAGCACTGTCACACAATATACGCAGGTAGCAAACCCACACATGTACCCCCTGAATCTAAAATAATGTAAAAATAAAATTAAAAAGTAATTATGATAAAAAAGATGACGTTTACCAAAGACATAGTATTTAGACATGCTATTCCTGCAATGCAAAACCTCCTCAACCTTCCTCCCAATTTAATATTTGTTTGATAAAATATCTTAATTATGAAAAATCTTAATTATCATCACTTTTCCCACATAAACTTAGTTACTGAAGCATTCAGCTTGAGCTAGATGCTCCCAAAATATTCCTTGAAATTTACTATGCTTTCTGTGTCCTATGTGTTATATATTATAGCCTGATTAACCTTTTTGATTGAGTAATGGGGAGATAATTACATTATTTTTATTTTTAATCATTTCTTTTCTTTCCTGGCATATCTATTAGGTTTACAAATTAAGCGAAGAATAGCAGAAGCCAATAGCATGCCAACCTGCTATGAAAGTAACGCATGAGAAAGGGATGGAGTGAGTCTGGAGATTAGAAACTATTGCAAGAAAGAGTGGTGAATAGAAGAGCAAAAGAGAAAAAGTGAGCGTATGGTGATTTTCCTTGAGCATGGGTACTTAGTGCAGAAGTGATGTGTAAAGAGGAATTCTTAGAAAGACTGTTATGTACTGTGGATTCCATTTCATTATTCCTAGAGCTGGATGATAACCTATAGTAAATATGTGAACATTGTGCTTAAATTACTCTGGTAGTAGATATGCAACCTAAAGTGTAAGAATAAATGCATATTTCATGTCACTTGTACTCATCTGTTCTTTTCACTAGGCCAAGAACTCTAGGAAAGCAGAGAGGGCTTATTATTTATCTTCATATGCACAGATTTTAGTTCCACTTAGGTAATTAGAGCATGTTTGAAAACACAAATGAAGCTGTAGCTCTATACTTTTCTTCATCTTTCCTTTCTGATTTATCCTATCTCTATTAACATAATCTCTAGTACGTTTTCTTACTTAGCTGCATTTTGTCTTATAGAAAGCATAGAAAACAGAACTTGTAAGTGAGGCACTTGGATATTTAGCTGAGATTTCCAAGCAAATTGTTGATGAAGCATCCTTGTTATTTCTTATTTTTTTATAGTAATGTGACAGAGGAAATATAAAAATTGAGGGAAAAAATATTAAACACAAAGGAATATGGACTAGATGATTTAGGAATTTCTCAGCATGTCCAGATTGCAGAAAATGCTAAAATTAAGAAAATCACTGACAGTAAATTATGATCACAAGAGGAGGAAATAAAAGGGATGGCTGGAAAACCTTAGGTTATAACTTTGAAAATATAAAAAAGTCAGAGTGTTCTGTCACACAGAGGGCTCTTTGAAGACATTAGGTGTATGATTCATGGATCCCTCAGCCAATTAAGCAGAAGTAAAAAACTAGAGATAAAATAATTTAGGAAAGATCTGTGGAGAATCTCTTTGTCTAATGGAGTATATTTCTGTGAAATGCATGAGAAAACCATAATATTTTTGAGAAATTTATACCAGCAGAAACACTGCCAGCTGAGACTGAAAGAGTCAGAGAAGAAACAGAATGAAAGAAGCCTATAGGAATCTCACAGTTCTATAGGCAGAAAATAGGCTGATAAAACAACTCAGCTGCAAACATTTGCTACCTTTAATAAAAAGGAATATGTCTCCAAGGCCAGCTCTGTGAGCCCAGAGGGCAGAGAAATGAGTCACAGCAGATTATACCCAGGCTTTGAAATCTACTGGAGTTTTGCCCTGTTAGATTTCAATATTTCTTGTAGTGACTTCTTTCATGTTTTATTTCTCCCCTTTTGACGGGGAATTTCTATGACTGTTCTCTTATGCCTCTTTTACCATTGTATTTTGGGAATAGATAACTTGTTTTCTACTTCCACAGGTCGATAAAGAGAGAGCAATTATACTAAGCATATTTTACATGTGTGAAGAACGTAAATCTTTAAAGCTAGAATGTATTCTATGGTAGACTGAATAATTGCGCATGAAAATGTTTACACCCCTGAATGTGTTACCTTACATGGCAAAGGACGGTTGCAGATGTGATTAATAGTTTTGAGAAGCAGGAATTAGCCTGGATTATCTGGATTGACCCAATATAATCACAAACACTCTTATAAGAGGGAGGTAAGAGTGTCAAAGTAGCAAAGAATATCGTGTAACAATGGAGAAAAGGTTATAGTGATTTGGTCATCGGTCAAGGAATGCTGGTATCCTCTAGAAGCTGAAAGAGGCAAGAGATGTATTTTACTTTAGAGGATCCAGAAAGAACCAGTCCTGCTGACATCTTGATTTTAGTCCTGCAACACTAAATTTGGACTTGTGACATACAGATCTGTAAGAAAATGTATTTTGTTATTTTAAGACAAACTTGGTGCTAATTTGTTACAGAACTCATGGGAATTTTTTTAAAAAACAAAACAGTCTTTTTTTCCCTTTTGGAAATAATGTTTTATTTTTTATTTTATTTTATTATTATTATAATTAAAGTTTTAGGGTACATGTACACAATGTGCAGATTAGTTACATATGTATACATGTGCCATGCTGGTGTACTGCACCCATTAACTCGTCATTTAGCATTAGGTATATCTTCTAATGCTATCCCTGCCCCCTCCCCCCACCCCACAA
Organism: Homo sapiens; assembly: GCF_000001405.40. Taxonomy (NCBI): domain Eukaryota; kingdom Metazoa; phylum Chordata; class Mammalia; order Primates; family Hominidae; genus Homo; species Homo sapiens. The sequence continues at coordinate 123,536,776 of NC_000002.12, read as the reverse complement.
CAGTCCCCAGAGTGTGTTGTTCCCCTTCCTGTGTCCATGATGGAAGAACATTCCATGTTCATGGGTAAGAAGAATCAACATCGTGAAAATGGCCATACTGCCCAAGGTAATTTATAGATTCAATGCCATCCCCATCAAGCTACCAATGACTTTCTTCACAGAATTGGAAAAAACTACTTTAAAGTTCATATGGAACCAAAAAAGAGCCCGCATCACCAAGTCAATCTTAAGCCAAAAGAACAAAGCTGGAGGCATCACGCTACCTGACTTCAAAGTATACTACAAGGCTACAGTAACCAAAACAGCATGGTATTGGTACCAAAACAGAGATATAGATCAATGGAACAGAACAGAGCCCTCAGAAATAATGCCACATATCTACAACTATCTGATCTTTGACAAACCTGAGAAAAATAAGCAATGGGGAAAGGATTCCCTATTTAATAAATGGTGCTGGGAAAACTGGCTAGCCCTATGTAGAAAGCGGAAACTGGATCCCTTCCTTACACCTTATATACAAAAATGAATTCAAGATGGATTAAAGACTTAAACGTTAGACCTAAAACCATAAAAACCCTAGAAGAAAACCTAGGCATTACCATTCAGGACATAGGCATGGGCAAGGACTTCATGTCTAAAACACCAAAAGCAATGGCAACAAAGCCAAAGTTAACAAATGGGATCTAATTAAACTAAAGAGCTTCTGCACAGCAAAAGAAACTACTATCAGAGTGAACAGGCAACCTACAAAATGGGAGAAAATTTTCACAACCTACTCATCTGACAAAGAACTAATATCAAGAATCTACAATGAACTCAAACAAATTTACAAGAAAAAAACAAACAACCCCATCAAAAAGTGGGCAAAGGATATGAACAGACACTTCTCAAAAGAAAACATTTATGCAGCCAAAAAACACATGAAAAAATGCTCATCATCACTGGCCCTCAGAGAAATGCAAATCAAAACCACAATGAAATACCATCTCACACCTGTTAGAATGGCAATCATTAAAAAGTCAGGAAACAACAGGTGCTGGAGAGGATGTGGAGAAATAGGAACACTTTTACACTGTTGGTGGGACTGCAAACTAGTTCAACCATTGTGGAAGTCAGTGTGGCGATTCTTCATAGATCTAGAACTAGAAATACCATTTGACCCAGCCATCCCATTACTGGGTATATACCCAAAGGACTCTAAATCATGCTGCTATAAAGACACATGCACACGTATGTTTATTGCGGCACTATTCACAATAGCAAAGACTTGGAACCAACCCAAATGTCCAACAATGATAGACTGGATTAAGAAAATGTGGCACATATACACCATGGAATACTATGCAGCCATAAAAAATGATGAGTTCATGTCCTTTGTAAGGACATGGATGAAATTGGAAATCATCATTCTCAGTAAACTATCACAAGAACAAAAAACCAAACACCGCATATTCTTACTCATAGGTGGGAATTGAACAATGGGAAATAATGTTTTATTTCTTTCAATTATCAATGTTCAGATTAACGCCTACCTTATACCCTGAACCTCTCCAGATACCTATCTTTCTTCTCTAATCATTCTTTTCAACTCAGCTGCATTCTTATGTGTGTGCGTATGTGTGAGAGAGAGAGAAATAAAGAAAGAGAGAAAGAGAGAGAGAGACAGAGAGATAGAAAGAAGGTGCTGTTTAGGCATATGTGTCTTGTATGTTGATGATATGGTTTGGCTGTGTCCCCACCCAAATATCATCTTGAATTGTAGTTCCCATAATCCCCACATGTCCTGGGAGGGACCTGGTGGGAGGTAATTTAATTATGGGGGTAGTTTCCCCAACACTATTCTCATACAGTGAGTCAGTTCTCAGGAGATCTGACGGTATTATAAGAGGCTTCCCCCTTTGCTTAGCTCTCATTCTTCTCTCTCCAGCTCCCTTGTGAAGAAGGATGTGTTTACTTCCCCCTCTGCCATGATTGTAAGTTTTTTGAGGCCTCCCTAGCCCTGCAGAACTGTGAGTTAATTAAACTTCTTTCCTTTATAAATTACCCAGTCCTGGGTATGTCCTTATAACAGTGTGAGAATGGACTAATATCACCAGATTAGGATAGTGTAAAATCAATGGTCTTAAGGTTAGTGATTTTGGATGGAGAAATCATATAATTTGTAACCACAGAATGGGAGATGTGTAAAAGAACACAAAGTGCTAATAATCATGAGAACAGGAAAACAGGTATAAAACAGGATTGTCCAAAGCAAACTGGGTTGTATGATCACCCTAAGAATAGTAAAGTTTCCACTCCAAAAAGGAGCCAAGGAAAATATGTGAAATAAATAACATTCTTATGAAAACCCTAAATCACTGTGATAAGCAACTTTGAGAAGACTAATAAGAAGAGGAAATGGGCAAACATCATTTAGAAAGATGAGGAATAAGAGCAATGAGCAGGTCTGTTTTCTTGATGGATTCTAATGCCTGTGTTTGTTTACACCCTGCATTTATGAGGTCTCAGGCTGAGAGAAATTAGCTTAAGGGGTTACAAGCAGGCTAGATCTATGATGTTTTCCCATCTGCCTCTTGAGTTTCATACTAGTTGACTTCTGTTTGAGTCTCCCTTTAAAAAAAAATCTATCAATAGTGATTTTATTGCTTTAATTGAATAAATTAGAGTTGGTTAACTTGTCCAAGTTAACCATTTGCCATGGTGCCAGAGAAAGCTACACATTTGTTGTTATTGTTGTTTTACTTTGCTTTATGTTTATTTGATGGGACTTTAGCACATTTATAAGCAGAAATTCAACAAGAAAATTATATTATGTAAATATATACCCATTCCACAAAATTCTGATTATGAGATTAATACATCACAAGTTCAGTTGGAAATATCCATTTTTATACAATATAACTGTAAAAGAAATATAATAATGTATCTCGGTAAAAACATGAAAAAAATACTTAGACCATTCTAGATTTTTACCGCATCCACTTAATATTACATTTGTGCTATTTGTAGATATGTAGTAAGGTTCGTTATAAAAGAAACTATAATTATTTACAATTATTGCCTAGCAAAATAACCTTAAACAAATTAATATTTTGGAATATTTAAATAGAGATGTGTTTAATAAAAATAAATAAAAGACTAAATGTATAAAATTATATTTATTTCAACAGTCAAAGTGAGTGACCTATTATAGGCCAATATTTGGTATTGGAATTTCAGTTTACATAAAAGAACATTTCTATATTAAAAGTTTATAAACATATGGGAAAGAAGGACAGGTTGGTAGTTAAATTATATATAATATGGACACTATAAAGAATAAGTAGAACTTTAAAAATTACCTTAAGAATAATAACAAAAAATAACTATCAGAGTTCACCACAAATTTGGTCACATAAATAAATTAAAAATATAATGTTTTTTTCTTTCACTATTTGTTCCAGTCTTCAGACTAATATCTGCTTTTGGTTTGGTTTTTTAGTGAAAGATGCTTGACTGATAGTCTAACTGATGTTAAAAATAGTGACTGACGTCACATACAGTTAATTTATACAAGGATATTTCCTAAGGGCTATATCACAAGGCTGGATCATGTGCTTTGCCTCCAAGTGCTTTGTTACACACGGCATGGAAAATTACTATGAAAATGAGATCTTTGTTTCTTTAGAGTTTATTTTCTCCTCCTGCTTCATTCAGTCCTCATGTTGTAATCTTCTATTTGTGATAACACTACAGACACTGAGGAAAGGATTTTGATGTTGCAAATGCAAGGTAGAAACATCAGATTATTTGAAAAAACAGCAGATCTTCAGGATGAATGATACAAGCAAATATCCTCTTGGGATAAAAATTTCTTCCTTAAAAAAAGAGGCTATTTTAGAGATCCTCTCTTCAAAATCGTTTTGTAGTAGGGTTGTTTATAGAACCTTTTAGTGAAGCCTTTTCATGGAGGGTAATGAAATGGTAGTAGAGTGGCAGTGTGAATACTGAATCAGAATCAAAACCATTTGGGTTCTGATCCAGCAGCAAGCACTTTTACTTGACTTACCTAAATTCTATGAGCCTTAAATTCATCACTTTAATAATGGAATTATGAAACTTCTTTCTGTCTTTGAGATGATTTGTATAAGTAAAGAATCCTAATAAATGGTGGGTATTATTAACATAATTCTCTTCTGCCATGATGATATGGGTAAAATATAATTGTAAATTTTCCTCTTTTTTTCCCAAGCTTTAGCCCAGTTTTGAGTAAAGAAAAAAAATGAGCAACAGTCATGACCTAAAACTATGCTATTTAGAAAATGTTTGTGTTGATAGGCCCAACAACTATTTACCAATAAACATTATAAAACCATTATAGTCATATATTCTTTGATAAAATAAAAATAAAGCATCATCATTATAGTCACGCTAAAAAGCTGTAACCTCAGATTTTAAGTCCATTGAAAAAATTAGCTGAGAATAGCAAAAATCAAGCAAAATGTAATCTGATTCTTTCTGCATTTTAATTTCCCATCTAAATGTGTTAAACTGAATATATTGAAGTAAAAAATCTCTGAGATGTCAAGTAGGAGTCTTGCTTAATTTATAATATGCAATCAATCAATAACTATGTGCTCAGCTCTGGCTGGGTATGAGGCCTAGTACTAGTTGCAAGAAGGCAAAAAAAAAAAAGGTTTATTTTAAGAAAATTACCCTGTATTATAAGCAAAGGTGTTTTAAAGAATGAAGACAGATATCATCTCTATATGACTGATATGGTTTGGCTCTGTGTCCCCACCCAAATCTCATCTTGCATTGTAATCCTCACCTGTTGACGGAGGGACCTGGTGGGAGGTGATTGGATCATGGGGGCAGTTTACCCCATGCTGTTCTCATGATAGTCAGTGAATTCTCACTAGAGCTGATGGTATTCAAGTGTGGCCCTTCTTCACTCTCTTGCTCTGTCTCTCCTGCTGCCATGTAAGATGTGCCTGGCTTTTCCTTTGCCTTCTGCCATGATTGTAAGTTTCCTGATGCCTCCCAGCCATGTGGAACTGTGAGTCAATTATTAAACCTCTTTCCTTTAAAAATTACCCAGTCTCAGGTAGTACCTTTATAGCAATGTGAAAACAGACTAATACAGAAAATTGGTACCAAGGTAGTGGGGCTTGGTACCTAACCTGCTTTTAATTTTACAGGTTTGCAAGCAGAAGGGACTTGCCTTCTCTCAGATGAGACTTTGGACTTGGACTTTTGAGTCAATGCTGGAATGAGTTAAGACATTGTGGGACTGTTGGGAAGGTGTGGTTGGTTTTGAAATGTGAAAAAAACATGAGATATGGGAGGGGTCAAGGGCAGAATGATATGGTAGGGCTCTGTGTTCCCACCCAAATCTCATCTGGATTTGTAATACCCATGTATCAAGTGTTGACGGAGGATCTTGGTGGGAGGTGACTGGATCATGGGGGAGGTTTCCCCCATGCTGTTCTTGTGATAGTGAGTGTGTTCTCACTAGAGCTGATGGTTTTAAAGTGTGGCACTTCTCTCACTCTCTCTTTCCTCCTGCCATGTTAGATGTGCCTTGCTTCCACTTCACCTTCCACCATGATTGTAATTTTCCTGAGGCCTCTCCAGCCATATGGAACTGTGAGTTAATTAAACCCCCTTTATAACTTACCCAATCTCAGGTAATATCTTTTTAGTAGTGTGAAAACAAACTAATACAATGACAAACATAGATACTCTGTGTGAACTATTAAGGGACACACTCAAAAATATCTTACATAGAATGAGGGGTTACATTTGAACTCAAACCCAGTTTTCTGACTCTGAAATTTGTCCTCTTAATTTTACGATCCACATGTTAAATATAGACAAAAAATGTCTAACCTAAAAAAGTTCATAACCTAGTAGGTAAGATAAGTGAACTACATTTAGAAAAAGGATAACTAGCATCACTAAGTGCCAAAGGAATGCCTTTGACACTTAAGGAATTTCAGAGGAAGAAAAACAGATTATTTTAAGCCCAGGTGAATAGGTAAGGCTTTGTAGAGTGAGTATTGAAGACTGTGTAGAATTTTTCATTGGCTGAGAATGTAGGGAATTTGGAGGCATTTAGGTAGGAAGGGTGGTAGGAGAAATGAGGCCGAGGAAAGCATGGGACATGTTTCAGTAGCCAGTGAATAGAGCAATCTGATTGTAACAGCTCTTTAAGTTGGAGACTTAGTAAGAAATAAGCCTGGAAACAAAAGCTGTGACCATAATGTTTCTATTTTAATTTTAGACCTTCTTGGGATATTTTTCACTGACTTATAAAATATAATCTGAGTCTTTAATGAGTGTATACATTTTTCAGAAATCAAGTATGACTGAAATGTGTGTCACAAATACAAAGCAGTGGATGATTTGTATCTGGTTATACAAACAGACAAATCCTGGCAACACAAGGACAGATGGAACATTTGTTCCTTTGTGTAACTACCTACAAATCCATTGCACATGATGGTCATGTGACTTAGGACAGGCTAATTATAATATCCCTTCCTGGAATGCCTACAGAAAAGAAGTTCAATAAGAGGACTTCCCTGAAACTGCCGCATGGAAAAGGGAGATGCTGTATCCACTAGGACTTCATTGATCATTAATAGACTCCCATTGGTAATTGTAGGAGCAGAAGATGAGGCCAAATAGAGGCAATAAGGGACTGAACAGTCAAGTAATAACAAAAATGGGGGAGGGAGAGGGGAGCTGGCAGAGATAGAGAGAAATGCTTTTAGTGTCCCTGGATCAAGCAGTACTTAAAACAAAAAAATTCAAACTACTAACATAAACATATTAATTTTATCTTTTCCCCTTCATATGGGTTGAATTAGGTTTCTGTATTTTTAAATTAATAGCTAAGGAAGTCCTTTTTCATCAGAACATATGAGTTCCAATTGTGTGGCTCAAGTATGTATTTTAAAACACTTGGAGAAAAAAAAACTAGAGTAGTCTAGGAATTCTGACAAAAATGGGAGGGTGAGCATCATGTAGTTCTCTAACTCTAAACATAGAACAAAAGGTAAAACACTTTTAAATATACTTGACAAAATGCATAACCATAATTTAAAAGGAGAGAGAAACAATGGGGAGCACTTCTGCTTTTTAGCCATAAGGAATAATATGTTCCGAAATAATCCTCTTTCCACCACTAGACAACTGAAGAAAACAGAGTAAATCACTATTTTCAGATGTTGTACTACAGGCAGCACAGAGCTGTAATTCACAAGAAAGGGAAACAAATAGATGAGCTAAACTACTGCCTAGTCTTTCTGTCTAGAGGTAATTTCTGTGCTGCAACCCAGTCAGGAGAATTCAAACCAAGCTGGGGAATCTCAGTGAGTTGAGAAAACAGAGCTTTGAATTTGCAGAGTCTGAGAAAGCCAGAAGTTGTTATTCAGGGAATTAGAGAGAACTAGAGAACTAAATCTACAAAACTATAAAGCTCAGAAAATCTGTGCAAGGGCCCATGAGTCTTTCTCTGAATGCCAATATGCATAGTGTGAAATCCCATAAGAGTAAACAAAAATCAATTATATGAAGGAAAAAATCATTATATGAAGCTATAATATGAACAATCCTCAAAGGTCACAGAAAGCCAGGAATTGTTTGAGTTTCAGCGAGTACACAGACTTCCCTGAATACAACAGGCTTTCAGTCCATGAAACTAGCTGTATAAAGACTACTATAATTATACTCAAAACAAACCCAAAAACAAACTTCTAAAGGATCAGTCTAATTCAAAAGTACTTAGCTGACTGTTGGAAAACAAATTCACCATTCTTTCACTCTTTAGAGGCAGGTAAAAATATAAATAAATCAACATACAGAATTCAAAAAGATAAAATTCCAAATGTCCAACACCCAATTCAAAAGTGCTAGAGTAATGAACAATTAAAATTATCACTAATAACTAGAAGAAAAATCAATCAAAAGAAACTGACTCACAAATGACAAAGATGATAGAATTAGCAGAAAAGGACAGTAAAACAGCTATTGTGAAAATGATCCATCTGTTTAATCATGTACAAAATATGAAAATGAAGTGAATACCAAACAAATGACATGAAAAGAAATGTATGAGACTTCTAGAGAATAAAACACCATATCAGTAATTTTTGAAAACCACTGGAAGGGATTAATAGCATATTAAACATGGCAGAGGGAAAGAATGATGAACCATGAGTATACAACTCTACAAACTATCTAAATGGAGTCTCGAGAAAAACAGAATGAAGGGAATAAAAACAAAAACACAGCATTATTGATCTGTGGGACATTAAATATAGGTGGCATAATGTAGCTAGCATATGTAAAATTGGAGTCCCAGAAAGAGGAGGCAATATAGGGGATTACATATACATATGTAAGGAAATGAATGTAACTTTTCCAAATATGATATAAATATAGAACTCATAAATATGAGAAAATGCAACAAACCACAAGTAGGAAAGAACAATGTAGTCAACACCAAGGTGCACATCACAATCAAATCTCTAGAAACTTGTGAAAAACAGAATGTCTCAAAGTATAAGGACAAATTACTTTCACAAAACATGAACAACAAATGGAAAAATCAGTTAATAAGAATATGAGTCAAGGAGAGAAATTTGTTGGATATAATGCAATGAAATTATAAATAGTCAAAGAGAAACTAAATTTGCCATAATATTTGAAAAATAATACCAGTCTAAATACTTTATGAATTACTGAAGAACTCACAATAAAAATTAATAGATTTAGAGTAGGATAAGTATGAAATTTATTCATTAAGACAGTCTCACATAGATAAATTAGCTTTTGAAGTAAATTGATAGCTTTAAATATACACAGGGTAGAATAAGAAAGACTGAAATTAAATGACTTAAAAATGTCATCCTAAAAAATAGCTTAGAGAGAAAATTTTAACCCTTGATTAAAGAAAATACAGTATCTTGCTATAACCAATGTTTATTAATAGACACATGGGAATTATCTTCAAATAAATCTATAAAATCCATATAATGCCATTTATTAAAACTTCCAACAAAATTTTGAATATGCAGGAATAGCAAAACAATTCTGAATACTAAGAAAGTGGAAAGGGACCAACCCTACTAATACCCAGACTGTAAAGATATAGTAATTTAAAGCAACACAACGAGGGCAGATACTTCATAAACAGATAATGTTCTCTGTTTTTGTGGAGGGGCGGGTGGGAAATAAGTGAGTTCTCCCTCTATTAGTTCTCTTGAGAGCTAGTCATTAAAAAGGACCTGGCAACTTCCCTCTCTCTCTGGCTTTTTCTCTTACCCTGTGATGTCTGCACATGCCATTCCCCTTCCCCTTCCACAGTAAGTGGAAGCAGCTTCAGGCCCTCACCAGGAGGAGATGCTGGTGCCATGCTTTTTGTGCAGCCTGCAGAGCCATGAGCCAAAGAAATCTCTTTTCTTTACAAACAAATAAATAAACAAACACACCATTGACATAGGAATAGGTCAAGAGAATAAATCGCTCTCCATAAAGAAATTAAAAAATCTGTGGGGCTACAGGTGTTTTAGGGACCTCACTGAAGACAAAAAAAAAGTCCAAAATCATCTTCCATTGTTGATTTGAATACAGTTGAGAAGTACCACAATGAGCCTAGAGAGATATACATCAAAATGCCAGTATAGTTGCTTCAGAGCTAATTAAAAAAAACAGAATTTAGCATAATTAATAGGAGAGCAATGTGTCAGCTCTAGCAAAATAGAAAATATGGAAACCATACCAGCAATCCTATTTCTACCCCAGAAAAACTCTTACATATAGGCCCAAACATAGAAGAGTAAGAGGCTCCTGGCACTATAAAATGACAATCTAGACACGCTTTATAGCTGAGCCCAAATATTCCATATACACATCTGCATCTTCCAGAAACCCTTGCACCTATGTTCGGTACATATGGCTAGTTTTTACCATCTAATCTGAGCAAAAGTGATTAAAATAATCAGTGTGAGTTCTCTATCCCTTTCTTCTCCTACCACAGTACAGCAGATACATCTTCCAGATTGAGGACTCACAAGACAGAGGAACGCTCCTTGTCCTAGAGTTTAGGTGGACCCCAAATAAATCTCTGTTATATTAAGAAATGGTATTTCAATATTTACAATACTGTTGCAGAACACAGATTACCTTTACTAATATGCACCTAAATGTCTGATTTTAAAAATATATAAATTAAACATAGTATGTTCATATACCAGAGATAAAATACAAAGAATGATGTTTATCCATTTATATGTATAAATATTAAATGAATGGAAATATAATGTTGACCAAATAAATGCATACAATCATTTCTAAATATGAAATTTCTGTATTTTCTTGAGTTTTATTTTATTTCACAAAAAAGAGTACATTAAAGGGAAAATGGAATGTTGAAAAGCCTTAAAAAGAAAAAAGGGCTGGCGCAGTGGCTCACACCTGTAATCCCAGCTCTTTGGGAGGCCGAGGCGGGAGGATCACGAGGTCAGGAAATCGAGACCATTCTGGCTAACATGGTGAAACACCATCTCTACTAAAAATACAAAAAATTAGCCGGGCATGGTGGCAGGCACCTGTAGTCCCAGCTACTCAGGAGGCTGAGGCAGGAGAATGGCGTGAACGCAGGGTGTGAAGTTTGCAGTGAGCGGAAATCGCACCACTGCACTCCAGCCTGGGTGACAGAGCGAGACTCCATCTCCAAAAAAAAAAAAAAAAAAAAAAAAAGGGCTGTGCAAGGTGGCTTCTGTCTGTAATCCCGATACTTTGGAAGGTGGAGGTGGGAGGTGGGAGCATCCCTTGAGGCCAGGAGTTCAAGACCATCCTGTGTAACATATTGAGACCCCCCCACCACTAAAAAATAAAACTAAACAAAAAACATTTGAAAGGGTCTAGCAAATAGATTTTTATTGATTGATAGATTTTCCCAGCAACTACAATTTATTGAGCAGTGTTTATAGGCTAAGGAGTAGCCAAACCCTTGGATATTCATCCTCAAGCACTATCGGATCTAGTGGGGATCCAGGTTAGGTAAAATAAACTTTACAAATATGTCATTTGTGCTGTAATTGAGTTATTTACAGAATGTAGTGATGCACAGAAAACCAGCATTGAATTAGGATTGGTGTGGTTCTCAAAGAATATGTCCTAGAGGAGGTAATCTGTAATCTGGTTGTTGGAGGGAGCTGGTTTCAGGACAGAAAAGCTTGAGGGTACATATTTTTTTTAAAAAAATTGTAGTTTATGTTCTGGGATACATGTGCAGAGCATGCAGATTTGTTACATAGGTATATACATGCCATATGGTTTGCTGCACCCATCAACCCATCATCTAGGTTTTAAGGCCCACATGCATTAGATTTTTGTCCTAATGCTCTCCCTCCCCTTGCCTCCAAACCCCCCGGCAGGCCCAGGTGTGTGATATTCCCCTCCCTGTGTCCATGTATTCTCATTTTTCAACTCCCACGTATTTTTAAAGGTGTGAACCTATGTGGTAAATTACAGTAGTTCCCCCTTATCTGTGCTTTCACCTCCCTCTGTTTTTAGTTACCTGCAGTCAATGTGATCTGAGAATGTTAAATGGAAATATCCAGAAATACACAATTCATAAGTTTTAAATTGCACTCTCTTCTGAGTAACAAGATGAAATCTCATGCTGTCCCCAATCTGTCCCACCTTTTGTACAAGGTATCCACCGGGTAGAAGCTATTCACCTGTTAGTCTTTTAATGGCTGTCTTGGTTATCAGATCAACTGTGGAGTGTTTGTGTTCAAGTAACCCGTATTATACTTAATAATAGTCCTAAAGCACAAGTGTAGCTGCTGGCAATTCGGATACGCCAAAGAGCAGCTGTAAAGTGCTTCCTTTAAGTGAAAATTCTCTAATTAATAAGGAAAGAAAAAATTCACAGTTTGCTAAAATTTTACAGTAAGAACAAACTTTTGATATGTGAAATTTTGAAGAAGGTAAAAGGAACTTGTGCTAGTTTTGTTGCCATACCTCAAGTTGCAAAAGGTATAGCCACAGTGCTTGATAAATACCTGGTTAGGATAGAAAAAGCATGAAATTTGTGGGTAGAAGACTATACAGAAATATATTATTATTGGTAGCAACATGATGTGTCAGATTAATTAAATTAAACTTTATCATAGGTTTGTATGTATAGTGAAAAACATAGTATATATAGAGCTTAGTACCACCTCGGGATTCAGGCATCCCATAGGGATCTTGAAAGTATCTCCCACAGATAACTAGGAACTACCATGTTCAGAGAATTCCAAGGCATTCAGCATGGCCAGTGATGAGAGTACATATGGGGATTGGAAAGTTATTTGTCCCTAAAAGATGACATTGGACTGGGCATTCCCCCACCCAAATATTTACTTATAGATTTGGTAAATTTAGTTATGAAACCACTTTTGCAAAATTATGACCGTGAGAGAAATTTGACATAGTTGACTTTATCTTGCTTATAACCTCCAAGCTGTCCTTCGTCATTCCTGGCTGTAAGCCAAGCTAACTTTGGGAGGGATAATAGTCTAATCTTTAAGCAAGGATAATAGAAGTCCTTGCCTAAGTGAAACCACTGTTGTAAAACTAGTGAAAGTTCGCAAGATTAGGATTATAAGAGGGGCCTGAACTCTGCTAAAATGTAGGCCCAGTTTCTGTAATCATTTACTGCTCAAGAATCACGTGGGCAGAGGTCACAAGATTTGTGATTTTCCCAGTTGCGTCCAACATCACCACTGTAGAACTTAAGACTGTTGTTTTGAGATTTTTTTTTTCCGATTGACCCCACGCAGACTTGTGATTCATGACTCAACTGGTTCTGTGGTCCCACCCAGAGGCAAAGTCAGTGCACCAGTCCCTGAAGTGTTTTCCATATCCCTATTATTTCAGCCCCAACCAATCAGCACCACTCATTCCCTAGCCCCTGCCCACCAAATTGTCCATAAAATTCCTAACCACTGAGCCTTTGAGGAGACTGATTTGAGTGATAACTGCAGTTCTCGCATGTAGCTGGCCTTATGTCAATTAAACTATTTATCGACCACAACATGTTGGTCTCAAATTGATTTTGTCTGTGCAGCATGCAGGAAGGGCCAATGGGGCGATTATATTTAGTACTAAATCAGGATAGGTTAAATTAAAAATTTCCAATCTAAGACTTAACCCATTTAATTGCAGTAATTTATTCCCATGCCTATATTTCCAGCTGATGGCAAGCTTCTTCTGGAGGGAGTGCAGACGTTATTTAACAGATGCCTGTCCTCCCCGTCTAGTACAAAATGTGGTAAATCCAAGGTGCTCTACAAATATTGTCTGGATACCCAATATAGAATTTATTTCAAAATGTCCTTCTCAGTAAAATTATTCAGTTATACATAAATGGAAATTATTTTAATGGTATTCATATGAGATATTCAACAATATGGCTTCACTAATGTGAACATGCAAGGGTTAAGTTAAAAAAAGACAAATTTAGATATAAATCTTGCTTTGAACCACTTAGTCTGTAGTATTGGGCAGGTTATTTAATTTTGGGATCTCAAATATGTGATCGATAAAATTTAGATTAATCATATCCACCTTTTGTATTAATATAGTAATGGGATCCTTTGAAATGAACTTTTACATTGGGTGTCTGGTAAATGAAGGAAATAAAAAACTTAAGCTAACTCATGGTATACTCCAACATTCAGTGGAAGACTGAACAATTCTTTTTAGTAAGTGTAGAAAAAACTAACAATTGAAATGCACAATTTATTTATTTGTTTATTTATTTATTTATTATTTTTTGAGACAATGTCTCCCTCTGTCGCCCAGGCTGGAGTGCAGTGGCATGATCTCGGGATCTCGGCTCACTGCAATCTCCGCCTCCCGGTTTGAAGTGATTCTCCTGCCTCAGTCTCCCAAGTAGCTGGGATTACAGGCGCCCACCACTAGGCCTAGCTAATTTTTCTATTTTTAGTAGAGACGGGGTTTCGCCATGTTGGCCAGGCTGGTCTCAAACTCCTGACCTCAGGAGATCCACCTGCCTCGGGCTCCCAAAGTACTGGGACTACAGGAGTGAGCCACCGCACCCGGCCGAAATGCACAATGTTTATCTAGAGGCTGGTTAGAAAGTGTATCTGATCAAAGTAGAAAGTTTATGAAGGAGAATGTAGGAAATAAAATGAAAACTATGAAATCACCCCTATGTATTAGCCTTGTGACCCAGAGAAACTATATAACCTTTGAGTTTGCCTGTTCACAAGTAAAGTGATGTGAAGATTGTTTCCTTATTTAAAAATATGAGATAACACCAAAGAACCTCCCAGATTTTGTGTGTAATAATTGTTATTAGACCCAATTTAACCCTGAAGAAAGAAGCATTATTGTTGATTGGTGTGCTTACTTACATGCCTGTTTTATGATTTTATTTATGTAATTAGTTATTGGTTTTTGCTTTAAAGCTAAGGAACAACTCTGCTTAAGGCTATCTTTAAATGTTGTCTCTTGAGAAAACTTTCACATAGCTTGTCATTCTACAGTCTGATGCTATAAGAAGGTTATATCTGTTTTTGATAGTTACTGATGCCAATGGAATAAATGACATCTTGTTTTCTAATTAATTAAGCAAGCTCTGTGCACTTCCTCTCATTTCTGGTATCCATGAAAGCATGCTTTCTTTGGTTACTATGCTGATTAAACAGACACTGATGGTTGGCTGCTCAAGTTCTGAGGCCCTAGGGAGAACAGGAATTGTTGTGCCAACAGAATTGAACTTTTGGCCTTGTTTATTCCTAGCAAAGTGTTACCTCCCTTGTGGAGGAAATGAGTTAAAACTTATTAGGAAAACTCAAAGAGATTTTTCAACATCCGATAACCTGCATACAGTTCTTTCAGGAAGAAAGTAGATTAATCCAATTTCTCTGGTATCAAATAGAAACAAATGGCTTAGAAAACCTAAAGCACATGCAGTCTACTTGCCTACTAAAGAGAAAAATCTGCAAACTGGGGAAAAATGAAGAAGAAATATTGAGAAAGGTAAACTTATTTTAGGAGATGAGATGAAGGGGAAAGTTAAAAAGTGGCTGTATAATTATTAGAACATTGGGAAAACTTGCTATTATGGCAATTGAATCACAATTCATTGTATTTCAGGAACTGAGAAGATGGAAAGAGATTCTAGAATGAGCTATCAAGCCACACAAAAGCATGAAGGAAACTTAAACGCTTATTGATCTGTAAAAGAAACCAGTCTGAAAGGGATATATATTGTGTCAGTCCAATTGTGTGACATTCCAGAAAAGGCAAAACTATGGAGACGTAAAAAGATCAGTGCTTTCCACGGGTTTGTAATGAAGGGAGAAGTGACAGATAAAAAGCTGGAGCACGGTGTATTCTTAGGGCAGTGAGATTATTCCATAGGATAATGTAATGGCTGAAACATGTTACTATACTTATGTCAATTCCACAGAATATACAATATAAAGAGTGAACCCTAATACTAACTATGGGCTTCCATTAATAATAATGTATCAATATTGGTTCATCAGCAGTAATAAATATATTACAGTACTGCAAGATGTTAATATCGAGAAAGAGAGGAGGAAGAGGGAGTATAGAAGGGTACTGTACTTTGTGTTAAACTATTTTGTAAACTTAAAACTATTCCAAAAAGTTTGTTTGTTTGTTTATTTATTTTGAGACAGAGTTTTGCTCTTTCACCCAGGCTGGAGTGAAGTGGCGCAATCTTGGCTCACTGCAACCTCTGCCCCCTGGGTTCAAGCCAGTCTGCTGCCTCAGGCTCCCGAGTAGGTGGGATTATAGGCACTCACCACGATGCCTAGGCATTTTTTTTTATTTTTAGTAGATACAGGGTTTTGCCATGTTGGCCAGGCTGGTATCTAACTCCTGACCTCAGGTGATCCACCTGTCTTGGCCTCCCAAAGTGTGAAGATTACAGGCATGAGCCACCTTGCCAGGCCAAAGTTTATTTTTTTAAAGCACAAAAGATGCTGAAAGACTGCAGATTTACAAATGCTATGATGATGGTGATGATGGTGGTGGTGATGATGATTTACAAAATAATTTCAGATACAGATCTGTACATTTGATTTAAGGAAGGACAAAAACAAAGCAACATCAACAACTCAAATGGCAAGAGTTTAGAAAGTATAAAAATTCGGAAGACAATTAATGTAAGAAACAAATTATAAAAGAGACAATATGAGCACCTGGAAGTTGAAAATTCTTATCAGGATACACAGTGACCAATGAAGATCAAACAAAAAATAACAAATACATTTCAATTAGTTCTTTGATGGGTACCTAACATTATTAACTTGAGAGAAGCTGCCCCATGATATATTTTTGAATTTTATAAAATTTTATATGTTCATAATAGATATAGATCCTCATTGTGCTTATAAAATGTTGTATTGTTATTTATTTTCAATATCCAGAATTGGGTGGATTTATTATTCAACAGTGTCAACAACTGATGAATTTATAATGAAGATACATGACAAATCTCTGACTTTAACTTTTTCATCCATAAAGTAAATGAAGAATGGAATAAACATATGAGAGATATCAAATATACTAGATGATACACATAGATCTAGAAAGATTCTGAAAGGTTTGTGTGATGAGATAAATCTAATAAAATAATATTCATCAGGGATAAAACCGAAGTGTCACACCTGAATCCAAAACCCATCTTTATTAGCAGAAAATGGGAGAAGTAGACTCCACGGACACTCCCATTTAAAAAAAAAGTGTATGTGCATGTAATATATGTCAATAATGTACATTTCAATAATATATAAAATATACCAGAATAATGTCATTTGCTCACTCCCCCAAAAAAACCAAAGGAATTTTTAATCGATATTTATACATTTGTTTCTAGAAACAAAGATTAGAAGAGAGAAGTTCCGGAGAAACTAAAATTTCATTAAAATATTTAAGGGCATTTGATAATAATAATATGTTCAACACACTAAAACTGTAATATGTCTGCCTATAGCTAATGTGATTATAGCTGTTATTAATGGCCATATTTCTAGAAAATGAGAGAGGAGCCTTTCTCTCGTGTGACCTGTTTGCTCACACTCTTGAAATTCTAACTTCTGTCTTGGTAGTTATATTTTAAAAGAAATAGAGTGAAATTGGAATGTATTCAAGGCAGGTTAAATATTATATTGTAAATGTTCATGATGTGTCAGAGCAAGAATGTTTACAGGAATTTGAGATGTTTACCCTTGTAGGAAATATTTTTGAGGTGATATGTCTTCCAATATCTGTAGTTTTCACCTGGAATAAGGATTAACTAATCTTTATGATCCCAAATATGCCAACAAAATGAGAAATTTTAACTTATGCCTCAATTACAGTAATAGCATCTCACATTCAATAATGTAGCCTTAATCACAAATATACGAAGGTGGCTTTCAGAGAATTTACCCACTATAGCATCAAACACTCCATTTTCCTCAGTCTCCACCATAATATAATAAAGTCTTTCGTTTTGTTCTTGGATCAAAATGAACTAGTGGTGTTAAAAATTACATATGTTTCTTATTGTTACAGAAAATAATTATGATTCATTGATAGTCAGAAAATATCCTGGGCCCAAGAATGGAAAATGGAGTACGCTCTAGAAGGTATTATTACAAAGCTCCGATGGGTGGTCAGGACAGGAAAATAATTCTGTGACCAATAAGAGCAGTTAAAGGTTGGGTAACCATGATAAATTATCAGATTTGTTGATGGGAGGCAGAAAAGGCAGGAGAATGGATATTGCAAAATCTATCTAGCCTTCAATGTCTTACCAGATTTGAGTATCACATATCCTTATGGTTCATGTTAGGTCTCTGCAAGTTTAACACTCATTAATATATCCACGCCTTTCAAAATTAAAGCCTTCACTTTAATTGTGAAGGGCGTAGGCATATTCAAGGATGTGGAGTCCTACTGAGTCCTCTGCTTTTAAATCTGATTTCTAATCATGCCTTTCGTTAGTTCTAGCATGGACCTACTTTAACTCTGTGGATCATCCCAGAAGGATAATGAAAGATAACTTTTCTCAAGATCACTAACCTTACTCATAAAGTAAGCTTATTGTTGTGTTCTTCAATCACATGTCTCATCTAGGCTTCCAGCCATTAGGCCTATAAAAAATCTACTGGGAGTTTAACATCTGTGAATAATTTTTAGATGACTGATGTGAAATTACTTCCCTCTTCCACACTCTCCCTAAAGCAACTTTAACATTGAGGCACTGCAACATTACATTTCAGTTTTATTTTATGAAGGGAACTCGTAGACCAAAGTATACGCCAGTGAATGTGTGTGTGCATGTGGGGGTGTGTGTGTTTGTGTGTGTGTGAACTTTTTCATGGATCTAAATCTAGAGGAAAAGAACACAATACTAATAATGATTATGTCTAAGAGATGTAAGTAAATGTAATCTTCCTAAATAGTTCACAATGAGCATCTATGATGAACTCATCTATCCCAATGAGCACCTCATCACAATGAGCACAATGAAAAACATGGCATGGCTATTTTAAAAGTAAAAGCATAGACATATTTATGTGTATGTGTGTGTGTGTGTGTGTGTGTGTGACATAAACAACTTTAAATTGCTAACAGCAATAATTTTCAGGAGTTAGAATTATGGTTAATTTTTAACTCATTTCTAATTTTGCTAAAACGTGAGTATATTGCTATCATAATCTAAAATATACATTCAGCAACTGTAAATGAGCTGCAATTGTAGAGCAATTTTACAAATGCATGTTATTATCAAGTTCAGGCTGTTTCTTCAAGATGACTACCTGAACAAAACACAAGCTTTCTAAATTACAGGACAGATTTTTGACTCTTTACAAGTATCAGTGCTGACCATCATAGGATAGACAAATGAGTCATCTTTGGCATACTAAAGGAGAGACTAAAGTTAGAGGTTTAAAAGTGAGATTCAGCCATATACATTTCTATTGAACATACTTTCAGTTAGCACCTGCTATGTGCTAAAAACTATGCCAGATACACAAAGAAAGAAAGCACCCTTTCCCTCCTGAGATTCTGATGGTTAGGAAGTCAGATAAGCCAATAGTAACACAATGTCATTGATGAGGTAATATCTATATACAAAGAGGCCCCTGCACAGAGAGAAACGCACTGTCTTACCAGTGATGGATAAACCAACAGAGTGACATGTGGGCTGGATCTTGATGGGTCTTTATGTATCCACCAAGTATGCACAAGAAATGTGCCTCTATCCAGTGGGGAAACAACACAGCAAAATGCATGAACACTGAACAAATAATATAGAAAGAATATTCTCTCTTTTCAAGATGGTTCAAGATAGTTCTATTGGTCTTTTTAAGACATACACACACACATTCTCTTCAGAAGTGGAACTGGAGCAGTTACTTTTCTCTCATGCTGAATAAATATTTCTATGGAAACCCTTAGCATGAAAAAAATATAACAAACAAAAAGCATACAAATATATACAAAGGCTGTCTTTTGTTTCACACTAGAGGGTAGAGGAGAAGACAGGGAGACAGGGAACAACATTAACACTTTCAGATTCTCACATATTCCAGGCAGGTTCTAAAAGTGCTAAAGGTAGAGAAAGGGGTTCTTCAGAAGGCTGACCCCTTTCTCCTTGTGCCCAAAGCTGGGCCAACACTTCCACCGGCATATCCCAGCAGGGCAAACTAGCATTGACTCCTTGCATTTTCATTTGCCTAATGCTTAACCAAATAATCGGCCTCAGGGGCCTGTCTTTATAGGGAACCAGTTGGATTTATTGATATTTCCCAGACAGGCAGAACTGGAGAGCCCAAAACCATTGAGGATATCGGATGTTCAGATAGTCTTGCTAGACCATCACTGCCTTCATTTAATCACTATGAAGAATTTGCTTTGGCCAACAATAAATCCAAAGCCTTTAGTCTCTGTGTTATGACATATTCTAGTTAAAGGATGGGAATCTTAGTATGAACTACCTCTTATCTGGCCCTGGGAAAGGGCCATCACAGCAATTCTCACCAAAATAGAAAAGGGTACACAAAGGGCTGGGCACCCAAGTACAATAGAGGGATAGATATATAGAGAAATTGGATGCAGAGAGGGAAGGGGGTATGGGGGGAGGGAGAGAAAGAGAGATTATAGATAGTTTCACCAATCTCCTCAAAGGTATAAGCTATGACTCATTTCCTTGTCTGTCAAAGTATATGATAGGCTATTAGAGGCCACAGAATTATATTCAGGATGGTTTGGTTGTAGTCTTGGGTTCAAATGATATTCTTGTATCAGACCATAGCCCAATTCAAGTTCAGAAAATAAGATAATTATTCAATCTGTATGTGTGCATTCTGGCAAAAGAGTGTTCATCTGAGAAGCAACATAGAGAAGTTTGGTTCTAGCAATAAACAGCACATGTAAAGCACTTATTAAATGTCTTGCAGTAGGAAAATCTCACAAAGCGCTAACCTCTCATGTTCAACAAGAGGAGGGTTAGATTTGCTATGTTAAATGCAGAGAAAAAACCAATTTCAGTGAAACAAAGCACATTATTTTGCTACTTAATATTCTTCAGGAGTGTATGACTCTGCTGCAATAAGATATGATTTTTAAAAATCCAATATATAAATCCTTCCATTCATTTATACATTCATTAACTAAAGGATTAATTAATTAATCCCCCAAATTTTAGTATTTAGTAAATATGCTCCAAAAAATGGGAGAAGATAAACATTAAACAGACAAAAAATACCAACAAATAAGTAACAGGAGAAAATAATTAAATATCTTCTGCTACATGCTGCAGACAGAAAAAAGAACATTTTGGAAACTTCTCTAGTATATTAAAATTAAAAAGTAGATTTTTTTCTATTTTTTATATAGCACTAAGAGAAAAAAGTTTTTGTTTTTGTTTTCATTTTTACCAGAGACAATTACTTTCAACAGTCAAACAGGGATAAAAAGAGTTCTTTTCAAACACTTTAGTCTCTCAAATAAAAGTGTTGCCAGGGGCTCATTGAGAGATCTCATAGCAGCAATCCTGCATTCACCAAAAACTTTTGTTTCCAAAGAGAAACAGAACATGAAGTTTCAACACATCATTGTGATATGATTACCTCAAAAGTTTTCAAAAAGATTGAGAGTCTGCAAAATTAAAGGCTCCGGGAAAAAAAAATATAATGCTATTATGAAAGAAAAATCAGGACAAATGAGAGTAAGTGAAGATAATGATGTTCTGATTCTGTTGACATCATATCAGTCCATGGTGACTGCATTAGTTTCCTGTTGCTATTTTGACAAATCAATGCTAATTCAGTGGCTTGAATCAACACCAATTTTACATGTCAGAATGTCAACATCAGCTTTACTAGGCTAAGACGAAAGTGTCTGCCAGGACTGTGTTGCTTCTCGAGATTATGGAGAAAATCTTGCTCCCTCACCTACACTTTGTTCTAGAGGCTGCTTGCAGACCATGATTTGGGGTGCTGTTCCACCACCTTCAAAATCTGTTATGCTGCTGTAGAATCCAAGGAAAATCTTCCTCCTTGCCCTCTCGAGGTTCACCGAAAAATCAACTGACAGCGGCAGATTAATAAGGGAAATGGCATACCAAATTATTAAACGTGCACATCGGGGAGAGCCACAGTTATTAGCCCAATGCCCCAGTGGAGTTCAGAAGCTTATATGCCATCTTGCGGTGACAGAAAGAATGGGAACTTGGATCCTGGCAAAAACGGTTATGGGAGCGGGAGAAGAGGAGGACTGGCTAGCAAAGGTGGTCTTGATATGTAAATGAACCCTGACAGGTAGCAGCTCTCAGAGAGAAGGATTGGAAAATGTTTCTTTCAGACCTTTAGAGGTGTTAGACTCTCAGTTAATCTTCCCTAGTTCTGGACAAGGGAAGGCCTCAGAGAAAGCACGTCTGCATCAATGCAGATTCTCTACAGATGCAAATCTCCCCCACAAAAGACAGCTCAGCAGGGCTACTTCTGTCTGCAGGCCTTCTGAATAGTCCTCACAAAATATGTCAAAGAAGTATATTTGGGGTATACTTCTTTATTTTATAATTTTTGATATTCTAATCAAAATTAAAATATTTTGATTTCATTCAATGCTATCTCCATGAACCTGCTCTGTTGGCACATCTATCTCTGATCAATCAGGAAAGGTTCTCGACTCTTAAGGATTCTTGTGATTAGATTGGGCCTACCCAGATAGCCCAGGATAACCTCCTCATCTCCAGGCCCTTCGCCTTACTCACATCTGTAAAGTCCCTTTTGCCACATAAGGTAACATATTCACAAATGCCAGGGATTAGAACCTGGACATCTTTGGGGGTCATTATTCTCCCTACCACAGTGCCATCACCACCATATTTTTTTATTTAACCCCATATTGGTTTTACAACCTCCACTTATTATTATTTTTATTGTCCATCAGGAGCTAAAGGGTAATCTTTTTTATGTAATTCAGACATACATTCACTTATGACACATATTTACTTATTAAACATTCAATAAATAATGTATTCCAAAACTCCCTTTATACACTTCCACTGCACTAAGCAACTCTCATTCATTTATGTATTTATTTAATTGTAGCTGTCTCCCCAGCTAGGATCTAGAGAGTACAATCTGTTTCTATCACTTAGGGTTTTATCCTCAGTGGCTAAAACAATATTTAGCATAAAATCTTTACAAATAAATATTTGTTAAAAAAAGGAATGGATAAGCAAATGTTTATTGTGTAGTAACTATTTGCCAGGGCTCAATGCTTGTGTACATAAAGGCATGCAGGTGGAAAGACCATCAGAGGAAGAGGCAGTATGGATATGCAGATGTTGCTGCTCTAGAAGTTATGTTCAGAAAGTCAGCATGATTTATTCTTTCTGCCCACAGTCACTTTGTCACCACTGGTCAACAATCACCACATTCAATATAGGAGGGCAAAACTAACTTCTGGAACCCAAAAGTAAATGCAAAGAATTTTCAACATTAGCAAATACAGGATTCTAGTTCTAAGTTTGCCATTTAGCCATCATGTCACCTTGCCTATGAGTTAGAGGCTAAGCATTCTGGAAATGGATGCAGTCTGTAACCACAGAACTGGAACTATCTAAGAGATTCCTGACCTTTACTCCTTTTGAGGGATGAATTCTGTTACATGGGGCACAGTGAATCAGCTCTCTGATCAGCCCTGACATTGTCTCCTAGCAGAACACAGCAGTGAGGTCATTCCACTTCAAGATCAGAAAGGCATAAATAGCCATGCCACGACCCAAGCCTGAGAGGAAAGAAGTTAAAGAATATGAGCTCAGGCAGATGATACAACAATTGTCATTCCCCCAGGGGCATAATCTTTCTCTGGATTGTGCATCTGTCTGTGCACATAATTTATGTGTGTACCTGTATCCTGTGGATAATAAAACTTTATTTTGTATGACATCTCTCATACTGCACTCCTAAATATTTAATAGAGTTAAATAATGCAGTTACTGAGAAGAGTAATAGGAGGCAGCAGGGGAAAATTAAAAGGCAGCAACAAACATTAAGAGTTATGCTTTGGAAAGAGTCTAAGAATGATTTCTTCTTATTTCCACTGACTTCCCAGAAAGCAATCCTGAAGCCAGAGTGAATCAAAATTAGTAATAATCTAAGAATATGAAGAAGATTTCTGCAGGATCACTCTGTCTCTAACAACCCATATGACCTTGGATAGGACACTTAAGCCATCTGAGCCCTAATTCCACTGGAAAGTGGAACAATACATATCTCAGTAGCAGTTGTCAGGTTAAAAAACTGGCTAAGATATGTAAAATGACAGTGAAGTGTGTATTACACTAAACAAATTTCTTTACTGGCAAAAGGAAATTAGATGAGGAGAACAGAATGAGATACACACGAAAGATATGAAGAGACCAGCGTGACAGGTTTAGAGATTAGCAAGCAGCAGATTAAGATCAATTCACGTGGCCACAAAGCAGAAATCCAGTTCCAAAGGACTTGAGAGTCAATTGGTGAAGCAAGTAGCTGGAAGGCAGGCCATCGGCCACCAGCATGTACTGTGGTCAATCAGTGGATAAGCTCCCGTTGTTCTCTGCAGCCATTCTTTTCTTTTTTTTTTTTTTTTTTTTAGATGAAGTTTTGCTCTTGTTGCCCAGGCTGGAGTGCAATGGCGCGATCTTGGCTCACTGCAACCTCGGTCTCCCGGGTTCAAATGATTCTCCTGTCTCAGCCTCCCGAGTAGCTGGGATTACAGGCATGCACAACCATGCCTGGCTAATTAATCATTTTTAGTAGAGATGGGGTTTCTCCAGGTTGGTCAGGCTGGTCTTGCACTCCCAACCTCAGGTGATCCACCCACCTCGGCCTCCCAAAGTGTTGGGATTACAGGCATGAGTCACTGTGCCCGGCCATGCAGCCTTTATTTTCTACTATTGCCCAATGGCATTTTAATGATAGAATAACATATCTCTTTACTATTCTTATTGATTTTCCCACCAACCTAATTAATTCACATCATCTCAACTCTAAGCATGTAGCTTTTGACTGGCTGGTAGTCCTCTTATTCCAGTTGACTCTCTACAAGCACATGTTTGAATTGCAGAGATCCACCTATAGGTGGCTTTTCTTCCATCTCTGCCACCCCTGAGACAGTGAGACCAAACCCTCCTCTTCCTCCTCCTCCTCCAACTACTCACCATGGAGATGGTAAAGATGAGGACCTTTATGACCACTTCCACTTAATGAATAGTAAATATATTTTCTCTTCCTTATAATTTCCTTAATAACATTTTCTTCTCTCTAGCTTATGCTAGCGTAAGAATGTAATACATGTAACATACAAAATATGAATTAATTGACTGTTTATGTTGTCAGTAGGCTTCTGATCAACAGTAGGCTATTAGTAGTTCAGTTTTTGAGATGTCAAAATTTATAAGTGGATTTTTGACTGCATTGGTGGGGTGACGGTTCCCCAACTTCTGCATTATTTAAAAGTCAACTCTGCATACTATTTCTTTTTGTTTTTAATACTTTAAGTTTTAGGGTACATGTGCACATATTATTTCTTAAAAATAGAAATTACTTCTTACATTTGTGGCCAAAACCTATCCCTTTTAGGCTCACATTGGTATCACCTTCTCTAGAAAGCTTCCCTTTCCTCATATAAAGACGCTTTTTGTCCTTAATTATATAATCCTCGGTTTTCTGTGGTGTCTAGTCCAGCTGCAGCAGCATCCGATGGAATTTATTATAGTGTAAATACCTAAGGGCCAACTCAGACCTACATAAAATAATCAGATCCTAATCTTCTAGGATGGAACATAGATGAAGAGCCAAGAAGGAAGGTGCTGGATCTTGCAGCCATGAAAATGTTTTTTTCTGATCATACTCTTTCCCACTGAACACCGGTTTTCAAACTCAGTTTACACCAGAATCATCATGAAATATGTCGTAGAATCTTAGCTCTTATTTATACCAATTAGTCTATGGAAAAATTGGTTTCATTATACATCGTTTCGCTTAAAGTCTCATTTTTCAAGAACTTATCAATGACATTGAGGACTTACTGTATTCAATATGAATGATATTATATCCTATGTATTCTATTGTGTTGGGCAGGCTCCTTTAACCTAATACAATATTTTTGATATTAATGTTTTTGATTAATATGGTAGACTTTTTCAAATTGCTATCAAGTATTCAATTGTATGGCTGTAACACAATTTGTTTATCCATTCACAAGTTGAAGGACTTTATTTTCCAGCTGGAGGCTGTTATGATTAAACTTGCTAGAAAATTGGTATATATTTTTTAAATGTTTGAATCTTATTCTCCCACTAGCAATGTATCAAGACTCCAGTTTTCCCATCTCCTTAGATATGTTTTTATTAGTTATTTTTAATTTTCACCATTCTAGTAAGCATGAAGTGGAATATCATTGTAACTATAATTTCCATGTCCCTGACTAATAGTGATGCCGAATATCTTTTCATGCCTTACAGACCATTTGTATGTCTCATTTTTTAAAGAGTCTATTCAATTATGTTACCTAGTAATTATTATATTGTTAAATATTGATTTATAAATATTCTTTATGTATTCTGGGTAGAGTTCCTTTTTCATATATTGCTGCAACTATTTTTCCTAGAGAGTAGCTTGCCTATTTGTGTCCTTAATCTTGTCATTTGATAAGTAAAATTTTTAATTTTGATAAAATCCAATTTTAGACTTTTTTATGGTTTGTGCTTATTTTATCCTGTCCATGAAATCTGTACTTACCACAAAATTATAAATTTTCTATTACAGTCTCTAGAAGCCTTATGATTCTGAATTTCATGTGTAGGCCTATGATCCATTTCAGAATACTCCTTGTGTCTGAGAAGGAAAAGTGTCAATGTTCATATGAAAACACAAAACAGTTTTTGTGAAAACACTTGTAAATTTTTTTCTCATTAATTGCTCTGGTATATTTGTTGAAAATAAACTGCCTACACACACACACAGACACACACACACACACACACACACACACACATCATATATATCACATATGACTTTCTATTGTTACACAGAAATATTTATGCAGCCTTTAATCAATGATTGTTTAGTATAGCTTTCGAGTAAATCTTAAAATCAAGTAATACGTCTTCCAACTTAGTTCATTGTTTTCAAGATTTTTTTCTGCTGATTAACAAACTTAACCTTTCCAAATAAATTTTAGAATTTATTTTAAATGAAAAGCCTGTTGGAAATTTGGTAGAAATTCCATTAAACCTTTAAATAAATGTAGAGAATGGGCAATGAACAACTTTGGGTCTTACAATCCCTGAACATAATGGATTTCACCATTTATATAATTTCTCTCAATAGTTTTATAGTTGTTTGGTCTTACATGTCTGTTTTTCCATTTATTCCTAGGTGTTTCACAATTTTTATGCCATTTATATTTTTATTAAATAAAAGTAAAATGCTGAATCCTCTCTTCAGTGTGCAATTCTGAGAGTTTTAACAAGATACACAGTCCTTTAGCAATCACCATAATTAAAGTGTAGAAGAGATCAAATGTCCTGTGCTCCTTTGCACAAATGTAGAACAGACCAAAAATGTCTTGTGTTCCTTTGCAGTCTCATTCTTCCAACTCCTACCCCTAAATAGCCACTGATAGGTTTACCTTGATCAGAATCCTATATAAATAGAGTAATAGAGTTTACATCCTTTTGAGTCTGATGTTTTTAGCACAGAATGGTACATAGTTTGCTCCTTTTTATTGCTGAGAAATAATCTATTGTATGAATGCATCACAGTTTATTTAACCATTTAGCAAATGAAAGATGTTTGTGCTTTTACCAGGTTTAGGTGATTTTTAATAAACTATTCATGAACAGGTTTTCTTCACAAGGGTAAATAACAGGAGTGATATTGCTGGGACATATGGTAATTAATAATAATAATAAACTTAATGAGAAATTGCCCAACCAATTTCAAAAATGGTTATACCATTTTGGATTTATGCCAGCAATGTACACAATTCCAGTGGTTCTGCATCCTCACCAGGACTTGGTATGGTCAGTTATTTGGATGTTTGTACTGTTGATTTTGAATAGGACTTTATATAATATAGAAACTACTCCTGTGTCAGATATGTCAGTTGCAAATATTTTCTCACATTTTGTAGTTTGTTTTTGTATCTTTTTCACATAGGCTTCCACACAGCAGAAGTTTTTATTTTGATGAAGTCCTATTTGTTAGTTTTTCCTTTTCTAGGTAATTCTTTCTTGTCAAGTTTAAGAACTCCTTGCCTTGCCTATATACTGAAAACTTTCTTCTATTTCTGTTGTGCATTTTTTTTTTGGTGGGGGAGTTAGGGAATTAAATGCTTTTCTCCAAATGTTTTATAGTTTTATGTTTACATTTAAGTCTATTTCAATTTTTGTATGATATTTAGTTCAAGGTTTCTTTCATTTTTCTTCCTTGTAAACTTCCAATTGTTCCAGTACCTTTAGCTGAAATTGAACATTTTTGCTTCTTTGTCAAAAATCAGTTGAGCATAAGTTTGTGAGTCTTTATCTGAGTTCATTAAGTTTCTTTGTCTCCACCAATATGCTACTACACTCTTCTGCAAATTAGGATGGTGGTACGTTTATCTAGTTATTGAGATCTTCTTCGATTTCTATCATCAACATTTTAAAATACTTCATATACAGATCTTTTGCATGTTTGTTAATAGCGTACTGAAATATGTTACTATATTTGGAACATTTGTAGATGGTATTGTGCTTTTAATTTTGTTGATTGCATGAGTATTTTTAGTACATATAAATGTGATCAACTTTTTGTTGATCTTTTATCCTGTGTTCTTGCTTAACTTACATATAAATTCCAGGAGGAGTTATTAATATTATTAGATTTCTTGAGATTTTTTACATAGACAATTATGTCATGCCATCTGCAAATAGAGATCATTTTATTTATTTATTTCAAATCTGTATGTCTTATACATTACTTTTTTACCTTAATTACAGTGGCTAGAACTTCAATAACATGTTGAATAGGAATAGTAAGAATGGGCATTCTCGCTTGTTCTGTATTTTAGGAGGAAAATAATCAGTCTTTTATCTATAAATATGCTGTCATTGTAATTTTTTTTGTATTTAATAATTGTTCTTTATCAAGTTGAGATAATTCCCCTCTATTTTTATTTTATAAGGCTGTTTCATGACTGGATGTTAACTTCTGTCTAATATTTTTTCGCATTAGTTGATAGATAATTTTTTCTTTAGGTTTTGATCTGGTAGGTTATATTGATTGACCAACCTTCAAACATTAGGCCATCCTGACATTTGTGGAATATTTCCTATTTGGTCATGGTGTATTAGTCAGGGTTCTCTTAGAGGGACAGAACCACAAGGTCCCACAATAGGCTGTCTGCAAGCTGAGGAGAAAGGAGAGCCAGTCTGAGTCCCAAAGCTGAAGAACTTGGAGTCTGATGTTCAAGGGCAGGAAGCATCTAGCACAGGAAAAAGATGTAGGCTGGGAGGCTAGGCCTGTCTCTCCTTTTTATGTTTTTCTGCCTGCTTTATATTCTCTGGAATCTGATTAGATTGTGCTCACCAGATTAAGGATGGGTCTGCCTTCCCCAGCCCACTGACTCAAATGTTAATATATTTGGCAACACCCACACAGACACACCCAGGATTAATACTTTGTATCCTTCAATCCAATCAAGTTGATGCCCAGTATTAACCATCACACATGGTATATAATTTTTTCTAAACATTGCTTGATTAAGTAAGCTAATATATTGAAGGGGATTTTATAGCTAAATTCATGAGAGATATTGGCCTTCATTATTAATACTATTTTATACTTTTTGGGGTATCAAGGTAATACCAGTTTCATAAAATGAGTTATAAAGTGTTCCCTCCTCTATTTCTTTTTTTTAAGATACAGCGATAGACTGGACTGCACTTTTTTCTAGTAGATATTGTCAAACTGATATTATTTAAATTGATGAAATTCTCCAGTGAAAAAATTTAGTTTTAGATTTTTTTGGAGGGTGGAAAATTTTAATTATAAATTCAATTTCTTGAAGTTTATGAAGTTATTCAGATTATTTCATTTTGGTTGTGTTGGTAAATTTTAGAATTTATGGAATCCATTCAAGAATCCACTTCTTACAGGTTTTTAAATTCATGTCTGTGTGTTTGTAAAGTTATTCATAATGTGATATTATCTTTCTGATGCCTGTAGGATATATTTACCTATTTTATTCTTGATATTAATGATTTAGGTTGTCTCTCTTTTTATCTTTGTTAATTTTGCTAAAGGCTTATCAATTTTATTGATTTATTCGGATAAATACTTGTTCCACTGATTTTCTCAATATTCTGTCTTTTTCACTTTAATTTTTTAGTTCTGATATTATTTTCTTCCTTCAGCTTGCTTTCAGTTTAATTTGCTCTTCCTTTTTCAGTGTCTTGAGGTAAGAACATCTATTACTAATTTAAGACCTTTCTCCTTTGTAATGAAAGCATTTAGTGCTGTAAATTGTCCTCTAAATTTTGCTCTAGCTGCTCCCTACAAATCACTATAAGTTGACTTTTCTATTTTATTCTTTTTTATATATTTTTACATTTCTTTTTGAACATTTTTTCTGACACATGGGTTATTTAAAAGTTCACTATTTAATTTTAAGGCTTAGAAATTTTTTTATCATTATACTACTGATTTCACTTTTTAAAAATTTTATATTAATTTAAAATACTTTATGTTTGTTTTATAGCCAAGGATATGGTACAACTTGGTGAATATTTCATGGGCTCATGAAGTGAAAAACAATATGTATTCTGCTGTAGTTGCACCTGTGTAGTGTTTTGTATATGTCAATAGATTCTGCTAGTTTGTTTAGTTATATTTCTGCCCAACTTGAAAAAAGATAGGCTCTTTTTAGTTATGTCTCTAACTAAATGGTGAGGAAAATGCTCAGTCTGGATGTCCTCCCTCTGTTGGTACTTTTGGAACAACAGACACCCTGTCTTTGTTTCATTCCTCCTGTCCTAGGACCCTTGATTTATTTTTTTCGATTACTTTTCAGAGTTCTTTTTTTGTCTCTTTTGTCACTTCCAGAATTTATAGTTGCATATAAGGGTTTGGAACAGGGAAAACTGGGGTATGTCATTTCATCCAAACAAAGTTGTTCCACATGTTTTTAGACATTGTACCTTCATGTTTATTCATCTCTATGTATTTTTATTTTTATAAGATTCCTTGTTTGACCAATAAATTTTTTAGAAATTTGTTGTTTAATTTCCATGTGTTGTGATTTTCCTGTTGTCATTCTTCTATTGATTTCTAATTTGATTCTATTACTGTAGATGACATTATATTCATACATTAAGAACTGACATGAAGTGAACAAATTAAGAGGCAAATTATCAATTCTTACTTAAAAATAAATAATCAAAATGATATTGTATTTATGGAAATGAATTGGACTTGCAGTTTACACCCTTTCAACCAGGAAATTTCCAGGACTTAAATGACTTCACTGGGCAATTCTATCAAACAGTTAAGAAAGAAGTAATACCAATGTACAAAAAAGCTTCCAGAAGATAGATGCAACCGGCATGAATTTAATACCAAAAGTAGATGAAAATATGAAATTGTCATGAGAAAAGGTGTAAAATCTTAACAAAATATTAGCAAGCTGTATTCAGTAATATATAAAAATAGATAATGCATCATAACTGAATGAGATTTGTCTCAAGAAGGCAAAGCTTATTTAACATTCAAAAATCAATAAGTGATTCACATTCACCAAGATCGACCATCCTTAGCCATGAAAAAATCTCAGCCTTTTTAAAATAATTGAAATTACACAATGTGTGTTTCATGACAATAATGGAATTTTAACCATCTATTTTGTCACTTTTCTGAGTTTCGCTGTTGGGATGAGCAAGTTTGTCTTTGCAAATGTCTATATCCGAAAAAGAAATGGGGCCATTACATTATGTGAAATTATTTGTTTACCAACCAATTACCTCTACAGTAGACTCTGCAATCCTTCAGATCAGAGACTGTGTGTTTTCCTTTTTGTGTCTTCAGCAACTAGCAGATGCAAGGAATTGAGAAGATAAATAAATACTTGACAAATAAATGAAGGAATATGCAGATGAGCTCCACACTTAGATGAGCTCCCACGGAAGACAAATACTATGGTCTTAAAGGACATTTGTTCAAAGTCCATTAAGAGTTCTTTGTAAAATTTCTTATTATTTTTAGAGCATGCAAAATTACATAATGTAAATTTAAAGGACAAGATCAGGACTAGTTTCATCGATGATCTTCAGAAGTTTTAATCTACATCATCCATGTTTTAGAACAAATAATTCCCACTATGCAAACTTTTTTTAGGATAAATAATTCCCACTATGCAGCCATAAAAAAGAACAAGATCACATCCTTTGCAGAGACTTGGATGGAGCTGGAGGACATTATCCTTAGCAAACTAACTCAGGAACAGAAAACCAAATACCAATTGTTCTCACTTATAAGTGGAAGCTAAATGATGAGAACGCATGGACACACAGAGGGGAACAACACACACTGGGGCCTACTACCAGAGGGTGGAGGTGGGAAGAAGGAAAGGATCAGGAAAAATAGCAAATGGATACTAGGCTTAATACCTGAAATAATCTGTATAGCAAACCCCCATAACACATGTTTACCTATGTAACAAATCTGCACATTCTGTTCCTGTACCCCAGAACTTAAAAGTTACAAAAATCAGAATAAATAATTCTCTAAAAATCACTTGTTTTAAAAAACTTCTATGTTCTAATGTCTATTAAGCTCTATAAGCTTTCTTCCCCATGTAAGGTAACTTAATTCCTTTCTGTAGTGTCCTCAGAAAAGGAGAATATTAACACCTCATAGGCATCTATCTCCCCATTATGTATGAAATAGATGTGAAAATCTTGAACTTAAAATTAATTTACTAAATGAAAAAAAAAATTAGGAAAGTTGAAACTACCTTGATAATTATGTATGTTCTCTGGAATTGAATCAGAGAAAACACTGCCAGAAAATGACTTGAGTAGTTCTAATTAGGTATATAAAGAGTACAATGATACTAGGATGTTTTTGCTTGTTTTTCACTTTCTAAATAAAAAGAAATAAGATTAAAATGAATCAGAGTCAGACTAAATATTATAAATCATTTATGTTCTTTCTTGCATGACATATATGTAATACATAATTTCTTACCTGAAACATCCAGGCTGAGATATAGCAAGCAACAAAGCAAAAGATTTTATGTATAATCTTTCCTATTGCCATTTGGTTCCAAACAAATTCCAAAATTACTTTCTTCACTGACAATGATGCCCATGTGTGGTAATTATAGAATATCCTGATGAGGAAGTAAATCAGAGATTAATTTTTTCTTTTTTTTTTTTAGACACAAATGTGCTGAGCTTTAGTCTTGATTCTAGTGATAGAAAAACTCTTCTGTGTGGAAAGTAACATTGATCTGCAAGTGTCAGATTATCTTTAAACTTATTTCCTTATACAATGTAGCAGCAAGAGTCATCTGTCAGCAAGTCATATACATTACCTGAACTCAAACCAATTACACCATATTGGATATGACAATATGAACCCACTGGGACCAAAATGAGCCAGCTGAGTACCCACAAAAGTCTGGACTAGGTGAGCCAGGGAGAGTCCAGGGGAATTACTTCAGGGAGAGCTGACAGTTGCAACTGAAGATACTAAGAGCAGAGATAAATCCCACGGAGGACCAAGACCACAAGAAAACTTGTCCAGAATATAGAAGCCTCTAAAAAATGTAGCAGGAATAACTCACACTCCCCTTTACTTTTATAAAATTCAAGTTCTTCAGTAAAGTAGTCCCTCCTTATCCAAGGTTTCACTTTCCAAGATTTCAGTTACCCATAGTCCACCTCAGTCCAAGAATATTAAATGGGAAATTCCAGAAATAAACAATTCATAAGTTTTAAATTGCACACACGATTCTGAATAGTGTGATGAAATCATGTGCTGTCCAGCTTTGCCTCACCCAGGACGTGAATCATCCCTTTGTCCAGCATATACATGCTGTATACTTACTTCACAGCCTTCTCGGTTACCAGATTGACTGCAGCATCACAGAATTTGTGATCAAGTAAACTTTATCGTACTTTAATTACAGCATGTTGCTATAATTGTTCTATTGTATTATAAGTTATAATCTTACAATCTCTTACCTAATTTATGAATTAAACTTTATCATTGGTACATACATATATTAAAGAAAAAATATAGTATATAAAAGATTCAGTATTATCTATCCTCTGTGGATAAGGCGGGGACTACTGTATGACAAACAGGCCCTTCATTATCTGCTTTTCTCCTTAATTCATCTCCTATCAGATCCAGAAACCTTTTTTTTTTTTTTTTTTTTTTGAGATGGAGTCTTGCTCTGTCACCCAGGCTAGAGTGCAGTAGCATGATCTTGGCTCACTGCAATCTCCCCCTCCTGGGTTCAAGCAATTCTCCTGCCTCAGCCTCCGCAGTAGCTGGGATTACATGCATGCATCACCAAGTCCAGCTAATTTTTGTATTTTTAGTACAGATGGGGTTTTACCGTGTTGGCCAGGCTGGTCTTGAGCCCTTGACCCCGTGATCCGCCCGCCTCGGCCTCCCAAAGTGCTGGGATTACAGGCATGAGTCACCGCACCTGGCTCATAAGCTGAACTTTCTAATTCATATTCATCTTTTAAAACTCAGTTTATGCATTATCAATTCTAGGAAATCTAGTGTGATTCCTTCATCTGCATCTTTCTTCTTCATACCACCCCATAATCTTGCTGTTATTATTGTTGCACTTATGATATAGTAATTATCCAATTATTCATATTAAACAGGGAATATGAAGAGCTCACATTTTACACAGGACCAGAATTTCTTCTCTCTAGTATTTTCACTGGAGCATCATTGAGTTCTCCAACTCTGAAACAGCCTGCTTCAAGTAAGTGCCTCTCTTTCACTTCAAAACGTTTTTCTTTTTGGAAAAATGATACGTTTTGCATGTTGCCAGACTTAACCAATTTCTGCTGGCTTAACCAATTGCTAAAAATCAGTAAAGCAAGTAAAGCATCCCCATTAAATTGCCTTATAGCCCCTAGAAGTCACCTGCCATTCTTCAAATTCCTGTTCAAATTCCGTTTGTTCTTCCATATTTTCTTGGCATCCCTCTTTCAGTTAGCTAAGTTGATTGCATTCACATTTGTCCTTCTAAAATGTGTACTCACTAGCAATGTTACTGCACTTATAATTTCACTAGATTGATTTATTTATATGCAAACATCCCCACCTAACTTTACAAGGAAGCAAGCCTAGTTAGTTAACTTTTTTTTATCCATTTCACTGAATACAGGGCCAGGTGTATTACTGACACTAACTAGAAATGAAAAGTGGGTAAGAAAAGAAAAAAAGAAAAGAAGGACAGAAGAAAGGAAAAAAGAAGAAACAAGTTAGGGAAAGAAAAAGAGAAAATTAAATAGGGCTTAGATATTCATGTATTATCATACTCACATTGGACTTACCCAAAATTTCACCATTGAAATGTGCTGGAACTAGGATTCAAATAAATTCCAGAGTCTTCCTATGCCATTCTGTGGCTTCCAACATGGAGATGCCTATTACACAGTAGCCACACAAGAATTATGGTGGGTTTGTAACATACTGGCTACACTGTAAATATTGATAGACTTTTGGACATATAGTCTTTTTCATGGCTAAGCTCTAAAAGAAGTCAGCCTGCTAAAACATTAATAAGTGTAACTATATAGAAATGCTGGGGATAAGAGCATCATATTGGACACGAATTCAAAGTGCACAAGTCTTCTGAGAATCTTACTCTGCCCTACAGTGTATTGCCAGCAAGCTGATGCTGTAACTGTGTCTTCAAAGGTCATTCTATTCTTCTGTCAAGCCAGCTGCTTGAGAGTGGTGAGAAACATGTTAAGACAAGTGAATTCCATGAGCTAGGAACATTACCACTCTTCCTTTGCTGTGAAGTGAATTCTTTTATCAGAAGCAATGCAGTGTGGAATACCAGGACAGCAGATAGGCATTCTATAAGTGCACAAGTGGTAGTTTTACTGGAAGCATGTTGTTCAGGGAGGGTAAATCCTTATCGAGAGTATGTGTCTATTTCAGTTAAGAACAGAACACCGTCCATTCCGTGATGGAAGCAGTGCAATGTAAGCAACCTGCCACCAGGTATCAAGCTGATCCACCAGGAGAATGAGGCCATATCAAGGGCTCAGTGCTGGTCTCTCCTGCTGGCTGATTAGACACTCAGCCATAGCTTCAGCCTGGTTTGTTTGAGAGAGTGGAAGTCCATGTTTCTGAACCCATGTATCACCTTTATCCAACCACCATGGACACATTGCTCTGGAGCCCATAGGGCAATGCAAGGGATGACTAGAGAAAGAAGCTGACTGGTATCTGCACAAAGCGTTGTCCTATCCACTTGATTATTTAAGTTCTCCACAACTGAGTCACCCTTTGGTGAGAATTACCATAAACACAGATATCTTCATGGTTTTTATCCATTAAGAGAGGCCTATTCACATGCATCTCCCATAAGTTTCCTTGTCATCTATTTTCTAACTGTGTTCCTTTTAAGTACTTGACCATTCAGCCAAATGACTCAAGTCTGGGCCACAGCCATGAATCAGTATATAATGACATATTTGACTCATTCTCCTTCCAAGCAAAATGAACAACCTGGTGCACTCCTCAAACTTCTGTCCACTATGAAGGTCTCCTTTCACTACTGTCTTTCATGGGTGTGAGGGTTAATACAGAGTGTCAACTTGATTGGATTGTAGGATACAAAGTATTGATCCTGGGTGTGTCTATGAAGGTGTTGCCAAAGGAGATGCACCATTGAGTCAGTGGGCTGGGAAAGGCAGACTCTTAATCTGAGTGGGCACAATCTAATCAGCTGCCAGCATGGCTAGATTATAAGCCGACAGAAAAATGTGAAAAGAGAGACTGGCCTAACCTCCCAGCCTACATCTTTCTCCCATGCTGAATGCTTCCTGCCCTCGAACATCAGACTCTAGGTTCTTCAGTTTTGGAACTCGGACTGGCTCTTGTTGCTCTTCAGCCTGAGGAAGACCTATTGTGGGACCTTGTGATCATGTGAGTTAATACTTAATAAACTCCCCTTTATATATATCCATATATATGGATATATCTATTAGTTCTGTTTCTCTAGAGAACTCTAATACAGACTTTCATACCAGGAGTGGTTCTAGAGGAACAGAATATTAAGGATGGAGTTCTTTCGTTGGTTTTGGGGTTTCTGGAGTTGGCTCCTTAATATTATTAGACCCCAAAACACAAGGACTCTACTTCTAATAGTATAGAGAACACTGATAGTCCTTAGCATGAAAGCACTGATAGTCCTTATCGTGAACTGTTTGGACAGTTATGCAAAATAAATGCATTTGACACTCCTAATTCACCGCTCATGAGAGGCAAGGAGTTTAGTGACTCTATACATAATACCTTTGACCATATGTGGAGAACCAAGGCACGTAATGAAGTTGGTTGGTGGCTTCTAAGTTCAGTGGACAAAGTGATGAAAGACAATGATGAACTCAGGGATTCTATCTACCAGCATCAGAAGCAGATACTGAGCATCAAATCTGTTAAGATTGTCCTGAGTGAGAGTCTTACCTCATTTGGGCGTGTTACTCTGGCCCATTTATTGAGTGACCTGAAAGACTGTCTGTTTTGAGTGGGGTCCAGAAGAAGAGACAGTTCTGCAACAGGCTTCTGTGCAAGTTTCTCTGCCACTTGGGCCACATAACCCAGTAGATCCAATGGTGCTGGGTGTCAGTGGCAGACAGGGATGCTGTTTTGAGCCTTTGGTCATCCCCCATAGGTGAATCACAGTGGAAGCCTCTAGGATTTTGGAGCAAGGCCCTGTCTTCTTCTGCAGAGAACTACTCTCCTTTTGAGAGACAGTTCTTGGCCCATTACTAGGCTTTGGTGGAAACTGAAAGTTTGACTATGGGTCATTAAGTCACCATGTGATCTGAACTGCCTATCATGAATTGGATGCTTTCTGACCCATCTAGCCATAAATTGGGTTGTGCACAGCAGCATTCCATCATGAAATGGAAGTGATATATATGTGATCAGGCTCAAGCAGGTTCTGAAGGTACAAGTGAGTTACATGGGGAAGTGGCTCAAATGTCCGTGGTCTCTACTCCTGCCACCCTGCCTTCTCTCCCCCAGCCTGCACCGATGGCCTCATGGGGAGTTCCCTATGATCAGTGGACATATGTAGAGAACCAAGGAACGTAACGAAAACTAGGGCCTGGTTCACAGATGGTTCTGCACAATATGCAGGCACCACCCAAAAGTGGACAGCTGTAGCACTACAGACCCTTTTTAGGACATCCCTGAAGGACAGCAGTGAAGGGAAATCTTCCCAGTGGGCAGAACTTCGAGCAGCACACCTGGTTGTACACTTTGCATGGAAGGAGAAATGGCCAGATGTGTGATTATATACTGACTCTTGGGCTGTAGCCAATGGTTTGGCTGGATAGTCAGGGACTTGGAAGAAACATGATTGGAAAATTGATGACAAAGAAATTTGCAGAAAAGGTATGTGGATGGACCTCTCTGAATGGTTCAAAACTGTGAAGATATTTGTATCACATATGAGTGCTCACCAATGGTTGACTTCAGCAGAGGAGAAGTTTAATAATCAAGTGGATAGGATGACCTATTTTGTGGACAGCACTCAGCCTCTTTCACCCACCACCCCTTTTATTGCCCAATGAACCCATAAACAAAGTGACCATGGTGGCAGGGATGGAGGTTATGAATGGGCTCAACAACATGGACTTCACTCACCACGGCTGACCTGGATACGGCTACCGCTGAGTGCCCAATTTGCCAGCAGCAGTGACCAACACTGAGCCCTTAATATGGCACCATTCCTTGGGGTGATCAGCCAGCTACCTGGTGGCAGGTTGATTATATTGGACCTCTTCCATCATGGAAAGGGCACAGGTTTGTCCTCACTGGAATAGACACTTACTCTGGATATGGGTTTGCCTATCGTGCACACAATGTTTCTGCCAAGACTACCATCAGTGGACTCATGGAATGCCTTATCCACAGTCATGGTATTCCACACAGCATTGTCTCTGACC
The DNA here is from genome assembly GCF_000001405.40 of Homo sapiens. Classification (NCBI taxonomy): domain Eukaryota; kingdom Metazoa; phylum Chordata; class Mammalia; order Primates; family Hominidae; genus Homo; species Homo sapiens. The sequence continues at coordinate 123,497,976 of NC_000002.12, read as the reverse complement.
AATGCACTCACTTTATGGCTAAAGAATTGCAGCAGTGGGTTTATGCTCATGGAATTTACTGGTCTTACCATATTCTCCATCATCCTGAAACTGCTAGATTGATAGAACAGTGGAATGGCCTTTTGAAGTCACAATTACAGTGCCATTAGTATGTCACTAGGTGACAATACTTTGCAGGGCTGGAGCAAAGTTCTCCAGAAGGCCATGTATGCTTTGAATCAGTGTCCAATATATGGTACTCTTTATCCCATAGCCAGGATTCATGGGTCCAGAAATCAAGGGGTGGAAGTGAAAGTGGCACCACTCACCATCACCCCTAGTGATTCATTAGCAAAATTTTCTCTTCCTCTTCCCATGACATTATGTTCTGCTGGCCTAGATGTTTTAGTTCCAGAGGGAGACATGCTGCCACTGGGAGACATAACAACGATTCCATTAAACTGGAAGTTAGGATGGCCACCTAGACACTTTGGGTTCCTCCTATCTTACGTCAACAGGCTAAGAAGAGAGGCACAGTGTTGGCTGGAGTGATTGACTCAGACTATCAATATGAAATCAGTCTACTACTCCGTATCTGAGTAAGGAAGAGTATGCATCAAATACAGGAGATTCATTAGGGCGTCTCTTAGTATTACCATGTTCTGTGATTAAGGTCAACAGGAAACTACAACAGCCCGATTCAGGCAGGACTACAAATTACACAGACTCTTCAGGAATGAGGGTCTGGGTCACTCCAGCAGGAAAAAAACAAAACAAAACAAATATATATATATACACATATATATATTTATATAACATAACCTGCTTAGATGCTTGCTGAAGGCAAAGGGAATACAAAATGGGTATGAGAAGAAGGTACTCATCAATACCAGCTATGACCACATGACCAGCTGTAGAAACGGGGAAGTAATTGTCATCAGTATTTCCTCCGTTTGTTAAAAAACATTTGTTCATGTAATGTATATGCTTGTACTAAGAAAATATCTTCATTTCATTCCCTTTCTCCTTTATCATGACACATAAGATTTACTGACTTCTTATCCGCTTTTAAGTGTTGTTAACTTTATGTAATAGTAATAGTATTTGGGTTGGGGATTGGTGCATTTCTGGTTGTGCAAAGGATATTTGTATTATGTTAGGCATAATTATGACCCTATTATTGTCTTTATTTGAAGGTTATGTATGACCTTAGGATATGTGTATTGTTTCAAATTGACAATTGATGGACTTGTGATGGTTAATGCTGAGTGTCAACTTGATTGGATTGAGGGTTACAAAGCATTAATCCTGGGTGTGTCTGCGAGGGTGTTGCCAAATGAGATTAATTGTTGAGTCAGTGGGCTGGGAAAGGCAGACCCACCCTTAATCTGGATGGGCACAATCTAATCAGCTGCCAGCACAGCTAGAATATAAGCAGGCAGAAAAATGTGAAAAGAGAGACTGGCCTAGCCTCCCAGCCTACCTCTTTCTCCCATGCTGGATGCTTTCTGCCTTCGAGTAGCAGACTCCAAGTTCTTCAGTTTTGGAACTCAGACTGGCTCTTGTTGTTCCTCAGCCTGCAGACAGTCTATTGTGGGACCTTTTCATTGTGTGAGTTAATACTTAATAAACTCCCCTTTATATATATCTATTCCATTAGTTCTGTCCCCCTAGAGAACCCTAATACAACGAGTATCCCATAAAGAAGCTCTAGTACTGCAACTATTCACTTTCAGGTGGTGCTGGAATATCATATAGAATCATTTGTATATCAGGCCTAAGTTTTCTCATCCTCTCTATAGGGCACTCGCCATGAGGCTACAGGTGCAGGCTGGGAGAGAGAAGGTATAGCAGAAGTGAGGTTTATAGGCATTTGAGCCTCTTTTTTTTTTTTTTTCTTTTTTTTAAATCAGGGTCTCACTCTTTTGCCCAGGCTGGAGTGCAGTGGCACAATCTCAGCTCACTGCAGCCTCCACCTACCAGGTTCAAGTTATTCTCCTGCCTCAGCCTCCTGAGTAGCTGGGATTACAGGCACACACCACCATGCCCAGCTAATTTTTGGATTTTTAGAGATGGGGCTTCATCATGTTGGCCAGGCTGGTCTCAAACTCCTCACATTGTGATCCGCCCACCTCGGCCCCCCAAAGTGCTGGGATTACAGGTGTGAGCCACTGCACCAAGCCTCATTTGAGCCTCTTATTTGTGCAATGTGCTTGTGCTTTCAAGGCCTGCTAAGGCCAAATTTCATATATGCTACTTACATTTGATGATGAAGGACTGACGTGCACACCCAACTTTATAGCCAAACAAATCAGATAACACCCAGTCCATAATGGGCAGCTCAGATCACATGATAATTTGGTGTCCTATGGTTCGGTGTCCAGCTTCTACTGTGGCTTAATAGCGGACCAGAAGCTCCTTTTCAAAAGAAAAGTAGCTAGTTGCAGAGGATTGCAAGGATTTGTTCCAAGATTCTAAAAGCCTACAGTATGATTCATCTGTAAGGGCATACCAGAGGCTCTGAACAGAGTCATTATTTGGCACTCGCACTTCACACACCATTGAATCTATTGGATCATATGGCCCATGGGGCACAGCAGCTTGCATAGCAGGTTGGGCCTGTTTCAATCTTCTCTTTTTCCAGTCCCCTGAAAACTAGCAGGTTTTTCCATCACTTGGTGAGACAACACACTCAAATGAGCCATACATTTCCTCCAAATCCAAAGACTCTCACTAGGCATTGTGCCTTTTTTATTGGTTTTAGTAGGGGCCAGATTCAATCATGTATCCATCACCTTAGACAGGATCTCTCAACATTCCCCACACCACTGGATCCCTAGAAATTTCACTGAGAAATAAGTCCCCTGAATTTTAGTCAGATTTATTTTTTACCCTCTTGTATTATCAATAAGTCTGGAGTAGTTGCTGTTTCTTGTTCAGAGGCCAATAGGTCAATGTCATCAAAGTAATATCATCAATGTGATCATCTTATAGAAGGGAAAGTTGATCAAGAACCCTGATAATTAAATTATGACCTAAAGCTAGAGAGTTGATATATTTCTGACATAAAACAGTAAAGGTGTATTGCCAACCTTGCCAGATAAAAGCAAACTGCTTCTGGTGGTCTTTATTAACAGAGGTGTGGAAAAAAGCATTTGCCAGATCAATAGCTACATACCAAGTATTAGAGAATGTGAAAATTTGCTTAAGCCATAAAAACACATCTGGTAGAGCAGCTGCAGTTTGAGTCACCATTTGGTTAAGCTTATAATAAGTTGCTGTCAGTCTCCAAAATTCATCTGTCTTTTGTATATGCCAGGTAGGTTGAATGAGGATATGGTGGAAATCACCACCCCTGCATCTTTCAAGTCCTTGACGGTGACACAGATGTCTGCAATCTCTTCAGGAATGTGAAATTGCTTTTTGTTTACTATTTTATTAGGTACAGGCAGTTCTAGTGGCTTCTACTTGACCTTTCCCATTATATTGGCCCTCACTCCACAGGTCAGGGAAACTATTTGAGGATTCTGGTGATTCCTATTTATCATTCAAGAATTAGGGGGGAAAAAAAGCCAAAAACAAACAAACAACAAAAAAAAACAAGATGCTTTCAGGGATCCACCGGGCCCACAGTGAGATGAACTTGTGCTGAAAACACCATTTGTCAACTAACCTCCTTGATATGATGTGGCTCTGTGTCCCCACCCAAATCTCATCTTGAATTGTATGCCCCACATGTCAGGGGAGGGGCCTGATGGGAGGTGACTGAATCATGGGGCCAGACTTCCTTCTTGCTGTTCTCGTGAGTGAGTTGTCAGGAAATCTGGTTGTTTGAAAGTGTGTGGCACTTCCCATTTAGCTCTCTCTCCTGCTCTGCCATGGTAAGACGTGCTTGCTTCCCCTTTGCCTTCTGCCATGATTGCAAGTTTTCTGAGCCCTCTCCAGCCATACAGAACTGCGAGTCAATTAAAGCTCTTTTCTTTACAAATTACCCAGTCTCAGGCAGCTTTTTATAGCAGTGTGAAAACAGACTAATACACTCCTTAAGCTTCTCCTCTGACTGGGAGGGTAAGAGCCATGGGTAATTGCTGTATTCTCTATAGCTGCAATTCATGGTTCCAGGTATGCAGGAGTGAAAATGGAAATGAAACTGCTCACTATTATCCACAGTGACTCAGTAGCAAAGTTTTTGCTTTCTGTATCCACTGCCTCAAACTCTGTTAGCTTAGAGGTCTTAATTCTAAAAGAAGGAATGATTCTGCCTGGAGAAATGGCAATATTTTCATTGAAGTAGAAGTTACCACTGTCACCTGGCCAATCTAGGCTTTCATTCCTCTAAATCAACAGGGAAATAAAGGGATACAGTACTGGCTTGGGTGATTGTTCTTGACTACCAAGGATAAATTGAACTTCTGCTCCACAATGGAGGTAAGGAAGATCATGACTAGAATGCAAGAGATTCCTTAGGGCATCTGTTAATATTACCATGCCCTGCAATTAAAGTTAGTAAAAAACTACAATGACTCAATCCAGACAGAACTGTTGATGTCCCATATCCTTCAGGAACAAATATTTGGGTCACTCCACCAAATAAAGAACCATGACCAGCTGAGGTGCTTGTTAGACAAAAAAATACAGTCATGGCCATGTGTGGTGGCTCATGCCTCTAATCTCAGCACTTTGGAAGGCTGAGGCAGGTGGATCACCTGAGGTCAGGAGTTTGAGACCATCAGGGCCCCATAGTGAAACCCCATCTCTACTAAAAATACAAAATTAGCTGGGAGTGATGGCGAGCACCTGTAATCCCAGCTACTTTGGAGGCTGAGTCAGGAGAATCTCTTGAACCCAGGAGACAGAGGTTGCAGTGAGCTGAGATTGTGCCATTGTCCTCCAGCCTGGGTGACAAGAGTGAAACTCCGTCTAAAAAAAAAAAAAGAATACAGACAGAATGGATAGTGAAAGTAAGTAGTTAAAGTAGTTATAAATACCAGCTTCGACTGTATAAACAATTATATAAATAAGGACTGAAATTATCATGAGTATTTCTTCTTTATTGTGTTATCAATATGTTTGTGGGGAATGTGTATAAAGCAAATACCCACTCTCATGTAACATAGCATGTATTGACTTAATATCATAGTATTTAAGTATTGTTAATTTTACATTATAGTATTTAAGCTATATTACATCAAGGAGAAGAGTAACTATGTCCCAAGTACCTTGTACTTTCTTTTTCTGAGAAAGGGATTGTACATTTTTGGTTGTACTCTAGATAGTTGTACCATGTGGGGCAGAAGTATGACATTGTTACTTTCTTCATGTGAAGACTAAGTATGCTTTAAGTAAATGTGTAGAAGTGCCATGTTGAAAGGGGGTGGACTTGTGATGGTGAATTTTATGTGGCCTTACAACCTTCAGAATTGAGCGATAGCATGAGCTCTTCTGTGAGCCTCCACCCTACCAGAACACATGCAGATTCTGGACTAGCCCTCTTCTGTAACTGCATGAGCCAATTCCTTAAAATGAATCTCTTCCTCTCTCTCTCTCTCTTTCTCTTGCCCCCCACATACATGCACACACACACACACACACACACACACACACCCAGTTGGTTCTGTCTCTTTGGAGAACGCTGACTACATCTGAAAAAAACATATTGAAGGGAGAAGCAGATACAATTATTTTTAAAGTTGACAGAAGACTATAGGGCTCAGTTCAGAAGATATTTTAAATTATTGTTGAGAGATTCATAATTTTTTAATTATAGAAATTGCTTTTTTAGTTTAGTAAAAAAAAAATGATACATCATTTTGAGTCACTATAGCATGCAGATACGTACCCAACTTTAGCTCCTTATTGGGCAAATGATATGTGCTCATTTTATCAATGTAGCTGCAACAGTTGACACTTAATGGGATTTTTATGACCCATAACAAGGAATATTGGAAAAAGAAATCAACCTTTTGTTATTACCTATTCTGGACAATGCTAATCACCTTTTGTGATAGGAGTGCTTTGTTGTGGTTCATGGAGATGATGTTACAGCCTATACCCTCACTAAGGGATTGATTAATGTTAATGAACATGATATCATACTCATGAAAATATAAGAATAATCTGTCTTTAGGAAATTTCAAAATATTTTGTCATAATTTATATGCACAGCCAAACCAATACTACCTATATCTCGCCAAAATTAAATATAAATTTCTTTTTGCATATTTTTCTTCAGTTGAGCAATTATATATCTAATGGCAAATAAAATCATGAGTCAAGAGAACCACAATACTTGGGCCCTGAGAACCAACTTAAGTTGATATTATTATTTTTACTTTAACATAGTAAATGGCAATGAACAGAATGTTTGTCTTCCTATCCCCAAATTCATATGTTTAAGTCCTAACCCCCAAAATGATAGTAGTAGGAAGTGGAGTCTTTGGGAGGTAATCAGGCTTAGATAAAGTCATGACGGTGGAGTGCCCCTGAAGGGATTAGTGCCCTTGTAAAAGGAACCCCAGAGAGCTGTCTTAGCTGATTTCCACCTTGTCAGGATACAAAGAGAAGTTGGCAATCCACAACCTGGAAGAAGGCCCTTATTAGAACTCAACCATGCTGCCATTTTGATCTCAGGATTTTAGCCACTAAAACTGAAAAAAGTAAATCTCTACTGTTTATAAGCCACTAATAAATGAGTTTAGTCATGTTGGAGGATACAAGGTCAGCATGCAAAAATCAATGTGTTTCTATATACTCACAATGACTAATCTGAAAATGAAACTAATATTCTATTGTATGAATGTGACACATTTATGTATCTCTCTCCAGAGAGATAGATGATAGGTAGGTAGATAGTTAGATTGACTGATAGATAGATAGATAGATAGATAGATAGATACATAGATACATAGAGAGATAGAGAGAGAGATAGCTGAACTGTTGTCATTTGGGGGCTATTATGAATAATGCTTCTTTGAAAATATGTGCACAAGTTTTTGTGGCGGTATGTTTTTAATCTCCTGTATATATAATTAGTAGAGGCATTACTAAATCATAAAATAAGATGTTTAGCCTTTTGAGGAAAGGCTTATTTCCAAAATACCTACACCGTTTACTCTTGTCCCAGCACCATTTGTTGAAAAGACTGCTTATTCCACTTAGCACTTTATTTTATTGTATTATTTCTTTGCCACTTACTCTGACACTGAGGAAAATAACAGCTTTACTGATTATTCAGAGTTATTTTATTGTTAGGGTTTGTGTGTTCATCTTTGTGTGTGTAGGGACTGACAAGGTAAATACTCAATAATTGTTGAATGCATGAACAAATGATTACCTTTATATACTTAATGGCTTCACTTTGGCAACTTGAATTGCTGTGAATCAAATTATTTTAGTTAGTCTTCTTTATTCATGCATTATCTAACATATATTAGCATTGTCAGGTGACTGGTAATTTCAATTCATCTCAATATATTTGAATCTAATGATCAGTCACTAAAGGATGCAATATTATACGAAGATTTGGACTTTTAAACACTTTATGTGTTGTCTTTCAAAACTCCCAAATTACTTGAATGACTTGACTATCCTGAGCCCCCTTATGGGGCTTTATAGCCTCTGTATTTAAATGGTGCCCTGAACAGGCTTTATACAGGCTTTATAGCCTCTTTACATAGGCTTTATAGCCTCTTTATACAGGCTCTTTATACATATACAGGCTCTATATAGCCTATATACATATACAGGCTCTATACAGCCTCTTTATACAGCCTCTTTATACAGGCTTTATAGCCTCTGTATTTAAATGGTGCCCTGAACTGACACTTTTTTTCTCAAAGGATGGTCTGAAAGCACGTACAGTTTTGGTTAATCATGCATTATAAATGTGAATCTAAGATGTTGTAAATAAATACAAATTTTGCAAAGCAAATTTTATTTTAATTTTTAAGCAAATATTTAAAATGATCCAGTCATGAATCTATGCTACATGGTAGTGAATATATATTGTTTTCAAATCGGTGGTTTCCTAAACACTCAATTCTGCTATTTTGAAACACTCAGTGTTCTCTGATACCCACTATCAGGAAAGGAAGGGAAAATCAAAAGAAACCTATTTTATCTTAATGACTGCATAGGTCAATAATGAATCTTGAGTCATTTCTAACTGTATCTTCTATGTCATTATGTCTTGTGATATATAAAGTAAGTGATGTTCTGACCAACGATCTGAAGATCCTCCAGTATTTCAGTTGTCAAAGATATTGCATTCTAACTAGTATCTCTACTAATTCCAAGAGAGAAATAAAATTAGTTATGTTAAAAATATACCAAGTGAATGAGACAAATGAGAATTCTTGAGATGATTAAACTTTGAGTACTCAGAATATTTTCTGACCTAAAGCTACATTTCTGTTGAGCTTTCTAGATATTTCAGGGTTAATGACATTAAATTAATCTGATATTGTATACATAATCTCCAAATAATTGAAAGTAGTATGATACAACAGGGTAGTGTGGTAGGGATGTTGAATGATGCATTAGAAAAGGTGGTTATTTTAATTACACTTAGAAACTACTTAGTGCCTGGGTAAGCAGGCCCACCGAGATTGCTGTACAAAGATGCCTTCTGTGATTCTGCAGCAAACAGTGAGCTCTGATGGGTGATTCAGAGCTTTTATTCTGAATAAAAAGTTACCCAGAGTAAAGATAGCATTAGGGGTATGTGATACTATTTTACTGTACAAACAGAAAAACGGATAGACTGGGATCTTGAGAACAAGATATCATTGTATGCACATGCTCAGCAAAAGTGACATAATGAAAATAATCATACATGTTCAATAACACAAAACTTCCGAGAAGCGAATAGTAAACAATTAAGAATTTACATTTTTCTCTTTAACTCTTTCAACTTCTTTTATATCCTAGAGTCTCCAAACTGATTTCCTACTTCACATATTGGTATGAGATTTTTAAGATCCTGTCAGAATAGCACTACTGCTTTTGCTTGCACTGTCACTATGTCATCTATAATCAGAGCAAGCTTTAAAAAATAGATAAATAAAGTGATGTAAGAGAATACCAAGTTGACAGATTGCCCAAGAATATCTCCCACCCACCCTGCCATCCGGCATTATTTTGACTCTTAGAACCCATTTAGTTTTCAAAATTTACAGATATTTCCTTAGGATTAAGACATGATAGTTAATGTCGTCTCCAGTGCATTGTATAGATGCCCAATACATTTAATACTTATTAATACCCACTTCTTACCTACCCTCTATTATAATGATTATATATGAGTAAAAATACTTCTTAATATTACCAATTTAATTTAGACAAACATTTCCTTCTCAGTGGAAAATCATTTGTTTATAATTTCATTAATTAAATTAAGGTGGTAGCTTTTCATAGATACATATAGATGATAGGTAGATAGGTAGGTAGGTAGGTAGGTAGATAGAGACAGGTAATAGATAGATATTTGGCAAAATAACATGTAAAAGTATTACTCTCACTCCTAAAATCCCTTCCCATGTACTTGATGTTTCTCCTTTTTACCATCTCAGAAAGCTGGATATGAACAAGTCACTGATTTGGGAAGAAGGGGCCATGGTAAAATCAGGAAGTAAATGAGCCATTCTTCTACATAATCTTTAAAAGTTTTTGGTCTAAATAATTGACCAGAATTTTGATGCACAACTAGAGGGGATGTTTTATATCATCCTCTGTCTCCATACAAGGGGACAGGAAGGAGATGAGGGAGAACAGGAAGGCCACCCCAATCAGTACTGTAGGCGGTGCTTGTGAAGGTTCTGTCCACTGGCAGTGCCAGTGAGCAACATGAAACTTAGAATCCAGTCTTCCTTCTGGATACTGTTGAGGGCACTGGGCAACAGTGGCCAGACCATCCATTGGATCTTGCAGAAGAGAACGAGGCTCTTCTGCTATCCAACGCTCATCCCTAATGGACCAGCCCCCTATTTAATAGCTCAAGATACCTTAAGCTCGCTCATAAAAGCAGACTACCCTTGAGCAGGTAGAAGGTCAAGTAGCAAAAGAAAATAAAGATCTTTTGCTCCCCCTAATTAAAGTGGGACTAAGCTGCCTGCTGGAGATCTCAAATGGACATAGGAGAGAGGTAGACTGACCAGTCCTACCATGTGTCCAAATTAGTGCCACACAGACCTGCAGAACTAGAGGTCTGCTCCTTTCAGATTTCCTCAGTCACCTAATCATGGGGAACCACATTTTTTTCACTTCTCAAAGTGTGGAAGAGTAATGGACAAAGATCATAACCCCAAGGCTCAATGTCCTGTATGCCATGTTTGAACTACTGCTTTTATATAAGAGGATTGCTATCACAAAACCTGTTTCTTAGGTTGTTTATTGTAAAGCAAATGACTTCCTCCCAAGATTGCTAAAATATAAAGACAGCTTTAAAAAATGTTTATAGGATGTCTGTTCTGGGTGTTCCCCAGAGATGCCTCAGGGGTGTGTGCGACAAGGAGAAGGCCACAAGGACGGAGCTTGGAAGGACCGTCCCACCGTCACCCTTAACAGAACACCTTTGCTTTCCACTTACCTAAAGTGAGACTCCAAATAAAATTATATATGAAGAAGCTTCTATTTGAACCAACTTCAAAAATAATGGAAATAATATATATGAAAGTATTCTACTTTATTAGTCACAGAGTTCTGTACAAAATTTAAGAAAATGGTGTTCTTTGGATTTCTCTGTAAAATGGGAATAACAGTCCCACAAATCATCATAAATGAATTTAATGGATAAAATAAAATAATGGGTTCAAAAGGGTTTTGAAAATGTGAAAGCTTCATCTAAATTTAAGGGCTTATTTACAGGGTTTTCTGGGCCCACTTATTGGTCACTAAGTGCTGCAATCGGCTGGCTTGGGATTACTCATAGTAATGCTTTCAAAGTGCTTAGAATTTTTGGTTTATTTTATTATACTTACTAGCAGATGCTAGATGCTTATCTTTGAGTTTTTAGTATTCATGCTACTTAATTTAATTGAAAGACCTTAACTAAGTCTCTACACACAAATGTGCAATTAAAGCTCTGTGTGTGTTCCTTTAAATAAATATATGTATATATTTATGTATGTACATATGTACTTTCCAAATCCCTAAAATGCATTATTGACATGCCATTCTAACTGTAGCTTTGAAGAATAATGCAAAGTATTATTATTAATCCACCTAAAACAGGTATCTCAGTTGATCTGATTGTCTAATGAGACCAAGATCAAGTGTTTTCTCCCTTAGAGATTTGTTCACTTTGCACACTTCATGTTTACAGACTTCACGGTATCTAAAACAGTGTTCAGCTGTTACTCAATACTAATCAATGTACCAGAACCCACAGACAGAAGAAAGGGATTATAGCTTCCCAGTTTCAGTGTCAGCCCATTCTGTTTGGCAAACATCTCTCTCTCTCTCTCTCTCTCTCTCTCTCTCTCTCTCTCTCTCTCTCTCTGTTACATACACACACACACACACACACAGACACGCACATTGCTGTAAGTGCTTCTATAGCATAACCTCTTCTTATAAATAAACATGTTAAAACGTATAACTCTCACAATACTTTAATTCTGTTTCCAACATAGAGGGGACTACTTTACTTAGCTAACAGTCATCATACCATTTAAATGATATAATTCATACAAAGTCTTGATATATTATCCACTATACAAACGCAATGCATTCATATAACTATTTCTTCTTCTGTAGTTAATGAAGGTGATGCTAATACTGCCACAATGTAACTACTCTTTGAATTATAAAGCCAGAATTAAAATAATTAAGTTCATTTATAACTTTCTTTAAATAAAATTATTTAAATGTGGTAAAAATTATTTAAATAATTCACTTTGTGGCTGCTATTAGTTATGGAGATCAATATCCAAGATTGCATACGTATAATGCTAACTAGGGTAATCTTTCAAAGAGTTAGTCGTGCTACCCCAGTGTCTGAGTTCACCCTCCAACTACAAATGCTGAAGCAGTTGTGTATGAGCTCTCCTTCATGCTTTCATATCATTCATTATTCAATTTGGGGTACTTGTGAGATATTTTTGGTGATATATTAATTAATAACTCCAGAATATCAGACACAAATCACCTGGGCAAGCCAAGCCAGGTGGTTTACCTAGTTATAGCAGAAGCTTCTGGACTCTACCTCTGGATTCGCCTAAGGCTTGAGCCTATTTCTAATTTAATGATCTACCTAAGCAAGACATGCTGTTGTGACAGCCTTGGAGATGGAGATGAGAAGCTAGTCTTGGAAACACCAGATTGAAGTGATAAAGCCAAAGGGACAAACCAGCAACTGTTGATCTTCTTGGGAGGGGTTGCTGAGTAGCCAGTGTTATTCTCAGAGACATGGCCAAAAACCCAACAACGTGCTTCCTTTTAGTCCAGACTTTCATTATTCTCAGATGCCTCATATGTCTGAGGTGCTAGAGAACAACTCATTGACCTCCAAAACCCTAAGGCTTCACGATTCTGCTTAAGGTATTTTAGCAACAAAGTGATCAATATGTCTCCTTGCTGTAAGACAAGAAGTGGTTTGGACAAGGTGCAGAAAGAGAGTTTCTCGGGCAAAACATCTGGGCTGCATCAAGGGGACTAAATGTCCCTACAAGTGAAGCTGGTCCTGGGTCTGGGCCAAGCTCAGCAGTGCAGCCAGCATCCTATCCTCTATCTTCTGTCATCTTTGGTGAACACCAGCCTGTTTAGTTTTAATTTGGAGGACTGGCAGGCATTTTGGCAATTTGGGAGAGGAGTCAGGATATTTTGATGTTAAATTTGATTAGATGTTGAGAAGGAAGTGAATGTTGGAATCACAAATAAATCACAGCATCCTGGCTTGGGCAATTGTATAGATGAAGAAGTCATTTAATAAGATGAGGATGACTGTGGAAGGAACATATTTGGTAATGGGGTAAGGGGAATAAAAATTTACCTTTGGAAATGTTATATCTGAGATGCCTGAGGCACAGTCAGAGAGAAATCTCATGTAGTAGGTGCCATATATTTGTAAGAAGTACAAGGCAGGAATCAGTGACAGGCTACTTCACCTATATCAACTCTTTCGGGTGTGTCAGTGAGTCCAAGATGCTTTTCCAAGAGAAGCATCTTGGAAAAAAAGCATGCTTTTTTTCTAGCACACATTTAATCTCCGGTGGGGCAGCCCTTTGCTAGGACTTTTCATGTGTATAATTATTATATCCTAAATGCAACATGAGCTTTCTTTTCAGCCAGTTGTGAAAAAGTTAACCATAGTTAGAATAAGAGACAAAAAAAAGAGTAAGAGACAAAAATCAAAATCCCAGGTGAGCCTTGGAGTAGCAGAGGCACATAAACAGAATTGAGAGATAGTCTTGAAAGATGAAAGACAATTGTTTATCTGTGTGTCTATTTGTTTACGGTGTTTCTTAGAGCAGTGATAAGTGATAGGTGAAGTGTCTACAAATGTTCTTTTTGTTCTCATAATAGCTATTTTATACTTTTTGGCTTTTTTTCCTGCTTAAGAATTTTATAATGGAGAAGTTTAAAAAGTTGGATCTCAATGGAAACACACTTTGATGTTTGATATATAGAATATGACAAGATGTCAATATTCTTCCAAAAGAATGCTTGGGTTTTAAGAAATCCATGTGGTGACCATGGAGTTGCGCCATTCAGATGTCCCTTAAAGATTCCAATCAAGAGGACCTGCTTTGGAGAACACAGTTGACAGACAGCCTTATGATGCTACACCTTAAGATCCTTCACGGGGTTCACACATCCCCTGGGCCACTCCCATGATGATAGACCATGATGGAAGTGTCCGAGGGGACGTGTGAATCCCGTGAGGGATCTGAAGATGTAGCATCATAAGGCTGTGTGTCATCTCCGCCTGACCTGGGATAGTCTGTGGGGCAACGTTTGCACAGAGATTTGGTCCTCAGCCTGGCCAAAACTTTCAGAGCTGTGATGCATCTGAAGCTCTCCAGTGCAATACTCCTTATGTCTGTTTCCTTTTGCCAATGTCAGACATGCATCTGGTCTGAAGTCTCCCCAACCTGCCGTCACCTGCTCCCTTCAACTTTATCCTTCACAGACCTTCCCCTGATAAACTTCTTATGCACCTAATTTAATCTGCTGCTTGTAGGCTTTGAAGTGACAAATCCCTAAAATGGTGAGTATCCCAAATTTGGAACCAAGAAATTATTTTATTCCTGTATGGATTCCCAGAATGAGACACAATGTCTGAAAATTAATGGCAAATGCTTAGGCCGAGGTGGATTGATCACGAGGTCAAGAGATCGAGACCATCCTGGCCAACATGGTGAAGTCCTGTCCCTAGTAAAAATACAAAAATTAGCTGGGTGTGGTGGCGGGCGCCTGTAGTCCCGGCTACTGGGGAAGCAGGAGAATCTCTTGAAACCTGGAGACAGTGGTTGCAGTGAGCCGAGATCGCACTATTGCACTCCAGCCTGGTGACAGAGCGAGACTCCATCTCAAAAAAAAAAAAAAAAAAAGAAAGAAAAAAAGAAGAACTCCTTCATATGTAATGTGTTGCTTTTCTCTGTACGCTTCAAGGTTTCTTTTTTCTTTCTTTCCTTGGTTTTTAGTATTTAGATTATGATGTGTCTGACCGTGGTTTCCTTTGATTTTATTCTATTATTTTCTATTATATTTTCTATTATTATTTTTCTATTATATTCAATTTCTTTTATTAATGAGCCTCTTGCATTTATAAGTTTGTATCTTTTACTGCATTTGAGAAGTGTTCAGCCATTATTTATTTTGATATTTTTCTGCACCTATCTATTCCTCTTCTCTTTTAGACTCCAGTGACAGATATGTAAGACTTTTAAGCACTTTCCATCTAATTCTGAGGCTTTTTCAGACTTTTGTCTCTGTTCACATTGAGTACTTTGTGTTGATCTATATCCACATTCATTGACTCATTCTTCTGTCATCTGCATTCTGCTATCAAACACATTCAGTGGTTTCTTCTTCAACGATTAGGTTTTCAGTTCTAGAATTTCTATTTTATTTGGTATCATATTTATCTGCTGATAAATTTTATTTTTTTCTTAATTCTCAAGAGTTTACATTTATCTCAGAGAGGTAACAGTCTTAGCAACTTGACATGTTACTTAAAGTATATAAATGTTATATGTCATATGTTATACTACAGTATATTATATTGCATATCACATTATATTATACATTTTGTGATAAATATACAAAAATAGGGAAAAAGAAAGAAAAACAAGATAGTGAGAGAGAGAAAGAGCGACATTGCTTTGAAATGCAAGAGTGAATGTTATCATAATTGGAGTGTCATAAATTACAAGGAACACAGTGTTATATTTGGTGAGACCAGTGATGGTCTTCTGAAAATAATGACCTTGCAGAGGTATGGTCCATAACTTTGGGGACATTATTTCTTTGGAACTCTAAAAGTATCTTTATATTGGTCATATTTTCTTTGGTCAGACTAACCATGTAAAGTGACACATTCCTTACTAGCCAGCAGGTGAGGATATTAACAGTGCAGTCACATATTGGCAATAGAGATGCGGTTGACTCACAATGGATTTAACTGCTGGTATTGTGGCCCTGACTAGTATTGTAAACAAGACATGGGAGGTAAAAGACAGTCGATATGAAAATAATATCCAATGAACACCGAAATATAGTAGAGAAGATTCCTAGTATTTGTTGAATTGACTAAACCAAATTGCTTTTAGTCTTAATTGATCAGTGCCTAGCTGTAATTAGAAAGTAAATCAATATCTTATTTCATCTAGATTTCATTTCTTAAGCTGCAAATGAAATGGTATACATAAACATACTATATATTTAACAACATTATATGCTGCTGCATTTGTTATTCTTTGTCTACCTCAAAGTTTTCAAACTGAAATTCCTTCATGAGACAGATGGTTAAAGTAAATGACCTAAAGTAGGTAGGGTAAATGAAAGAGGTAAATGTATCTGAGACAAGAGAAAGAGCTAGGTACCTTAGAGAACTGAAAGATAAATCCTTTGTAAAGACACACAAATAAAACTAACAGTAAAAAAAAACAAGTAAAAATAAAGTTATAACAAAAATTGTGCAGCCAAACAAAATACTTCTGTGGATTCTATTTGGCTTTTATGCCTCTCATGTTTGATCCCTGTTAGGTTGGTAATGCCATGTCAGGGATTGGTAATTTTTTTTCTGTGCAAGCCCGGATACTAAATATTTTAAGCTATGTGGGACATACAGTCTCTGTTGCAATGACTCAACTCTGATCTTACAGTACATAAAAAGCCATAGACAACATACAAATGAGTGGACTGGAGATGTTCCACCGAAATTTTGTTTATAGAAACAGTGATAGCTGAATTGATAGCCTGTGAGCTATAGCTGGCCAACCCTTGTCATAAACAAAGCAGTAAACTAGCCATTAGTGGCTAGAGTGCAAATTATTATTCTTGTTCAGAATCGAATCATGTATTACTTCAATCCTGCAACAAGATTTTATTTGTAAGTCATTTCTTCTCAGTTAGTTTGTATGCCTTTTTAAAGATCGCCTCGTTTGTCCACAGGGAGAGTTACTGTTTTTTTAACATATTAATATTTCAAATGCAGTATTTCCAGGAAATTTGTTTTTTACTTTGTCGTTGGGTTATACAAAACCTCCTGCAAAGTAAGACACTGGACTCAGCTCTATAATCAGAGCATGGTCAATATTCTGTACTTGCCTTCTGGGGCTTTCCATGCTGAAATGTGAAGTGTCAATGTTAGACACACTACTACAGCAATCAACAATCCATCAAGAGAGCTGGTAAATAAATCTACTTCCAACAATGCTAAAAAGTTAGAGAGTAGCAGGGGACTGGGAGGTGGGGATTAAACCCTGCATACCTATGAGAATGGGACTAAAAAAAAATTGCCTTAAAATACAAACAGAGATCTACTTCTTGTCATGAGGAGCTATTCCATGGTGTTGTTTCTTGTTTGTTTGTTTTGTGTGTCTTGTTTTGCTTGTTTGTAATTTTGGTTTTAGATATTGCTGTAACATGGTCTCAGATAAGGCTTGTCTGTGAAATTGTTGAGTTGCTCATGAAGATTCTTATTTGAAAAAAATGTGTATTATAAAATGCCTACCACTAACCCCCCAAAACCACATTTTGCATGTATTGAAATTTGTTGCTTTTGGTTTGATTTGTGTTTATGTTTTTCAAACAGAACAAAAAGGACATTGTCTGAGTCTATACTACTTCCTCACTTGGAGAATATCTATCACTATTTGTCTAAAAATATAAAAATGTCTCTTTTCTAATCTAGCAGATTAATTGTTTAGTTACTTACTTTTTATAATTTTTTGGGGGGTTGTCAGAGAAAGAATTGGACCTTTATTGTGTATGCCTTTTCTCATTACAAAACAAAATGTATTCTTCTTAAGCAGAAAGAATATTCTCTGTTTCAGCAACATTTGAAAAAGTATTCTGATACATTTTAAGTGATTAGTTAATACAAGAAAAGTTGGACTACTGAAAGAAAGTTCTTATTTTCATTACCTTTAGCTACTGCACTATGGGAAATGCCAAAAAGGACACTGAGAGTTTTTAGCAAGGGCAACTATTTCAAAAATAGCTTACTTAGTTATGTAGAAAAGATGTTTAAGCACTGTAGACATACATACTTAAATAATTGTGAGACTTAAATATGAAATATATGCTACTCTTGTCTCTTCTCGCCAGTGTGTTTGACAAAGCAGGACTGCCATCTGTGTGCCACATTCTTTCTCATGGCACCTCCCTTCTACTCCCCAGCAAAGGGTATTCATAACCCATTAATTTCCTTTCTGGAATATTACATTGTTCATAGCAGTGTTTATTATAGCTAATGTTGCAATACTGTTGTTCTTATAACCTTTCGGGTTTTATTCTTCCAATATGTATTTTCTACAAAAAAGATGTTGTTCATAATTTTAAAACAATTTCACAAATGCTCCAAATTATAAAATCAAAGAGTAAATTTTTATCACCATGGCTAAGCATAGCTCTTCTGTTTATAGAAATTTCAAAATGGACTAAATTAAGTCTTTAAGCATTGTAGTGATCCCGAGTGTGCATCTATTTTACTTATATGTACTCTATGTAATTGTTATAAAGTGATTTTAATATTAATGTAATGAGAAGATTTACTGTAGAGCTATTAATACGATCTTCTAGAATATATGTTAGAATGCTAGATAGAATTTCTCAAATATATGACAATTATTTTATGAGAAATTTAAAAAATTCTGTAAGGAATAAACACCACTATTTTAACTCTTTATGGATGACAAAAATGTGACAATTTTTCTTCTACTAATTTTATGATTTATTATTTATAATTTGAAACAGTATAGTTTTTCATACTTAGTATTGAAAGAATAATCTCAAAAGTTGTAGGCTCTATTACTTAACTTCCCTGCTTAATATCTTATAAAAATCCTTTATGAGCTAGTAAAGTCCAAATTGTTAGCATCAGTTAAAAGTGTATCTAATCTGAGGTATCCAAGCTTTTTGCCACATTATACTTGGCTCAATGTTAATTGGATCTTCCTTTTCTTTCATTTCTCAATAACAACTTCTATGGGACCAAGTAGTTACTTTCCAGCCTCCAAATGACCTTGACAAAACTATCTCCTCTGCCAATAAATCATAATTCAAATAATTAACTTTCTTTTCCTTTTTAAACTGAGGATATCATTTACCTAAAAGATTATTTCACTTTCTTCATCTGTATTTTTTTTCCTCAAGAAATTTAACTCACACTGACATAACGACTTCTGTGGATTCTTCCAAATATTTAGCGATGATACCATGTAATTTAGCAAGTCATTCAGTCACCCCATGTTAATGTAATGCTAATATGTTTTAGGCACTATAGTTTTTTTAAAGAGTTTACCTTAAAACTTCCATGAAAACAGGACAGAGGAAGAAGCAAAGAAGGAGAGAAAGAAAAAAAGAAAGGAAGGAAAGAAAAGAAGGAAGAAGGGAAGTGGTTTGTTCCATAATTACTCAAATCTCTGTTTGGGGATACTTTCTCATTGCCTTGAGGAACTGGATTTCCTGCAGCTTATGATAGTGTTGAAGAGCTGAAGACGTAGAGATTAGATTATGAGGAAGCAGAAATAGGTGATGCAGAGTAGTACCTCTGAGACTATGGAGCTGAGCAAAGAGGAATCTCCAGAAGTTTATGTGAGGGCTATGGTAAATTCATAGCTGCGGGGAGTGTTTAAGTTAAACAGAGGAAGACCAAAACATTCCTACTAGCAGCCACTATGAATATGAGAACAGTAGTGAGAAACCAGAAATTAAGCATTGTTGGAGGAAAAATGGTGTTAGGGGACATTGCAGTTCTGACTCAGAGAGAAAGGATAGGTAATTTTAAAACCTTATTAACATCTTTATATGCAGTTAACACAAGGCAAAAATCTGGACCTCAAAAGCCAGAACTACGCCACACAGAAAGATCTACAAGCCAAGCTGTAGCAAGAGAAGCAAAATTTGGAGTTTTAGTACTACCAAGTACTACCACAGAAGCTGTGACACATTTGAATGTCCACAGGTTATACTTAGAAGCATAAAATCAAGTCTTACAAAAGTTTGAGGTAGTAAACCAGTTCTTTAATTGCCTATCAAACCAAGAATAAAACTTTTCCCAAGGAACATGACAAATTGAGAGTCTTTATAGTATATTAAAACAATATCCACTAGACCATAAAATCATTAGATGCGCAAAGAAATGGGAGTGAACGATGTGTAGTCAAGGAAAATATTTAAGCAATCAATAGAAACTGAACACAAGATGGCCCAAATGTTGATCTCAGCAGACAAAAGCTTTCATGTACTTAAAAAAAAAAAGATATTTGAAGAATTAAAGGTAAACACTCTAAAATCATTTAAGGCAATGTGAATAAACAGATTGGAAATCTCAGCTAAGAAAGAAAAGCTAAGGAATAGAATCAAATGAAAATTCTAGAACTTTAAATATAATAAAATGAAAGATTCAATGCATGAGCTTAACAGAAGAATTAAAGAATCATTTAAATGAACACTGATCAAAATTAATTACTCAATATGAAAAGCTTAGAGGTAGTAGATTTCAGTAAAATCAGCAGAGATTCAGGTATCAGTGGAACAATCCTCAATAGCTTAATATGAATGTAAAGGACGAAAATGGGAATTAGGTTGGGATACAAAAACATTTGAAGAAAAAATAACTAAATATTTCTAAATGACAGCTAAATATTTTTCAAGTTTGATGAAAATTTGAGAACTTACAGATGTAACAAGTTCACTTATCCCCAAGTAGAATTAATATAAAAAGAAACTCATCCAAGCTTATCATAGTCAAATTGTTGGAAAACAAAATCTTGAAAGCAGTCACGCTGTATTTTTTTCTTCCGGCTTCTTTAGAGATTTTGTCTCTGTCTTTAAATTTCTAAATTTTTTTTTAATCATAAAACTATGTGTTTTATTGGTATTTTTTCTGATTAGTATTCTCTGAGCTTTCTGGATGTGTGGTTTAATGTATGTCATTTTTGGAAAATTCTTGGGCATTATTACCTCAAATATTTTCTCAGTTTTGTTCTCTATTTTTTTCTCTTTCTGGAATTTCAATTATATATGATACACATATCCTACATATTATATGATATACAATTGTATGATATATATCGTATTGATATACAGTTGATAATTTACATAATTGAAATTCCATATATACATATATAAATACATATATATACACATATCTACATACATACATATCTATCCACAATCCTTGGATGTTTTATTTTTTTCAAATTTTCAAATTCTTCTTGTCTTTCAGTTTTGGAAGTTTCTATTTACCTATCTCCACGTTCACTGAGGGTTTTTAAATGCCTCCTAGCATTTGTTTTGATTCATTCCAAGAATTTCTATCTCTGCCTATATCACTTATCTGTTCTTGTATGTTGCCTGTTTTGTCCATTAGAACTCTTCATTTATTAATCCTAATAATGTTACATTTTCTATCTGATAATTCCAGCATCTGTATCATCTCTGAGTCTGGTTCTGATGCTTGCTTTATCACTTTTTACTGTGTTTTGTCTTGGCTTTTAGCATGCTTTGGAGTATTTTTCTGACAACCAGATATGGTGAATCCACTAACAGAATGTGAGGTTTTACGTTAATCTGGCTAGGAGTTGGGCTTTTTCTAGTGCTTTTTGCCACATGTTCCAGAAGCTTAAAATTCTTCTAGTGTGCTTGTTCTTGCTTCTCCTCTTGACTTGGGTTTTTCTTTGTATGATGTACCTTGTAACTCTTTAAACTATAATCCACTGTTATTATACCTGAGTCCTGTTGGGATGAAGGCAAGTAATGGGAAATGAAGTATTCTATAATCTTCCAATTAAATCTTTGTCTTCTTGTGGAGCCATGTCTTTGGCTTCTGAACTTCTTGAGTATTTCTTCTTGTATAGCTTTTCCCACTACAGTCATGCATGCTTAATGATAGGGTACCCACTGAGAAACTTGTTAGGTGACTTTATGATTGTGTGAACATCACAGAGTGAACTTATACAAACATAGGTGGCTAGATGGTATAGCCTATTTCTCCTAGGCTACAAACCTGTACAGCACATTGCTGTACTGAAGACTGCAGCAATTGGAACACAGTGGTAAGTATTTGTGTATTGAACATATCTAAACTAGAAAAAGTACAGTAAAAATATGATATAAAAGATAAAAATAAAATGGTAGACCCGTATAAGGCACTTACCATAAATGGAGCTTACAAGACTGAAAGTTGCTCTGGGTGAGTCAGTGAGTGAGAGATGAGTGAACGTGAAGGCCTAGGACATCAATGTACACTTCTATAGACCTTATGAATACTGTACTCTAGGCTACATTAAATGTGAAAAAGAAATTATTTCTACAATAATAAATTAACCTTAATTGACTGTAAGTTTTTTACTTTGTAAAGTTTTAAATTTTTTAAACTTACTGACTTTTGTAATAACACTTAGCTTAAATTAAAATAGCTTAAAACATAAAAACACATTTTATAACTGTACAAAAATATTTTCTTTATTCTTTAAGGTTTTTCTGTTTTAAGAATATTTTATTTCATTTTATTTTTAAACTTTAAACATTTTTTTGAAAGGGAAGACACAAACACATGCATTAGCCTAGACCTACACAGGATTAAGATCATCAACATCACTGTCATTCACCTCCACGTCTTGTCCCACTGATAGGTCTTCAGGGACATCTACATGTGTGGAGCTCGCATCTCCTGGGATAACAATATTTCTTCTGGAATTCCTTCTGAAGGACCTGTCTGAGGCTGTCCTACAGTCAACTTTTTTTTTTTAAATAAAAATGATAACACCACTGTACTCCAGCCTGGGAAGCAGAGGGAGACCTTGTCTCAAAAAAAATACAAAAAACACAAAAAACAAAAGTATAGGCCAAGCACAGTGGCTCATGCCTGTAATCCCAGCACTTTGGGAGGCTGAGGCAGGTGGATCACGAGGTCAGGAGATCAAGACCATCCTGGCTAACACGGTGAAATCCCGTCTCTACTAAAAATACAAAAAATTAGCCGGGCGTGGTGGCAGGTGCCTGTAAGTCCCAGCTAATCGGGAAGCTGAGGCAGGAGAATGGTGTGAACCTGGGAGGCGGAGCTTGCAGTGAGCCAAGATCACGCCACTGCACACCAGCCTGGGCGACAGAGCAAGACTTCTTCTCAAAAAGAAGAAGTATAGTATAGTAAATAAATAAACCAGTAATGTATTATTTATTATCATTATCAAGTATTATATCCTGTACATAATTATATCTGCTATACTTATATACAACTGGCAACATGATGTTTGTTTACACTAGTATTCCCACAATCACATGAGTAATGCCTTGTGCTGTGATTTTACAATGGCTAGGACATCACCAGACAATAATAATTTTTTAGCTTCGTTATAGTCTTATTGGACCACCATAAATGTACTTTGTCCTTGACCAAACCATTGTTATATGGTGTGTGACTGTACTTAGGTGACATGGGGGCTGAAATGAAAGGAATTACCCCTCATTGCTCTGAGACTTGACTTTGGTAGAGTCTTTCCACCTGAAGTGTTTATGTTAGTTATGGAAAAGGCTCTGGTTTTATTTCACTTGAATTATTTTTCCTCTCCTCCTGCCAGAGTCACATAAAGTGTTCTTACTTGGATCCTTGACAACCTGGTAGGTTTCCTGGAAGTAAGGTCTTCCTGCAAAAATGTGGGGTCTACCTGAGACAACTGCCCACATGAATGTCACAGTCATGCTGAGTGTGACACTCAGCCTCACAATTTGCCCCAATTACCATTTGAAGTGTTCCTACTAGTTAATGGCTCCCGGGGCTTTTTGCTTCAGGTACCCAGATCTCAGCTGCGATCTCTGGATTAACATGTCTCTCCAGATTTTAAAGTGGCAGTTTGCCCTGAAAACTCATTATAGAACTGTGATTGATACTTTTAAAAGATTATCTGATCTTCCATAACCTTGTTAAATTAGTTCTAATACTTTTTATTTGTTGAATCTACAGGCTTTTCTCTGTACACAAACATCTCTTTTGAAAACAGTTACACTTCTTTTCTGGATTTGCTACTTACTGTTTCTAAACCTGATATGGAATTACAAGTTAAGGAGAAATCTAAGGTAGAGATGCTGAAGTTAAGCAGAACTTTTGAGAGTCTTATGGGGGACAAAAATTGGAGAACAGGTCCTCAGGCTTTGATTGTCTACACCAGCTTTCTTAAAGATAGCTTTCTATTCTCAACTTCAGACAACAGTGTGATTATCTGTCCCCACTTTACCCGCCTGCTGGAAACTGAACCATGAATACCTGAGACAGTTCTCAGTTAATTTAGTAAGTTTATTTTGCCAAGTTTGAAGATGCGCACCCGTGACACAGCCTCAGGGGGTTCTGACTACATGTGCCCAAGGTGGCCAGAGCAGTTTGGTTTTATACATTTTAGGGAGACATGAGACATCAATCAACACATGTAGCATGAACATTGGTTCAGTCTGGAAAGGTGGGACAACTCAAAGCAAAGGCAGGACACTCAAAGAGGGGAGGGGGCTTCCAAGTCATAGGTAGATAAGAGACAAATATTTGCATGCTTTTGAGTTTCTGATTAGCCTCTCCAAAGGAGGCAATCAGATATGCCTTAATCTCAGAGAGCAGAGGTGTGACTTTGAATAGAATGGGAGGCAGGTTTGCTTTAAGCAGTTCCCAGCTTGACTTTTCCCATTAGCTTAGCTATTTGGGGGCCCCAAGATTAATTTTTCTTTCATAATTTACCCCTTTTCTTTTTAAAAATCTTTTGGAGAAAGCATTTTAGATAAAAATGAGTCTCTGGCTTCAGGTTTTGTCTGATCTCTCATGGCTAGGATGGTTTATTCCTAGATGGGTAGGTCTCAAGTTATTAGGAAAGCTCATTTTTAGCAGGTTGTGAAGTCTTATATCCTATGAAGAAAAAATAGGGCAAGGTAGGGAGAAAAACAACCACAAACAAAAGAACAATCCTGGAAAATCTATACAAGCCACATTACTCTGAAGTCCATATATCAGTAGGGAGATATGAAAGTGGTTTGTGTATGTAAATAGGTTGCTGTTATTATCTTTTGAAGTTTAAGTTCTCTAGCTTCAGTAAGCAAGGCTTTAAGAAAGCACAACTTACTTTTCAGTGACTTCCAAATTAGGAAAACTAGGGGAAAAAGAAGGCAAAAAATTGAAAACGTTATTTTGAAGATTTGCAGCCAAGAAAAATTAGAATTTCTTCCAAACTGTAGAAAATAAGAAAAATTGAAAAATATTAGGCAAGACTAGAATCTAACAGGTGTACTATAGTTTTTGAAACATAATTTTAATCTCTCTATTTTTCATTTTTACTAAAGACAAATCATGGTAAGATTGATTTTCTTTATTATACTTGGTCAAATTATTTGTATACAGTACAGCAAGAACAATTATTTTTTACATAGGCTTTTAAATTGGCTTTGATGGAACTTTGTTACACAGAAGGAATCTCAGATAACACTTTTTTAAAGCCAAGTGCAACCATGGATTTGTATCATTAAATACCTATGAGTTAGGTGAATTCCTCTCCTCTTGCAGTCCCAAGATAAACTTGGGGATTCTGGGCCTTTCAGAAAGTGACATTCTTTACTTATCACAGGTCAGGAACCCTGTTCAGGGACTGCATAGGTAAAGTATGAGACTAGTTTTCCCAAGGGGCTTTTATTGGCCCCATAAATCAAGTTTGATTCCTTAAAGGGAAGCAGAGCATTCCAGTCAAAGCCTTGGTAAAAATAACCAGTTTCTCCAATTGTGTCCTGTTATAAATGAAAACAGATTCTTATTGCACTTATGCAAATAACTATTTTGCCATAAGAATACTCACCAATAGTTTCCAAATTCTGAAGAAATCAGGTAGAGAGAAACAAGTATACTTCAAATTCTGTTTATAGAAGTATACTAAATTGTTAAAAGCTGTCAATAGCTCAAAAGAAGTTTTCTTGACTCTAAAAAAACAAAACAAAGAACCAGCAAGGTTTTAAGCAAAAAGTCAAATTAGTTCAGTCCATGCAGTTAATTCCTGTTTTGCTTGATATTCATGAACATTTTAGCTCTCTGTGAGTCCTGAAAGTTTTTCCTCTATTCTGATGTCACCATCTCTAAAGTTAACAGAAACCTGGATTCAAGAGCAATTGTTAGAATTTTGTAGCTGATTATAAAACTGCCTTCTAAAGAGGACCAAAACAAGACAACAATCATCTGTGGATGACAAAAAGTTTTAGGGTAGCTATAGTCAAAGACAAAATTGACAAGGAAATGTGTTACCTCTGTGGCACATAATAATTTAAAATAACAATTATAATTATTACTGATAATGTATAATAAGTCATATCAGAAATATAGGCATTTCCCATAATTTTGGAACACATACCAATAACATATTTATACAAAGATAGCCCCCCAAAAAACCAAACACAATTTCATATTTGACAATGCTTCCTGTATAATTTTTACACAAAATAAGCCAAATTCTGTCATTTTTGGACTTTAGGGAACACGACACCTTAAAGGATTAGTTGGGTCAGAAAAAGACACAACTTATAATTTGATTTTGAGGTTTGTCGAATATCAAAGGCTTAAAACACTTGATATCACAGATCATTGTAAAATAAGTCATTTATTTGGCTAACATGCTGACTCAAGGATTTCAAAAAAAAGTTTTAAACCTTCACTCTTTGAGAAAGGAGACTTGATTTTCCAAACTATAAGCCCTTATAAAAACAGCATGAAGCCAATTAAATTTGTTTTTCAAAATCTCATAAACAATCACTAAAATTTTACTCTTGATCATAAGATATAACTTCCCTAAGCCTTTTATAACCTTCATAACCTTTTTTAAGGAGTTGGTTAATGCTTCAAGGAAACCTTGTTAATCTGACACAGGGGCCCATATGCTCATTTTGCAACAGTGTGCCTTTGACATTAATGATTAATTTATAGAGAAATTGGACTTATTTTATCTCTCAAAATCAGCCCATTTAATTTCACACACCCACCTCTTCTATGGTAGTCCCAGGGCCTTGAGCAGTTGAATAGCTTTAATTTCTGGCCCTGTGTCTCAGGAATGCAGTTTATTTTGATTGGAATTTGCTACCAGGCCTGAAAATGAGGCTTTAATTGCTGTCAGTGTTTAAGATTTAGGAGGACTTGGTATCCTTTTTAGACCCAGGAATCACAGCCCTGAAACTCAATGTCACAAGAACTTTAAAAGCAAATACAGAAAGATACATGGATGTAATAACCTTAATTAAAGAAAAAAATCTCAGGTTTTTTTCTAAGAAAACCAAAATGTAATAATAATTGCATAGGAATTGTTTTGATACACCATAAACTCTCTTAGACCAGTTACCAAAGGGCAAAAGAAAAGACCTCCTGCAATGCACAGAATAATATGTTGAAAGAAAACATTTCCTTTAGACCTTTAAGAAAATGTTGTTAGCATCAGGCCACAACAAACAAAACTCGAGGAATAAAACTTATATGAGCTGAAAAGAGTTGATGGGGAGTGTTACTATTTTTCACCCTTAAAAGGGGAGAGAAAATCGAAAATGGCAAGATGCAATAAAAGTTGAACATTGGGTTTAAAAAAATTAAAATTTCTTACAATTTATTAAGAGTAAGTCAATCCCTTAAGAAAATTTCATTGTTGTAACCAATTATTTAGTGTATAAGTGATTTTTACATCAAATCCAACATCTAGAAATACCATTATAATTTCCCTTTAATTATAGACAACTTCATCATATAAAAAGTTTTTGTGTGTTTTTTTAAATGTACCCTCTTACTTTGACATACACAGACCGTTAATGACAGGCATGGACTTTCTGGTTTGTCGTGAGCATCCCTCTTTCTTGAACAACCAGTCATTTTATTCTAGGACAAAATTTGCCATACAAGCTTCTTTCTCCTATAAAATTATTTATCTTCAAGCTTTCTTACCCTCACAAAAAAACCTCATTATTTTTATAACTTTCTTTACTTCTCTCTTATTTCCTGGTTCCTTTTATTCTGTTTTACATATAAACTTTAAATAAGCTTTGAATTAGACAAAAATTGTTCTTCTTTAAAAAAACACATTTTTAGAAATAATGTTTTTCTACAATTTATTTTTATTGGAAAATACACAAATAATGAAATAACTATTATTTAATTTTATATAAATTTAGATTCTAAATTACGATGAGTTTTTCGACAGTATTTATCCTATTGTATTTACCTAATTATTTTATTTTAATCATTTACCTGGATTATTTATGAAAACTGCAATAGTCACCATTTAATGTATGGAACCACCATTGTAAAATTATAACTGAGACAGTGAAAAAGATCTAACCTAACTGACTCCATCTTGCTTCTAACCTCAAGGCTGTTCTTGTTCGTTCCTGGGCATAGGCTGAACTAATTTGGGGAAGAATTTAGTTTATAGTTTAGCTTTGAAACAAAGATGATAAAAGTATTTTCCCAAAACAAACCTTACTGCCTGTGGACTAGACTGCCTAAAGACACAAGATTAGAAGTTACGGTCATCTTACTAAATTCAAGATGTAGCTATTTTCATTAAACCAGTATCAATTTCTTATTTATTAAAAATTACATAAGCAAAGATCATTCTTTTTGGGGCTGGGTTTATAGATTTGTAGCTGCTATGCCAAATTTTGACACTTTATAGAATTTGACAGAGGTAAGTATGAAATTGCTTGATTAGTAAGTGCAAACAAAAAGTACACTGGCAATTCTTAAGACATTTCTAGTATTAATTTACCAATCATTTTAAAGCTAACTTATTTATTAAAGATTTTACTTACGTTACATAAACTTGAAAAAGCATTTGACTACTCTTTCCTTTTTTCCTGATAAATTATTTGATTCAAGTGCTTTTTTTTTTTCTGAGATGGAGTCTCTCTGTTGCCCAGGCTGGAGTGCAGTGCCATGATCTCAGCTCACTGCAACCTCCGTCTCCAGTGTTCAAGCTATTCTCCTGCCTCAGCCTTCCAAGTAGCTGGCATTACAGACGTGCGCCACCATGCCCAGCTAATTTTTGTATTTTTAGTAGAGATGGGGTTTCACCATGTTGGCCAGATTGGTCTTGAACTCCTGACCTCATGATCTGCCCACTTCAGCCTCCCAAAGTGCTGGCATAACAGGCATGAGCCACTGCACCTGGCCTCAAGTGCTTTTATTAAGCCAGTTAATTAGAGCTCTTTTATATATTTTCAATAGTAAAACATTGTGTGCACAACACATAAATACATAGACACATTAGGTATGCCAATAGAAGTACATCTTATAGATTTATAATGACCTTTTTCCTCCTATCTTAGACTTTCATAGCCTTAAATATGTATATTGAAGGAAACAACTCAGGTGAAAATCAAACAGCAAAATTTACATCATATGATATGGAGGGAAAAAGTCGGGTGTGCTACAGGGAAATTAAAATGGAGTTAATTGCTAATTAAAGATAAAAATTATAGAAATTATAAAGGCCTTCTAGATATATACACATGCACATACACAAACACAGAAAGATTCTATACCTTTTACTTCAGAACTTTAGCCATGAGATAAATACAAATTCACCAGCTTGCAAAAAACAAAAACAAAAACAAAACAAAACAAAAAACCTGTTGAATCCAAACAGTGGTTTTTATCTTAATAGAAAATTACAGCAGTTTTAAAGCAGACAGAAAAGAGAATAGAGAAAAACAAAATAACTTAGGATCTCTACAGTTTTCAGGTCAACTTTTTTAAGGGCTCTTTTTCCTTAATGTAAATGTGCACAAAGACCTTATTATGTTCATTTTACATAAACTCTGGCAAGTAGAGGTGCCATGAAACCTACGTGGTGTTCAAAAGGGGATCATTCTGCTTGATTTCTCCTCATTCTTTGAATATTTATTTCCCACTTTTTTCATAAAAGGAGGAACTGTGCTATGGCCTAAGGTTTTTGTGGGGTGGATTAATGTGTGCTGCTTGTGGGCAGGAATCCACAGTGTGTCACCACTGAGTCATTTCTACCCGCCTACATGTCTCAATTTCTCACTCCAAAGGTCTGTTACCTCTGAGAGGGCTCAAAACTCCAGGTGATCAGCCCTTATATGAGTCTCCTAGAGGAGCCTTTTAAAAAATTAAATTTGTTGGGGATTTCCCTATAGGGACACTGCATGTCACAGGGAGTCAACCACCCAGACACTCCCATGAGGCCCTTGGTTATCCATGGGTGCCTTTCAGCAGGAAGACCAAATGCCTTTTCTCTTCAGAGCTGAGAAAACTCAGTCTCTCATTTATCTATGAAAGCAACAGTTCAATTCCTCATGCAAATGTGCACAGACAAGCCAAATCAATATAATTTTAAGAGAAAAAGCAATAGAGAAGACACTTTAGAATTGTTAAGGCAAACTGATTATGGCCTGAGAAGGACTCTGTACTTCTATATTTGAGTCCTTGTGGATGAACTGTAACCTAGCTTAATAGGCAGACAAAATTGAAAACCTAAATTAGTAGTATGCACCTGTAACAATAGCTAAGTCTTGGTCAATCCCAGCAGCCATACTTCAACCATTCATACACTTCTGAGTGTTCAAACTGTGTTCAAATAAGGCATATGCTGAGCTGTAACCAATCCAGCTATTCTGTACCTCACTTCCAATTTCTGTATGTCATTTCCCCCACTTTATTTTGTCTATATATCTTCTTCCACCACGTGGCTGTGCTGGAGTCTCTGTAAATCTTCTGTGATTCTGGGGGCTGACTGATTTGCGAATCGTTCATTGCTCAATTAAACTCCTTTAAATTTAATTCGGCTGAGATTTTCTTTTATCAGAATGCATGTCAGAACTAGAATTAGAATCCTTAAACAACAACTTCCTAGGAGAAGAAGAAAAAAAAAAAAAAAACAGCTAAAACCACTTCCAGCAAACTGTGCTCGGCCACACCTAACTTTGTAGCTCTCATCTGCCATTACACATGCCAAG
Organism: Homo sapiens; assembly: GCF_000001405.40. Lineage (NCBI taxonomy): Eukaryota > Metazoa > Chordata > Mammalia > Primates > Hominidae > Homo > Homo sapiens. The sequence goes on along the minus strand of NC_000002.12, from coordinate 123,467,355 downwards.
GTCAAATCCTCTCACAGTACAAGGTCGTCTCTGGTACTCACAAAGCCAAAGAGGTCAGGTCATACAATAGAGGAAACAGAGCTTCCTACCTAAGAAGAATCTACCCATGACCCTTTCAACTTCACAAAGAAAAGAGTAGACCCCAAAAGAGGTGAGTGGCACCTTTGTTCTGAATTCTTTAAAGGAGTTCAAGTAATTAGAAGCCTTCTCTAGATTTTTTGGTACTGCAGATGGCAAAGAAGGAAGGAGGTATAGGGTGGAATAAAACAAAAAATATCTCAATTGATAAGTTTGGACAACAGGCTACAAAGTGCTAAAGAAAAGAGTAGTTAACTAAAAGATAAATTGCAGTATTGAGATTGAAACAAGATAGAAAATAAAAGCATTAAAACAGAAAAAAAAGCATAAATTCAAGATATGGTAAATTGATCCAAGACGTGTAACCCAGACATCTATCATATCCAAAATTGTTTCTTAACACAAGTTTATAATAGTGTCCTATGATATTTTCTAGAATCATGAAGTAATACAAATAGACATTTTCCAAAATTGATCAAGACAAAGAAACAAGAAATTACGTACATCTTTCATGGAAAACATATTAAAACCTAAAGGAAAAAAACCTTAAAAGATTACTGGAACAAACCAAACAAAACTAAAACATTATTCTCAAAAATCACCAATAATGCTGGCAGTTGACTTAGCAGAAACAATGGAGGATAGAGACAATGAAAATTAATTAATCTTCTCTTAAGTAACCCATGGGATAAAGTTAAAACCTCAATAAAAATCAGAAACTATTTATAACTGAGTGATAATAAATGTACAATAAAATATATTCAATGCAGCTTAAGTCAGGTTTAAGATTAAAAATGTGTCGAATTAAAAGCATATACATAAAATGAAAATATTATGAGATTAAAAATCCAGTTATCTATAACAGCAACACAGAAGTTAACAGTAAATTTATTTATAAAGTAATAAACTGGTGCTAAAAGTGCTAAAGATAAGGGAAGAAATTAGTAAAATAAAAACCAAACATGTAATATACCATACAACAAAAAGTTGGTTCTTTCCAAAAAGGTAAATTAAATTAGTAAACCTTTAACAAACCTGAATAACAAAAATAGTAATTAGGCACGATTATTTAATATACACGATGAAAATAGAACTATCTATACTCTTTATAGCTACTTAAGAGATACGCGGGTATTATTAACAATATTATAGCAATGAAAATTTAAATAAAATTATGAATCTCTACAAATCCCAAATTTACTAATAATGATGCAAGAAAATTCAGAAAACATGAGTAGTCATGGTTATTAATGAAATCAAATTTGTAATTAATAAGCTTCAGAAAATAATTCTAGGCCCAGCTAGCATCACTGATAAACTGACACAAAATTTTAAGTAGAAAATAAAGTTGACATAACCAATTGTTTCCAGGGAATGTAGAAAAAAGTAACATTCCAACTCAAATTGCACTTTCTTCTCTATTTTTAAAATCTACACAAAAAAGGCAGGCAACACAATTGAAAGAGGAGCAAAGTACTGTATCCAGGCCTCAGAAAAGACCCAAAGAGCCAAACACATATGAGAAGGAAGACATCTTGTCATCAGATAAGTGTGAATGCAATAATAATGAAAAACCACTTTTTATGCAACAGAGTAGCTAAAATAACAACTTTTAACAAATATCTGAAGAAATATAATTTTTATGCAATGTTGAGTATGTGAATTTTCACAACTGTAATCACCCAATGGGTTTTTCCTGCCCACTGCACAGACAAAACCTATTCACTGAGCTGATGGCATTATTATAATTGACAAGAGGCCAGCCATGCCACTTGGGAGACACAGTTATTCTTCAAATCAATTTCCCCAAAAACTTGAATGGTAGAGTTTTTCAAGAATAGTTTGGTGGGCCAGGGAGTCAGCTTCTGGGTGAGGCCGCAGGACCAGTTGGCAGGCATTGATGGGTCCAAGTGGAAGCCATAGGTTGTCAGAAATGCAAAAATCTGAAAAGACATCACAAGAGGCCAATCTTAGATTCTACAGTAGTAATGTTATCTGCAGGGGTAACTGGGGAAGTTACATATCTTATGACATTGGGAATAGTAGCTGGTAATCAATTTGCAACTTAGCATCTACACTGTACACCTTACACTTTAGCACCTACACTTAACACCTTAGCATCTGCACCCGGGGTGTTCAATCTTTTGGCTTCCCTGGGCCACATTGGAAGAAGAAGAATTGTTTTGGGCCACACATAAAATATGCTAACACTAATGATAGCTAAAAAAACAAATTGGGAAAAAAGTCTCATTATGTTTTAAGAAGGTTTGTGAATTTGTGTTGGGCCATATTTAAAGACACCTTGGGCCAAATGTGGACCATGGGCCATGGGTTGGACAAGTTTGATCTACACCTTAGCAGAATTCATGCTCCTCATCCTCCTAGCCTGGTGCTTTTTCGTTGGCTTTACAAAGGCAGTTTACTTTTGGAGAAGGGCTATTATCATTTAAAATATAAAGTAAATGTCTCCAGAAGTTAACTTGGAGCAAGCCCAGGAATGATTAAGGGCAGTTTGGAGGTTAAAGGCAAGATGGGGGTTGATTAGATCAGGTATCTTCCACTGTCATAATTTTCTCACTGTTATAATTTTTGCAAAGGTGGTTTTACAAGCACACTGAAAAAATTTTGTTTATATTTATTAAAGCAAATATATTTAAAGAACTTCTTCAGTTTCTCTTGTAAGTATATTTATAAGTATACACATAACAGGAATACACCCATATGTTGCCCCCTGCAATGTACATAGTAGGATCATTCATGAAAGACAAAACTTGAATGATCACCAATGAATAGATTGTGTTACATTCTTACAATGAAATACAGCAATAAGCCATTTATTAAAGAAATTAGTTTTGAGTAGGAAGTGTGATTGAATGAAACAGAGAAAGATTGTCCAGGTTTGTTTCTTATTTATGTCTTCTGAAATTAAAATCAAGAAGGAAAACAAACCATGTTTTAAGAAGCAGAGTGTAGTTGCCTGTGCTGTTACAGAGTTTCTAGAATGTAAAGACCAAAAAGAAGCTTTTGCATTTGGCAATGTTTATTTTTTACTTTCCTAGATGAGTTTAAAGGGAGTGTTAGTGCCAAAAACAAGCAGAATCTGTCAGAGATTTTAGGCTTAAATAATCTTGGTATTTCAAACATTAGTTTGAGCCTTCTCATTCATTTTGAGCTGTCAATGAGGCCAGTGGGAAAGACCTCTGCACATAGACTTACTGAAATTAGTTGACACCACAATCCATTCTGGAGGGATCATCAACTTTTATGCTAGCAGACTGAGTATGTAAACAAAACATGAACTTTTACTTGAGAACAAATTGAGTTGTGCCCAGAACATACAAGGACAGAAGAATCTAATAAAAAAATCATGGACTTTATTTCAATCTTGTGATTTAGAACACAGTATTTGGGCTGTGTAAAGAAACCCAGTTGGAATGTTAACATATTTTATGAATGAAAATGACTGAAACCCTAATCTCTAGCTGCTAGATAAGATTTCTAATATCTACATTTGTTTATTTGTTGGTTTTCAGTTTTAAACCTGAGAATTTGCAGAATTAAACTTTGCTTTATTGGAATTGTCAATAAGATGCTAAAAATATTAAAATTTTATAAAACTGGATATTTGTTTACTTATTTGAATATATATCAGTGTAAAAATAAATGTAGTGGAAAATTTTCAAATAGTGGATTCTAGATAAATAGTTTATTATACAACAGACCAAAGATGATATAATTTACATTTTCAGCGTACACAGCTTTGTTCTTCTTTCAAGATAGAGTCTACTATCTTAAATCGGCATGTCACACATGTGTATTTCCATGAGAGACACTAATGGGATCCCTAACTTTGTCATCACACCTGTGTCCTGGATTAGATGCCAATTTTTTTAGTTTGTTTTTTACCCAAAATACTTTTTAGTTTTCATCTCATCCTTCTGAACTTGACTGTAATTTCCTAAATAAGAAAATATTCATAAAGCATCAGAAAATCAGGATAAACACCAATGTATTTGGACATACCTGGTCTGAGACTCAAACCAAGCATCAAACTCAGTTGTTTTTTATCATCATGATTCTGCTTTGAAAATGTGCATCTAATTTTGCACACTTGCCCTAGTCTTCTGACATTATCTCATTTAGCTTTCCGGAATGATCCTGTGATTTATCAAAAATATCTGATGGGTTCAGGGAACCAATAATGACACATAGCATTTTTATTTATTTATTTATTTTTATTATACTTTAAGTTTTAGGGTACATGTGCACAACGTGCAGGTTTGTTACATATGTATGCATGTGCCATGTTGGTGTGCTGCACCCATTAACTCGTCATTTAGCATTAGGTATATCTCCTAATGGTATCCCTCTCCCCTCCCCCCACCCCACAACAGTCCCCGGTGTGTGATGTTCCCCTTCCTGTGTCCATGTGTTCTCATTGTTCAATTCCCACCTATGAGTGAGAACATGGAGTGTTTGGTTTTTTGTCCTTGCGATAGTTTGCTGAGAATGATGGTTTCCAGCTTCATCCACGTCCCTACAAAAGACATGAACTCATCATTTGTTATGGCTGCACAGTATCCCATGGTGTATATGTGCCACATTTTCTTAATCCAGTCTATCCTTGTTGGACATTTGGGTTGGTTCCAAGTCTTTGCTATTGTGAATAGTGCTGTAATAAACATACGTGTGCATGTGTCTTTACAGCAGCATGATTTAAAAATTAATAAGTATCTGGTAACCGAGATGAACATAGACTTGTTGAACTGATTAGTATAAACCACCCCATCATAACATATGTACCTTGTGGGCAAGTTCACAAATGAAACTTGCAGACATTAATCTAAGTGAAAGAAACAAGACACAAAGACCCCATTTTCTACAATTCCATTTATACTGAATGTTTTGGATAGGAAATCCATAGAAACAGAATATATATTAGTCATTACTAGAAACTGGGAGAAGGAGGGCATGGAGCAATTATTAATGGGTAAGGGGTTTCTTCGGGGATAAGGAAAATGTTTTGGAATTAGCAATATCTAGCACACTTCTGTAAATATACTAAAAAAACCCCAAAACACTGAATTGTACATTTAAGTAAGTACATTTTGCCATATATGGATTATATCTGCATACAAAAATTATAGAAATAAAAACCACATGATTATATTAATAGATATATAAAAGCACTTAACAAAATTCACCACCTATTAATGATAAAAGAAACTCCAAGAAAACCAGGAATAAAAGGGGACTATGTTAACATAATAAAGGTATATATGAGAAAACTTTAACTGATATCATATTTTATGGTGAGAGACAGAACACTTTCCCACTGAGGTGGGGAGCAGGCAGAGATGTTCCTTCCCTCTCGTCACTCATGTTCATTTTTTTTTGGAAGTCCTTGCTAGTGCAAAAGAGAAAAATTAAAGATCAGGAGATTGAGACAGGAGGATTGCTTGAGGTGAAGAGTTCAAGACCAGGCAGGGAACATGGTAGACCCTGTCTTAAAATAATACAAATTTTAAAATTATCCTGGCATGATTGGGCACACCTGTAGCCCTAGCTACTTGCAAGGCTGAGGCAGAAGGATTGCTTTAGCCTAGGAGGTTGAAGTTACAGTGAGCTCTGATTATGCTACTATACCCCAGCCAGGGTGACAGAGCAACACTCTGTCTCTAAAACAAGAAGAAAGAAAAGAGAGAGAGAGAGAGACAGAAAAGAAGAAGGAGGAGGAGGGGGAGGAGGAGGAGAAGGAGAAGGAGAAGGAGAAGGAGAAGGAGAAGGAGAAGGAGAAGGAGGGGGAGGAGGAGGAGAGGAAGGAAGGAAGGAAGGGAGGAAGGAAAGAAGGAAGGAAGGAAATTAAAGGCATATTGGGAAAGAAGATAATAAACTCATTTTACTTGCAAATGGCATGAAATATATATAGAAGACCCCAAAATAATCTGTTTTAAAAAATTAATGCATAATGGCTCATGTAATCCCAGCACTTTGGGAGGCTGGGGCAAGCAGATCACTTGGGGTCAGGAGCTCAAGACCAGTCTGGCCAATGGGGTGAAACCCCATCTCTGCTAGAAATACAAAAATTATCTGGGCATGGTGACACACATCTGTAGTCCCAGCCATTTGGGAGGCTGAGGAAAGACACTAGCTTTGAGCTGAGATTGAGCCATTGCACTCCAGCCTGGGCAACAGAGCCAGACCTTGTCCCCAAAAAATAAATAAATAAAATTTAAAAAACATAAAAATCCTGGAATTAATAAGTGAGTATAGCAAAGTCTTAAGACTCAGATCAATATGCAAATGTCAGTTGCTTTCCTATGTACCAGCAATAAAGAATTGGAATTAAAAAATATATATGCTATTTAAAATTTTACAACATAAAAAAAAGACACATATAAATCTGATAAAATATGTATTTGATATGTATGGAGAAAAGGACAAAAGACAAGTGAAAGTCAAATATGATTTAATTAAGTGGACAGATATTCTATGTTTATTTATTGGAAGATAATTTTGTTAAAATGCCAGTTCTTCATAACTTTATCTAAAGATCCAGCACATCCTTATCATACTCTCAGCAAGCTTATTTGTAGATATTGACAAAGTGGGCCTTCAATTGATATGGAAAGGCAAAAGACCTAGAACAACCAACACAATTCTGCAATGGATGTCAATATTAGAATACTCATATGATCTGATTTTAGGACTTACTATAAAGCCAGCTTCATCGAGATTTCATGGTGTTGTCAAAAGTATAAACTTGTTGGTTACTGGAATGGAATAGAAAACCCAGAAACAGACTCCTACCAATATAATATACTAATTTTTGACAAAGGCACAAAGGCAAATCAATGAAAAAACAACTATGTACATATGATGCTGGAAAAATTGGCCATCCATATGCAAAAAAACATAACTAGAGAGAAACTTTATGATTTACAAAAAGAAAACTAAAATGGATCATAGACTTAATGTATATAATATTTCTATAGGGAAACATACAAGAAAATTCGTGCGACTTTGGGTTTGCTAATAAATTTTTGCTTATAATATTGAAAGCAAATCAATGAAAGAAAAATTTGGTAAGTTGGCCTTTATTAAAACTAAATATTTTGTTCTACAAAAGGTTCTGTTAAGAGAATAAAAAAAAAACCTATACACTTGGAAAAAATATTTGCCAGTTACATACCTGATAAAGGATTTGTAGCTAGAAAATACAATGCATTCTTTAAATTCAACTATAAGAAAATAACACAATTAAAAATGGGCAAAAAGTCTGGGAGAACATCTCACACAAAAAAAATACAGATGGCAAGTAAGCATATAAAAAAGATGCTCAAATCATATTTCATTATTGAAACGCAAGTATATCAATAATGAGATACCATTTCATGCCCACTAAGATGTCCAAAAACCAAAACCAAAACAAAACTAATCGAAACTGATAATACCAATTGCCGGTAAGCATGCAGAACAACAATAACTTGCATTTATGCTCGTGGAAATGGAAAATGATACAGCCATGATCAAAGATAGGTTTGCAGTGTTTTTATAAAGCTAAACATGTCTTACCAAACAATCCAGCAATCATGCATGTAGGTAATTGTCCAAAACACTTGAACATTTATGTCCACATAAACCCTGCACATGAATGTTTATGGAAACTTTATTCATAATTGCAAAGTCTGAGGGCAACAGAGAAATGCTTCAGTGGGTGAATGGATAAACAATCTTCTGAATGGATAAACTGAGGTACATGCCTGGATTAATGTAAAATACTATTCAGATATAAAAAGGAATAAACTATAAATCATGCAACTACATGGAGGAATTGTAAATGCATGTTGCTAAGAGAAAGAAGCCAAGTGGGGAAGGCTACATACTGTATGATTCCATTATGTGGTGTTATAAAAGAGGAAAAATTACAGAGATGAAAAGGACACCAGTGGTTTCCTGGGGATTGGGGATGTTTTAATAGGTGAAAAAGAGAATATTTTAGGGCGTCAAATAATTTTCTAAGGTATTATTGTAGCAGATAAAGGATATTATGCTTTTGTCCAGCCCTGATAACCTCATAGAACAAGGAGTGGACCATAAAGTATACAAATTTAAAAACATAATTTAGGAAATTGGAGTATCCTAGGATGGAATGCAGACTTTGACAAAAAAAAGTCTAATTCTATTACAAATGAATGTCATATCTCAATAAAGAGGTTAAGAAAAAAGGAGGTAACTAACAGAACTTTGGAAATAATTGGGAGACCGTAACACTAAAGGCAAGAGGAAGTATTCATAAGCACTGTGATGATAAAGTTGTTTCCTACGGGGGCACCAGTTGACAATTCTGAAATCAGTGTACATGTATACTGTGATTGAACAGGTAAAAGCATGGCAGATAGTGGCAGCCTGGTTTCTCCCTGTTGGAATGGGGGGTTAGATATAAGCAAATGGAGAAGGCTACAATGAACCATATATACTGGACAAAAATTAAAGAGAGTAACATGAACTCATGTTTAGCTTAATGTATGCATATGTGTTAAGTTTATGTAATGTGAATGGAATGGCAGTTCCTTTGTCTCCTTCCTGATAACCTATAGCCTCAGTAATCAGGAGAAAAATATAAGATAAATCCCAATTGAAGAATATTCTACAAAATATCTGACCAGTACTGCTGAAATATGGAAAGTCCATCAAAAACAAGGACAACCTGAGAAATTGATACAGTCTAGATCCACCTAAGGACTCAGATTCTAGGAGCCTAAGCACTGGATTCTGGAACGGAAAAAGAACATGAAGTAAAAACTAAGGAAATACAGGGCAGGTGCTTATCTTCTTAGTTTTTTAATCTGCAAAATTGAGATAAATATATGAGATTGCAGGGAGAGCAAGTGGGAGATATTTCTGAAAAAAAAATTTTTTTTTTTTCTTGATACAGTCTGGCTGTCGCCCAGGCTGGAGTGCAGTGGCATGATCTCGGCTCACTGCAAGCTCTGCCTCCCAGGTTCACGCCATTCTCCTGCCTCAGCTTCCCGAGCAGCTGGAACTACAGGCACCTGCCACCACGCCTGGCTAATTTTTCTGTATTTTTAGTAGAGACGGGGTTTCACTGTGTTAGCCAGGATGGTCTTGATCTCCTGACCTCGGAATCTGCCCACCTCGGCCTCCCAAAGTACTGGGACTAGAGGCATGAGCCACCATGCCCAGCCTGAAAAAATATTTTTAAATTAAATAATGAAGGTGAGAGTTACTGGTACTCAAAAAAAAAAAAAAAGATAAAAAAGGCATGTTCTTCTAGGACATTTGACGTCAATAGATATTGTTCTTACGTGTTCATGTAAAACCTTCTTCAAGTAGCATGTGTAGATCTCTGAGTGTGTGCATTTTTATGTGTGATTAATATATTTACAAAGGCAAATTATATACTCCAAAATACATGGAAAATACAAAATATCTTTCAGTATTGTTATGGGCAGATTTATTCAGAACAATAATGAGGGACTTATATCTAAATGCTGATATTATAAAATTAACAAAACTCTTAAGTTGTTTGACAAAAATGAAGCTATTCTGACACAAAATATATAAAGCAGTTTGCTGTTTGAAATACTGTAACCATCGAATATGGTCAAATCTATCCTGAGTTTTACAGAAACCACAGCAAATGACTTGGCAATCCATAAATCCACACTCGACAGGACTTAAGCAGGTTTCATAAATGATTTGCAATGAAGAAGGATTTCACTATAATTGTTCTCCATAGCCATAAAAAGCATTATAGATTAGAAAAAAATGACAAGGCAATATTAAAGAAAAATGTTTTCTTAGCAACATTTTTTTTTAAAAAAGTGTGGAAAGAAAAATAAAACCTTTAATGAGCTAAAATAAGTGTGTTATATCTATATAAGGAAAGAAGGGGTCTTCTCTATCAGTTAAGGTATATTCCTTAGTTTTTTGAGCAAAACCCAAAAGAAATCCAGTGGAAACCCAAAATAAGTCCAGCATGCTCACAAAATCAATACTTCTAAAGCTTTGGGGTAAAAAGCATCTCTTCGGTGTGATTATTAAAAATATTTCTTCACCCCTACTTTCAGAGATTTGACTCCACGCTAAGCTCTCCAAGAAATGTTATAAGTGGGACCTGTTCTTGGTTACAACTAGGGAGTGAACACAGGACCTAAACCAGAGCATGGGGAATCTATTCCATTCTCTTGCTTGTAAACTTCTTTGGAAGCATTCCCTCACTCTCTTCCTGTGTGTGACTAGGGAAACCTGTTAACCAGTTTTCTGAAGTTTCTGATATTCTGACCAACATGGCAACTGGTTTTAGGCTGAAACCAACAGAGCAGAGACATACAGAAGAAAAAAACTAAAAAAGTAGATCCTTGAGGAGATTGACGAACCACTAATCTTTAATTCTAAAGATTATCTTACCACAGAACTTCCCATCAATACTGGATGATACATCTACTTTACTTCTGTTCAAGTCACTTTGATTTAGATTTTTCTAACAGGTGAAGTGAGTGAGCTTGCTTTAAGAAAGAGTTCATCCCCCCTTAATAGTCTAGTTGATTAGCTAATTCTATGAGACTAAAGAGGGATAAAGCTGTTGTGTAATCCTGCATTAGTGACTCAGATTTGTACCTTTCCATATATCTACTTGCTTTGCAGTGTGACTTTGTAGCTCTTCCCACCGAGGTAGAATCTATTTACTTGCTGACTAATTCTGAATTTAGTCTTTTGACTTTGATTAATGAAATGTTGAGAGTTTTGACACTACCAAGGCTTGAAAACATTTCCTTGATTATTTCTACTCTTGTACTTCTGTCTCCACCGCAAGACTATTCTTAGACTAGCCTGCTGGACAATAAGGTATATGGAGCACAGCCAAGTCACTTCATTTGTCCCAGCAGAAGCTATCCTAGGTCATTCAACAATCAAACCATCTCCACATATACGGAAAAGCCCAACCAAGATTAGCAAATCTGCCTAGCTGAACTTCGATGCGTAAAATAACCAGCCAAGACCAAAGAGAAACAACCACTAAAAACAGAAACAATGAAACACTGGACATGTGAGCAAAAAGGAACTTTCAGACTTATGACTCAAAAATTGACTTATATTTTATAACATTGAGTTTTGGGATTGTTGGTATGTGGTAACATTGTGGCAATAGATAAGTAATATACACACTGATAAGACAAGTGAGATGTTGCCACAGTGAAATCCCAAAATAAGTGGCATTAGTTTTGGGACCAGATGGTGAGGAAGTTCTTAAAATAGTTTAAGAGTGTTGAGGACACATATAACAGAATGGAAATATAGTGACCCGAGTTACGTGGTGGAGATATATTTGGCAGCACTTTTGCTGATGATAATAGAAGATAAAAACATAACCACAGCATTTTTACATTTGACGAAGGATATTCCCAAGGCAGTGCTGAAAGTACATCTACGGCTGGGTGCAGTGGCTCATGCCTGCAATCCCAGCACTTTGGGAGGCCGAGGAGGGTGGATCACCTGAGGTCAGGAGTTCGAGACCAGCCTGGCCAACGTGGTGAAACCCAGTCTCTACTAAAAATACAAAATTTAGCTGAGCATGTGGCACATGCCTGTAATCCCAGCTACTCAAGAGGCTGAGGCAGGAGAATTGCTTGAACACAGGAGGCGGAGTTTGCAGTGAGCTGAGATTACATGATTGCACTCTAGCCTGGGCAACAAGAGAGAAACTCCTTTTCAAAAAGAAAAAAAAAGAAAGTGCAGCTAACTTTTACTACCTACGTGTGTGATAAGGTCCCATAAGAAAGAGATGAACTTGGCCGGGCACGGTGGCTCACATCTGTATTCCCAGCACTTTGGGAGGCCAAGGTAGGCGGTTCACCTGAGGTCAGGAGTTCGAGACCAGCCTGACCAATATGGTGATACCCTATCTCTACTAAAAATATAAAAATTAGCTGGGCATGGTGGCGGGTGCCTGTAGTCCCATCTACTAGGGAGGCTGAGACAGGAGAATTGCTTGAACCCGGGAGGCAGAGATTACAGTGAGCCGAGATCACGCGATTGCAGTCCAGCCTGGGCGACAGGGCAAGACTCTGTCTCAAAATAAAAAAAAAATAAAAATAAAAAAAGAAAAAAAAAGAAAGAGATGAACTCAGAAAATAACGAAAATTTGCCAATAGAAATTAGATAAAATGTATAAGGGCCAACATTTCCTGTAATGAAAAAATATTTTCTCCTTTTAGCTTAGAGAAAAACTGAAAAGTGGCAAAAGAGTCTCAAAGAATGATGCCTCCAGAACCAAAACAAAATTAAGAGTTTGATTGTGACATCCTTGCTAAGACCCTGGATGGAATTAAAGCGATGTCTATTGGTTCTCTCCATTGGAAGTAAGTGATTCTAGGAATCTAAGGACATTGTCCCACAGAAACTTGGCCTGCCTAAAAAAGCAATGAAGAAAATGAGTGAGAAAGACCTATAGGGAAAACAAGTATGGGAGTGGCTTTTTTTTTTTTTTACCCATTCACATAAAATAGACTCAATTTCATAAGAAACACACAATGTTCCTGAGTCAGTAAGAGTACCTCCAGCTTAGATCTAACAGGCAAAAAATATTCTAAATGGGTGAAAAGAGCTCTCGGATCTCAATAACATTCTGGTAGAAGTGGGCTGGGAATTCTTTTCAAAGAGCATATTTTCCCATTTCCTCCTTAGATGGCATAGAAACTAATAAATTGTGTTATCCTGCCAAGACTGCATTAACAAAATACCACAGACTAGATGGCTTAAACACCAGGCATTTACTTCCCACAGTTCCAAAGGCCAGGAAGTCCAAGATCAAGACAAAGGCAGATTCAGTTCTTGGTGAGGGCTTTCTTTGAAACTTGCAGATGGCTACTTTCTATCTATATCTTCACATAGTGTGTGTGAGAGATCTCTGTTCTTTTTCTTTCTATAAGAACACCAGCTCTGCTATGGTGATTCTGCCCTCATGATGTCTTCTACACATAATTACCTCCCAAACACCTCACTTGCAAATGTCATCACACTGAGGGTTATAACTATTATAACATATGGATTGAGCAGGGGCAATCATTTATTACATAATATGGACAAAGAAGGATGTCCCAAAGGTAAAGCCAATGAACATGGCAAACAATAAACTGTGAGCCACAGGCAGGGAACAGAAGTGGTACCTGATCAAGAAAACCCTATCCAGAATGGAACAACTTGGTTACAGTTGCTCAGCAGGATTTCAAAATTATAAGCAGCAACTTCCCTTTGACTCCCTTTCTTTCTCTTTTGGGAAATGTGAGTGCTTATTGCATCATCCTGTCTCTGTTTGACCATTGTTTTAGGGAATGTTCAAGTAAGTGTGTGTGTGGATGGAGTCAGACGTTGATAACAGACAGCTTGTCTTTTTGTTCGTGGTCTCTAAATCAAGGGAATTATCATCTACCAAGGGTGTCCAATCTTGTGGGTTCCCTGAGCCGCATTGGAAGAAGCATTATTTTATTGGATCCCACATAAAATAAACTAAGGCTAACAATAGCTGATGAGCTAAAATAAAAAGGTCTGTGCATACATCTCACAGTATTTTAAGAAAGTTTATGAATTTGTATTGGGCCGCATTCAATGCCATCCTGTGCCCCATGCAGCCTGTGGGTGGTGGTTTGGAAAAACTTGATTAATGCTTTTGTGGTTGAGAAGATCTTGGACATAAAGTGATGTAATTAGATGAGGTGTCAGATTCTGGGATAAAAGTGAGCATATGGTGCATACAAGAGAGTGTGAATAATCATAGGCATAAGGCAAACCACAGTATATTGATGACACTAACAGCTCTGAGTCTTCATCGTTCCCTGTAGCCTCATGTTTGCAGTATGACTTTGTAGTCACAATATTGCTCCGTGTTTCTGATTTCAGCCATGTGCCTTGCTTTGGGCACAATATGATTTTAGCAGTTATGATTAAGGAGAGAACTGAAAAAGTGTTGACATACTTCTGCTTCTTTTTGCTCCTGTGTTTTTGCCATGAGAACATGCCTGAGCTAGCTGACTGTGGGATGAGACACATGAGGCAGAATCTATCTTTCTCTTTTTTCCTAGCACAGGCTTCCTAGAACACCTATGAGCCAACTAGCCTACAAACATGAGAAAGAGCCCGGCAAAATCAGTAGAGATATCTCACCATCTGCAGCTGATTCAAGAGAGATGAATGAGCCCTGTCCAGCCCAGGCAGCTCCCACTTAAATGAACTAAATAGGTGCTTATATATTTTTACAACTAGGTTATCTGGGATGGTCTGTTAAACAGCATTACTGTGTCAATAGGTAACAGATATAAAGACCTACAGATCTAAGTTGAAAGTATATATTGGGAAGGTTTATGAGGAATTAATTTTGGTGTTAAATTAGCTGCCAGTTGAGTGTGTTGATTGCTTGAATTTTCCTGGCTCTGACCCTTGAATAATGCTCTTTCAACAGATTTTAGCTCAAAAAAGTGCCAAATGAAATTCTGTTTAAGTAACGATTTTACCATAATAATTGCTGCCACATTTTTCTGTAAATATACCTTTTTTTCTTGCTAGAGTGTCTAATTATTTTTTACCAAAAAATTAGTACAGAGAGGTATATCAGAGAACAAGAAATTAGATAACAACTCATGATCTTGATATATATTGTGTATTCCAAGGAAGTCAGAATCCTGAGGAAATTCTCCCATTTTTACTCGAGATCTATTCTGATTATAAAGGAATGCCAATTTTAGATTGAGTACATCAAAAGGAAAACAATTTATGGATTATAATTAATTTTTCTATCTGTCCATATAATTTTTGATTCAGCAGATATGCTCAAGAAACTGGAGATAGATACATGAATAACAGATTTACTATCTCACGGAGCATATAGTCTAGCAGGGGAAACAAAAGTAAATAGACAAAGAAGGTCTTATTTACAATATTATAAATATTCTTGTGAATATAACTACAAGAGGCCAAGATGACACAAAAAAAGAGAGGTAGTTTATTCTGATTAGAAGCCAGAGAGTAGGAATCAAATGTATTTTCCCAAATGATTTAAAATCCACATTGGTTTTGAAGGAAGACTATGATGTGTACAGGTACTGGATGGCAGACTCTGTAGAATGGTACTCTAAGCAAAGCCACATACGCAAAAAGCTTCAAAGATTAGAGAAGCATGTAACATTCAGAACATGCAACTACCCTATGGAGTAAAAAGGAAATGAGATCCGTGACATAAGAGAAGGAGGGCATTTATACTGCACTGGTGTTCCCACACCAATTCTCTTCTTTTTCTTTTGCTGTTTTTATTTTAGGAAATTAGAGAAGCTCAAGGAAATGGTTTGATTACATGGAATATCCTTTAGGGATAAACTCGTTCCTGGAGAATATGTTTGAAATATCATTATTTAATAAGATCATTTTGTCTTCTTCTTATCTCTTCAAGTGAAAATATGCCACTAAACAGTGATGTGAATAAAAATTTCCCTGAGTTCTGCATTACGTAACTCAGTTGAAGCAGTGCATGTCCTAGTAACTGCTATTTACTAGAAGCTATCTCACAGGAATTCCTGGAAGAGATTAAGAAAACTAATGGGTGGAGCTGATCCACTCTAGGGGCTAAATGGCCATATTTCTTGGAAAGAAAACATCAAAATAAGTAATCGTTTCTGAAAATCTCGGTTCACATAACAAGACAAAATAAAATGATATGTCAGAAAAGACCATACAAGTACATTAATGTTAATAACTAAGTATTACTAATTGAGCTTTCATCAAGAATTGGGTTAAAGAGAAACATATTAAAAAGTTGTTTTAAAAAAGAAAATATAACTTAACTTCGCATTTCCACTTATAGGTTTATAACAATTCCTTTAGGGTATGGAAATAAAGGGAGAAATAGAAACATTTTACCTTGACAAGAGAGATTTAAAAAACTCAATGAGCATGAATTACTTTTGCTTAACAAATAAAATCAAATGAACACGTGTTAGATATTAGAAATAAAATGAGCTGCATGATGTCAAACTATTAGCTTCTGGGACTAGCTTTTTACCTTTGGTGGGATAGACAGCCAACCTGTAAGATGAGCATAAAGGATTAAACAACTTCGTAGTGCTGCTCAGCCATTTTCCAAATGATTCCAGAAAACTGTATGATTGAAAATACATTATTTTCTATTGGATTGCACTATTCTTCTAGCTCCTCCTTTTAATTATGCCTTCTGAAAGCCATGACATATTTAAAGCTTTGGATCCTCATTCCATTAAGCAATGTGTCATGTATCCTCCAACACAAGAGACAGAGGAATGGGGACCACAAGTGACCCTGGGTTATTGTGGGGGAGGGAGAATCAATAAAATATGAAAGAGGAAGATACAATAATGGCACAGACACTACTAATATTGGAAAAATATTGGAAACTTCTCAATTTATAAAGACCTGCTGTCTAAGAAGTATATAGAACAGTGTCTCTGTTGTAACTAAATATGTAAAGTATTATAAACTCTTATATAAAATAATTGCACAGCTGCTGTATATCCTGTAATATTTATCAGTGAACCACACAGAAAAATTTAACAGTTTAAATAAATAATGGGAATAGTCTTTACTGCTGAATTGAGGTAGAATGGCCTCAAAAGACACACATTCTCAAATTAAAAAAAAAAAAATCCAGACTGTTGCATTGTGAAGCAAGGTGCTTTATAGAAAACTAGAGATACTGCAAAATTCAATTTATGCCTTTAGAGACTTTCAGAGTCCTAGTAAATATTTTACTGACCATTTTATGTTTTTAGTAAATGAAGTGCATAAAGCACCAGAGAAACCAGAAAAAATTGTTATTCTATTTCAATTTTATAACTCCTCTCACATTAGTGGTATATGAGTTTATCTATAATATGTAATGATACATCGATTCTAATAGGGTGTATTACAATATCCAGAATTCTCAAAGCACAGAGTAATAAAAAATGCCTTCCACTACACCTATAATTTGAAATGTCCAAATATAAGCAGGATTATATACATAATGGAAATAAACCTTTTAAAATACTCATATCTGGTGCTTTGACAAGAAAACTTTTATATTGTCAGTGGTTTTGGAGTGTATAATTAAGTTTAAATATTGAAACTGAAACATGTTGATGTAATACCTGAATCAACATGAGTACAAAATAATTCAGATAAAATACTATCATAGAGCATTCATATAATTTCTTTGCTCATATCCAAAGCTAGAACAAAACTCAAACAACAGTAGATAATCATTTGTGAAATAGTTTTCTATTTTATCATATTTCTTGAACAACCCATTGTATATGTATCAATATTAACCTCTTAACAACAGCAAGGATCCTGACTACTGATGCTATAATTTTATATACACATATTTCAGGTAATGCTGTTTAGTAATTATATTGTTTCTAAAGGAAAATATAATGAAAATGTTAGGGAGAAATAAGAGAAGAGAAAATAAAGTATTGCATTTTATAGCCAAAAAAAAAAAAGCCCTGACAAAGAGAAAAAGAAATGTAACATTTTTAGTGCAAAGTTTCCAGTCATAGGCAGCCTTTGTTTGTTGGTTGAATATAAAAACACAATCCAAGAGAAAAACAAAGTTGAAGGGTAGTGACTTTTGATATTCTGTTTCAAAGTTAACATTTTCTAAGGTTTCTGTTTTCTTGTTTGTTATATCTCAACCAGATCTGACCATCTTGTCTTAGATCAGTGGATGGCCATGACCTAACCAACAACTCTTATCAAATAAATTCAGTCAGGGCTCAATAATTCATTCTAAGATAAATACTATACTCTAGTACTCAAGTGATCTCATCTACCAAGTCCTCTGCCTACTTTCCAACTTTGGCAAGCGTCAACTTTAAGATCTGCGTCTCTCCTTCATGGTTTCATTCATGTTAACATCGGGCAAGGCAAAACATATTTATTTCAACCATTGGATGTGAATCTTACACAGTTAGTTAACCTCTTTGCCTCTCTGTGACTTAGTGTGGTCCTTTTAAAATGGAGGAAATGACACCCCAGGAGGCTTTGTGATAATTAAATGAAGAAATGTATATAAAACACATTCCCCAGAACCTTATACGTCGTAAGCAGAGAATCGATATCTTCTCTTAGTGGAAGTATTAAATTAGGTGATTATGTGGTAAGAAATTGGCCTCATCTTTTCATAATAATGTAGTATGTATACAAGAATGTTGTGGAAAGTAGCTAGGCAGCCTTGGAACACGGTGAAGGTCAAGTATATGACCAATTTAGCTGTGAGCGATGGTAACTGGCTTGCTGTATGAGGCTGAAGAAATATTTTGAAAACACACAAGGGAATCAGGGAAGCACTGTGGCTTTTGCAGCATGTAATCAGATGCTCATACAAACTCTGCCATGAATACTGCAATACAGCCTTACAACAATACCGTGGGGGTTTCTTTTTAGACAATCGTTTCTCTCTGGTTCAATGAAGACTGTCAAAATGCCCCAGGATGGCCAATAAGACATTGAAAGTGACTTAAGCAAGAGTTTCTGAGAGTTTGCAGTGCTATGACCCCAAAATTAAACAAAGGGAAAGCACGCAAATCTTCTTCCTTCTCTATAAAATAAAGCAACCGTTGAATCTGCATTAGATATTGAATTTTCTCCTCCTAGCATAGGAAAGCATGGATACTTGATTTTTAATGTGTTTCTTTGTCCATAGGATATAGACCCTTTCTTATCAACATTTCTAACCTTAGCTGTCTCTAGGGTCTCTCAATATGCCCTCTAAATATGTCTCTAAATATGTCCTCAATAATGCCAGAGATCTGTGTCATTCTCATAGGTGAGGATGTGGTAAGGAGCTCTATGAGCATATAAATAATTGTCTTCAGACAACTGGGAAAATTGGTAAAATAGAATGAAAACCAGCTGGGAAGTAGGATATCAGCACCCTGGGCCTGGTTCTAATACTAACATGGTATGTAACCCTAAGCGGATCCTTGATGTGTTCTTGAATGTATTTTTCTCAGCTGTGAAAAGGACTGCTGGCCTCTGACAACCCATCTCTTACTTTCATTCTGCAATGAGAAAGAGATCTACACTATTCCTCATTTATGAACATATTTTCCTCCATCACAGGAGTGACCATTTCTGGAAGTACAGTGTGTGTAAAAGTTGGAGTGCTTGATAACATAGGCATTCTCGGAAGCCCTAAATTTACTGAACCAGAAACTCTCATGATTCTAATACACACTGAGTTTTAGAAGCATGGCTTTGTCAAATGAGGTAATAGTGAATCTAAATTATTGGCCCTTGCCCTTTCAGTGTTGCCAGCTCAAATAAATAGCTAGGCAGGGAAAAGAAATGAGTGGTAAGAACTTGTGCCATCCTTTCCCCAACAACAATTTTAACAAAAATTTACCAGGAGGCTTAAATGTCTAAAATGAACACACAAATTCCTTTCAGCCAATCACAAATATCTTAATGATTTTTCCTCCTCTGGTCTTATCCCTGACCCCTAGACCTCATCTAACCCTCACGTATTTTTTAAAAATAATAATAATAAATAACAACTGGCTATTGGAGAGAGATTCTGAAAAGGCATTCAAGAGAGTTTATGAATTTCCTGCAGCATACTAATAATAGAGAGTGCAGGCTGGATTTAAACCTGGTTCCATCTCTCTTCAACTTGAGAGCTGTTGGCCACTACAGGAGCTGCCCAGACATTCAGTCATAGGAATTTTCCTACAGGGATGCAAATGCCTGAGAGTAAAATCTAAGCCCCTTAGCTTAATTCATCAGGACCCTGCTTTCCTTTCCAGACTATTGAAGGCTGCCTTGAGAAATTAAAGTTTGATTTTAGACGTGGAAGATGAATAGGTGCAAATGAGAGTGTGATGTGTACAGGGATAATTTTCAGGCAGAGTGAACAGCGTATGTGCAGGCCCTGTAGGGTGACAGCTTGTTGAATTGAAGGAGTTGAAGAAAATATAGTACGGCTGGAGCATTAAAAAATCATGACTCTAGAACATAAGATATTAGAGTGATGATGAGTACAGAGAAGAATAGAGAGCTTTGTATGTTGTAGTAAACATTTTGGGTTTTAACTGAGGAACCGTGGGAACACAAGTTTGGCAGCGAATTCACATTTTAAAGCAAAACATGATTATTTGCATAAAATATAAGATAACATGCTAATATTTTTTAAATAACATTAAAGAATTGTACTTAGTAAGACATTTTAAATGTATCATAATATGTTTCTTCTTTCCCAGATATAAATGACCTGTATAATTAACAACACACTATTTTCCATTGTAAATTTTGTGTGCAAGTCCTATATCTCCATTTGGAGAACAGGAAGAAGTTGCCAGTTCTTCCTTAGGAGGTAGCAAGATGAGCACATAGTGATAAAAATGGCAGCGGATATAACATGGACAACATTAGGCTTAGTTAACTTGTTAAATCCACATTGGAGATCATAGCAGCCTTTCCCCTTATTCTGGCTATGGCCAGTGCACATAACTGAACCTAGATGTCTTTTGAGTGTGATGCTAAGTCATGAATCCAACAAGCTGAGCAAAGGTTTGAATGTTGGTCAAGCTGAATTATTGTAGGACACTGTATTGTAAAAATATGAATTATTTTTGCTTGTATCAGACAAAGGTTGTATTAATAGGGGCATTAATAAGTTTGGTATTGTATAACTGATTCATAGAGCAGGTAATTCATTTGTAAATAGTTCCAAGAATCTTTCCTGAATAATTTAAATCTTCATTCTCTGGTCTTCAGTGCTTAATTATACACTTTGAGAGTGTGAAAGCAATTTATTCACATATTAAGCTTTGTTTAAAATAACTGAAGAGGTCTTCACTCTTCATATGACTAAAACTTTTATTTTAAAAATTTATCCATTGACTGAATTGCTATTTATTTGATAGCATTATTTCATGGAGTTGGCCAAGTGAAGAATGTGAAAACAAGGTATAGTTCCATCTTTTAAAAGTCCCAGGGTATCTTTCTTGACATTTTAAAAACTGGGGATTCCACACAAGTTTTTTTGTTTTTTTTTTTTTTTACTGTAAAACAACCAAACCAGCCAATGAAACCAGCAGAATAGTTAGACTTTTACTTAGTTATCAGTATAAATAATAGACCGTTGTCATCAAAAATGTGGTACACATGATATAAAAAATTGCTTAATTTTTTCGTTAACAAAAAAAAATTGTTCTCGTAACAATCCACTTTAGATCTCCATGCCCGAACAAGATAAACTTGACAACATCTTCCTGCAAGCTTCTATTAGATGCTGACATTTCGATCACTGTGCCCCTCACACAGCATTGCCCATCTATTTCCTGACTGTCTTGTCAATTTGGCTGTGCTCTTTTCTTTGTAATCCCAAGGCCAAGAGAAGGTGTTGGTCTGTGTGGTTGATACTTGGGACATTTCTTCTTGGACTTTACACTTCCTTGGTGGCTGTCTTTAGCATACTAACCGGTGCTCTAAGAAAAATAAATAAAAGAGGATTGATAATTTAATTAATAAGTTTGTCCATCTCGGTACTTATAATCTATCAATAGCTCACCAAACTTTTTAGGATCAAATTGAAACTTTTTCACATGGCCTGCAAAGACTTCCATGGATCGGTTCTCTGGAACCTCCATTTCTCTCTCTCTCTCCCTTTCACACACACACACACACACACACACACACACACACAGACACACACACACTATGCATACCCTAAGCATTTTTTATTGATTTGTGGTTGTAAAGCATGCTGTAGTCTTTCATGCCTCAGTGCTCTGCACTTACCCCTTCATCTGCATAGAATAACCTCCCCCTCCTATCTTGCCTATTTGGTGCAATTCTACTTATCCAACACAAGCAGAGGTGCTCCCATGCCTCCTTTCATGCTACACTACCTCTCATTAAGAGCTGATTACTTCCTTCTTTCCCCACTCTGAACCGCTATCTTACAAAAAGCACTACTATAACATTTGTCAATCATTTTTCTGTTCTGTCATTATTAAAATCTTTGTTTCTGTGCTCACAGAGGTTACAGCCATTGTCTCTACACTCCTAAAGCCTCAATGCTTGGCACAAAAGGGTGTCCCAATGTATATTTGTGGGAGGAAGGAAATAAGTGAGGAGAGAAGATAAATTAGTAGTTACACTTATTCTCCTTCAGATATGCTTACATTTTAAATGGCATATGCAACTGATAAAGTTATGCTTACTTGAATTTTTAGGGATTCAGCCAACAGATAAAGAAAATCATTTCAATAAGAGGCTTCCAAGTGTGGGGGCCAGAGGCTCTTGGCCCCCTAAAGGGTCGCTAAAAAATCACTGACCTGAGACCAATTGATTAATAGGAGAAAAGGTGCACAAATTGATTTAATGTGCAGAAACTGGAGCCTTTGGAATGAAGATTCAACTTTTCAAAGAGTAACAGAAGCTTATACACTATATTGAGGCAGAAAGAATGACGGCTTGAATTCTGGTTAAACAAATTCAGTGGCAAGACAGGTGATGAGAAAGAGAAAGGAAGAAGCTTAATTAGCAAAGGTGGCCTTGCTATGTAGATGAAGCCTCCCTCAGAGATAATGGAGGGTAAATGTTCCTTTTTAGACTTTTAAAGTGTCAAATTATCAATCTCTCCCAGAACCAGAAAGGCACAGAAGAGGGAGGCATGGTCACATTAATGGAGATTCTCTACAGATGCAAATTTCCCCCACCTCAGTCTGCTGGCCTTGAGGCAGCCATTTCAAAATATGTAAAAGAAATAAATTTGGAGATAAAATATTTTTTATTTCCTTCACAGGAACCACCAAATCCACAGCCTGTATGAAAGCTGCTTCTTCCAACCTCAGGTAAGACTGGCCTAACTTTCACCAACAGTAAATGAAGTCGGTTGTGGTTAAGATATATTCTAGAGAGAAGAGAATGTGTTTCCAGGAAAATAGTACCTGAATTGTAGAGAAGGCAGTGCAGGGTGATTATCATCTTCAATAGTGTTCTAACATCAAAAGGATGGACTTCTCCTCTATAGAAGCAGACAGGCAGGTGAGCAGAAGTCTGAATCCCTAACAAGACTTGCAGCTGTGTAAGCTCAGTCCAGGACTGGCAAAGGCACTTATGTGATAAATTCTAAGGAATGATTTACTCCAGAACTTTCCAGCTCCTTCTTCATGAGGAAGAGCTTATGATTATGGTGATGTTAATAAAAATAACAGAGGGTAACCAAAACGAAGTTATTTCTATTTAAAAGGAAATTGAAATGTATGGATATTTTAAATCCCTACAACAATCTATGAGGCAACACTGACACAGGAATAATAAAGGGTGGTCAGAGAATTAAAATTCCAGACAGTAGTTTCACATTACTAGAGGCTATGGGCTGATAAGACCCTGAAAAACAGTGTGGACCAAGCTGGCTAAAAGCAACTAGACTCAACATAGTGTTAGATTTGACTTAGGTTTCCCCTAGGACCTCATTATATGCTAAATCACACACTTCAAGCACCATAATGGCTCCAAGAACACACATATTTGGTGTATAAATAGGTAGAACCATAGTTCTGAGAAGTCTCCACCTTTTTCCAGGAATTTTCATGAATATTTCACTCCTTGGTTGAAGAAATCCATAAAGGTAGCAGCCTTAAACCCTGTTGCATGACCCTTTCTTGAGTACTCCCACGCTCTCATTGGCATACTTTTTGCTTTTCAATAAATCTTTGTACATTCATGATTTTCTGACTCTTCCTTGTATTCCTTCTTGCAGCAGTGTCAAAAGACTGGACACCAGCTGGATTTGAGGTCCCATCAGCTTTTGGGGACCTCTCCAGCCCACCGGCATCAACACTATTATTATTTTCATTTTACCATAATGGAAATGGAAGTGTAGAAAAAACAAGAAAATTGTGTACCTAACTCTCCATGGTAACCTCTCTCACTTTTTATTATTCAATTATTCAATAAATATTGATTGAGCATTTATATATGTGGTGAGTACAATTCTAGACACTGGATACATGATTTTATGTATGCTTATGGGTGTCATATAATAACACATATCAACCATCTGGTTTTCTGTTATTCATTCACAAAAGCAAACTTTTTCTCACATTCCATAAATGTGAGAAATTTGATGGGAATGTCCTTAGTATGGAAAATCTATTGATGCGAGGATAAATGTAATATCTGATAGGGTTCTGATATGAAAAATAAGCCCATGAAAGTACTGGGCCATTGCACTCTTCAGAAAGCTTCTGATATCAGCTGCACCTAACTCCTGATTAGCCGTCATTCCTGGTATCTTCTACAGCCTCCTTAGGCTACAACCATCAAGCTGCTGAGAGAAGTACCGGAGGGCAAACACTTTGTGCAGGTGCAAATGATGTACAAAAAGCTGGTATATACTTAAAGTGCAACTTGATGATTTTGGAGAAAAATATATTATCTATGACACCATCACAAATATATATCTGTGACACCATCACCACAATTAATGCCATAAACATATCCATTGTCTCCAAAAGTCTCCTCTATATTATTATTATTATTTTATTTTATTTCTGTGATAAGAACACAAGATAAGATCTACTCCCTAAGTGAATTTTTAAGTGTACGGTACAGTATTGTAAACTATAGAAATTGTTGAAGTAAAGAGTCAAACTCTGTAAAATATTTGAAAAGGTTTATTCTGAGGCAAAACAAGTGACCAATGGCCCAGGACACAGCCCCCGGGAGATCCTGAGAACACGTGTTCAAAGTGGTTGGGCAACAGCTTGATTTTATGCATTTTAGGGAGATATAAGATGTCAGTTGATACATGTAAGATGTATGCTGAGTTTGTCCAGAAAGGCTTGACAACTGGAAGTGGGGGCTTTCAGGTCATAGACAGATTCAAAGATTGTCTGAAGGGGAATCGGTTAAAAGAGTTATTATTTAGAGACCTGGAATCAATACCAGGGAATATCTGGGTTGCCGTAAGAGGATGTGGAGACCAAGATCTTATCATGCAGATGAAGCCTCCAGGTAGTAGACATCAGCAAGAATAGATTTTAAATGTTTCTTATCAGACTTATAGTGTCTATTCTGTCAGGCTTATGGTCTCTGTGTTGATGTTAATGTTGTTCATCTGTGATGAATGTGCAACCTTCACTTTCCATCATGGCCTGAACCAGTTTTTCAGGTTAACTTTGGAAAGCCCTTGACCAAGAGGAGTGATCCATTCAGATAGTTGGGAAGGCCAGGGGGGTGGTGCTTAGAATTTTATTTTTGGTTTACAAAACTATACTGTACATAGTATCTCTAGAAATTATCTTTATTTCATAAATGACACTTCACACCTGTTGACCAATAGCACCTCATGCCTTGTGTCTCCAGCCTCCAGAAACCACCATTCTACCCTTTGGCAGGTTTTGTCCAGCTTCTTTTCAACATCTTATTTTATCAGCCAGGTCTTTGTGACCTGTATCTTGTGAAACCAGTCCTGCTGGAACTCCTATCTCATTTGGAGAGTAGCTTGAAATCTTCATATGGGCATGAAATATCTTGTGATTGGCAAAATTCAAGGACAATTTCAGGAATGTCAGGAAAGCACTAAAAAGACAAAGGAGTTTCTAATGGCCAGGTGATAACCTTTGCATCAGTAATCATTGATAATAATTTTATAGTTGTTTATGAACTATCATTGACTTATATTAATATGCAAAATGTTAAATCTAATATGAAGTATGAAAGTAATTTTTATTGTTACATAATAATTGTACATATTTATGGGATACATGTGATATTTTGATACATGCACATAATGTGTAATGATTAAATCAGGGTATTTAGGATATCTATCATCTAAAATATTTACCATTTTCTTGTTGGGAAACATTTCAAATTTCCTCTTCTAGCTATTTTCAAATATACAACACACTGTTGTTCACTATAGTCACCCTACTGTGCTATGAGTCAGTAGAACTGATTCAGTCCCTCTAAGTCTATGTTTGTACCCATTAACTAACCTTTCTTCACACAACCCTTCCCCCACTGCTCTTCCCATCCTCTGGTAACCATTGTTTTACTCTCTACTTCCACGAGACAAACCATTTTAGCTTCCACACGTGAGTGAGAGTAGGTGATATTTGCCTTTCTACCTGGTCTATTCACTTGACGTAATGATCTCCAGTTTCATACATGTTGCAGCACATGAAAGAATTTCTGCTTTTATGGTTGAATAGTGCTCCTCTGTGTATGTGTATCACATTTTCTTTATTCCTTCATCTTTTGATACACATTTAAGTTGGGTCCCTGTCTTTGTTATTGTGAACAATGCTGAAATAAACATGGGGGTACAGATATTCATTTGCAAAAATGTGATTATAATATAAAAGGTGGTGAAAATGATTTATAATAAAATGTGAATGTAATAAAGGTATAATAGAATGTGAGTGAGTCAATTCTTCACAATAAAGATTAGGATCAACATAATTGACTGCCCAGCAACAATGATAATACAAAATAAGCAGGTTGAAAAAGGATATGGAAGATAATTGCTATCAATGGTGATGTACTGATATGGTCTGAGTTTCCAAATAAATTTTCCAATGGTTTCTTAAGTAAGAGTTGCCCAAGAGAATTTCAATTCTCATCTACCAGTAGATGACATATCTCTGGAATCCTACTCTTCATATTGAGAAAACATTCTTGAATTTCCAGTTACATGAACAATAGAGTTAATATACAAAATGCCTGACAATGAGTTAGTAATTAAATTATTATACAAATTATAAGCTTCAAAAACTTAAATCTATGTGGAAAATGTAACTCAAATTGCTATAACAAGCAATGCATGATTATAAATGATCAATGACTCAACTCAGAAATATTTAACTTTGGCCGGGCGCAGTGGTTCATGCCTGTAATCCCAGCACTTTGGGAGGCCAAGGTGGGTGGATCACGAGGTCAGGAGATCGAGACCATCCTGGCTAACATGGTGAAATCCCATCTCTACTAAAAAAAATACAACAAATTGGCTAGGCATGGTGGCAGGAGCCTGTAGTCCCAGCTACTTGGGAGGCTGAGGCAGGAGAATGGCCTGAACCCAGGAGGCGGAGCTTGCAGTGAGCTGAGATATAGCCACTGCACTCCAGCCTGGGTGACAGAGCAAGACTCTGTCTCAAAAAAAAAAGAAATATTTAACTTTGTACTAAGATCCCTGTTAAAACAAGAATCAATCCATTCATATCTCAAAAATCAACATCTCAGGCTAATCTGAGGTTTCATTCTTTTTAACCACTAAAAGATTACTGAACTTCTAAAGAGGTATAAGAGTGAATACCTTTTATTATTACTGCAGCCTTGAAAATAAGCAGAATAAAAATAATAATAAAATTAGGAATTATGAATAAATAATTAAATCTTAGAAGTTGGTAAATTTTATAATTTGTTTAATTATAAGTACATTAGTAAGTTTTAATTATTCCAATATTCTTGTTTCTTTTTTCTGTTTAAAGTTAGTAAAGCTTTTATTTTAATAAATTTTTTAGAAACATCTGATTAAATTAGTCTATAATTTTCTTTTTGACTTCAAGAAAATTCATTGTGATTAATTAATTAATTTGGATGAGTTGTGTAGTGTTGGAATAATATTTGGATTTTGATTATTTAATATATTAATGAATGTTATATTATGAATAGCTTAATAGATAAATACATGCTAGCTATTAAATAGATTTCTAAGGAAATTAAACCAAGTGCATGTCGTGTGACTATTTCTTCACCACAAAAACTCCACAGACATTAAGGAATCTCTGAACAATTAAAATAAAAATTAATATTGGGATGAAGAGGACAAAGAAAAACTTCCAAGTGGAGTTAGATTATGGTTTTGATGCTAAGGGCCTTTCTGCTGAGACTATAACCCTGAAAAATGTAGGCAGTAAAAAACTTGGCAATAGATATAGATCAAATCATGGAGACGGGGGCAGCCTTGAATGACAATCTACTTATTTTCCTTTTTTAAAAAAATAAAAATTAATCTTCAACTAAATGAAATTTAATTTGACTTCAAATTTATTTCATTGAATATGTTGAAGACAAAATTAAAGCTAAAATATTTTAAAATAGGATTTTACATCATGTGCGGAATTAATTTGAATTGGGAGACATTGGAGACAGAGACCAATTTGAAAGCGGATGCTATGATTGCTAAATGCAGTGATGAGCCTGAGATTGTGTGGTCAGTGGGACTGCGGGAGGAAAGAGAGGAGCAGCAGTACAGCAGAGGCACTGGCACATCTGTATGCCAGAGAAGGAATGGGTGGACAAAAACTGCCCTTATATTTGGAGCCTGGGAAATAGCCATCCAGAGGCCCATTCATTTCCAGAGCAGAAAGTCTCCTATTATTCCTCAGAAAGATTTATCTTTGCAGCTTGACACTCACAATGGTACATATTTAAAGAGACACAAACATATCACTGTCACTTCTTTGTGAGTCACCCTGGGAATTTCAGGTACCCCATAGTAAAGTCAATAGCCTAGTAAAATAAATGTCTCCCTTTAATCTTCAGTTCCACAAGGAGATGTTTATTATGGCAGAGAAAAACATTTTTACTTTGGATCTCTGAGTTCATGTTGTGGACAATTGTTTCCATGGGTGCTTGAGTGTGATGAATTATAACTATGAAAACTGTGACATTTTAGCAAGAACTGGCCCAGAAATTCTGTGCCTGAGGACAAATCTCCTACTCAAGTGTGGAAAACATGGCAGCTTTGAGAAGGTCCAGGGGCTGATAATATGGAATCAATTAGGAGATAAAATAAATAAAAAATAAGTTGGCCTGTTTTCATGCTAGAAATAGCTCAGCCCAAAGGATGTACTTTTTTTTTTCTTTCTCACTCTATATCTGGTCTCTTCATAATTCTGTCTTCCAGCCAAGTTCTACTTTCCTTTCAGGCAGAAGTTGCAAACTGGTGGCCCTCAGCCTGAATCAGGATAACGAAAAACATGTTATGAGTTCAGAGTGTTAGAAAATAAGAACAATCATCTTAAGAAATAATTGTCAAGATTTGAAAATCAAAGAATTCCACAGATAAATATAACTTCTTGGCATCTCTTGAAAAAAAAAAAGGAAGATCTAATTCCTTCCTGGCAACAATTGGTGAAATTGAATAGTGCTGTTACTTGGAGGTATGACATGGGTGAGGAGCCCTGTCCCAGGCAAAAACCCGTGTGTGATTTTTCAGACTCAACCATAGGCAATTACAAGGCTTCATCAGGAGGGCTTCATGTGGATAATCTGCCCTCCTCGCACCAAACTTTGCAGATAATGCTGCAGCTTCCTCCCAGAAATTATAGTCCAGAACTCAGGCTCAGCAGCTCCCAGGCTGGCCATCCGTACATGCATGTCTGCATTCCTAGCCCAGGAACCTTCGTGTGAAGGCCTCCTTATTATGGGGGCCTCGGCTGCAACACTTTTCCTATTGTTACTTAGTACATTTCCATTCTTAGTCCTTCCCCTTCTTTCTACCCCCCATGAAAAGGAAGGAGCCTCTTGTTCTTTGGCAATGAAATTATTCCTCTTGTCTGTGCTGATCCACCTGACCCTTTGCCCAGTGTCCTTTCATATAGAAGAATAGAACACTGAGGGACCTGTGCTTCTCTTTTTTCCCCCCACTTTGGCTTGCACTGTTGAATAGGTGAGAAAAGTCTTATTGTTACTTTTAGTTTTTGGCTCCTTCTTCTAACTGATTACCTGAACACCTAACTGATCAACAGCGGATACCAGATTCAGCTCAGTGTCAGATCACTTCCTATTATCACATCTATCCTGATATACCCATTTACACCACATTTTTGTTGTAAGGCATTTGAATATGAATCCCTGTTTCCTAGCATAGCTCCATTCTCACTTAGTCCAGAAATTCTTGACCACACAGCCATTGCTGATGTCTTCTAAAATTGCTTAGAGGCTTGAAACTCATGTGTTGTCCACGCACCAAGAGAATCATCATCACATGATAGCTTGATAAAGATTAAGTATTTCAGGCCCCACCCCAGATCTATCAATTCATAATCTGCACTAGACCAAGATTCCCAGGTAACTTGTATGTGCTTTACAATTTGAGAAACACTGGTGTAGAGCATCCTTCTGGATCATCCAAGATAGCATGATATGTGTTTGACTAGTTCATATTTATTAGACATATCTTATAAAGTAGACTTCAAGCATCTGGATGGTAGAGAGAGTGTCCTGGGAAATTTCTGTGGTATGTGCTGCAAGGTGAACTAGCAAAGACTGAGGGAAACAGAAAGTACATATAAATCCTTCATCTAATAAACTTGTTCCTTTTTTTTTAATTGTCTTCCCAAAACCTATACCATATTTGTGACCACAGATAAATAAGGAAGATGGACAACTGAGAGCTGAGCATGGCAGCAGCTCTACACCCATCTTGTTTCACCCTGAGCAGCTCCCTGTTGGTATTTGTTTGACTATGTACGTGTCTCAAGACATTTGGTGGTTCATGGCTCTGACTTTAATGACTGGACTTGACGTTTTAAATGCTTTTTCCTTAGGAGGACTGAAAACATTTGCAAACACTTGGACTTCTCCACCTCTTATCTATCTGAGGTTGGATTCCTTATCATTCTCCCAACAGTATTGAAACCCTAGCATGGACTCTCTTGAACTGGCATTTGACCCAGCCTATATAGTATTTTAAAATAAACTTTTACAGCTAAAAAGTGTGTCTTACTTTTTATATAACACAAAAAGCACCAATTAAACATTATATGGGTTGATTTTTGTTGCAATTGAACTAGTTGAGAGGTCAGCTATGGCCAGTGTTTAGGGTAGCCTGTTGTTGTAAACCAAAATTTTATTGAAACACAGCCATAGTCATTCATTTGCATATTGTCTATGTGTGTTTTCACAGTACAATGGGAGCATTGGGTAGTTGTGACAGAGACAAGATGGCCCTCAAAGCCTAAAATAATACCATCTGGCCTTTTAAGAAAAAGTTGCCAGCTCGGACTACTCAATTTTGTGAAACAAGTCAACCAAATAATACTTTTGGCACTTGGCAGACAAATGACTGCTTGATTTTCTAGCTTTTAATAGGCCCTGTGCACTTACCATCAATGAGTAACACAAAAAGAAACATAGGAACTGACTTTTTTAAATGAGGCAAAAGATCACCTCATTTTTCTTTAAATGTGATAGACAACCTGTCATTCTTATGACTACTAAATGTGTTTTGAGTTCTCAGCTCTCCATGTTGCAAATTTAAAAACTCTTCTTCATGTATCAGTCCATTTCTTTAGATTATTTAGCAAAGGTGTATTTATTTTATATATTCATGTACCAGTATGTGACATGGCTCTAATATGGCTGTAACTGTGCTAGGTACTGTAGGAAACTAAATCTAAACAATAAATGTGACAGATGCTTCTCAGTCTACAATCCATATGGAACTATGTGAGCAACTGAGCTGCAAATTCTGTATTTCCATGGAGCACCAGATTTTGTTAAGCTAATGTGGCTGGTGAATGTTTACTCAAAGGCTATAACCTTGGTAGAATATAGTGATCCCAGATAGTCCAGGCTTCAGTCATTATATACAAAGAGTTGAACTCCATTGGTAGAACTTCAACATGGTCCTAGTGGAACAGAAAAGGACATGCATGAGTGAAAGGATAGCTGGAAATGAGAGGCTGTAAATGGATGTTCCCTCCAAGATAAAGAAGGCAACTGTGGTACCGAGTCTCCAAAGATTCTTCCCCTGTCCTATCTCCAACACATGTGTTCTCAGTTTTCACATTCTGCAATTCTCTTTCCCTTGACTACATTCACTTATGCTGTCTCTTCACTAAGGCAGGGGCCTGCAACCTGTGGGCCATGGACCAATACTGGTTCCTGACCTGTTAGGAACTGGGCCGCACAGTAGGAGGTGAGCGGTGATTGAGCAAGCGAAGCTTCATCTGTATTTATAGCTGCTCCTCATCACTTGCATTACCGCCTGAGCTCTGTCTACTGTCAGACCAGTGACGGAATTACATTCTTATAGGAGTGTGAACCCTATTGTGAACTGTGCGTGTGAGGAATCTAGGTTGCATACCCCTTATGAGAATCTAATGACTAACATTTGTTACTATCTCCCATCACCTCCAGATGGGACCCTCTAGTTGCAGGAAAACAAGTTCAGGGCTCCCACTGATTCTACATTATGATGAGTTGTAAAATTTATTTTACTATATCTTACAATGTAATAGTTACAGAAGTAAAGTGCATAATAAATACAATGCACTTGAATCACCCCCAAACCATCCCCCACTATGGTCTGTGGAAAAATTGTCTTCCATGAAACCAGTTCCTGGTGCCAAAAAGGGTGGGAACTGCTGCACTAAAGGAAAACATCTGGAATGTCTTAAAATTTGAAATAAACATATACTCTCAAATCTTCCTGAAGTGCCAAAATATGTTTACATAAAGGCACAGACATTTTTCAGCCATTATTTATTAGACAACAGAGGCATGTTGATGTAAAAGAAAGAAAAGCTGAGAAGCAGAATTGGGGATTGGAGTGAATTCTATTGCCTGCCTTGCAGTGCTGTTCCCAGAGATCCTAGGATTAGACACATGAGGGACAACTGAATTTTGCATCTACTTCTGTTATTCACAAGAGCAAAGGTGGAAAAGATTAGAAATAAATTTTCTGAAACCAAAACTTTGAAATCCTTTTACGGCTACTCTAGAAAAAAACTGTGATGGAAAAACATTACTCAATTTTTCTGAAGAGGCGTTTAAAAGTACCATGAGCAAAGTGAAGTCAAACAAGCTTATTCTACAGATATTGAATCCATAGCTAAGAATACAGCAGTCCTTCTATTATATTTGAAGCACTACTGTAATAACAGTGTGTTTTGGATGAAGTAGAGCTTCCAGTTAGAAAGTTGACCAATCTAACTGATGATCAATCTCTATCTAATTTTGTTCCTCCTGAACTCCAATTTATTTTGTATACTGGAGCCAGACAGATGTTTTTAATCGGGAATATTACAGCTTTACCACTCATAAAACAATATTATGAAAATTTCCAAATATTTACAATGCCAGACAAAGCCCTACATGATCTGGCTTCTACCTACCACTCCATCTTCCTCTTGCACTAAAACACATCTCTCTCTCACACACACACACACATACTCCCCTACTTACCACTCCATCTTCTTCTTGCCCTAAAACACATGCACACCACACACACACACACACACACACTTACATACCACTCCATCTTCCTCTTGCCCTAAAACACATGCACACACCACACACACACACAAACACCCCTACTTACCACTCCATCTTCCTCTTGCCCTAAAACACATGCACACCACACACACACACACACACACACACACATTCATATACACTTGAGCACTCCTGGTCTTTTAATAGAATTCTTAGAATTACCATGTTTCATTTTACGACAGGGCAGACCTCCACAGAGAGCTCCTCCCATCTCTCCTCATCCAGTGAATTAATTCTGAACATGTTAGCTCCATCTCCACTTTCTCTGAAAGGCTTTACTCATGCCCCTCAGACTATTATATACTCTCAAACTATCTCACCTTTTTATTAGAGAACTTATTTCTACTTTTATTCTTTCACGTAGATATGTAGTTACTTAAATAATGTCTTGGAGAGTACTAGGTTATAACTTGCATGAGGGCAGGATCCTATGATTTTGTCTGGCACTAAGAACAAAACTGTTAGTTCAAAGAAGTGAATGATGGAACAACATCAATGGCTCCATAATCCAACATAACCAGACAGCATTGTTTCTGGTGTCCCGGATTCATTATTTAACCTTGCTGATGATTTCACATTTGCTGAGTTTGATGCATAGACTCTGATTTTATTTATTTGATCTGAAATCCTGTGGGAAATGTAGGACGGAGATTGTTAACTCTTTATTCTGCATGATAAATGAACTGAGGCAGGGAAGGAGAAAGTTTTTGCAAGTTTTCTTAACAAGAAAAGTCAGGTATATGTAGAAATACCACTTACATACGAATCTTAAGTTCCTTTGTTCTATGCCTTTTTTGGAACTTCGCTACCATTTTCTTACATTTTCTTCATTGTCTTCGATAAACACACACACACATACACACACACACACACACACAATATTTCTCTTATAACTCCTTAAATGTGGTCACTGGGCATTAGAAAAAAATGGTGAAAAGACCACAGTGAATATGCAGGATTGGCGCGAAGAATATAGATGGACTTGGGAATCATATAGTCCTGGGGTTAACTCTTACCCCTATTCTTAACTGCCTAGTTGATGTTCTATAAAATAATTTCTAAAACTAGAATTTTCTTCTAATATAAAAGAGCATCAATACGTTGTATAAATTATGACAATTACGTCATATTTTTATATAAGTGTAAATAATTTTTAAACAATTTTAAACAATTATTTACAATTGTTTGCACATAGTCAGTTCTAAATATATGTTAGAGTTCAACTACTGCTGTTTAATGCTATGCCCACTAGTTAGATTTCCTGAGTCTTCTGGTCTGAAATTCATACCGATATGAGGCCAAGCATGTTATCAGGATGAGCTGCACCAGTGGAATTTTATACTTGACACTGATAGAAAGATAAACTTAATGTGCTTTTTTGAGCAATATTTAGTCAACCAGCTCGTATTTGTAAATCAAAGAGCCAATATTACATATATTCTATTGACCTTTGAATAACAATTTGTCTGACCTATTTTTTTTAAGTACTTGGACAATTATGCATCACATTGCTGGTTAATTTACTCCATTATCTTAGAATTCAGGGAAGGAACAGAAACTCCTCCTGTGAGCTACAGCTGAAAAAAAAAATCTGCACTTGGTCTAATTCTAAATTCTTCTGAAGACATAGGGAGGAAGTGGATGGAGACAACTATTACATGAAGGATATAACCCATTATTTATCAATCAGTAGATAATATGTTTATAATTCAAGGATTACTGGAGATAATATCAGAATATTTCCTAGGTCACCTGCTTGTACTTATTTATTGCCAGTTTAAGCTTGTGCCAATTTATTGTTAGTTTAAAACGAATCTAAAGAATCTGGATTCAAATGAGTTTAAGATTACTTAATATTGGTAGAATCAAATGGATTTGTTTTTATCTCTAGTATTTGGTGTTGAAAATAAATTTAAAATATTTTAAAAATATAATTTTACTTTTGTAAAACAAACCAATGTTGAGATATTAAATAAAATTTATTTTCCTGTTTCATACACATTGAGCATACTCAAGCTGTTGAGTAACTAAATTTGATAGTTTAGATTTACTTTAAAAGTCAGGAACACCCCATTTTAATCCGCTGAAAGAATACGTTATAATTGAATCTTCTAAACTGAACAAGTTTGTTCTGTCTCTGAGCCCTCCTTTTGCCATTCCTAGGAACCCAGCTCTCAGTATGTCATTGAATTACTTTTCCGGTCTCTTGTTGCCACTGTAGAGTATAAACGTTTCAGAGAACCAGTGAGGATATAAAATCAAGGAGGTAAGCAACAGGGGAAGCAAAAGAGTCTGAGGATTGATTGAAATAAAAGCAAACATTTATTAATATCCTACTTTTGCATTTATTACATAAACAGCAGTGCATTTGGAAGGCCAGGATTCTGTACACAGATGAATAAATGCTAAAATTATTTATAATTGTATAACCAAAATAATTGCAAACAAAATAAGTGTGTTCAATATTTTACTGATGAATAACATAAAACTCGGCCCATTTTGTGAATGAAAGCCTGACATTTAAACCTAGTTCTGTATAACACTGTATATATTTTGTTTGAATTTTTTTCTAGTACGACGTTGACTAAACCATTCAATGAACAAAAAGCAATAAGTAAGTCTAAGTCTTTGGAGTCATTAAATTCATACTTGAAGAAATCTACTTATTATGATCAGTAATCATAATAAATGTAAATTATTTCAACTGATGTACTGCAAAACTACTGGTATTCATGCATATATTATCAAAGCGAGCAAAAAAATGAGTAAAAATTATACCTGTGGTTAGAGAATGTTCTCTTAAAGTAAAGCTGCTGAAGCTCCCTGAGGTGCCCGTATGCAGTAAACATACAGGCACTGAATAATAAAAACTAATGACAGTCAAATGGTTGGGTAAGGATTCAGTATCCACTAGCTCCACAAAATCTAAAAAGATTGGAAGACTTTCCTATTAGTAAAGAGATGGGAAATTGTAAAACCAAAAACAACATTTAGGCTATAGATTGCCTACTGATATGGGTCTTCAGGCTTATTGTCAGTATATTGAAGGAATGTTTAATGTTCTAGTGATCACTGGGATATACGGGTCATGAATGAAGGAATCTCACAGTCCATGCACTTAGAATAGGGTCTGGCACAACGAGGCTGCTCAGTAAATATTGAATGTATGCATCTTAATACCAATATACTTGAAGTCTTATGGGAAAGAGATAAATTCGTGGAGAAAACATAAATGCGATTCAAGAAGAAACAGAAAATCTGAAAAACATATGAACATAAAGACATGTAATCAGTTGTACATAGTAACTAGCAGAAAATTTTTGCTAAATATTTAAAGAGCACTCTTCCAATCTTTTTTATTATTTAAAAAAATCACTACTAATTTATTTTATAATCTTGATACCAAAACCAGGAAAGGACACTGAGAAAAAGAAAAAAATATGTATGATACAAGCATACTTGTGGACATAACCAAACCCAGTTATCACATACTTGTAAGAAACAACTGGACTCGTGTAAATTAACAGAGTTCTACAATGACCATGCAAAGCAAAAATAAACCAGCAAACAGGTAAATGAAAGTTGACCCTGCAGGCATATGACATTTGAGACTATGGCTGCCAGTACCAAAGGTGTTAGATCTTAGGTGACTGGAGCCAAGATGGACATACCCAGCATCCAGATGCGAATGTCAGAAGACCAGATCACATATGCTGACAGCATGTTATAAGAAGCTGATCTGGATTAGGAAGCAAGCAGCAGGGAATGATTTTGTCTTGGGGTTAAACTCCGAGAGACACAATTGTGGATATATTTATCCTCGGACCAGTAATCAGTAAAGGTAATAGTCTGAAATTCCCAGACTTAGGCCTGGGGGCTGCAGAAGTGGCCAGAAGGACTCCCATAGAATAAAATCAACCTTGATCATACAAATAGTTTAGTATTATCTCATTAAATAAATATGAAGCATTTCACTACTTTTGCATATCTTAGAGAAAGTCTTGTATTTATATACTGGGAGACATATGTAGATATATTCATAGTAGCATTGTTCATAAGTTTTTGAAAAGGTTATCCAAAGTGTCATCAGCATTAGAATGCATAAATAAAACTAACACAAGAACAGAAAACCAAACACTACATGTTCTCACTCATAAGTGGGTGTTGAACAATGAGAACACAAGGACACAGGGAGGGGAACATCACACACTGAGTCCTGTTGGCGGGTAGGGGGTTAGGGGAGGGATAGCATTAGGAGAAACACCTAATGTAGATGATGGGTTAATGGGTGCAGCAAACCATCATGGCACATGTATACTTATGTAACAAACCTGCACATTCTGCACATTCTGCACATGTACCTCAGAGCTTAAAGTATAATAAAAGAATAAAGTAAAATAAAATAATAAAATAAAAAAGAATTTACTAAACTACATGTGCCAACATAGATAAATCCAGGTCCATAATGTTGAGTGAGAAAAAAGCAAGTTATACAATTTTATATATATAGTGTTATCCATTAAAAAGAGGAAAATTTAAATGGTAGCATGGGGTGCTAATTAACAAAAAACCTAAGAATTTGAGGGAGCAAACAAGGGGATCTGAAAGTTACAGATACACAGCAAATTTCAGGAGCTTGGATAACATTCTTCTTCTTGATGGTGGTAAGCACATGACTGTTTACTTCTCATTTTCTTTTTCTTTGCAATAGGCATAAACGCCATATGTATATGTGTGTGGGTGTGTGTATTCTTGAGAATGTATGCTCTATTTTGTTCTTTAAGATACTTTATGAAGAGTACATTGTGGCCAGATTGTGACAGCAGCACTTGATTATCAAATAATACATTTGAACAGACAGTCTTAAGAAATGGAGTGGCAGCAGGGTTGGACAGAAGATGTC
This sequence comes from Homo sapiens, assembly GCF_000001405.40. NCBI lineage: Eukaryota > Metazoa > Chordata > Mammalia > Primates > Hominidae > Homo > Homo sapiens. The sequence continues at coordinate 123,429,050 of NC_000002.12, read as the reverse complement.
ATATTTTGGTGCCCATCCAGTGAAGAGTTGGGGCTCAGGAGCAAGGATTGCTTGTTCAGAGTTGTCTTGCATTGGTCTTAAGTAGTAGGCTTGATACCCTGCCTCTGTCAGTTTCTGGATGCTGGCTGTCCTAGGAAGGGTGTGATTGTGGCCGAGGCAGCACTCTGCAGCTGAAGCAGGCCCTAAAGGAGCTGATAGCAGGAGGCTGGCTGGGCTCATACTGGATGCTGCTGGGCAATAAGTCCTTCTTGCATGAGGTTCGGGGCATTGCGTGACCATGGCACTGTTTAAAACTTGATTTTTTCCTGCTTGACAGTAAACTCACTGAGAGATGTCACTGAGTCTTAATTAAATTTACAATAATAGTAGTAATTGGTGACTTTGCTAGTGTCATCTGTGCATCCAGGATCTGTACTGAAACTTTATATGCATTAACTCAGTTGGAGAACTGAATGGGTCACAGAGCTAGAAAGTGGCAGAGCTGTGTGTCAAAGCAAGATAACTGGGTTCAAGAGACATTTCTTGCCTGCAAGACTCAGTTACTTTTCCTCTGTGTAGTTGGCACAGTACGTATACCTCATATGTCACCCTCATCAACTTCTGCCTAATTTAAGTGATGACACACAGAGCACACATCCTTGGGCGTTTATGCATAGCAATTGAGAAACTCATTGATACATAGCAAGTGATGTTTGTATAGCTAAATTTCTTTAGCTCCCCATATCAAAAGTCTTGCAAAGATACATTCAGGATGAAATCACTACAAAAAACCTGGATTGCTTAGTCTTTCAAAATGGAACTCATCAAAGACTGGCTCATTTGATAGTCTTGAGGGCAGAAGGATATAACTCTACCCAGATACACTCAGGATATGATAAAATATCAACTTTGAAGAAGGAAAGAAAAAATTTGTAGCTTTAGGACCTTAGGCAAATATCTAAACTCTGTAGATCTCAGCTACCTAAAGTTAATTGGAGACATAATATTATTTACGTGCCTCATGGTGTTGTGCAAATTAAACACAAGTTCATGCCTGCAAAGCACTTAGAACTGCTTCTGGCACACGTGTTTAGTAAGGGCTGAGTATTTTTGTAGGTATTATTATTTTATATATATAAGAGTACTGCCTTTTTTCAGGATTCCTAAATGTCAACTACGAAGCTGGTTCTAGGAGAGAGAAAATAGATTCTGCCTGTTGGTGGGGAGTGACAAGCTTCTGGAAGTACATATAGGCCAAGAAATAGTGTTTTAGACACTTTTCATTGAAGTTTTATTGAGATAATGTAAACTTTCTGCAGTTGTAAAAGATAACATAGTGGAGTATGTCCTTTACCCAGTTCCCCCCAATGGTATCATCTTCAAAATACTGTCAGAACTATGATGTCAACATGAATGCAATACATTCATCTATTCAGATTTCTCCAGTTTTTTATTATAGGGATTTTTTTGGCAAATTCCCTCTACCACACAAGTAGACAAGAGAGCTGGGCCAAATCTATGTCTGTGTGGCACAAAAGCTGTGTTCTTAACCATTGTGGTAGGAGGCATCTGACCACTGTACTTTTGCAAAGTCTGAAACAAGAGAAACCATGCTGACAAGCTCAGCATCCATCACTGTCTAAACTGAATAGTTTATTTTTGTAGTTCCAATAATAACAGGTCCAAAAATCTCTTCCCATCTTTCACTTCCACAATCATTGCTGTCTACAAATATGGCTAATTGATAAATGTTTAATAAAGGCGATAAAAATAGAGGAATGAAAACTACAACAGCAGTATCCATTTATCATATTCTTACCATATGCCAATTTCTATAATACTCAGTATTCACAATCCCGATTCTTTGCAGAAGTCCCTAATGTTAGATGCTATTAGCCTTTACATTGCATAGGTGAGTCAATATATACAGACTATAAATAATGACATAGAGAGTTAATGCCATGGGTCATAACCTGTATTAGAGCCTAGGTTAATCTAAAATCAAATTCCATAATCTGAAAATTTTGGATCTTTCTCTTTTTTAAGAAAAATTATAAACTATTTTCAGGAATTATGTAAAAATAAATGATAAATTTATTAAGCACATTCAAGTAATAGAATGAAGGAAAATTTACTTTAAAAGAGACTACTTTCCTATTTTTTTGCTCAGTATCTATTTGACCCATCTTGAGTTATCAGAGGTCAGAGTTACAAGTTGATTTTCACAGTTCATGTTAGAAGCTAGTGATGTTTATATATTAAACAATCTTTCAAGCACTGTCTCCTCAGCCATGAAAACTGAATTCATTCTTTTTATTATTATTATTATTATTATTATTATTATTATTATTATTATACTTTAAGTTTTAGGGTACATGTGTACAATGTGCAGGTTTGTTACATATGTATACATGTGCCATGTTGGTGTGCTGCACCCATTAACTCATCATTTAGCATTATGTATATCTCCTAATGCTAACCCTCCCACCTCCCCCCACCCCACAACAGTCCCCAGCGTGTGATGTTCCCTTTCCTGTGTCCATGTGTTCTCATTGTTCAATTCCCACCTATGAGTGAGAAAATGCGGTGTTTGGTTTTTTGTCCTTGTGATAGTTTGCTGAGAATGATTGTTTCCAGCTTCATCCATGTTCCTACAAAGGACATGAACTCATCCTTTTTTATGGCTACACAGTATTCCATGGTGGATATGTGCCACATTTTCTTAATCCAGTCTGTCATTGTTGGACATTTGGGTTGGTTCCAAGTCTTTGCTATTGTGAATAGTGCCACAATAAACATACTTGTGCATGTGTCTTTATAGCAGCATGATTTATAATCCTTTGGGTATATACCCAGTAATGGGATGGCTGGGTCAAATGGTATTTCTAGTTCTAGATCCCTGAGGAATCGCCACACCAACTTCCACAATGGTTGAACTAGTTTACAGTCCCACCAAAAGTGTAAAAGTGTTCCTATTTCTTCACATCCTCTCCAGCACCTGTTGTTTCCTGACTTTTTAATGATCGCCATTCTAACTGGTGTGAGATGGTATCTCATTGTGGTTTTGATTTGCATTTCTCTGATGGCCAGTGATGATGAGCATTTTTTCATGTGTTTTTTCGCTGCATAAATGTCTTCTTTTGAGAAATGTCTGTTCATATACTTTGCCCAGTTTTTGATGGGGTTGTTTGTTTTTTTCTTGTAAATTTGTTTGAGTTCTTTGTAGATTCTGGATATTAGCCCTTTGTCAGATAAGTAGGTTGCAAAAATTTTCTCCCATTCTGTAGGTTGCCTGTTCACTCTGATGGTGGTTTCTTTTGCTGTGCAGAAGCTCTTTAGTTTAATTAGATCCCATTTGTTAATTTTGGCCTTTGTCGCCATTGCTTTTGGTGTTTTAGACATGAAGTCCTTGCCCATGCCTATGTCCTGAATGGTAATGCCTAGGTTTTCTTCTAGAGTCTTTATGGTTTTAGGTCTAACAAGTAAGTCTTTGATCCAGCTTGAATTAATTTTTGTATAAAGTGTAAGAAAGGGATCCAGTTTCAGCTTTCTACATATGGCTAGCCAGTTTTCCCAGCACCATTTATTAAATAGGGAGTCATTTCCCCATTGCTTGTTTTTGTCAGGTTTGTCAAAGATCAGATGGTTGTAGATATGTGGCATTATGACTGAGGGCTCTGTTCTGTTCCATTGGTCTATATCTCTGTTTTGGTACCAGTACCACACTGTTTTGGTTACTGTACTCTTGTAGTATAGTTTGAAGTCAGGTAGCGTGATGACTCCAGCTTTGTTCTTTTGGCTTAGGATTGACTTGGCAATGTGGGCTCTTTTTTGGTTCCATATGAACTTTAAAGTAGTTTTTTCCAATTCTGTGAAGAAAGTCATTGGTAGCTTGATGGAGATGGCATTGAATCTATAAATTACCTTGGGAAGTATGGCCATTTTCACAATATTGATTCTTCCTTTCCATGAGCATGGAATGTTCTCCCATTTGTTTGTATCCTCTTTTATTTCATTGAGTAGTGGTTTGTAGTTCTCCTTAAAGAGGTCCTTCACATCCCTTGTAAGTTGGATTCCTAGGTATTTTATTCTCTTTGAAGTAATTGTGAATGGGAGTTCACTTATGCTTTGGCTCTCTGTTTGTTATTGGTGTATAAGAATGTTTGTGATTTTTGCACACTGATTTTGTATCCTGAGACTTTGCTGAAGTTGCTTATCAGCTTAAGGAGATTTTGGGTGGAGACGATGGGGTTTTCTAGATATATAATCATGTCATCTGCAAACAGGGACAATTTGACTTCCTTTTTTCCTAATTGAATGCCCTTCATTTCCTTCTCCTGCCTGATTGCCCTGGCCAGAACTTCCAACACTATGTTGAATAGGAGTGGTGAGAGAGGGCATCCCTGTCTTGTGCCAGTTTTCAAAGGGAATGCTTCCAGTTTTTGTCCATTAAGTATGATGTTGGCTGTGGGTTTGTCATAGATAGCTCTTATTATTTTGAGATACGTCCCATCGATACCTAATTTATTGAGAGTTTTTAGCATGAAGGGTTGTTGAATTTTGTCAAAGTCCTTTTCTGCATCTATTGAGATAATCATGTGGTTTTTGTCTTTGGTTCTGTTTATATGCTGGATTACATTTATTGATTTGCATATGTTGAACCAGCCTTGCATCCCAGGGATGAAGCCCACTTGATCATGGTGGATAAGCTTTTTGATGTGTTGCTGGATTAGGTTTGCCAGTATTTTATTGAGGATTTTTGCTTCAATGTTCATCAAGGATATTGGTCTAAAATTCTCTTTTTTGGTTGTGTCTCTGCCAGGCTTTGGTATCAGGATGATGCTGGCCTCATAAAATGAGTTAGGGAGCAATCCCTCTTTTTCTATTGATTGGAATAGTTTCAGAAGGAATGGTACCAGCTCCTCCTTTTACCTCTGGTAGAATTCGGCTGTGAATCCATCTGGACTTTTTTTGGTTGGTAAGCTATTAATTATTAACTCAATTTCAGAGCCTGTTATTGGTCTATTCAGGGATTCAACTTCTTCCTGGTTTAGTCTTGGGAGAGTGTATGTGTCGAGGAATTTATCCATTTCTTCTAGATTTTCTAGTTTATTTGCGTAGAGGTGTTTATAGTATTCTCTGATGGTAGTTTGTATTTCTGTGGGATCGGTGATGATATCTCCTTTGTCATTTTTTCTTGCGTCTATTTGATTCTTCTCTCTTTTCTTCTTTATTAGTCTTGCTAGCAGTGTATCAATTTTGTTGATCTTTTCAAAAAACCAGCTCCTGGATTCATTGATTTTTAAAGGGTTTTTTGTATCTCTGTTTCCTTTGGTTCTGCTCTGATCTTAGTTATTTCTTGTCTTCTGCTAGCTTTTGAATGTGTTTGCTCTTCCTTCTCTAATTCTTTTAATTGTGATGTTAGGGTGTCAATTTTAGATCTTTCCTGCTTTCTCTTGTCGGCCTTTAGTGCTATAAATTTCCCTGTACACACTGCATTGAATGTGTCCCAGAGACTCAAAAACATGCCAAATTGCAAAGACCATCAAGGCTAGGAATAAGCTGCATCAACTAACAAGCAAAATAACCAGCTAACATCACAATGACAGGATCAAATTCACACATAACAATATTAACCTTAAAGGTAAATGGGCTAAATGCTCCAATTAAAAGGCACAGACTGGCAAATTGGATAAAGAGTCAAGACCCATCGGTGTGCCGTATTCAGGAAACCCATCTCACGTGCAGAGACACACATAGGCTCAAAACAAAGGGATGGAGGAAAATCTACCAAGCAAATGAAAAACAAAAAAAGGCAGGGGTTGCAATCCTAGTCTTGGATAAAACAGACTTTAAACCAAAAAGGTCAAAAGAGACAAAGAAGGCCATTACATAATGGTAAAGGGATCAATTCAACAAGAAGAACTAACTATCCTAAATATATATGCACCCAATACAGGAGCAACCAGATTCATAAAGCAAGTCCTTAGAGACCTACAAAGAGACTTAGACTCCCACACAATAATAATGGGAGACTTTAACACCCCACTGTCAACATTAGACAGATCAACAAGACAGAAAGTTAACAAGGATATCCAGGAATTGAACTCAGCTCTGCACCAAGCAGACCTAATAGACATCTACAGAACTCTCCAACCCAAATCAACAGAATATACATTCTTTTCAGCACCACACCACACCTATTCCAAAACTGACCACGTAGTTGGAAGTAAAGCACTCCTCAGCAAATGTAAAAGAACAGAAATTATAACAAACTATGTCTCAGACCACAGTGCAATCAAACTAGAACTCAGGATTAAGAAACTCACTCAAAACCGCTCAACTGCATGGAAACTGAACAACCTGCTCCTGAATGACTACTGGGTACATAACGAAATGAAGGCAGAAATAAAGATGTTATTTGAATTCATTTTTGAATGAAATGTGAAATTATATTTATATCGCTAGATACTTGTGTTGAACAGTGGCAGATTTATTTTTCTCAAAGGGTTAAAATTATCAACAAATCTTCACTAGTTAATTGCTATGATTGAGCCTTGCCTCTGTCCATCTTCAGAGATTTATAATTGGGTAAATTGTAAAGATTATGTATATTCTGTTGTCAATATGTCAATTACAGGAGACTCGAAGTAAATTAACTTTTCTAAAAGTCATTAAGATATTCCAACAGGCTGCAATTCTTCTAAGAATTCAAAGTTTAACTATGGTAACTAACTCGACCTTTTTTGATTTTTTGAGACTGCGTCTTGCTCTGTTACCCGGGCTGCAGTGCAGTGGCACAATCTCAGCTCACTGCAGCTTCCGCCTCCCAGGTTCAAGTGATTCTCCTGCCTCATCCTCCCTAGTAGCTGGGACTACAGTCTTGCACCACCATGACCAGCTAATTTTTGTATTTTTAGTAGAGATGGGGTTTCACCATGTTGGCCAGGCTGGTCTTGAACACCTCACCTCAGGTGATTCACCTGCCTCGGCCTCCCAAAATGCTGGGATTACAGGCATAAGCCACTGTGCCTGGCCTAACTTGACCCTTTTAATAACACTTTTTTTAAAAAACCATTCATGTTAAAGGAGAAAATGTTAAAATCAACCAAACATCAAGCATTTGCTGAAGACCTGAAGAATTGTACTATGTAGTGCAGGGCATATCGAATAGGTGGTTCTGGTTAATTTACATAAATAAAACTAGAGTATGCAACATAAAAGTATAAAGTAGTGTATAATTACGGATTACAATTCTTCACATACTTCAGCTAACATGATATAGTAGCGACAGAAAATGACTAATAATCAGAAAACTTATATTTACTGGAGGCTCTTTGCTTTCCAACCCTTAGATGCTGGCGTATGTTTAGGCATCGTCTTTGATTCTACTCTCATTTTGCCCCATGAATGAAATCACATCAAATGAGGCCAGCACATCTATGGTTCTGATGGGAGAGTGGGAAAGCCAGACTTACAAACTCTTAGCCAAAGTGGAAATGGGAGACTTGATGCAGCCCCATCAGGAAGCAGCCAGCCAATGAGACACACAGTCAGCCACTTCCCCCCATCACAGTGCTCAACCACCCACCCAGGAGGTGGGAACTGAGCTCTATCCTCAGGTGTTTCTAAGCAACCTCTGTATTCCTGTTGCTATAGCTTCCTAAACACGGGCTTTACTGTCCTAGATATCTTGTATATATTTATGAACATAATAAGTTTTATTTAAAAAAGGGGTCATAGAATTTTCTTTTTTTAAATTCTATTTATGGTTTTAATTCATATATGGACTCAAGTTCATAAGTAGAATTTTTCAGGAACAAACACCACCACCAACAGCAGCAATATAATAATATTATTACTTTAGAGTCATTGATATGCTTATGACTCCGAAATTTGTATCTCCACATCAGAGCTGTATTGTGATTTCCATTTAAGAAAATTCATCTATTTCCTCTCTGTATCCCAACTTTATGGCAGAGTAGGGGACTGATCAAACCATGAACAAATTGCTGTTCTCAGTCAATCAGCTCTTTAACCTGGTTTGCCTAATCTGAAATACAATATAATTAGACTGACTCCTTCCTATAAGTTCTTCTGCTTTTAACATCTAGTAATTCTAGTTACACATAACTACATATTTTGTGACTTTTATATCAAATATTCATATAATATAATGCATTTTTCAGTACCATCGGTATTATTCTGTATCTTAGCTCTTGATAGAATATTTAAATCCTAAAATGATATGAAGTAATCAACACTACACATTCTAAAAATTCTCAGTTAATAACAAGAGACATAAACTATTGTCAGAAACATTTGCCAAAATGCTTCCACTCAGCTAAGAACGTCATGTTTCTTTGGAGTTTTTGGTAATATTTTCTACCACACAGAGAATAAAAATTGCTAACATCGCATATTGAGTAATTAGACCATTGCTGAGAAAACATGCCCCATATTAGAAATGAAAATAGATGTGCTACAACTTCACCTTCTTAGGAGTTTTATAAATGGATTTGAAATGACTTTGTCATATTTAATAGACTCTGTTCATTTATGAGAAAGAAAGAGTTCAGTTTCCCATAGACCTTTCTAGTTTACTACGACTCAGTGGCCTATAGTCAGTTTCCTTCTGCCTGATTCATTCATTCATTCTCTCATCATGGAAACAGAGAAGGGAATATTTAAAAAAGCATCACTTTAATGAGTAGTATAAGGCAGGTTTTAATACCTTTTTGTCATTTATTATTTATATCTACTCCTGCAAACAATTGAGAAGCTACTGTTTTAATTCTTAAAGAGATCTCAAAGGAACTGCAATCTAGCACAAGCAACTGCACACATAAAAATAAATCTGAGGCAGTATATGTTTAAATGTCACATGAGCACAACTGTCAATGAGTCTATTATCCCAGGGATTATCAAAAGGGAAGCAAATATGAAGAGCAGCTCTTAGAACAGAGTTTCAGAATAACAAATGAGAGGATGTTTACATGTTATGTCTTCTCCCTCTTCTTAAATTACAAATAATAATCACTGCATATCAAGAATCTGTAATACTATTGTAAATTTGCAATTTTATTAATTTTTTTACTCTGTACAAAGTATAAAATCAACCAAGTAAAATATATTATTTCAAGTAATCATTACAAAAGTTTCTGAGTTTAAGAAGCACTGTTAAATTAGCATCCCTCACTTTGCCAGCTCTGAAGACCCGACCAAGTCCTAGTGTCCTGCTGAATGATGATGAGCATACTGCTTGCAGGCTAAACCTGGAGGAGCAAGGCCAGAGTCACTGGGACCTGGAATCAAAGCTGGGGCAGTAACATACCAAATTATAAACCAGATCCAAGGCCATCCAAGGCAAGAGTTAATTCACGCCTGCAGGCCATCAATTTTGCTACATAGCATCCTTAATTTAAAACGTTCTTTTCTGCAGACTCTAAGTTTTAGACATAGCCTTACTCCTTTAACCAACTGCAAAACAAAGAATCTCTGAATTCACCTATAACTTGAAAGCCCTTCTTCAAGATATCATACCTTTTCAGGCCAAACCAATGTGTACCCTTCATGTATTGATTTATGACTTTGTCCATAATCCCTGGCTCCCTGAAATGCATAAAACCAAACTGTAATCCAACCGTCTTCGGTGCACTTTCTCAGGACTCCTTGAGACTAAGTTTCCCAAGCCATGGTCACTCATGTTGGCTTAGATTGAACCTCTTTAAGAAACTTTAGAGTTTGGTTTTAATGTTAACATATCTATCTGTATCTATATCTGTATCTGCCTAACTATCCTTCTATGCACACAAAAGCATGTACACATGCACACACATGCTTATGCATATGTCTAACATCAGTCTCATTACATTGCAGTAGTATTAGCTCTCTTGCTTGACAGAAGCCTGGCACAAAGCCCAGCTAAAATCATGTTCCCCGTTATTAGCTCTGCCTTTCCTTCCCTAGGTGGAATAGTTCTGAATAGGAACACAATACTTAAACCATAAAACTAAGCCGAAATAAAATTTATCCAGGAACAATGTGGAATAAGTCTAGTGAGGCTTTGTTCTCTGATGGTACTTTCCTTGGCATCTCTTCTCCTGTGCCTTCCTGCTCTCTAGGTCTAAGGGATGCCTCACACATGTTCCCACAGGGCCATCAGTGCAGGCCTTCCCCTCCTCACAGCACCCCCAGCTCTTTTCTCTAATTTGCCCAGAGTGTGTTTATTCTTGGTCTGATTCCCTTAGGCTCTTGTTAAATGCCTGGATAATGCAACGGGCTTAAATCATACTTAGACAATAATAGTTGATGGTGATAAGCAATTATTCCTCTTACTTAACATTCAAATCCTAACAACATGTCAATGTTTTAACATTAAAGAAAACCCAGGGGTGACATCCAAGCCATTAAACAATCAGTATGGTAAAATCATTCACATATAACTCTACGGACTGTTTTAAAAATCTATTAAGTAGTTTTCCCAAATGCTTCTATAAACAAATCAGATAATAAAAATTATAAGTGTTTACTAAGTTGTGTAAGTTGCAGTGCCATTTGTTCATTACATCCTTTCAATGTTCCTAAATTCAACTATTGATTTTTATCAACTTGTATTTGATCTGGATTTCTTTACCTAATAAAGCATCTTCCTGAACCACAATTTGACAAAGAAACGAACAGCAAGCAGTGCTAGTAACCTGCCCTTGATATTGGTAGTAGAAAAATGATCCAACAGGTTGTCTTGGGTTGAGGGAGAACTTAGTGACTGCTCCTCTCTTCTCAGGCTTCTGCTTTTTCCTCCTCCTTCTAAGCTTCCGTAAGCCTCTCTTCACTTGTGCCCTCCCTCAGCTGTCCTTCAGGATGGTATTTTCTGGGCACCAGTCTCATACTGGCTGCCACTTCATGTGTACAGGAATTAGAGTAAAAGTAAAAGAGAAAGCAAAGAGGATGAAAAGGGAGTGAGAGCTAGCCGTGACCCTGTGGCCCAATTAGATTTTCCTCATAACTTGAGAGTTGGCAACTGGATGTGGCAGAGGAAAAAAAGAGAAGAAAAATTCATATATGATTTCAAGTTGTCCAGCTTTCTGCATAAAGAGGAAGTAATATAACATTAAAAGGATTTTTACTTGCCTAATATTTACATTCTATGATTTGGACACCTTAACATTGTCTTATTTATAATAGTTCCTATAAAAACAGGATCATCATACATTGATATTGATATTGAAAGTTGAGGCTATATCATATCATTTCTAAAGAAAGATTAAAACTAATGCTTAACAGCAATCCTTTTCAATCCAGCAACCCCATTATTTGGTGTATACCCAGAGACATATAAATTATTCTATTATAAAGACTCATGCACATGTATGTTCATTGCAGGACTATTCACAATAACAAAGACATGGATTCAACCCAAATATCCATCAATGATAGACTGGCTAAAATACATATGCTACATATATCCCATGAAATACTATGCAGCCATAAAAAAGAATGAGATTATGTCTTTTGCTGGGACATGGATGGAGCTGGAGGCCATTATCCTTAGCAAACTAACGTAAGAACAGAAAACCAAATACTACATGTTCTCACTTATAAGGGAGAGCTAAGTGGTGAGAACACAAGGACACATAGAGAGAAATAACACACCAGGGCCTATTGGAGGGTGGAGTTTGAGAGGAGGGGGAGAATCAGGAAAAATAACCAATGAGTACCAGGTTTAATACCTGAGTGATTAAATAATCTGTAATACGAACCCCCATGACAGAGTTTACCTATATAACAAACCTACACATGTACTCCTGCTCTTAAAATAAAAGTTAAACAACCCACCACCACCAACAAGAAAACTAATGTTTAAGTCATCCCCTGAGAAGTTGAATTTAGGCACAATGTTAAATTAAGATTATTTCTTAAATAAAGATTACATATTGAAAAGGCACTGTTTCAAATGGTAGCTATGAGACTGGTTCAGCTATATAGAATTATTATATTTTTACTTATCCCACTTGTAAACACATAAGGTTAATGGTTTTTTAGGGGTCTTTGTTTGTTTGTTTTTATCATGGGGAAGCTGCTTAATCTATCTGTATTTCTTTTTTCTTATTTGTGAAATGATGATAATCATAGAGCTGCCTATACCAATTCACTGTTGTAAAGAAAATAACAAGACTATGCCTTACTTATTGTAAGCAATCATTATTATTATTCTTACTTATTATAAGCAATCATTATTATTATTATTCATTTGGACAATGAAGTATATACATTTCAGTAGGACTTTTCTGATCATCTGATTTTTAATAGTGACTACACTTTAAAAAATTTTCCTTTTATTACACAATGTAAGGTGTTAATATTACTTCTAAATGCATCAGACCTGCAAGCAAAAACAGTTTACTTTGTTTTATCTGGAATATATACGTTTATAAACAGAAATTTTAAGTGAGTTAATTATAGATTTTCATGTACTTGTTAGACATAATGCTGAAAGATCTTGTGTGCCCTTTAAGCAGCTTCCTCCACTGCAAAACTATAGTAACATCATGCAAAACTATAGTACAATATCACAATCAGGATACTAATGTTAGTGCAATCCATCCATCTCTTTCAGATTTCCCAGTTTCCCTTGTACTCATTGCATGTATAGATGTTTGTGTTTGTGTGCATTTAGTTTCCTTGATTTTTATCTTGTTTGTAGGTCAATGTATCCACTGTCAATATACAAAAAAATTCTATTTTCACAAGGATCCTCACATTGCTGTTTTATATCTACATACCTCCAACCCCCACAACCTACCTGTTATGTAGCCTTTTAAAATTGGCTTTAAAAAAACTCAGTATAATTTCCGGGAGATTCACATAGGTTGACAATTTGTGTATCGATAGTCTGTCATTTGTATCACTAAGTCTTATTCCATTATATGGTTGTACCACACTTCATTCATCTCTTGAAGGATTAAGTGGGTTATTTCAGCTTTGGACTTTTATGGAAAAAAACTGTCATATACATTCAAATATAGGTTTTTGTATGAGCATGAGTTTACATTTCTCTTGGATAAATATCCTTAAGTACAATTTCTGGATCATATAGTAATAACATATTTAGGAGAAATTGTCATGCAGTTTTCCCAAGTGGCTATACTGTTTACATTTTCACTGACATTGTATGAATGATCTAGTTTATAATCATCCTTGCCAGCATCTGTTGTCACGTTTTTTTCAATTTTATGTCAGTCATTTTGAATAGTCTGCTGTGATATCTGATTGTGGCTTGATGTCTAATTGAACAACTTCTTGTGTCTATTTGACATTTGTAAGTTCTTTTCAGTGAAAGATTTGTTTACATATTTTGCTCACTTTCTTACTGGATGGTTTTATTACTGTCGTGTTAAGGGCTCTTAATATAGGTAAAAATGCTTTGTTAGAAATTTGATTTGCAAATATTTTCTTCCAATCTCTACAGTCTAGAATTATCTTTTCAGCCTCTTCACACAGGCTTTCCCATGGCCAGAGATTTTTTTGCTTTTTCCCTTTTAATTTGGATTAGTTCCAATTTACCTATATTCCCTTTTAAGGATTATGTTTGGTATCAAGTTCAAGAACTCTTTCCCTAGCCCTAGATTCTAAAAATTTATTTTATTTTTTTCTAAAAGATTATACTTTTATATTTTACTTTTAAGTGCATGAGCTATCTGGGGTTTTGGTTGAATGTTTTTGTGTGTGTGTGTGTGATCTATGAATTTCTAATTGTTCCATTTGTTGAAAGCCCATTTTTCCGCCATCAAATTGCTTTTTCTTTTTCATCAAATATCAACTGAGAACATGTATATCCATATATGTATATATATAAATGTAGGTACAGTTTTATTTCTAGGTCCTCTATTCTGTTTAATTGATCTGTGTCTCTCCTTCCTGTAATTCAACAATATGTTGATGACTGTAGCTAGATAGTAAACTTTAATAGTGGGTAAAATGAGACTTCCTACTTGATTCTTCATAAGATTGTTTGAATTATTCTAGGATTTGTGCTTTTTTATGTTAGTTTTAGAATAAACTTGCCTATGTCCACAAAAATTATTGTCGGAATTTTGGTAAAAGTGGTTTAAAATGTATTTGTGCCAAGTTAACATATTTTCTATGTTGAATCTTCAGTCTATAAACATGGTATACTTTTTTGAATTTAAGTTTTCTTTGGCTTTTCATTATCATTCTGCTATGCATGCTTAATTGCATACCTAAGTAGTGCACTTTTTACTAATTATAAATGTTATAGTGTTTTAAAATTTTTGTTTCTGCTTGCTCAATTTTAGCATATAGAAATTAGATTTTTAAAATTAATCCTCTATCCTGTATCCCGACATCTTGCTGAAGTCTTGTATTGGTTCTAGGAATATTTTGTAGATTTCTTGGGATTGTCTATATAAATAATCATACCATCTGTAAATATGAACAGTTTCTTATCTTAATGCAGTGGATAATACTTCCAATACTAAGTTAGTAAAAGTGGTGGGAGTGGCCTCCCATTCCTTGCTCCTGATTATATGGTGAGTTTTCTTTTTTTCTAATCATTACTGGAACTTGAATATTGTTAAATAATTTTTTGTGTGAATGAGTATATTCATATAAGTTTTCTATTTTAGCCTCTTGCTATGGTATATTACGTTGATTAATTTTAAAATATTTAAGAAGTCTTGCATAACTTCAATACATCCAACTCAGTCATGATGTATAATTGTTAATATACATTGTTGGATTTTATTTGCTAATATCTGATTAAGGATTTTCTTTTGTCTGAGTTTCTAACAGTTATTGGTCTATTATTTCCTTCCTTCCTTCCTTCCCTCCTTCCTTCCTTCCTTCCTCCATCCCACCCTCCCTCTCTCCCTCCCTCTCTCTTTTTCTCTCTCTCCTCTTTCTTTTTTTCTTTCTTCTTTCTTTCTTTCTCTTTCTTTCTCTGTCTCTCTCCCTCCCTCCCTTTCTTCCTTCCTTCCCTCCTTTCTTTCTTTCTTTCTTTCTTTCTTTCTTTCTTTCTTTCTTCTCTTTCTTTCTTCTTTCTTTCTTTCTCTTTCTCTTTCTTTCTTTCTCTCTTTCTCTTTCTCTCTCTCTCTCCTTCCCTCCCTCCCTCCCTTTCTTCTTTCTTTCTTTCTTTCCTCTTTCTTTTTATGTACTATTTTGTTCTGCTTTTAGTATCTGGATGTGGGGATCAGAACATGATATCCCAAAGAATGGCACCTTGGTACACTGAGTACTTTAAACTGAAGAATATTCAAAGGGCTTCAGATGCAAGTTCTTTCTGACTTTCCACTAACTTCCTCCCATTTCCCAATCTTCCCCAAGACAGTCCATAAAAAACAGAACTTCTTCGCCTAAGTTGTGTAATAAAAGCCAGAATTCTTCTCACCCAAGGATAGTCATACAAACTAGAACTCCTCTCCCGCAAAGCAAGTCAGAAAACCTAAAAAGATCATTCATTCTCTGACCTCCTCCCTCCTTTGCAGATCCTTGTGTGATAGGTGTCCTGCCGCATAACCAGGGAAAAGGAATGTCTTACAGAGACATAGAAAAGGATGGGAACAAACAGGCCTTGCTATGTTCTCCCCAGTTTATTACCTTTGGATCATACACATGTTTGTCCAACTATGTTTCTTCACAACTATCCATTTCTTTCACCAGACTCAGCATACAAATACAATGTTTCTTGGGTCTCTCAATATCCATTTCCTTGTGAAAGCTCTTCTGTCATGTAACTTTTATTAGATAAATGCATATGCTTTTGTTCTGTTAACCTGTCTTTGTCAGTTTTATTTTCCAGCTTAGCAAAGAACCTTAGGTGGTTGAGGAAACTTTCTCCCTAACATGAGTAATACTAGTCTCATGAGAGTTAGGAAGTATTCCCTCACTTCTATTTTCTGGAAAAGATTGTGTAAAATTAGCATTAATTCTTTTGTAAATATTTGGTAGAATTTTCTAATGAAGCCATCTGGACTTGAAAATTATGGGGGAAGTATTTTTTTAATCATGAATTTAATTTTTGTAATTGTTATTCTGTTTGTCTCATTGTACTTTAATTTGGCAGGTTTTTTTAAATACTGGTTCTTTTTTTAAAGTTGTCAAATATGAGCATAAGGCTATATGTAATATTCTCATTCTATTTTTAATGACTACTAAATCTCTTATGATTTCACCTTTTTTATTTCTGATATTCATAATTTGTGTTTTCTTTGTTTTTTATTACCATTCTTGCTACAGCTTCATTGATTTAATTTCTGTTTTTTGTTTTTTTTTTTAGCAAAGTCAGTTTTTTGTTTCATTGATTTTCACTATTTTTTCCCAATTTTAAATTTTGTTGGTTTCTGATTTTATCAATATTATTTTCCTTCCTCTTTCAGGCTTCTTTATTTTCCTAGTTTCTTGTGGTGGAATATCAGATTACAGATTTGAGACTTTTCTTGAGTTCTAATTTAAGCATTTAATGCTGTATATTTTCATCTCAACATTGTTCTATCTGATGGCTCATGTTTTGATATGTTGTATTTTCATTTTCAAGTAGTTCCAAGTACATGTATTTGTGCCTTATTTGGAGTATATTGTTTAATTTCCAGGTGTTTAGCGATTTTGCTATTGACTTCCTGTTATTTATTTCTAGTTTGAGTCTGCTATCATTAAAATATATATTTGAAATGTGTTTAAAAATTTAAAAAATGTGTTAGGTGTTGTTTTATGATGCAGGATATGGAACAACTTAATGTATGTCCCAAAGGCACTTGAAATTTTTATGTATTCTGGTTTTGAGTGGAATATACTGTATATGTCAGTTAGAATGTGTTCGTTGATTGTGTTGTCCAGTGCTGTCAGTTCTTGCATCATTCATTTCGAAGTTCCAACTTTTCGTGTGTACATATTTAAGATTGTAATGTATTGTTGGTGGCTTGATTCTTTATCATGATATAATGGTAATCTTTGTCTAGTAATTTTGCTTGCTATAAAGTCCACTTTGCCATGTGTTAACAAAGCCACTCTTATTTTTAAAATAGTTTTTATTAGTGTATGCTTGGTAGTTTTTTTCCATCTTTTAACTTTTAATCTAGCTTCTTTATTGAATTTTAAATTGTTTCTTGCGCATTGCAAATTGTTGAGTCATATTGCTTTATGCTCTCTGCTAATCTATGTCTTGTGATTGGTGTATTTAGAATATTTACATTTAAGATAATTATTATGATGACACTTGTCTGCCTCTTTAATATTTGACTATTAGTTTTTTTTTAATTATACTTTAAGTTTTAGGGTACATGTGCACAACGTGCAGGTTTGTTACATGTATATACATGTCCCATGTTGGTGTGCTATACCCATTAACTCGTCATTTAACATTAGACTTCTATTAGTTTTGTTTGCTCATTCGGTAGGTAGGTTGGTGGTTTTTAAAAAATATTATGTTGATTTTTAATAGTGTTTTTAGTGTATCTGTTTAGTTTTCATAGTGTTGCTCTGAGTTGTTACAACATACATATGTCACATGAAAGTAGAGTATGTCCTTAGTTAATGTGGTTGATAGGTTCTTGGAAATTGCAAATTTAGGAGAAATGATGTACAGCAATTTTTCACCAGACAGAGCCAAGTTCTCAAAAAAGAGGAATTGCAATAGAGAAAGAGTTAACTGCACATAGAGCCAGCTCAGCTGGAGACCAGGGTTTTATTATTACTGAAATTAATCTTCCCCCAAATTTAGAGGCTTGGGATTTTTAAAGATAGTTGGAGGGCAAGGGTCTGGGAAAGGGGAATGCTAATTTACTGGGGATGAAATCATAGGGCTGTCTCTGGGGACACTGGCTTATACCTGTAATTCCAGCACTTTGTGGGAGAATCACTTGAGCTCAGGAGTTCAAGACCAGAGAAACTCCATCTCTACACAAAAATTAGCCAAGAGTGGTGGTGCACACCTGTGGTTACAGCTACTCAGGAGGCTGAGGTAGAAGGATCATTTCAACCAGGGAGGTCAAGGCTGCAGTGAGCCAAGACTGTGTCACTGCACTCTAGCCTGGGCGACAAGTGAGACCCTGTCTCAAAAAAAAAAAAAAAATCGGGGATATGGAAAATAGACCCTGTGTGCTGTGTACACTACTCAGTGGGGGCCAGAGAACCGGTTGAATCATGAGTTGCAGGTCCAGATAAAGTCATCTAGTTGTTAGAAATGCAAAAGTCTGAAAAGACATCTCAGAAAGCCATTCTTAAGTTTTACAATAGTGATGTTACTTACTGGAATAATTGAGGAAGTTATAAATCTTGTGACTTCTGCACCAATAGATGATTATCCTGTAACTACGCCTACATTTTAGCAGAATTTGGGCCCCTCTCATAATCCTAACCTTGTGGACTCTCATTAGTTTTACAAAAGCAGTTTAGTTTTGGGAAGGGCTATTATCATTTAAACTAAATGATATTTAACTATAAACTAAATTTCTCCCAAAGTTAGCTTGATCCAGAGCAGTTTGGAGGCAAAAGGCAAGATAGAGTTGATTAGATCAGGTCTCTTCACCGTCAAAATTTTCTCACTGTTATAATTTTTGCAAAGGTGACTTCAAAAACATTGTTAGAAATTATTTTTGTTATAAGTTTTGCTTAAACTTTGCTTCAAGTTGCACTTTCCAAAAACCCGAAGTTACGAGTTACTGTATTTGTGTAAATGCTTTACCACATCTTGGGAAGTATGAAGGGTGGAAACCTCATTTTAATTTAGAATCCTCATCTCACCCACTTTAAATACTATTGTATTAAGTATCAGATGGGGTCATGATTTTTGTTTCAGTCATCAAATATGATGTAAAACTCACACAGAACAGCATACTGTATTGTATTTACACATATTTCTGCCAGCATTTTCTTTTATTTTTTCTTCCTTCCTTATGCTCCAATTATTATTTTTTTATTTTTTTTTATTTTTTTTTTTTTTAAGTGCTATTGGGTCAATGCCAGATTTTCTTTGTGGCCTAGAGCCTTAGCTCTTATATTTAGATCATTGATTCCTTTTTGAGTTTTTTTTTTAAGTTTTAAGTTTATCAATACATGTGCAGGATGTGCAGGTTTGTTGTATAGGTAAATGTGTACCATGGTGGTTTGCTGCATAGACCATCCCATCACCAAGTATTAAGCCCAGCATCCATTAACTATTCTGCCTGATGTGCTCCCTCCTCCCAACCCCACCCTACAACAGGCCCCAGTGTGCGTTGTTCCCCGTCATGTGTTCATGTTTTCTCATCCTTCAGCTCCCACTTATAAGAGAGAACATGTGGTATTTGTTTTTCCGTTCCCACGATGGTTTGCTGAGGATCATGGCTTCCACTGTGGGAAGCAGTGTGATGATTCCTCAAAGACCTGGAGGCAGAAGTACCATGTAAGCCAGCAATACTGGGTATATACACAAAGGAATATACATCATTCTATTATAAAGACATATGCATGTTCATGTTCATTGCAGCACCATTCACAATAGTGAATTCATGAAATCAACCTAAATGCCCATCAATGATAGAATGGATAAAGAAAATATGGTACATATACACCATGGAATACTATGCAATCATAAAAAGGAATGAAAGCGTGTCCTTTGCAGAGACATGGATGGAGCCAAACATCTTTTTAAGAGATAGGGTCTTGCTTTGTCACCCAGGCTGGAGTGCAGTGGTGTAATCATGGGTCAGTGCAGCCTCAAATTCCTGGGCTCAGGCCATCCTCTCTCAGTCTCCCAGGTAGCTGGGACTATAGGCATGCATCAACATGCCTGGCTAATTTTTTAAAAAAATATTTTGATTTTGTGTAGAGATTGGGTTTTTCCATGTTGCCCAAGCTGGTCTCATACTCCTGGCCTCAAGTGATCCTCCCACCTTGGCTTCCAAAAAATTGGAATTACAGGCAAGGCGAGAGCCACTACCACACCCCAACTCTTTTAGCCAATTTAGAAGGATAGATGGGTCTGTTAGAGGCTTCTTTTATTATTTTATTTTATTTTTCTGAGACGGAGTCTTGCTCTGTCACCCCGCCTGAAGGGCAGTGCAGGAAACATCTCGGCTCACTGCAACCTCCGCCTCCCAGGTTCAAGCAATTCTTGTGTCTCAGACTCCTGAGTAACTGGGATTACAGATGTGCACCACCATACCCACCTAATTTTTTGTACTTTTAGTAGAGACAGGGTTTTGCTATGTTGGCCAGGCTGATTTCGAACTCCTGGCCTCAAGTGATCCACAGACCTTGTCCTCCCAAAGTGATGGGATTACAGGCATGAGCCACTGTGTCCGGCCTGTTAGAGGCTTTTTAAAAAAGTTTTCCTTTGTCTTAGAATGCTTCAGTTTCTCGTTTGCTCCAGAAACATATTTTTGGTGGATAAAATATTCAGGGACAATATAACTTTTCTTTTAGAAGTTGAAGATACTTTGTCAATTCCTTGTTGCCTTATGGATTAAGACAAGAAATCTGTCATTTGAATTGGCATTCTTTATCCTTAAAGGCTATAGTTATGATGTGTTCTGGTATTACTTTTTTGGGGTTTATTCTGTTTGGGAATCACTTAGCATCTTCCATGTATGAGTGTGTGTCTTGAAAATCATGGGAAGTTTTCAGCTACTATTTTCTCAAATATCCTGGCAACTCTGCACTCTTTCTCTTCTTTCTCTGTACCTGGATAATACAAAGTTGTTTCTATATATATATATATATTTTTTTTTTGGTGTATATCTTCTTTCTTTTTATGGATTGTGTAAATTCTATTGTTATTTCCTTAAGTGCACTGTTTCTACTCTCTATTATATTCAATCTATTGTTAAGAACAGCCAGCAAGTTTTTAAATTGATTGTTTTATTTTTCAGTTCTATAATTTCCATTTGAATCTTTTTTTATACTTTTCTTTCTTTATGGATATTTTATGTTTTCTCATTAGTTTCTACATAATTTGTAATCATTGTTGAAACTCTTTTATGATATTTTCTTTCAATTCCTTGTCAGCTAATTCCAACATCTGATTCTTATCAATCTTGGCATAAGTAGATTATTTTAAATTAAAGTCATAATTTTCTTAGTTCTTAGTATTGTGGGTGTTTTTTAATTGTATCAGAACATTTTTCCTATTATGACTTAACTATTTAGAAGAAAATAGTTACCATATTTTTTAAAGGGGATTCATGCTTTTCCTATTTTCCTCAGAAGAATGATTCTATCCAGAAATTGTTTTTAATTGTATTGAAGTACAAGGTGAATAGACGCTAAGAGCCCTTTTTGGTTTAATAAGAGTTAACATTTCCTTTAGATTTTATTTGAAATGTTTATTATCAAAATGTATAAATTTTAAATAATAATGTCTTGATAAGTTCCACTGCAAGGAAAATGTTTCCAAAGTGCTTTTGTAGTGTTTGATACTCTCTTTTCACAAATTTTTTATGTGAATATCTATTATATTACCATAATGTACATCTTTAAACACTTACTGTCTGTCTTCATAATTAGTTAAAATATTTTAAAACATCATTCTTCTAAACTGAGTCTAAAGAGATGAGACTTTGAAGACTTTTGTGAGATCGCCATTGTAGGCCAAATAGATTAACTATGAAATATTTTGAAAGATTGAATACTATTTTTGTAGGACTTTCTCCTTAGTTCAGTTAAAGCCTGATTTGTCTTACACAACCATGAAAAATTAGGCTCGCAGACAGTTTGAAGGATGAGAAGAACAGGGTTTGTTGGGTGAAAAGGGTTAAAAAAAAACAAAAACAAACAAACAAAAAAACGGAAACAGGGTCTCTCAGCAAAGTGGGAGTCCTGCAAGTAGGATTCCTGCCTCACAGATAGAATCCCCGGTTACCCCCGGAACAGGATAGGCCAGGCTCCTCCCCCTGCAAAGGAGGCTAACTTCCCAAGGCTCCACCCCAGTGCGCATTCCTCTCCATGTGCAGGCTGATCGGAGTTTCTCCGGGACCCCTTTATACTTTGCTGTCTCACTATAGTGTAGGCTGGATTATTCCTAAATCTGTCCATAGAGTTTACCCATAAGATAAACTAAGGCTTGGGCCGGGCGCGGTGGCTCACGCCTGTAATCCCAGCACTTTGGGAGGCCGAGGCGGGCGGATCACGAGGTCAGGAGATCGAGACCATCCCGGCTAAAACGGTGAAACCCCGTCTCTACTAAAAATACAAAAAATTAGCTGGGCGTAGTGGCGGGCGCCTGTAGTCCCAGCTACTTGGGAGGCTGAGGCAGGAGAATGGCGTGAACCCGGGAGGCGGAGCTTGCAGTGAGCCGAGATCCCGCCACTGCACTCCAGCCTGGGCGACAGAGCGAGACTCCGTCTCAAAAAAAAAAAAAAAAAAAAAGATAAACTAAGGCTTGTTCTACTTTCCAAGATGAAAAACACCAACATTGATTCACTTAGATTTAAATGAGGAAATTTGCAATTTGCAAACGGCATTAGTTACTTTCTCTCATGAGCCATATGGTCTTAGTTCTCTGATCATTGGAAGGCTTAAAGATAAACATGAAGAATTTACCAGACTGGAAATTTTTTCCTCTACTCAAACTATCCCGGCATTATGAAGCAAATACAACAACATAACATCATTATTTTAATTTTCTATAGCATATTGTCGTTTATCATGAGGAAGAATCCCATCTTCCATAATATAAGTTTATGGTCTTCAGTTTTATCTTAAATGCCAAAAGAATAACAACTTTTATCAGACTCCATGTTAATCAATCTCTGTCCCAGTCCTGCTTTAAGTAGCCCTTTTTTTTTTTTTTTTTTAGTTTTCTTTTTTTCTTAACAGTGAAAAAGAAAATAAAGCTTATTTTTATTATTTTTATATTGGCTGATTTATTCAACTTTCGTGTGTGTGTGCATGTGTGTGTATCTATAATAGAACTGAGAAACTGAGAAAAGAGGTTTATCAGTACTAAAATTAAGACAGAATACATGAAAGAAAATTTTAATAACAAATATATTTGGAATGGAAAGAAGAAGGGGAGGACAATTCACTCAGTTTTTTGTCACTCCAGTTTTGAGTCTAATTATTTTTGCAACATTGGAAAAATAACATTATTTGTCTTCAGTTTAGTTTTGTTCTGTAATATATTGATCTAAACATCCACAATTCCATGTCTATAATTCATGTTTTCCTACGTTCTGGTGTTAAAAACTAGCTCCCAATAAAAACTGCCTTACTGAAAATGGAGACAAGTTCTAGACTTCTGAAATAGTTCAAGAGCTCTGGGCATTCTCAGGCAGAGACTATTTTCTTAAGTGTTTTTATGGCTGCTCAATGGTGGCTGCCATTCTCTTTCTGGTCTCTTCTAATAAGATATTGTGAGATTTCATGCTGCTGATAACACTTGGGGTGAAGACCAGAATGTCCAAACTTGTCAAGATGCTCCTGATGCCCCCTGGAACACAATGTCTATAAATGATTGCTCTGATTTGGCTTGCTTTTAAGATCACCTTGCCTTCCTCATGTTTTCACTTACTGGGAACAAGGAAAACAAGAAACATTTTGGCAAATAGGCTATGAAACAGTTCCAACCTATGTTCCCTTTAATCTTACAGAGATGCAAGAGAAATGTTTTGCTTCCATGAGTCTCACATTCAAAAACATGTACAAAAGATAAGCCAGAGAACAGTCTGAGTCATAGATCCACTGTACTCACAGTGGTCCACAGTCTTCTTCCCCACCATCCCCACCTGCTCTGGCACACCCTACCCCTGGATCACGCTCTTGTAAAAAATATGCATTTCTATACTTTTTCTTTAATTAGGAAGAAAGCCTTTTATAGATGATTCTGAAAACCACTCACAGAGATAAATTGGCCAGACCATCTGCATAGTGTCTAGTATAATAATCTTGCGGAGTGGTTTCCAAGTTGAGACTGCTTCCTCAGGGTTCCCCACCTACTTCATATAAAAATAAATTATTTTATTATTAGTCAGAGTAAAGCTCAAAAGAGAAAAGAAGATAATTATGAACAAAATATTAATAACTATTAATCATATTACCTCTGGTATTAAGTGTTTATCATTAGGTGTTTACATGCCAGGCTTGCTCAGGCTCTCCCTCCCCATTAATCTCTCTCTCTCAATCTCTCTCTAATTATCTATCTGTTTATTTATCTATCTATACACAATTTTGATTCTTACTTTCATGAGTCGGGTATCACGTGTCTGTCATATAGCAAATCGGAGCCTCAAAGAAGGTAAAGACATTGTATCTTCTCTTGACTCCAGGATGTCTTATGGACATTTATAGTCATGTAATCATAAGGACTGCTAAATATCATAGGGATACTTATGCTTTTGTGTTCTGAGTTTTTGTGAGAACACTGCCTATAAACATAAAAGGACCCTAGTTGATTAATGAGACCGTCATCCTACCTACCAAAAAAATCTTATCACTGTTATCATTGCTCTTAATATCATCATCAAATCTAGCCTATTTTCGAATAAAGAATTTATCATTGAAAAAATAAAAAGAATAATATTTTAGGATACATGGAAATTACATAAAATGTAAACTTCCATTTTCATACATAAAATTTCATTGGAACACAGCCACTTCCATGCATTTATGTATTGTTCGTTGCTTCTTTCATGACACAGTGGCAGAATTTAGTAATTGAAACACAGACAATATGGCCAACAAAGACAAAACTATGTATTTTCTCTCCCTTTAAACAGACTTGCAACCCTTTGAAGTATAACATGCTGACTTTCAAGAACACCACCTAAAAGACCACAAAGTACTTAGTGAGGATTGCTATTCTGAAAGTAGATCAAATATAGGTCAACAAATAAGGAGTTAATTATCTTTGTTTCTCAAAGACTTTTCTGATAATGTAGCCATTATCATAAGGTAGAGAATGCCTCAGCAATCTTTAATACTAGACATAATGTTTTAGTTCAAGGAGAAATAATTAATGCCCGTGTTTAGAAATCATAAAGCATATTGTAGTTAACTAATGAAGCAATAAAATATTTATAAGAAAAGAAAACAATAAACAAAGTAAGTACATTACAAAGTGAATATATTATACTAAACGTTATTTAAAATCTTATCAAAATACATATTTAATATTACTCTTTACATGCTATTTTGTTAATTTTATTTAATTATATTATTTGCTATTTAGAGAGGAAGAGATTATTTTCATTTACTAACTTAAAACTTTGTGTAGAATTAGGAAATTGGGAAGCA
Source organism: Homo sapiens (assembly GCF_000001405.40). NCBI lineage: Eukaryota > Metazoa > Chordata > Mammalia > Primates > Hominidae > Homo > Homo sapiens. The sequence continues at coordinate 123,403,844 of NC_000002.12, read as the reverse complement.
ATTTACATTTAGTATTTTATTGCAGGGATTTGATTTAATATATATTACAAATGAAAGCAAACACATAATTTTAAATCTTCGGGGATTCATAGAACTTGATTTGTATTTACTATTCTTTACACAGCATTCCCCATGTGACAAATATCTAACATTTAAATACATACAAAATATACCAACACATTTTATACAAAAATACAAGGATACAAATATTCAATTAATATTTCTCTCTGTAAAAGGATAGAATTGTACTTGCTCATAGCTTGGACTCTGGAGGAATTTTTGGTTTAGTTTTTTAATGTCTGGATTATATTCTTTAAATAAATTATCAGGTTGAATTATTGAAGGAAAGACAGTCTATGTCAAAGTGAATAAAAGAATGAATAAATAAAGGTAGTACTATTTTTCTTCAAAACTAACATGTGGGTACAAAGTCAGGAAGTAAATTTTTTGTTTGATTTTTAAACCTGATCTGCAAATATTTTAACTATCTGCTCAAAGGAGATTAAAGCCAACAAGAAGCCATCATGACATACTGCAGAATTCATTAAGGTAGAAATATGGAAAGGCAGAGAGAAACTAATGCCCTTGGAGAGGTACCAGGTATGCGCAGCTTTGCGAATGCAAAAGAAGGAGTCCACGTGGAGCTAAGATGGGGACCTTACATGTTCACATAAGTTGCATTAAGCCTCCTTCCTTTAAAAATGCCATCTTTGGCCCGGCGCGGTGGCTCACGCCTATAACCCCAGCACTTTGGGAGGCCGAGGCGGGCAGATCACCTGAGGTCAGGTGTTCGAGACCAGCCTGGCCAACATGGCAAAACCCCATCTCTACTTAAATACGAAAAATTACCCAGGCATGGTGGCTGGTGCCTGTATTCCCAGCTACTCTGGAGGCTGAAGCAGGAGAATCTCTTGAAGGAGGCGGAGGTTGTAGTGAGCCGAGATTGCAGCACTGCACTCCAACCTGGGTGACAAGAGCAAGACTCCGAAAAAACAAAAGAACAAACAAAAAACAGTGTCTTTGATACATTTGTAAAATTGTAGTAACATACAGGGGACACAGTACATTCACACTGTGGTGCAACTGTCACCACAATCCATCTCCAGAACTCTTTTCATCCTGAAAACTGAACCTCTGCACCTGCAAAAAAAACTCTCCATTTTCCCCTCTTCCCTAGCCTCTGACAACCACCATACTACTTTCTGTCTCTATGAATTTCACTGTGTTAAGTATGTCATATGAGTGGAATCGTATGGTATTTTTTCTTTTGTGACTAGCTTATTTCACTCGGCATACTGTCTACAATGTTCACCCATGTTGTAACATATGTCTTTATTTCCTTTCTTTTTAAGGCTGAATAATATTCCATTGTGTGAATAGGTCACATCTTCTCTGTCCATTTGTCCATCCACAGACACTTCATTGGCTTTTAATTTTTAGTGAATAATAATGCTCCTATGAACATGGATGTAAATATATATATATATTTATATATATATATTTATATATATATTTAGATAAATATATATATAAATATATATATATTTAGATAAATATATATATATTTATGTATATATTTAGATAAATATATATATATTTATGTATATATTTAGATAAATATATATATTTATATATATATATAAATATATATAAATTTTTATATATATTTATATATATATATAAATATATATAAATTTTTATATATATTTATATATCTATCTTTAAAACCTTGCTTTCAATTCGTTGAGATATATACCCAGAAGTGGGATTATCGGATCATATGGTAATTCAAATTTTTAGTGAGAGTCAGACTTGTGAATTTAGGAAATGAGATGTTCTAAAATTCAGGGGAAAGACAAGAATAAATTAATTTCAGTTTCTCTTTTAGATATTTAGGTCATATAATTTTGAACTCTCTAATGTCATTACAGAAAAACATGAAAGAAATTTGTGGCAGTGGCAGCCATCTGACTTGGTATTCATGCTTGCTTACAGTAGACGTGTTCAGTAATAGATATCAACTTTGAGTATTTCCATTGTCTTGACAATTAATATTAACAATTTTAAGATATCATAGAGCGTATCTTTCTCACTATCTTCAGTACTGCCCAGTCCACACTCTAATATGGTGTCCCGCTATTCAAAGAAATGTTAACATATTACTGCTCTGCTCTGGAGGTCACAGCGAGGTCTGAGAAGTCTCATAATGCAGGTTTTGATTTGAGCATTGGGAGAACTGAGAGGGCTCATCACACAGAGGGGCTGGAGGAAATCAGTAGTTGCCTGCCCACATGAACTGAAGGCTGATTATGAGAAAGAAGCCATGTTGTTCTGGAGGCCAACATGTAGGCAATGGATTGAAGAACAACAGAGGGAGATCTTGGTTGAACCGTAGGAAGGATTCTCTGACACCCAAACTGTTTTGCTTTGAGAGAAGAATAGTGAGTTCCAGGGGATGGGTCATGTGGGGAATGAGAAATTAGCCAAAAATACAAAGTTTCACTTTAAGATGAATAAGTTCTGTCATTTACTGTTCAGCAAGGTCACTATAGTTACAAAACCCTATTTTGTTTATTTGAAATTTTCTAGGAGAGTAAATTGCAAGTATCCACAGAACACACACATACAAACACACATATACACAAAATAAATGTGATGGGTCTGTTGATTAATTTATTGTTGTAATCATTAGGCAGTACATGCACACATATATATATACACACATATAATCATGTCGTATACATTGAACATTGCCAATTATGCCTCAATAAAGCTGGAATTAAAAAAAATACTTTGTTTCCTGAAGTAGTGAGCTTCCTGTCACTGAGGTATTCAAACTGAGCCACAAATCTTCTGCTCAGAAAATCTATTTAAATGCTCTATATTATTCTAATATTTGGCAAAGTGATATCAAATTACTATTCAAGCCTTAATAATTTATTTACAAAGTGGAAATATTTCCCCCACTTCTGTACAGAGTTAGCGAATGGAATGTGTAAATTGGTGAACATTATTTTAATGTACATCAATATTGGTTCAAAGTTTGCATAATTATACAATTTTGGTTTTTATGAAAGTATGCTCTTATCCAGTCCAGTTAACTTAAATCCATAAAATTTTGCTATGATTCCAAGAGCTTACCAGATATATTTATCCAAGTATATAGCCTATGTAGCTTAATAAATTATCCAACATTTATTACAAAAGATTATTTTCTCTGAGAATTCCTTCCATGGCAGCCAAATGCCATTAGCAACATTATAACAGTTTGGCCACAAAAAAAGACCCCCATTGACCTCCACGAAAAATCTCCTCCCCTAAAGTTACATGAGCCTTTATCTTTGAAAATGTCCTCAAACTCTTCACTTGTGCCCTTCCAGCCAAGCAAGGACCACCAAATGTATCTGAAAAACATTTAGAAGGTCTCTCCCATTTCCTAAAATTCTACCTTAATAGAACACTTGCCAGAGATTTTCTCAATACATTTCCCCTTTTACTGAATAAACCTCTCTCCTTCCCCACACCATCAAGCTTCAGCTCAAACAAGGCGTATGATTTAATAATATGTGCTCCAAGTTTATGAATAGGCAGCCTTTGTTAACTTTGTCTCCAACTTTGTTGTGTCATCAACATCCCCTTCTTCAAAGTATTGAGCATTATGATTAAACGGAGCCCCAAAGTGCAACAATTCCGTATTGCCAATAAAGGCCTCTTTTCCCGAACACATCTCCCCTGTAACTTCTGGTTAAAGCCTGAAATGTCAGGCACAAAATTCTTCTTTCCACATTGAGGAGGACAGTGCAGGGAATCACCGGGGACAGGAGTTTGAAAGGGTGCAGTGGTGTGCTAGTAAGTATTTAAGAGTCAGTTCTCAATCAAACAACCAATCAGTCAATCAATATTTTTTTTTTAAATAATCCCTGACTGAAGAAAAGCCCTGTCTGTATGTGAGTACTCCCACTTGTCTGATTCCAAGCTACCAATGTACCCTCACAGAGACTGGAGTTGGGAAGCATGCTTTCTGGGAGCCCTCAGAGCTGGCTCCAGCAACAGAGGCTGGCTGCACCTCTTCTCAAGCATGTTCCAGTATCATTTCACGTAACTCCTCTGAGCCTTAGTCTTACTACTTTTAAAAATGAGGAAAATGCCAGATCATTAAGTCACTTGTTTAAGGTGACACAGAAAATATGTAGTGTCTGGTATTAGCCGCTGCTCTTAGCACAGTATATCATTTACAAAACCTCCCTTGGTAAACTAGTAATTGAAATGGATGTCAAGCTGCAAAATGAATAAATAGTACATTTTTTTTCCAAATAACTTATTTTCGTTTCCTCTGGATGCAACACAGGTTGCTTAAAACAGGTGGCTTACACACTGCATGGATGACAATATGAAACACACACTTCACTATATTCAGTTTTGCCAAGGGCTAGACTTGTCATAATTAGCAACTCACCAGGATATTTTCTTTGCCAAATAAGTAGCCAATCAAACAACATACAGATATTGGACACTTCTGTGTGACCAGCTGCTTCGCTGGTTGCCAATTCTTTACCTTCAGCACAAGTGACCAGCTCGCACCTACTCAACTCTATTTGCGGGTGTGAAAATTATCCACAGTTATCCATTTCAAAATGCAAACATGTTTGCTTTCTGGTGTTGTGTTTTGAAGGAAGGGAAAATGGCTTTACTCCTTCTATTTTCTAATTTGAACTATCTGTTATTGTCTTGGTCACCAGTAAAGAAGCCGTAGTCTGAATCTTGGGTCTGACATGGATATCCAGACCTGTAAACTTTGGATTAGACCACAGCCTGCGGAGGGAAGGCGGAGTGCTGCCTCTGCAAGGGAATTGCTTCTGAGATCCCTTGTTAGGGAGAACATATTTCAGGAGTCACTACTGTTCTGGGCAAATGTCATGCCATAAGAACCTATTTTATTTTTGTAGGAGTTTACTTGCAAAATGAAAGATTATGAAAACACTATAGAGGACTCTCACACACTGAGCACCTACTTTGTGCGAGGTTCTTTTTTTTTTTAACATATATTGTCTCAAAAAATCCCATGAGAAAATATTATTAACTCCATTTTATAGGTGATGTAACTGAAGCTTGATGTGAGATAAGTTTCCAAGGTTCAGAGCTAATATGTGCATGACAGAGCTGAGACATGCAATAAAAACCCTGCTGGAATAAAAGGCCATGCTATTTCTAGACACTACAACAGAGTTGGGAAATGATGAAGCCATACCCAGTCGCCACCTGTTTTGGTACAACCCAAAAGCCAAATAGGCTTCTTATACTTATGAATAGTTGAAAGAAATCCAAAGAAGAAAAGAGTACATTGTGACACATGAAAATTATTGGAAATTTAAATCTCAGTGTCCCTGAAGAAAGTTTGATGTAAATGGCCATGATCACTCATGTATGTACTTGCCACGGCTGCTCGCACGCTACTACAGCAGAGTTGAATAGTTGGGACAAGACCACATGGCTCCCAAAGACTAAACTATTTCATCTCTAGCTTTTTACAGAAAAAGTTCACAGACCCCTGAATTCAACCAATGGTTCTCAAACTTGAACACGTATATGAATAATCTGGGGAGATGATTTTTAACAAGGGAAAAGCATACAGATTTGGTATAGTAATTTTTACACAGGCATGGGAGCCCTCACAAGAAAAACAAAGACTCACAGAAGCAATTAGGGCTGAAAGCTTACATACTGGGTTGGACAAAGAGTAGTAAATATGAAAATGTGACAAGGTCTGAGCCTCACTCTAGAGGTCCTGACTCAATAGGTCTGTGGTGGATTCTGAGAATTTCCATTTATAAAGTGTTCCTGGGTGCCACTCTTGCTGCTGATCTAGGGTTCACCCTTGGAAAACCCATGTGCTGGATGAATTAAAGGAGGTGAACATACTTTCTAATGTGCTAACATGGTTTTGCTGATAAGATTCTTCAGTTATTAAAAAAAGCAATAGATTTTGCAGCTAGAGGATAAACCTTAGCAACTCTACAGTCCTGCCCACTCTGTATCTTCTCTTTGTATGATGTGTTTAGGATTTATACTGCCAGATCACTCACACTGTTTGCATTTTCACGGGTTTAGGTTTTCTCATCTCTTCACTTTATCTTTAATGACAGCAGGAATCACACAGTTTGTGGCTGTTTGTCCACCTTGATACCCAGGGCAGAACTGCTCTCACATTGTGGATGGTGGGCAGGGTAGCTGAATAGAATCACCAGAGGCATATATGCTTTAAATCTTGACTCTTTTGTTTGCTTTCAACCAAAATTTGGGCATGTTACCCTCTAAGGGCCTCAATTTCCTCCTCTGTGAAATTAGCATGAGGAACTCTGCCGTATAGAGGTCCGCTGCATTTTATTTCAGATCAAATACATAAAGCATATTTGGTGTCTGACAAACTGTAAACAACCTGGAAGCTCTTGAAGGGTTCATTATTTAATAGTTGAATAAAAGCTCTCAGTCGCCTGACACTAGTGAAGAACATGTAATGAAGGAAGTCTCTCCTGTGCCACGTGCATTTAAGGAACCCCCTATATCACCTGACAGGAAGAGTGAACCCAGAACAACTTGGCAGTGTGTGGCTGCCCACTCTACCCTCACATAATGACATCTAGATTGGCAGTGTCAACAAGTCTGCATCCAAAGTAGAATAATAGCTGCCTGGAGAAAACCGACCTGCTACAACAAAAAGAAGAGTTTAGAATGCTAGAAAGGAAAAATCAAAGGTAACCACAGCTTTGGTGTCTCTATTATTTGCTGCAATCTCCCAAAATAGCACAGAGGTTAAGAACACCAAATGTGGAAACTCACTGCGTGGCTTAATGTTCTGACTCCCTCACAAGCCTATGGTGTGTTATTAGGGAAGTCAATTTCTCTGCATTTAGGTTTCATCACTTCCAAAATGGGACAATCATAGAGCCCACTTTAAATGATTCTTGTGAGGGCCAAATGAGTGATTTTATGTAAACTCTGAGCTCAGCCCAAGATAAATACTAGTCAGAGGAAACACTTGTATTGCACTTACATGTTCTAGGAACTGTGCTAAGTGCTTTACTTATATTATTTCTTTCATAAAACAAGGCACTGAATTAATGCATGCCATGAATTCAATAAAAATTATATATAGAAGTAAACCTATTAGGATATGGACCAATGAATTATATTTGGGATTGTTGTTAGTAGTTGTGTGTGTGTGTGTGTCTGTGTGTGTGTGTGTATATATATATGTTTACTTTCTTAACTTTGCTACTATATTTTGTGAGAAAGGTATTTTATAATCTGAAAAGACTCCATATTTTTGTTTATTCTTGGTTTTCATACGATAGTCAAGTCTTCGTCCCTGATTTTGTGTCATTTTCTATACCCATCTACCTTGCCACTCAAGTTTCTGCTTTTTCTCGAACTGACTACTCATTGGCAGTGAAAGGTACCTGGGTGGCAGAATATTCTGAATGCGACTTTTCCTGAATGCACTCTGTTTTATTTGAAAGCTTACTACTGTACTGTCAAACCCATTTGGAAGAAAAAGGACAGTGAGGAGGAGGAGAGGAAGAGTGGGAGGAGTGGGAAGAGGAGGGGCAACAGGAGAAAGAAAAAGAAGAGTGATATGATTTGACTGTGTCCTCACCCAAATCTAATTTTTTTTAAATTATACTGTAAATTCTGGGGTACACGTGCATAACTTGCAGGTTTGTTACATAAGTATACATGTGCCACGGTGGTATGATGCACCCGTCAACTTGTCATCTACATTAGGTATTTCTCCTAATGCTATCCCTTTCCCCATTCAGTATAATCTTGGCTGTGGGTTTGTCATAAACAGCTCTTATTATTTTGAGATACATTCCATCAGTACTTAGTTTATTGAGAGTTTTTAGCATGAAGGGCTGTAGAATTTTGTTGAAGGCCTTTTCTTCATCGATTGAGATAATTATGTGGTTTTTGTCGTTGGTTCTGTTTATGCGATGGATTACGTTTATTGATTTTCGTATGTAGAACCAGCTTTGCATCCCAGGATGAAGCCGACTTGATCATGGTGGATAAGATTTTTGATATGCTGCTGGATTCGGTTTGCCAGTATTTTATTGAGGATTTTGGCATAGATGTTCATCAGAGATATTGGCCTGAAATTTTCTTTTTTTGTTGTGTCTCTGCCAGGTTTTGGTATCAGGATGATGCTGGCCTCATAAAATGAGTTAAGGCGGATTCCCTGTTTTTCTATTGTTTGGAATAGTTTCAGAAGGAATGGTACCAGCTCCTCTTTATACATTTGCTAGAATCCAGCCTGAATCCGTGTGGTCCTAGGTTTTTTTCGTTGATAGGCTATAGTTACTGCATCAATTTCAGAACTTGTTATTGGTCTATTCAGGGATGTGACTTCTTCCTGGTTTAGTCTTGGGAGAGTGTACATGTCCAGGAATTTATCAATTTCTTCTAGATTTTCTAGTTTATTTGCATAGAGGTGTTTATAGTATTCTCAGATGGTAGTTTGTATTTCTGTGGAGTCAGTGGTGATATCCCCTTTATCAGTTTTTGTTGCATCTATTTGATTCTTCTCTCTTTTCTTCTTTATTAGTCTTGCTAGCGATTTATCTATTTTGTTGATCCTTTCAAAAAACCAGCTCCTGGATTCATTGGTTTTTTGAAGGTTTTCTTTTTGTGTCTCTATCTCCTTCAATTCTACTCTGATCTTAGTTATTTCTTGTCTTCTGCTAGCTTTTGAATTTGTTTGCTCTTGCTTCTCTAGTTCTTTCAATGGTGATGTGATAGTGTTGGTTTTAGATCTTTCCTTCTTTCTCTTGTGAGCATTTAGTGCTATAAATTTCCATCTACACACTGCTTTAGATGTGTTGCAGAGATTCTGGTATGTTGTGCCTTTGTCCTCATTGGTTTCAAAGAACATCCTTATTTCTGCCTTCATTTCATTATGTACCCAGTAGTCATTCAGGAGCAGGTTGTTCACTTTCCATGTGGTTTTTCAGTTTTGAGTGAGTTTCTTAATCCTGATTTCTAATTTGATTGCACTGTGTTCTGAGAGACTGTTTGTTATGATTTCCATGCTTTTGCACTTGCTGAGGAGTGTTTTACTTCCAATTATGTGGTCAATTTTAGAACAAATGTAATGTGGTACTGAGAAGAATGTATATTCTGTTGATTTAGGGTGGAGAGTTCTGTAGATGCCTATTAGGTCTGCTTGGTCCAGAGCTAAGTTCAAGTCCTGAATATCCTTGTTAATTTTCTGTCTTGTTGATCCATCTAATATTGACAGTGTGGGAGTCTAAGTCTCTTTGTAGGTCTCTAAGAACTTGCTTTATGAATTTGGGTGCTCCTGTATTGGGCACATATGTAGTAAGGATAGTTAGCTCTTCTTGTTGCATTGATCCCTTTACCATTATGTAATGGCCTCCTTTGTCTCTTTTGATCTTTGTTGGTTTAAAGTCTGTTTTATCAGAGACCAGGATTTCAACCCCTGGTTTTTTGTTTTTTGTTTTTTGTTTTTTTTTTTGCTTTCCATTTACTTGGTAGATCTTCCTCCAACCCTTTATTTTGAGCCTATGTGTGTCTTTGTACATGAGATGGGTCTCCTGAATACAGCACATGGATGGGTCTTGACTCCTTATCCAATTTGCCAGTCTGTGTCTTTTAATTGGGGCATTTAGCCTGTTTACATTTAAGGTTAATATTTTTAAGTGCGAATTTGATCCTGTCATTATGATGTTAGCTGGATATTTTGCCTGTTAGTTAATGCAGTTTCTTCATAGTGCTGGTGCTTTTTACAATTTGGTATGTTTTTGCAGTGACTGGTATCGGCTGTTCCTTTCCATGTTTAGTGCTTCCTTCAGGAGCTCTTGTAAGGCAGGACTGGTGGTGACAAAATCTCTCAGAATTTGCTTGTCTGTAAAGGATTTTATTTCTCCGCTGTTTATGAAGCTTAGTTTGGCTGGATGTGAAATTCTGGGTTGAAAATTCTTTTCTTTAAGAATGTTGAATATTGGCCCCCACTCTCTTCTGGCTTGTAGGGTTTCTGCCAAGAGATCTGCTGTTAGTCTGTTAGTCTGATGGGCTTCCCTTTGTGGATATCCCGACCATTCTCTCTGGCTACCCTTAACATATTTTCCTTCATTTTAACCTTGGTGAATCTGACAATTATGTGTCTTGAGGTTGCTCTTCTAGAGGAGTATTTTTGTGATGTTCTCTGTTTTTTTTTTTTTTTTTTTTTGAGATGGAGTTTCTCCCTTGTTGCCCAGGCTGGAGTGCAACGGTGCGATCTTGGCTCACCACAACCTCTGCTTCCTGGGTTCAAACAATTCTCCTGCCTCAGCCTCCTGAGTAGCTGGGATCACAGGCATGTGCCACCATGCCTGGCTAATTTTGCATTTTTTAGTAGAGACGGGTTTTCTCCATGGTGGTCATGCTTACTCACCTAAGGTGAACTGCCCACCTTGGCCTCCCAGAGTGCTGGGATTACAGGTGTAAGCCACCACGCCCAGCCTTTTTATTTCTTAAATACCAATATGACTGAATATGAATGTTGGCCTATCTTTCTAGTTTGAGGAAGTTCTCTTGGATAATATCCTGAAGAGTGTTTTCCAACTCCCTGTCACTTCCAGGTACACTAATCAAATGTAGATTTGGTCTTTTCACATAGTCCCATATTTCTTGGAGGTTTTTTTTTTTTCCGTTCTTTTTTCTCTAATCTTGTCTTCTTGCTTTATTTCATTAAGTTGATCTTCAATCTCTGATATCCTTCCTTCTACTTGATTGATTCGGCTATTGATACTTGTGTATGCTTTATGAAGTTCTCACGCTGTGTTTTTCAGCTTCATCAGGTCATTTATGTTCTGCTCTAAACTGGTTATTCTAATTAGCAATTTGTCTAACTTGTTTTCAAGGTTCTTAGTTTCCTTGCGTTGGGTTAGAACATGCTCCTTTAGCTAGAAGGTGTTTGTAATTACTCACCTTCTGAAGCCTACTTCTATCAATTCATGAAACTCATTCTCTGTCCAGTCTTTTTTCCCTTGCTGGCGAGAAATTGCAATCCTTTGGAGGAGAAGAAGCATTCTGGTTTTTGGAATTTTCAGCTTTTTTGCACTGGTTTCTCCCCTTCTTCATGGATTTATCTACCTTTGGTAATTGATGTTGGTTACCTTCAGATGGGGTCTCTGAGTGGACCTCCTTTTAGTTGATATTGATGTTCCTCCTTTCTGTTTGTTAGTTTTCCTCCTAATAATCAGGCCCTCTGCTGCAGATCTGCTGGAGTTTGCTGGAGGTCCACTCTAGACCCTTTTTGCCTGGGTATCACAAGTAGAGACTGCAGAACAGCAAAGATTGCTGCCTGTTCCTTCCTCTGGAAACTTCATCCCAGAGAGGTATCCGCCAGATGTCAGCCAGTGCTCTTCTGTATGAGGAGTCTGTTGTCCCTACTGGGAGGTGTCTCCCAGTCAGGAGACATGCATGTCAGGGACCCACTTGAGGAGGCAGTCTGACCCTTAGCAGAACTCGAACGCTGTGCTGGGAGATCCGCTGTTCTCTTTAGAGCCATCAGGCAGGGAGGTTTAAGTCTGCTGAAGCCATACCCACAGCCTCCCCTTCCCCCAGGTGCTCTGTCCCAGGGAGATCGGGGTTTTATCTATAAGTCCCTGACTGGGGCTGCTGCCTTTTTTTCAGAAATACCCTGCCCAGAGAGGAGGAGTCTAGAGAGGCAGTCTGACTACAGCAGCCTTGCTGAGCTATGGTGGGGTCTGCCCAGTTCAAACTTCCTGGCAGCTTTGTTTACACTGTGAAGGTAAAATCACCTACTCAAGCCTAGGCAATGGTGGATGCCTCTCCCCTGACCAAGCTCGAGTGTCCCAGGTTGACCTCAGACTGCTGTGCTGGCAGCAAGAATTTCAAGCCAGTGGATTTTAGCCTGCGGGGCTCTGTGGGGGTGGGACCCGCTGAGCCAGACCACTTGGCTCCCTGGCTTCAGCCCCCTTTCCAGGGGAGTGAACAATTCTGTCTCACTGGCATTCCATGTGCCACTGGGGTTTGAAAAATAAACTCCTTCAGCTAGCTCGGTATCTGCCCAAACGCCCACCCAGTTTTGTGCTTGAAATGCAGGGCCCTGGTGGCGTAGGCACCAGAGGGAATCTCCTGATCTGCAGGTTGCAAAGACCATGGGAAAAGTGCAGTATCTGGACTGGAGTGCACCATTCCTCAGGCTTAGTCCCTCACAGCTTCCCTTGGCTAGGGGAGGGAAATCCCCCAATCCCTTGTGCTTTCTGGGTGAGGCAACACCTCACTCTGTTCAGCTCACCCTCTGTGGGCTGCATCCACTGTCCAACCAATCCCAATGAGATGAACCATGGACCTCAGTTGAAAATGCAGAAACCACCCAACTTCTACATCGATCTGCAGACTGGAGCTGTTCCTATTTGGCCATCTGGCCAGCCAGACCCAAATCACATCTTGAATTGTTGCTCCCATAATTCCCATATGTTGTGGGAGTGACCTGGTGGGAGATAATTGAATCATGTGGACAGTTTTCCCCATACTCTTCTCATGGTAGTGGATAAGTCTCATGAGATCTGATGGTTTTATAAGAGGAAACCCTTTTCACTTTGCTCCCATTTTCTCTTGCCTGCTGCAATGTAAGATGTGCCTTTCGCCTTCTGCCATGATTGTGAGGCCTCCCCAGCCACGTGGAACTATGAGTCCGTTAAACCTCTTTTTCTTTAAAAATTACCCAGTCTCAGGTATATCTTTATCAGCAGCATGAAAACAGACTAATATAAGGAGAAAGAGGAAGAGGAGGAGAAGAAGAGGGGGAGGAGGAGAATGAAGAAGGAGAATGGGGAGGAGGAAGGAGGAGGAAGAAAAGGAGGAGGAGATGAAGAGTATGGAGAGGAAGAGGAAGAAGGAGTGGAGAAACAGGAGGAAGAGAGAAGGAGGAAAAAGGAGGAGGAGAGGAAAAGTAGAAGTAAAAGAAGAAAAGGGCAGAGGGAGAAAGAGAGATGAGAGAGAGACAAAGAGAATCACTTTAAGGTCTTTAACAGGGAAAACATTTTCTTGTTGTCCTCAATTGGCATCTGAAGTGTAACACAGCTTGCTAATATCTTGACTAAAAAGAACATTAAGTGATATTGGAGGGAGAGGGAGAAGGGTTTCAAAAATTATGTTACGGTAAAACATAGAAAGCAACCTATCTTGGCATGTTTGTTCTGGAGCAGGGTACTATACTAGGCACATTAACATCCAGAAATATGTGTCAAATAGCCACCTCTCTATTACTGTCACCACCAATATAGTCCTTTAAAAACTGTTCAGATTTTAAAGAAGCAGCACTACATCAAAAGAAGATACCACCTGGCCTGCCAGCATGGGCGCAAGCTACAACTTCTCACCGGTCTGCATCTCATTACTCGGTGCAGGCTTTCAGTACCTTACTTGCTTGTTTCTTAACTGATGATCCCATGCCCATGCTCAGCTTTTGGTTTAATCTGCGCGCAGGCTCTAGAGAGCAGACCATCTCTCTGAGGACTTTACACATCCTGCCCTTGGTCAGATGGACTTTTCATCACGCTTCCATGTTTTGTTTTTCATTCTAGTCTCCCTCTTAGATGGCATTTTTGGATCCTTCAGCATGGACTAGTGTTTATAATGTAATTCGTAATTTAGAATGACAGTTTCAATTTTAGACTGTAAAATGTTGTCTAAAAGGGGCTCTGTTTGTGGCCAGGTGTGGGTTGGTGCAGTGGATGGACCAGTGGGATCGCTCACGTTCCTCCATGTGCAGGAGACTATTTTATGTCTGCTCCTCTGTTCACCAGGAGTCTTCCCTACTTCCTGTCTGCCTCACACTTAACTAAATTTTATTCACATTCAGATATCATTTTCTTTAATTTTCACCTGAGACACTGTCCTGCCCTCTGCTACATGCTAACTCCAGTGTCCCTTCCCTCATCACACTCTCATTGAGGCACAAGAAATCAATTTCAGTGATTATGAGCTAGTTGAAGGCATGGACGTTTTTTGTTTGATTTTATTCTCCCCCCACCTGCCCTGACAATCTCTATATCCCAAAACAAAATATCCTTATGCACATAGATGGGTGTGAATGCCAAAAGTACGAGTGAAAAGATGATGCATGTTGAAATGGTGGAATGAAGAAATGAAGATAATTATGCCTGTCTTTCTGCATGTTTAGTTAAGCCAGGGACCTAAACAAGATGAGTCTAAGACAGGTTTTTCATCTTGAAGCTTAAATGCTTGTAACTACAGAAGAAAAGGTTTGTAGAGTAAACGAGTTATTTTAAAAAGCCAGCAATGAATTATAGTAGTGATCCACATTAAAAATAGATTAAACATTTACCTAAAACTCTAACCTGAAATGTTCAGTCTTCATCTTTAGTCTCTCTGTGAAAATGACTCATTAAGACCTTACTGCTTACAGCTTATTACCAGAAAGTAATGTATTTTCCCTCATACCAGAAATACTCCACCAGCAAGGAGTTTCCAGGGAGAACAGAGAGAGTATCAGATACTCATGTAAAAACTATTATTGTACTACTCATTCCATACTAAAATGATTGCTTAATGATTCCTTATGTATGTACTTTTCCATGAATGCTTTTATGATTTGAGTAATGCTAGATCGATGTGATTCCAGACATCCAGATATTTGGAACATGAATATTGGCCTAAATGTATACTTCTTAAAGTATTTAAATCAGATTGCATGTAAATGAAATAAAACTCTTTGTAGTTGGTCTGTGAATTTTTTATATTAGTCACTCTTGATCCTAAGATACCAAAATTCTACTCTGAATCTCCAAAGGACTTATTTTACTATTATTATTATTATTATTTAGTATTATTTACTGAACCATTATATACTAAAAAGTTATTTTAAAATGAAATTGGGAGAGGAAGAATAATAGTTGCATACATTTTTATTATGAAAGTTTTACTTGTTATTTACTTTACTTATTATCAACTTTTATTTTATTTTATTTTATTTATTTATTTTGAGATGGAGTCTCGTTTTGTTGCCCAGGCTGGAGTGCTGTGGCATGATCTTGGCTCACTGCAACCTCCACCTCCCGGGTTCAAATGATTCTCCTGCCTCAGCCTCCTGAGTAGTTGGTATTACAGGCACGTGCCACCGTGCCCAGCTAATTTTTGTATTTTTAGTAGGGATGGGGTTCTTGGTCATGAAATCCTTGCTGAAGCCAATGTCTAGACAGGTTTTTCCAATGTTACCTTCTAGTATTTTCATAGTTTCAGGTCTTAGATTTAAGTCCTTGTTCCATCTTGAGTTGATTTTTGAATAAGGTGAGAGATAAGGATCCAGTTTCATTCTCCTACATGTGGCTTGCCAATTTTGCCAGCATCATTAGTTGAATAGGGTGTCCTTTCCCACTTTATGTTCTTGTTTGCTTTGTCAAAGTTTAGTTGGCTGTGAATATTTGGCTTTATTTCTGGGTTCTCTATTTTGTTCCATTGATGTATGTGTCTATTTTTACACTAGTACCATGATGTTTTGGTGACTATGGCCTTATAGCATAGTTTGAAATCAGGTAATGTGATCCCTCCAAATTTACTCTGTTTGCTTAGTATTGCTTTTGTCATGAGGGCTCTTTTTTGGTTTTATATGAATTTTAGGATTGTTTTTTCGAGTTCTGTGAAGAATGATGGTGGTATTTTGGTGGGAACTGCATTGAATTCCTAGATTGCATTTGGCAGTATGGTCATTTTCACAATATTGATTCTACCCATCCAGGAGCACGGAGTGTGTTTCCATTTGTTTGTATCATCTATTATTTCTTTCAGCAGTGTTTTGTAGTTTTTTAAATTTTTTCGTAGATGTCTTTCACCTCCTTGGTTAAATATATTCCTAAGTATTTTATTTTTTGCAGTTATTGTAAAAGAGATTGAGTTTTTTATTTTATTCTCAGCTTGATCGCTGTTGTTGTACAGCAGAGCTACTGATGTGTGTACATTAATTATGTATCATGAAACTTGGCTGAATTCATTTATCAGTTCCAGGAGCTTTTTTGGGGAGTCTTTAGGGTTTTCTATGTATACAGTCATATCATCAGCAAATAGAGACAGTTTGACTTCCTTCTTACTTATTTGGATGCACTTTATTTCTTTCTCTTGTCTGATTGCTCTGGCAAGGACTTCCAGTCTTATGTTGAATAGAAGTGATGAGAGTGAGCATCCTTGTCTTGTTCAATCTCTCAGAGGGAATGCTTTTAACTTTTCCCAATTCAGTATTATGTCGGCTGTGGGTTTGTCATACATGGCTTTTATTACACTGAGATATGTCCTTTGTATGACAATTTTGGTGAGGGTTTTAATTATAAAAGGATGTTGGATTTTTTTCAAATGCATTTTCTGTGTCTATTGAGATGATTATGTAATTTTTGTTTTGGATTCTGTTTATGTGGTGTACTACATTTATTGACTTGTGCATGTTAAACCATCCATGAGTACCTGGTATGAAACCCACTTGATCATGGTGGATTATCTTTTTAATATGCTGTTGGATATAGTTAGCTAATATTTTGCTAAGGATTTTTGCATCTGTATTCATCAGGGATATTGGTCTGTAGTTTGTTTGTTTGTTTGTTTGTTTGTTTATTTATTTATTTATTTATTTATTTATTTATGACAGAGTCTCACTCTGTTGCCCAGACTGGAGTGCAATGACGTGATCTCGGCTCACTGCAACCTTCACCTCACGGGTTCAAGTGATTCTCCTGCCTCAGCCTCCTGAGTAGCTGGGATTACATGCACGTGCCACCATGCCCAGCTAATTTTTGTATTTTTAGTAGACACAGGGTTTCACCATGTTGGTCAGGCTGGTCTTGAACTCCTGACCTCATAATCCACCCACCTCGGCCTCCAAAGGTGCTGGGATTACAGGTGTGAGCCACCATTCCTGGCCTGGAGTATTCTTTCTTTGTTATGTCCTTTCCTGGTTTTGGCATTAGGTTTCGGTGTTACTGGCTTTGTAGAATGATTTAAGGAGGATTCCCTATTGCTTTATCTTGTAGAATACTGTCAATAGGATTGGTACCAATTCTTCTTTGAATGTCTGGTAGAATTCAGCTAGGAATCCATCTAGTCCTGGACTTTTTTTGTTGGTAATTGTTTTATTACTATTTCAATCTCGCTGCTTGTTATTGGTCTGTTCAGAGTTTCTAATTCTTCCTGATGTAACCTAGGAGGGTTGTATCTTTCCAGGAATTTATCCATCTCCTCTAGTTTTTCTAGTTTATCACATAAAGGTGTTCACAGTAGACTTGAATGATCTTTTACCTTTCTGTGGAGTCAGCTGTATTATCTCCTGTTTTGTTGCTAAATGAGCTTATTTGGATCTTCTTTCTTCTTTTCTTGGGTAATCTTGCTAATGGTCTATCAATTTTATTTATGTTTTCTTTCTTTTCTTTTTTTTTTTTTTTTTTTTTGAGACAAGAGTCTCGCTCTGTTGCACAGGCTGGAGTGCAGTGGAGTGATCTCGGCTCACTGCAAGCTCTGCCTCCCAGGTTCACACCATTCTCCTGCCTCAGCCTCCCAGGTAGCTGGGACTACATAGCCACCACGCTCGGCTAATTTTTTGTATTTTTAGTAGAGAGGGGGTTTCACCGTGTTAGCCAGGATGGTCTCAATCTCCTGACCTCATGATCCGCCCGCCTCGGCCTCCCAAAGTGCTGGGATTACAGGCGTGAGCCACTACGCCTGGCCCCTATTTATGTTTTCAAATAACCACCTTTTTGTGTAATTTATCCTTTGTATTTTTTGTTTCTTTGTTTCAATTTCATTTAGTTGTGTTTTGATCTCAGTTATTTCCTTTCTTCTTCTGGGTTTGGGCATGATTTGTTTTTGTTTTTCTAGTTCCTTAAGGTGTGACTTTAGATTGTCTCTTTGTTGCTTTTTAGACTTTTTGATGTAGGCATTTAGGGCTATGAACTTCCCTCTTAGCCCCACCTTTGCTATATCCCAGAGGTTTTGATAGGTTGTGTTATTATTATCATTCAGTTTGAAGACTTTTTAAATTTCCATCTTAATTTAATTGTTAACCCAATGATCGTTCAGGAGCAGATTATTTAATTTCCATGTATTTGCATGGTTTTAAAGGTTCCTTTTGGTGTTGATTTCCAATTTTATTCCACTGAAGTCTGAAAGAATACTTGATATCACTTCAATTTTCTTTTTTTATGTTTTTTTATTATTATACTTTAAGTTCTAGGGTACATGTGCACAACATGCAAGTTTGTTACGTATGTATACATGTGCCATGTGGGTGTGCTACACCCATTAACTCGTCATTTACATTAGGTATATCTCCTAATACTATCCCTTCCCCCTCCCCACACCACACGACAGGCCCCGGTGTGTGATGTTCCCCTTCCTGTGTCCAAATGTTCTCATTGTTCGATTCCCACCTATGAGTGAGAACATGCGGTGTTTGGTTTTTTTCCTTGCGATAGTTTGCTGAGAATGATGGTTTCCAGCTTCATCCATGTCCCTAAAAAGGACATGAACTCATCATTTTTTATGGCTGCACTGTATTCCATGGTATATATGTGCCACATTTTCTTAATCCAGTCTATCATTGATGGACATTTGGGTTGGTTCAAAGTCTTTGCTATTGTGAATAGTGCCACAATAAACATACGTGTGCATGTGTCTTTATAGCAGCATGGTTTATAGTCCTTTGGGTATATACCCAGTAATGGGATGGCTGGGTCAAATGTTATTTCTAGTTCTAGATCCTTGAGGAATCATCACACTGTCTTCCAAAATTGTTGAACCAGTTTGCAGTCCCACCAACAGTGTAAAAGTGTTCCTATTTCTCCACATCCTTTCCAGCACCTATTGTTTCCTGACTTTTTAATGATCACCATTCTATCTGGTGTGAGACGATAGCTCATTGTGGTTTTGATTTGCATTTCTCTGATGGCCAGTGATGATGAGCATTTTTTCATGTGTCTGTTGGCTGCATAGATGTCTTCTTTTGAGAAGTGTCTGTTCATATCCTTCACCCACTTTTTGATGGGGTTGTTTGTTTTTTTCTTGTAAATTTGTTTGAGTTCTTTGTAGATTCTGGATATTAGCCCTTTGTCAGATGAGTAGATTGCAAAAATTTTCTCCCCTTCTGTAGGTTGCCTGTTCACTCTGATGGTAGTTTCTTTTGCTGTGCAGAAGCTCTTTAGTTTAATTAGATCCCATTTGTTAATTTTGGCTTTTGTTGCCATTGCTTTTGGTGTTTTAGACATGAAGTCCTTTCCCATGCCTATGTCCTGAAGGGTATTGCCTAGGTTTTCTTCTAGGGTTTTTTTGGTTTTAGGTCTAACATTTAAGTCTTTAATCCATCTTGAATTAATTTTTGTATAAGGTGTAAGGAAGGGATCCAGTTTCAGCTTTCTACATATGGCTAGCCAGTTTTCCCAGCACCATTTATTAAATAGAGAAACCTTTCCCCATTTCTGATTTTTGTCAGGTTTGTCAAAGATCAGATAGTTGTAGATGTGTGGTATTATTTCTGAGGGCTCTGTTCTGTTCCATTAGGCTGTACCTCTGTTTTGGTACCAGTACCATGCTGTTTTGATTACTGTAGCATTGTAGTAGAGTTTGAGGTCAGGTAGCATGATGCCTCAAGCTTTGTTCTTTTTGCTTAGGATTGTCTTGGCAATGCAGGATCTTTTTTGGTTCCATATGAACTTTAAAGTAGTTTTTTCCAATTCTGTGAAGAAAGTCATTGGTAGCTTGATGGGGATGGCATTAAATCTATAAATTACCTTGGGCAGTATGGCCATTTTCACGATATTGATTTTTACTGTCCATGAGCCTGGAATGTTCTTCCATTTGATTGTGTCCTCTTTTATTTCATTGAGCAGTGGTTAGTAGTTCTCCTTGAAGAGGTCCTTCACATCCCTTGTAAGTTGGATTCCTAGGTATTTTATTCTCTTTGAAGTAATTGTGAATGGGAGTTCACTCGTGATTTTGCTCTCTGTTTGTCTGTTATTGGTGTATAAGAATGCTTGTGATATTTGCTCATTGATTTTGTATCCTGAGACTTTGCTGAAGTTGCTTATCAGCTTGAGGAGATTTTGGGCTGAGACGATGGGGATTTCTAAATATACAATCATGTCATCTGCAAACAGGGACAATTTGACTTCCTCTTTTCCTAATTGCATACCCTTTATTTCTTTCTCCTGCCTGATTGCCCTGGCCAGAACTTCCAACACTATATTGAATATGAGTGGTGAGAGAGGGCATCCCTGTCTTGTGCCAGTTTTCAAAGGGAATGCTTCCAGTTTTTGCCCATTCACTATGATATTGGCTGTGGGTTTTTCATAAATAGCTCTTATTATTTTGAGATACGTTCCATCAATACCTAATTTATTGAGAGTTTTTAGCATGAAGGGCTGTTGAATTTTGTCAAAGGCCTTTTCTGCATCTATTGAGATAATCATGTGGTTTTTGTCTTTGGTTCTGTTTATAATATCATTTCAGTTTTCTTAAATTTACTAAGACTTGTTTTGTGGTCTATCATATGGTCTATCTTGGAAAAAGTTCTACACACTGGCAAATAGAATGTATTTTCTGTGGTGGTTGAATAGAATATTCTGTAAATATCTATTAAGTCCATTTCTTCCAGGTTATAGTTTAAATCCATTATTTTTGTTGTTGTTGGCTTTCTGTCTTGATGACCTGTCTAGTTTGTCAGTGGAGTATTGAAGCCCCCCACTATTATTGTATTGCTGTCTATCTCATTTCTTAGGTCTAGTAGTGATTGTTTTATAAATTTGGGAGCTCCAGTGTTAGGTGCATATATATTTAGGATTGTGATATTTTCCTGTTTGACAAGGCCTTTTATTATTATGTAATGTCCCTCTTTCTCTTTTTTAACTGGTGTTGCTCTAAAGTTTGTTTTATCTGATGTAAGAATAGCTACTCCTGTTCACTTTTGTTGTCCATTTGCATGGAATGTCTTTTTCCACTCCTTTACCTTAAGTTTATGTGAGTCTTTATGTGTTTGGTGAGTCTCTTGAGGGCAGAAGATACTTCGTTGGTGCATTCTCATCCTTTCTTCATTCTGCATATTTTAAGTGGAGCATTTAGGCCATTTACATTCAATGTTAGTAATGAGATGTAAGGTACTATTGTATTTCATTCATCATGCTATTTGATGCCTTTATATCTTTTTTTATTGTATGTTTGTTTTATAGGTCCTGGATATTTATACTTTAAAGAGATTCTATTTAATGTGTTTCTAGGATTTATTTCAAGATTTAGAGCTCCTTTTAGCAGTTCTTGCAATGCAGGTTTGGTAGTGGTGAATTCTCTCAGCATTCTTTTGTCTAAAAAAGACTTTATCTTTCCTTCATTTATGATGCTTAGTTTCACTGGGTACAAAATTCTTGGCTGATAATCTTTTTGTTTAAGGAAGCTGAAGATAGGGTACCAATCCTTTCTAGCTTGTAGAGTTTCTGCTGAGAAATCTGCTGTTAATTTGATAGGTTTCCTTTTATGGGTTATCTGGTGCTTTTGCTGCATAGCTCTTTAGATCCTTTTCTTCATCTCGACTTTGGATAACCTGATGACAAAGTGGTTAGGTGATGATCTTTTTTGCGATGAATCCCATAGGTTTTTTTGAGCTTCTTGTGTTTGGATGTCTAGGTTTCTAGCAAGGCTGGAGATGTTTTCCTCAATTATTCCCTCAAATATATTTTCCAAACTTTTAGATTACGCTTCTTTCTCAGGAACATCTATTATTCTTAAGTTTGGTCTTTTAACAAAATCCTGTACTTCTTGGAGGCTTTGTTCATATTTTAAAATCCTTTTATCTTTGTCTTCATTGGATCGTGTTAATTCAAAAACCTTGTGTTTGAGCTCTGAAGTCCTTTCTTCTGCTTGTTTGATTTTATTGCTGAGACTTTCCAGAATATTTTGCATTTCTCCAACTCTATCCTTTATTTCCTAAAGTTGTGATCGTTTTTTATTATGGTGTCTATTTCACTGAAGATTTTTCCCCTCATATCTTGTATCTTTTTTTTTTAATTTCCTTATATTGGACTTTACCTTTTTTTGATGCTTCTTTGATTGGCTAAATAATTAACCTTCTGAATTCTTTTTCAGGTAAATCAGAGTTTTCTTCTTGGTTTAGATCTATTGCTGGTAAGCTAGTGTGATTTTTTTTAGGTGTGTTAAAGAACCTGGTTTTTCGTATTACCAGAATTGTTATTCTGGTTCTTTCTCATTTTTGTAGGCTATGTCAGAGGGAAGATCTGGGGCTCAAGGCTGATGTTCAGATTCCTTTGTCCCGTGGGATGTTTTCTTGATGTAGTACTCTCTGCCTTTTCCTGGGAATGTGGCTTCCTGAGAGCTGAACTGTAGTGATTGTTATTTCTCTTCTGAATCTAGTCACCCAGCAGGGCTACCAGGCTCTGGGCTTGTACCGGAAGTTGTCTGCACAGAGTCCTGTGATGTGAACCATCTTTAGGACTCTGTGCCGTGGATACCAGCACCTGATCCAGTGGAGGTGGCAGAGGAGTAAAATGGACTCTGTGAGGGTCCTTAGTTTTGGTTGTTTAATGCACTATTTTCATGCTGGCTGGCCTCCTGCCAGGAGGTGGTGCTTTCAAGACAGCATCAGCTGAGGTAGTACAGGAAGGATCAGGTAATGGGCAAGGCCCTAGAACTTCCAAGAGAATATTCCCTTTGTCTTCAGCTACCAGGGTGGGTAGGAAAGGATCATCAGGTGAGGGCAGGGTTAGGCATGTCTGAGCTCAGACTCTCCTTGGGCAGGGCTTGCTGCGGCTGCTGTGAGAGATAGGGGTATGGTTTCCAGGTCCCTGAAGTTATGTTCCCAGGAGAATTATGGCTGCCTCTGTTGTGCCATGTAGGTTGTCAGGGAAGTAGAAAAAAGCCAGCAGTTACAGGCTTCACTTAACTCCCACACATATGAAAAGGCTGATCTGACTCCCACCATGCCCCCACACCACGAACAGCACCAAATTTGTTTCCTAGCAGTTGGCGAGCAGGCCTGGAACTTGTCCCAGGCTACCAGCCTCCCAGCTGAGAAAACAAGCAGGACTTTCACGCCTCCCTGCCTGTTGAGTCTGCACACCAGATTCATGTCGTCCCCTAAGTTCTGGCCAGGAGACTTTGCATTCGGTTGGAATCGTTACAAAGTTCAGCTGGAGGTTTCTTTTCCCTGTGGTCTTTTCCCAGTTCCTCTAGCAGTCCTCCCCAAGGCCTCCTGTGAGACAATTCAGAAGTGGCTCCCTAGGGACCCAGAGAGCCCACAGGGCTTTTCTTGCTGCTTTTTCTCTGTATTTTGCTCAGCTCTTAAAATTGACTCAGCTCCGGTTAAGGTCAAATTCTTTTCCCTTGATCTAGACCTTCAGGTTCCCCAGCAAGAGTGTGTGTTTGGGGATGGACGATCCCCCTTTCCCACTGTCACAGCTTGGGCACTTACAGTATTTGGACTGTCTCCCAGGTCCTGTAGGAGCAATCTGCTTCCTTCAGAGGGTCTGCAGATTCTCTTGGCTTTTCTGATATATTCTTGCAGTAGTTCTGGAGCAAAACTTCATCATGTGAGTCTCCACACACTGCTCCGTTCATCTGAGCTAGAGCTGCAAGCTATTCCTACCTCCTATCTGCCATCTTCTTTATGTGCAATGGATGTTGAATCAGATTTATGAAGAAGCTTTTAATTGATAACAGTAGTTCTGATCCATTGTATCACTTCTGCCAAAGTCCATTAGTTGTTAGCACGTCACAAGCCCACCTAGATGCAAGGGGAGGAAAATAGATCTTACCTCAGAGTGGGGAGAGTGTCTAGTTCATGTTGTAGAAGAGCATGAAGGAAAGGAGATATTGTGATCATCTTTGAAAAATCCAATGCGTGGCTGGGCTTGGTGGCTTATGCCTATAATTCCAGCACTTTGGGAGGCCAAGGTGGGTGGATCACTTGAGGTTAGGAGTTTGAGACCAGCTTGGACAACATGGTGAAACTCTGTCTCTACCAAAAAAAAAAAAAAAAAGTGAGAAAAATTATCCAAACGTTGTGGCACATGCCTGTAGTCCCAGTTACTCAGGAAGCTGAGATGGGAGAACCACATGAACCCAGGAGGCAGAGATTACAGTGAGCTGAGATCACACCCTGCACTCCAGCCTGGGCAACACAGTGAAACTCTGTCTCAAAAAAGAAAAAGAAAAACATCCAATTCATTAGCTATTATCTATCCCTTATTTTCTATAATCCCTAATGTCAGATATTTATTTGAATAGTGTAATGTTAGGATTAATTCTTTAAGATTTTTTTTGAATATTTTTTCTTTTCTGGACATTTTTATTATACTTTCTTGTTTATTTTGTTGACTTTATACTCCACTTCTAATTTAAACATTTTATTTTGCCATCATGTTTTTAGTTTGGTTACTAAAATACTTAGATTTTTTTCATTTTCTTAATGCTTTCTATTTTTGGTGACTGGTATAAATGTTTTGTTTTAATGATGCAATATCATAACATTTGTGAGCCTGATACATTTATATTTAAGAAGTCATCCCAATCCCATCAGTTTTCATTTCTGTATGTCATTTCTGTTTATTTTTTATTTTTATTCTGAAAAGAGTTAATTGAAAAATAAAAATTATATGTTTTATGGTGTACAACATAATGTTTTGAAGTATGCATACATTGTGAGATGGCTAACTTGAGCTAATTAGCATTTGCATTATTGGGGTAGGGGGAGGGGGAGGGATAGCATTAGGAGATATACCTAATGTAAATGACGAGTTAATGGGTGTAGCACACCAACATGGCACATGTATACATATGTAACAAACCCGCACGTTGTGCACATGTACCCTAGAACTTAGAGTATAATAAAAAATATATATATAAAATAAACACAACAAAAATGAAAAAAAAATTTGCATTATCTCACATATTTACCATTTTTTTGTGGTGAGAATATTTAAAATCTTCTCTCTTAGAGGTTTTCAAAATACAATAGATTGCTATTAACTATAGTTGCCATGATGTACAACAGAGCTCTTTAATTTATTTCTCCTATCTAACTGAAATTTTGTATCCGCTGACCAATATCTCTCCAATCTCCTTTCTCGACCCCAAGCCTCTGGTAACTACTATTCTACCTTCTGATTCCATTATTTCAATTTTTTTAGGTTCTACCCACCCTGGCTTATTTTCTTAAGTGTAATGTATTTCTGGTTCAACCATGTTGTCCCAAATGACATAATTTCCTTCTTTTTTTTTTTTTTTAAGGCTATTACTCCATTGTGTATATACACTACTTATCCCTTCATGGGCAATTAGGTCGACTCTCACTTGTTTCTTTTGTCTGATTGCTGTTCTTTTCACTAGAAAAACTGCTGGTATGTAAAGGTCTTTCCTCTCACAGTGTTAGAGTTTCCAGAGAAGCATTGACTGAAACTTTTCTTCAAGGAAAAAAGAAGACAACAGCTGAGACAATGTGAAAACCAGGTTATGAACTCTGTTTTGTGTTCATTTTATCTATTTGCCAACTGCAATTCACTTTCATCTTTAATTCCCACATCTCACTTCTGCCCTTCACTATACCTGGTGTCCTGAATCCACAGCACCACAGATCACTTTTTCTAGGAAAGAACTATTTGTTGTTCTGCCTTGAAGGTAGGTGCTTGCATTTGAGTGTTTTTCTCAATGAGAAGGAAAAAAAGAGAGTCAAAATTTCTCATATATCCACTTTCAAACTATATTCACCTAAATGTGTGCTGTGATATATGCTTTCCTTATGACCTCTTCTTGATTCGTGCCAATGTATCTTCTGACTCCCTTGGGTTTTACAAGGCAAATCAGTTCACTTCTCATCATCATTTCTTTTCCACTCTCTTGTGGGGCAACTTCCACTACAGAGGTGCCATATCCCCATGTAGTTTCTGGTCTCCTAACTTTTCCTGGAATCTCTTTTTTTTTTTTTTTTTTCTGAGATGGAGTCTCGGTCTGTCTCCTGGAATCTCTTATCTGTTGATATTTCTTTTTCCATTATCTTGGTCTTCTCAGTATTATGTTTTTATTATCCAAAAACAAAGTAGATAAAAAGAGACTTATCCTACATCTTCAGTCAAGAAATCAATACCATCATATCTTACTAATAATTATTAAAACATACGAGAGCTGCCTAGTTTAAATGAGGTACGGATGATAGGGACTAAATATAAAAAGCAGCCATATTTCTTATTTGAGTTTCTAATATCGAAGCAGAGCTGAATGTTACTCACACGAGAGAATCGGGGGTTATATTGTGTGGCATTGGCAATAGCTACTGTGGCACTCAAGAGACGAGACGAAAAAGTGGGATGGAAGCCGCAGAAAAGACCTGTTGATGATTTGAAATTGACTAGATCCTGAAAAATCGCATAACCATAGTAAGAGGGATAAAAAAAGCACAAAGGTTTTATTAACTAGACTGTTTTTCTTTTCTTTTAAAGAAAATGCTTCTAGATATTTATTAACTCTGGTGTGGAGTGGTTTCATTTTTACCTCAGTTATTCAATTTCTGTCCCTACAAAATGAAAATATCTATTGCTACCATATTTTAATTTTGCATATTGAATATATTGTAAACATGAACTTTGTGAGACAATGTCTAGCAAATAATAGGCCACCAAATGATTAATAGTACACAAATTAACAAAGGTTGTTGTCCCAGTTATAATAAAGGTGATTATTATGATGTGATCATGAAGAGAAGGCATGAGCCCATCAATGTGCCCAGCACACATAATACACAGGTTCTACTTGTCTGTGTTCCTGGGAAAGGGCTTAGAGTCAGTGAGAAATATAGAAAAGAGAAAGGAAAAAGCAGTTATCATGTTCCTATAATGTGATGAGCATGTTATTGAATAATAATTACATTCTAAATGTATATAACACGTATAAATGTGTTTAAAAATATGTATACAAAATATATGGAGATTTTCAAAGCTATCAGCTATATTTATATAGCTTAAAGCCATATAGGTTTATATGTACCTATATATACACACACTCATATATAGTTATATAATTATGAAGAATCATAAATATGTGAATGCTTCTTCATCCACCAGCTAACTTAAGGAAAAAATTGTGATTAATAACTTGGAAGCCCCTTAGAGGTTGTATGTCTTCACATATATCCTTTCTCTCAGAAACTAAAATTTTGTGTCTGTTTTTCTTTTTCATTTTTACCATATATGTATGTATTTGTTTTGTTCTTTGGGCTGTTTACATTTATATAAATGAAACTGACTATAGTTATTTATCTCTAAGTTATCATTAATTATTTTATTATTTTACTCAATGTGATGTTACTCAGTCAGCCAGTTATTGATTCCTTGCCTTTAGTTTTATATTCATCCTTTTTTCTGTTCTGTGAAAATAGATCTGGGCCTTTTACTATTTTTCTTTGTCAGCTGGCACAGTGCTAATCTTTGTCAATAGGGGTTACTGGAGAGACACTGCAAGAAGAAAGGGTTTTGTTTCCTGGTTTCTGCAGCAGACACAGCTTCTTCATTAATCAGCAGAAGTTCATGGAAGTCAACAGAAACACAAGTGGCTTTCTGCTTCCCCTGACACCTCCCTACTCCCAGGCAGTTTTGTAGTATACAGTCTCTTTTGTAAGTACAATTTTAACTTACAAATTAGAAGGCAGATTCCTATCAAGTCCTGAATTGTAGATTTCGAGAAAGTTCTGTGCGTGGCACCACAGTGACTTCTCTGCGTTCAGAGGCTATGACCTACCATCTGCTTCCCAACAAGGCCTGTTCATGGGGGGTGGTTCTAACATGGCTGCATTCTCCAGCCCTACAGGTAGTGACAGCTTTTTTAAAAAAGTTCTCTTTACTTCTTATTAGATCATATTGCATCCCTCCAATTCCCTGTTATAGCTTAAAATTCTTTATTTTAATATTTTATGATTTAAATTTCTTGGGTTTCTCTCTTCTTATTAGACCCAGGCTGATATTCTTCCTTCATTTGTATAGTTCTTTTATTTGTACTACCCTGTGACATTTGTTTTTAATTTATATTTCATATGCTTTTCCATGATCACTAATAAATTTGCATAACAGTTGATATATTTGTTGGCAAATAGCATTTCCATCTATCAGACTCTTTATATGTAATCTCATTTAATCCTCACTACAATCCTGGAAGATACTTATTCTGTTTCTCATTTTATACGTTGAAAAACAAAACTCTGTTAAATAAAATGATTTGTCAAGTTAAATAATTTGTCTAAGTACAAGAAAGTAGTAGATCTGGAAATTAAAATATTGTCTTTCATTCCCCAAATCACTGTTTTGTTTCTAATACTTTATGCTAAGTAATGATAGACATGATATAGAAAGTGGTAGTTTACTGTTACAATTGTACAAGGTAGTGCTTCATTTGTTTATAAACCAAATATGAAACTATTACAAAGATTTATTAAAAATATAACGAGCTCTTGATCTGGGCAGTAAGGACAGGAATAACAACAATAAGACAACAAAAAATCTGTTTTCTTTAAGTAATCTAGGAAGGAAAAAGAGGGAATATAAATTATTTAAAAACTAGCTTTCTTATGAGTTTTTGAACTAAACTTATTCTGAATGTCATCGCTAACCTCTAATATAATGGGTTTCACATAATATTGGGTCATTACATTTTTAAGCATCATCAAATATAATGAAGAATAATATATTTGAAAATCAGTTTGATGAAAAAAATTTGAAATTCAGATTTAGATCAGGCTTCATTAAAAAGGCAAAAAAGTCCCAAAGCTGAACTTGCCCATTTCTTGCTTTGCAAATGAAAATTGTAAAAAACCAAATGACAGAGAGATCAATGTGGCGAGACAATTCAAAAAGCAGCACCACAAAGGAGTTAAATATAATATAATTACATGTCAAATCCATGAGCCACACTCTCAGGACTGGAGATAGGAAATCAGCCAAGGTTATTCAAAAGAACAAGAGTAATATGCTCCCCTGTTTCGTATTCTACCACTCCCAGTTTTATACCTAACTAGCTCTGCCTAAGAGCCAGACCTGACACCAATTTAAACATTAGCGAAAGTTCCCTTTGCAGTCAAGCAGTCCTCTCTTTCATCTAGTCTGAACTCTCTTGCTTGTGCCGTCTCCTTTTGGGCTCCTGTTGTTTTCAGTATTAAGCTCTCAAAATTGATAGTGGGTAATGGTTGGTCTGTTATTAATTTAAAAATTATTCAAGGCATAAATAAATAAATGTTTTCTTAAAAAAAATGCAGGCACTAAAACAGAAAACGGTTTGAACAGGGGTTGCTTCACGGCATCTTTCAAATTATCCTCATAGTTTGCTGCTTATTTACCTTTATGAGATTTTACAGAACTAAAGATG
Organism: Homo sapiens; assembly: GCF_000001405.40. Taxonomy (NCBI): domain Eukaryota; kingdom Metazoa; phylum Chordata; class Mammalia; order Primates; family Hominidae; genus Homo; species Homo sapiens. Next base: position 123,374,411 of record NC_000002.12, on the reverse strand, counting down.
ATTCATTAGTTGGTCTTAATACTTTACAGAATATAGATCTCCAAGACTGCTTTTAATGAAGTCAAAAAGGTAATACTGTAACTGAATTAGAGTAGAATGACCTCCACTTTGGTGCATAGAGTGCACTCTATACATACCAACAAGCTTACCGACCCACATGTAAACCTCAGTTTTCTGTTTTCCAAAAGTCATGTGTTATACACACGTACCCAATGGCCGTGTTTCTTACCAGGTTTCTTGGTTAAGTTGAAATATTTTTATTTAAAAGAACAGAATCATATGTAAATTTTATTACATTTAAGTATAGGTTTATAATACACAAACCTATTTACCTGCAATTCATTTGACTAGTTTAGGTTCCAATGTGTATTTCTCATGCAATCTTTGCATATCGCACCACAATTGTCTTTCTTTTTTTAACGGATCTATGGGATTTATGGAATCTCTTGTTATTACGGATTCTCTCGCTAGACATTTAAAAGACTCTCCTGCGTTTTTAAGGTAACTGTGTGTTATTGCATAAAAAGAACACAAATAAGCACCTAAGCGCACCTTAAGTAATTTAAAAAGTATTCATTTAGGCCACTTGCTAGCATCTTCTGTGTTGCTGTTTGGAAATAGCTGATGTCTCTGTTTTACTCCCTGGTGTGTGCCAGGACCTTTGCTATTCCCTACCTCGTAGTCCTGACTGCCCATCTGTTTTAATGTCAAGATTAGGATTTATCTTCGTGTGATTTCCCATTAGTTTCCCAATTAAGTCTCCAAAATTCCAGCACTATCAATCCCAAGCTTTCACCCAGCGAGCCTGACATAGGTGGAAGATGATCAATGGCAAAAACCCAGACATATGCCACTTAGATATTGCAGAGTCAGAAAGATGTTCCCACTCTATCTAAATGCAGAATTTACTGTACACAATTCCATTCGCCTTACCCCAGTGATACCATGGCAGCAAGTCATTCTTCCTCATGAAAGTTTTAAGATGCTTGGTTCCCACCCTGCTTGATGAGCAGGATTATATGCAGCCTCCCTGCCTCCTGTCCCTGCACATACACACTCACAAGTATTGACATTTTCCTCCTTAGAAACTCAGATTAGCAGCATGTGACAAGTTGTACCTTTGGATACAATAGCATAAGAACCTATTTTAAGGAAAAACTTCTACTAGGGAATGTGATATAGTATTTCCTCACGGGAACATTTTCCTCTAAGGAACTTATAAATATATTGAGATGTAATAGTACAATTGTTTTCGATCCATTCAGAATCTCACCTTACATTATCTATGACTAGACAAATTGAGACGCTATAGGATGCTGGCCTGACAGCTCATGCCATCGGTGTTAGAATTTCATTTTTCCATAGTACTCCTTGAGTCCAGAAAAGAGCTGAGTGCCTCGTAGGAGCTATTATATAACATAATTAGTAATTAAGCTATTATAATTACTAATTATGCTATTCTAATTACTAATTATGTATTATAATTACTAATTATGTTATATAATAGCATCTAAAATATATATTTTTACAAGAAGATTAATTTATTTCTTTAAAAGATGAAAAGAAGACACTAATTTACTAGCAATACAGAGCTATACATATGAGCTATAGAATTAGTGATGCAGATATTTTAAAATAAACCAACTTTCATCAAACCCAAAGAGTGACATGAACCAGACAACTAGGAAAATCTTCATGTACCTTTGAGGAGAAAATGGAACAGTGACTAATTTTGGGTAATTGCTTTAAGTATTACATTGTGGCAAACATTCATTTTGCCTGTCAAATGCCTCATTACCATTTTATCAAACCAAGACTTGAAAGAAGCAAACTAAGAATAACCCTTTAAAGAAGTAAGGTTACCTGTGAATATTATTCATAATTTTAACATGCATAATAACTAATGTTTTAACTTGAAATCTACATCAGCTAGTGAATAATTTACTCACTCTAGTTTGACCCTAATAAAGTCCTCAATATGAAAATTAGCAATATGGCATCGAATACAGGTATATAATTATCTCCCTGAATTTATAATGGAAATATTTAAAAAGAATAAATATTCAATTATCTTGTTAGGGTAATTTAAGTTCATCCATAACCGCAACAAAAAACACAGGAAGACGGAATACTCTAGTGAAGACATAAAAGGTGCTTGGCCAATTTGATAGTCACAACTTTTTACTTTATATATTTACTCATATAATTTTACCATCATTTATTTATTCACTTAATGGTTGACACATTCATTCATTTAGAAAGCATATGCTAAGGAAGCACTGTGCTCAGGCTCTCTTCTAAGAGGCAGGGATGTTAAGTGGAGAAGGATGGAATTCTTGCCTCTTCTTTCTCCTCTACTCACCTTTTCAGTATTCCTGGGACCACCATATGGTATCAGTGGCATTCTCCAAGGATGCTGCTTACCTGACGTTGCCCTCAGAATCCTACCTTCCTTATTCAAGAGTAGTGCACCCTGTAACCTGTTTATAATGAGATTCTGAAGAGTTATTTTACTCTATATATTACAAAGGTGATGTTCTGGTTCCCTTTATGTGTCAACTTGACGGGGCCACAAGGTGCCCCTATTCATGACCATATATTCTGGGTGTGTCTGACAGTGCTCTGCATGAGATTAACACATGAATGCAGAGACTGAGTAAAGTACACTGCTCTCAGCATAGGTGGGCTCATCCAATCAACTGACTTCATGAATAGAACAAAAGGCTGAGTTAAGAAGGAACTCCTCCTGCATGATTGCCTTGATCTGGGTTATGGACTTTTCAGTCTCAAGACATGTACTGAAACGTTGATTCTTCTTGGGTCTCACGCATGCTGGTTTTTGTACTGGAACTTATGTTGTCAGCTCTCCTGGCTCTCAGGCCTTTGGATTTGGACTGGCTGTCTTGGGACTCCAGCTTTTCTCAATCTCTCTCTGTTTCTCTGGAGAACCCTGATTAATACAAGTGATAAAGCTATATATTAAAAACGACTTCACCAGTCTCTCTCTCTTTCTCTGTGTGTGTGTGTGTATGGAAAGTATGTAAATTAGAGCATATTTATACATTTCAAGTGAAATCTTAAAATGAATACACAAACACACATATAGTAATTCTCCTTAACTTCAGGGCATATGTCCCAAGTCCCCCAGTGGATGCCTAAAACCACAAACAGTACTACACCCTATAAAGATGGTCCCCATCTAATGATGATTCAACTTAAAATTTTTAACTGTATGATTGGTTTTTTGAGATGTAATCCCATTGTAAATCTAGAAGTATCTGAAGTTATGATGGTTTAACTTATAATTTTACAACTTTATGATGGGTTTATTGGAGTACAAAATGCATTTTTTAAATTTTTTAAGTCTTTTATTTTAGGTTCAGGGGTACATGTGCGGGTTCGTTATATAGGTAAACTGCATGTCACATGGGCTTTTTGGACATATTATTTACCACTAGGGTAATAAGCATAGTATCCCATAGGTAGTTTTTTTTATCTTTCCCCTCCTCCCATCCACCACTCTCAAGTAGGACTTGATGTCTGTTGTTTGCCTCTTTATGTTCATGTGTTCTCATTGTTTAGCTTCCATTTATACATGAAAACATGTGGTATTTGGTTTTCTCTTCCTGCATTAGTTTGTTTAGGATAATGGCCTTCAGTTCCATCCATGTTGCTGTAAAAGAAATGATCTTGTTATTTTTTATGTTCAAGTAGTATTCCATGTTGTGTATGTACCACATTTTCTTTATCCAGTCTACCGCTGATGGGCATTTAGGTTGATTTGATGTCTTTGATATTGTGAAAAGTGCTATGATAAACATACATGTACAAGTGTCCATGTGTTAGAATAATTTAAAATTTGGGGGGTATATACCCAATAATGGCACTGCTGGGTTAAACAGCAATTCTATTTTAAGTTCTTTGAGGAAATGCCACACTGCTTTCCACAATTGCTGACCTAACTTACATTCCCACCAGCAGTGTATAAGCATGAGCTTTTCTCCACACAACCTTGTCATCATCTGTTATTTTTTGACTTTTTAATGAAAGACATTCTGACTAGTGTGGAATGGCATCTCACTGTGCTTCTGGTTTGCATTTTTCTAATGATTAGTGATGTTGAGCATTAGAAGCATTTTTGACACAACATTTTACTTAGGATGGGGTTATAAGGACATAACCCCATTAAAAATGGAGGATCATTGCTATATACATGTATTGTGTATTTTTTTAAACAATATCTTAACAATACCTTTATCATAGGTAAGATTTTAGCAATATCATGCCTGTGATAAAGTTTAATTTACAAATTACAAACAATACTCTTGCACTTTGGGGCCATTACAACGTAAAATAAGGGTGATGTGGACACAAGTACTGTGATACTATGACAGTGGATCTGATCATTGAGATGGGTTCTAAGTGACTAATGGGCGGGTCCTATATACAGCATGGATACACTGCACAAATGGAGGATCACATCCTGGGTGATATGGAGTGGAATGGAATGATATTTCATTATGCTACCTAGAATCGTGGCCAATTTAAAACTTGTGATTAATCTAAAATATTTCATTTAACATTTTCAAACCACGGTTGACTGTGGGTAACTGAAATCATGGGAAGTGGAACTGCAAATAAGGGAGGACTACTGTATATGTACACTAGGTACTGGGAAAAAATGGCTTAATCTGAATTTAAACTTACAATAAAAATATAAAATTGTAAAACTCCTTAGCCATGAAAAATTTTTGAGATTATTCCTCAACAGATTTATGTACTAATTTCCTTTTTAATTTTTTTAATTTTTGCTTTTATTTGTCCAACACAATTTCTTCTAAAAAATAAAAAAAGTGGAATTTTTAGTCTCAGACTGTACTTAGTGTTAAACATGTTAGGTAGAGTTAGTTCAAGGAATTCTGGGGGAAGGTGGGAGAAGTCGGCCACCTTTATATGTAAACTTGAGACAATATTCCCTTTCTGCTTTAATGGGAGTTTATCTCTGCCTGTTCTATCTCACCTTCCGTATTCTCTGCAGCTCTGGGTGTATAGACAATATTTTACTCCTCTTGGTGATAAGTGTTACTTTGTAATTGGAATCTGAGGTGAAAATTTAACCATATTGGGTAGAAACATGGATATCATAACTCCTTCATTTAAGACTACTATCTTTTCATTTTAGAAATAGTTCTTGGTGGTGGTGCTGCTTCATCACTCATACCCATATAATTTAGAGTACATTCATTGGAGACCAATGGGAAATAAGATTATAGATAAGGTAGGGTAAGCTGATGAAGGGTCTCAAACTCCAGCAGATATGGACATATCATGAACTGCAGTGAACAGCATTTTAAAGTTTTATTTGGAACAGTGACATTAAACAGAAGTAACTGACTTGTTAGAAAGAAATAGTTTAACACCAGAACCTTTTGGATGCATTACTGGATGCCAAAGGACACTTCAACCTGAGATATTGCAGTTAAAGTATAATTGATAAAGAAAGCTACAAGGGGAATATGGAAAATAAATTTTTGAAAAATGGGGAAGAGATTTCATGCTAAAATATATTATTTTTTCTTTTCTTGAGAGGACTAAACACATCCTGTCTACACACACACATTTATATACACACACACATACATGTATACACTACAGACAGAACACATTTGAGAAGGACATTTATATTTAAAGAAATGCATAGAATTACACTTCCTAAAATAAAAATCACAAGATGTTAAAGAAACATGAGAAGAAAAAAAAATATCGGCCAAGCATGGTGGCTCATGCCTGTAATCCCAGCACTTTGGGAGGCCGAGATGGGCAGATCACTTGAGATCAGGAGTTTCAGAGTAGTCTGGCCAACATTTTAAAAAAAGAAAAAAGAAACAATATCAACACCAACTACAGAATTGTGATCAAATATATTTTAGAAGCTACAGTTTTAAAAATTTAAGCAATTTTGTTTAAAAGCCTATGATACACTATTATTTGTTGTGTATCTCCAAGATAGGGTTAATTTTGCAAAGCATATTTGAGTACCAAATCCTTCTTACATAGAACATCTTTTCTTGCTTATGTTCTATATAATGTTAATTTGGGGAATGACAACTGTGAACATCATAATTCCAACATAAACTGCTTTTCTTATATCTGATCAATATGGAGTACTGATCAATATGGAGTATGAAAGGAACCACCAGAATTTGAAACCTACTAAAGTAACTTTCATCATCCTGATTAGGGAATTCACCAATACTTATTTTTATTTTAATGAGTTCACATACATTATGCTCATACCATGTGTCAGAAGAAAAGACAGAATGAACAATTACAGAACACACATGCTAGTATGTTATTTTCATACATGTAAAGTATATTGACCAATCTAGAGCATCTGTTTGCTTCTTTTCACTTTATCCTTTGTGACGAATATAAAGTTATAAATAAAAATTACTCCCCTGTGGGAATTGACATAAAAGGACATCTGAATCAATTTTGGAAGGTAGGCAAATATCATGGCTGTGTTCAACCATGAGAGTTTCCCTAAAATAAACAAGTTCCTCTTTTTGATTTCCATGTGCTATTCTTGATGTCATGGCTAAGATTAAGACTTGGCCGGGCGCGGTGGCTCACGCCTGTAATCCCAGCACTTTGGGAGGCCGAGGCAGGCAGATCACGAGGTCAGGAGATCGAGACCATCCTGGCTAACACGGTGAAACCCCGTCTCTACTGAAAATACAAAAAATTAGCCGGGTGTGGTGGCGGGCACCTGTAATCCCAGCTACTTGGGAGGCTGAGGCAGGAGAATGGTGTGAACCCGGGAGGCGGAACTTGCAGTGAGCAGAGATCGCGCCACTGCACTCCAGCCTGGGCAAAAGAGCGAGACTCTGTCTCAAAAAAAAAAAAAAAAAAAGACTTTGTGTTCACATTGATCTAGGTTTTCATCGTGATTTGGCCACCTTTTAATTGTGTGATGTTGGGGAAGTTGGTCTCCTTCTCTGATCCTTTAAGTAATAGTATGGTAAATGGGGTAATAACACCTGTCATTTATGGCTAGTGTGGTGGATTCTCATATGTAAAATACCTATATAACAATGAGCAGAGAGTGAATGCTTAATGTAAATGATGACTACGAAGAAGACTATAGTGATGATAAATAATTGAAGATTAATCTGCTGAAAACCAGAATGAATTAGGGAAGAGGGATTTGGATGTAGAAAAAATGCTAAGAGACTGTAATTCAATGACAATGAGAAGATGAAGAGACAACAAATTTGAGATATTCCATGACATAAACTACCAACATCTCTTAGTGATTAACATTTGAAAGGAGATGGAATTATGTATTTAGCTCACTGCAAGCTATTCACATGATGATGTGTATATTGACAATACTCTTCGTGGTAATGGGAAACGGTAGGTTTGGAGACTGGTCAGGAGGTGTTCAGTGGGGTGAGAATTAACAATATCCACCTGCCTTCTAAAAAGATAAATGCTGAATTACTTACTTCTCATATTACTGCTTAGTAGTACCCCAAAAAGGGTGTCAATAGTATCTACTGAAAAAAAGCAAGATCTAATTCTTTATAGTCAGTTTCTGTCATTTCTTTCCAAGTGTAGATTTTGTTATGTGATGGAAATATAGAGTGCAATAGTAAACTTCCTCTTGGCATATTTTGTTTATATTCTAAAGCTATTCAGATAAGGTTGTGTTAGAAATTGAAGTGTGTTCACTATTTCTGTGGGTAAATACTTGTTCAGTGTGAAGAGTAGAGCTTTCAAGCATTAGCCTTTTTGAACAGGGTGTAGGTATCTATAATCCAAACAAATATAACTATACAGGAATTTTATGAGTTATTAAACTCTTCTAATAACAAAAATATCTTTGCAATAATAGTGGTGACGAATTGTCCAAAAGTTCAGTACTTAATATGTTCTTTGTAACTTCTTGAGTCCATAAAAAGGAGCTGTAAACATTGGCTGCTGATCCTTGAAATTTGCAGTTGAGGAAGCAGACTTGTGTACAAAAGGAAATTGTGTAAAGTGAAATAAAAAAGGAAGAAACTAAAGCTTACATTAATGAAGTGTCTTGCTTGATTTCTTCACATTTTTTTTTGTTTTTCTTCCCCCATTTTTGCTCTTTTTTTGATTGAAGGTGGGGTATATTATTTGGAAAGAATCCAAATTATTATTTTTTTGATTTTCAGAAATACCCAGATACAAATTGAAGAGCATCAAAAATAATTTGTGTCCATATACTTATTTTGGTGTTTAAAATTGAACTGATTATGGCATTCAATAAAAACTAATGTTAATATAATAAAAATAATAATATTGTGCAAAAGCATAAAATAGTCTGCATTTCTTCATTTTTAAATTCAGGTACATAGGAAGAACTTGATAAAAACTCACTGAATTCAGAATAATGGCTCATGTAACTCATAAAATTGTGTGAATGACTATGACATAGTTAGAACAATTAAAGCTCTCATTCTCAGACAAGGAAACTGAGGCATAGATAATTAATTATCTTGCTCAAAGTTAGAGAAGAGATTATGCTAACCAGATATATTTTGTAAAGGTAAATCCTCTAGTGATTCCTAATCTCCTTCTTAATTAATTGCTTGGGAAATCAACCTAGAAAAAGGAAAATTCTTGCTCAGAGCATTTGTTCTTACTCTTGGTTTTGTCAACCATGCCTGCTGCTTTCTGCTGCTACTGCTTCTTAAGCCTCCCAGTGCTGATTCCCAAGACATAGGAGATCTGCAGTTTCATGCCTATGATGGTCATGCTGGTTGATTCCCCACATCATCGCTCCTTGGATCATTAATCTAACACAACCCAATAATCCCATTCCCTTTATTAGTGCCTAGCTTCAGATGGCCAACCAGTCCAACATGACACAACATCAAAGTTGCTGAGGAAGTTGTCTTTGCTCCTAAACATAAAGACATAAAAACAGATGGCCCCTCTTTTCATTATAGATGTTGCTATGTCTGCATATTGCACCTAAAAATTTGAAAGCTATCATACAACCATGTTAGTAAAGCTATTGTAAGGGCAATGTCCATCACAATCAAAGCTTCTTATGGATTTCCTATTACATGATATTACTGTTCTGTTGTACAAAATGCACTCTATTCATGAGAGAAAAGCTCAGTATTGCCAACTAAGACTCACTTGGCTATTGCTGTCATGTGATCTGTCTATATAAACACAGACTTTAAGAGAAAATTGGAAAAATCCAGTAAGTCTGCAGGCTATTTGGACATACGTGAGCTTCAGTCCTTTTCTTCTGGAAGTATGATCCCACCTAGACACAACTTAACTAATGCAGACTGTGGGGTCAGATGCCGAACTGTTGTGTTCCATTTCTTCGTGAATGACACTACATAATCAATGAATAAATTGAACTTAACCTTATCCCATATTTTGATGCTCCAACTTACTTCTTTCTTGTATATTTGAAAAAACAATTTCCAAGATGAGTTAAAATAAATAGGAAAAACATTGTCTAATGACACCAAAAAATCCATTGAGAATTTTGTAAACTTTACCAAAACTTGTTTAACTGCTGTTCAGATGTGGCACCCATTATAGACATTCTTCCTTGTTTAGGAATTTGACACAATTTCTGTTTTGGCAGACGTTTCATTTGGTTTTTGTTACAATCATGTCAGAGCTTGATTTAACTAAAATCTGTTTCAATGTGTGACTCGCAGTCCAATAGCAATTCCCTAGCAATGGGGCTATATATCTGAGCTGTTACAAACACCCATTGCCATGGTTTCTTAGAATCTGTTTCCTTTTCTTTTTTCTTTTCTTTTCTTTTTCTTTCTTTCTTTCTTTCTTTTTTTTTTTTTTTGATTGTTCCCATGGGATCTTGCTTCATGAGCTGAAACACTGGCAGCAAAAGCACAAGGCAAGCCTGGAGAGGAATAATCTAGAAATTTACTTAAGTTTCAGATATCTGGCAGAGAGTAACAATCTAGGTGGAAGGTCATTTTAAGCAGAGAGACATAAACAAGGACTCTAAAGCCAAGAGGAAAATATGGATCCATGGGGAAGAATCTGTGTTTGACAGGGAGAAGGGCATGGGTTTTGGAACTTAATAGATTTGGACGGAAAGCCTAGTTCTCACATTTTCTTGCCTTTGACTTTGCAATTTTTTTTCACTATTCTGAGCCTCAGTTCTCTCATTTTTGTAACTCAGAAAATAGTACCTATCTCAAGGAAAGGAGATTTCCTGAACAGCCTGTGTTTACTTTTAAGTGTAAGTCATGACTATTGTTATAGTTATTTGGGAAGTCTCTAAAAGTAAGAAGCAGCAAAATCTTATGTCCTGAAATCTTAGACAAAACAAATAAGTGCAGTGAAGGAAGGCGTGTTTTCACTGATGACCCTAAGGGAGTTCATTTATGTCTCTTGTCATAAATGCATGCCAACAGCCTATCGGAAGTAAGGTGGTGAGGTATACTACTAATTTTTATCCTACCAAGTGAGAAAGGACATGCATGTCTTATTTATGTATTCTTTACTTGGTGAACATTTTTAAGAATATAATTCTTAAAATTATAAGGCCAAATATGGTGCTTTCTAATGTTGTTAATTCTCTTCATAACTCACAACCATCTGATGTAGCACTTTTCTGTCTGAGGGCAGTGGAAGTAACACAGTGTCACTCTGTGCACGGAGGATAGGTTCTAAGACCCCAGTGGATGCCTAAAACCACAGAGTACCAATCCCTGTACATACTATGTTTATTCTTATTCATACATACCTATTAAAGACTTTAATTTATAAATTAGTCACAGTGACAGATCAACATCTCATAATAAAACAGGATATATAATAAAATACTGAAATAAAGGGTTTTTTAAAATTTTATTTTTTTAAGTCCAAACTTCCACGTTTTCATTTAAAGCAAGCTCTTTACAGCTTCTCTTTGGCATATCTGAATTGCTGGCTTTACTACTCTAGCATTTTGGGGTCCTTATTCACTAAAAACGAGGGTTACTTGAACCCAAGCATTGCAATACTGAGACAATGTGGTAACTGAGAAGGCTAAGCTATTAACGCATGGGTAACCCACACGGCTTGGATATGTCAGACAAAGGAATGATTTGTGTCCTGGGTAGAAGGATGTGAGGCCGTGGGGGATTTTGTCACACTACTCAGAACAGCTAACAATTTAAAACTTATGAATAGCTTATTTCTGGAGTTTTCCATTTTATATTTTCAGACCCCACTGGACTGTGGGTAACTGAAACCATGGGAAGTGAAACTGTGTATAAAGAAGGACTACTGTATAAGGACACTTGAATTACAAAAATTTCACAATAGTGTATATCAAGAAACACTAAAAACAATAACTAGAAAATGTGTATAATCCAGTGACCAATGAAAACATACGCACTGAAACAGTATTATATAAAAGTAGTGACGAAAGAGGAATAAAGTCAACCAGTCATTACAAGTGGGAGTAGCTAAATCTTGAGTCAGATGTTAGAAGAAGAAAGAAGAAGAGAAACTAACATTTTTTGAATATTGCTCTAATCCAGGTGTCATGCCAGGCACCTTAAACATGCCCACACGTGATCCACTTAGTCTCTTCAGAACCCCGCAAGGCACCACTGTCATTATTATTTTACACAAGATCAGTGCTACAGCCATGAACTGGTAAATTGCAGTTAGAATTAGCATTAAACCCATGAGCTTCACTCTCCCCACAAAACTATCAGTGCCCCACATGGAGAAGGCAGTTGATAGGATTAGATGAGGGCATTTTCTGAAATAAAAAAGGGTAAATTTTAACATGTTTTATGGGAAATTTAATTAAGAGACCACCAGCAGTTGATCTGAGTTAGTCTGGCTAGAGTGGTAATCTGAGTTCATAAATGATAAATTAGTTTGGAGTGGCAAAGAGATGAAGATACTGTATAGAAATCCACATTAAACAGATAATAATCTGTCTAACATATATTTCTGTGAGTGTGTTTTTGTGGTAACTTTTCCTAATTTTACTGGAAAAGTGTCAAAGGAAATCAAAGCATGCAATTCTGATGACATTAGCAAGACTCTTTTTATTGATCCTTTTTCTAATAATCTGTAATATGAGAGAATTCAGTATGATGGCATTCCATAGTCTATCATCTTTCTTGTATTTCAGAAAAGATTATATTTTCATTGAGTAGCTCAAAGTTTCTCATTTATTACCATAATGTGTGGTTTCTATTCTCTTATTTGATTGGCAAGTTATTTATATGTTAAAAAAAACTCAGTGAATTAAAAATTCCTTGCAATAGTTTCTATAATAAAATGTAATCATTTTCAGGTAATAGAAACTTGGGAAGAAAGAATGCAAACTCGGCGATTTACATAACTCCTGCCTTATGCTTTATCTCTGATCTACTCAGAAATGCCCTGAGAAAAGACAGCATGGATGGGAAATGGGAACTGGGTAGAAAGTATTTTGATAAGGCTTATTTTTCCAACATTGGTAACTTGAAAAGAAAATTGAAATTTTAGAAAATCATGGGGATAATATTATGTATTTATTTTTCACCTCTATATCTATTGAAATTTAAGAATCATAAAACATGAATAAAATTCTCATATAAAAATCACACCAGCTTATAAGAATGCTGCTTCTCATGTGGTTGTATCAAAGATTTAGAACATGTTCAAGTGTTTCTAAGGTAGAGGTTGTAGTGTGGCCTGTAGTTTAATCTCAACCAGCAAATATGCTTTGTTTGGTCTGCAAAATTTTACTTTAATTGCATCATGTAAATTTAATATTTATATAAGACTAGGTAGATATCAAAGACGTTGGAAAAAAAATGGCTTAAATAAAGCTCCTCTCAATTTAAAATGATTAAAAAGAGTGTGGGACCATGAGATTGTTTAAAATAAAATAAAACCAGCTGATGCAGACTTGCTGCCAAAAGAGAGAAACACCGAAGCTAAAACCCACGGCTATGACTTCTCGAGTTCTTGAGTTAACATGTGTCAAAGTTTAAAGCTTGGTTAAAAATAAATAAATAAATAAATAAATAAATAATAAATAATAAAATTTCCAGACTAGTTAACCAGAAATCATCCTCTGCAGATGTGTATGTTCTTAGAGAGGGACAGAGAAAACCGTTGTCAACTTTAATTTTCATATTTTCAGCCCAATTTGTCCTTAAGTGTCCCCAAGGAAGCTTCTGTGGGAAGCAGAACTATAATGAGAGGCTATGTACACATATTTATTATTGTCTTTGGTATTTGTATAGTCATATTAATAGCACTCCAAAGAAGTCAACATCCTAATCCCTGGAACCTGTGAATATGCTAGTCTACAGGTCAAAGACACTTGAAAAATGGAAGTGAGATTCCTAATCCTTAGTTACTAAACTGACATTAGGCTTGACAGATGATCTAGGATTACCCAGGTGGTTACAATGATGTCAGAATGCTCATTAAAAGTTGAAGAGGGGAATGAAGAGAGAAAGAAAGAGAGAGAGAGAGAACCAGACATGGCAGCATGAGAAAGACAGCCTGAAGTTGCTGATGAAAATGGGAGAAGGGCAAGAGCCAAGAAAGGTGGGTGGCCTCAAAAAACTGAAAAGAGCAAGGAAACAGACTTTCTCAGAGCCCCTTAAAGAAACAGGCTTGCAACACCTTGATTTTAGCCTTGTGAAACGAGAGTCAAACTCCTGACTTAAAGAACTGTGACCTAATACATCTGTTATGTTTTTAGCCACTAAGTTTATGGTAATTTGTTAACAGCAGCAATAAGGATCAAATACATAGTTTCTAATTGAAGTTGAATGCTGCTGTAAGAAATACATACAAATGTGGTCGTGGCTTTAGAATTTCGCAGTGGAAAGAGCCTGGAGAAATGTTCAGGAGCATGATAGAAAAAGCCTTGACTGACCTGACATTTCTGATGTTAGTAGAAATACAGATGTTAAAGGCACTGTTGGTGAGGAATGGAAAAAAAAATAGAGAAGAATAACGTTTCAGTAAACAAAACCTTTAAAGCATATTCCCTTCAAGAATACTGAAATTATTATGAACTGACTATTGATAGAAAGAAGTACATTAATGGCATTGCTGGTGAAGGCGCAGAAGAACATAAAGAAAATGTTATTGCAAATTGAAGAAAATATTACCTTTGTGATAAAATGGCAGAAAGTTTAGCAAAAATGTGTAGAGCCGAACTTGTAAAAAGGGTGAGATTGGACATTCAGCTGAAATTTTTCCAGCAAAGCCTTGTAGTCTAGTCACTTCTCGCTGCTTATAGTAAAATGTAAGAAGAAAGATAAATTGGGATACAAATTGTTAAGCAAAATGGAAGCAGAAATTGGTGATTTGGAAAGTTTTCAGCCTATCCAATTGCAGAAAGCATGAAAATTAAGAGATTCACTGTCAGAAAGCATGCTTTATGGAAAAAGCCGGGATAAAGCTAGAGAACCTCTTGCTAATACCTCAAAAAGATGAAAATGCCAGAGTATGCAGTCATTCAAAAGTCTCTTCTAATAAATTAAGCATGTGACTCATGGATACTCCCAGCCATGTAATCAGAGGTCAAAAAATTGAGGAGGGAATTTCCATGGAGATGATTCTTATCTAATGGAATGAATCCCAGTGACATACACAGGAGACCCACATATTTCTTGAGAATTTTGTAATAGCAGAAACACTGCCAGCTTGGAGTATATTCCACAGTATACAAATGAGCTCAATGTAATTAGGAAATTTCTTAAAAGTGGAAGAGAAAGGCAACCAGACAAGCAGAATCCTGAAAAAAATAAAACAAAATATAACCAAAAGTTGCTGTCTTTGAAGATAAGGGAAGAATGAATGAGCCAAGGATTGTGGTTGGCCTGTAGGAACTGGAAAGGGCATAGAAACATATTATTTCCTAGACCAGGAAGAAACACGGTCCTGCAACACTTTAACTTTAGGCCAATGAGTTCTATCAGCTCTAACCTATAGTTCTCATTTTAAAAAATTTCTTCCAAAAAATAGAAAAGGAGAGAAAACATGTCAACTTTTCTGTATGATGCCAGTATTACTCTGATACTAAAACCAGACAAAGATAGCATGAAAAAAGAAAATTATAGACAAGTAGATTTTATAAAATTAGATACAAAAATTTTCAACAACATATTAGCAATTTCAATCCAACTGTGTATAAATCATTATACTACATGACCAAGTGATATTTATTCCAGGTATGCAAAACTGTTTCAATATTTAAAAATCAATGTAACCCACCATATCAACAAGTTTAAAAGGAAATATCACGTGCTCTTATCAATTGAAGATGAAAGATCTATAATTTTTTTATTAAAATCCCATACCGATTCATGATAAAAAGCTCTTACCAATAGAAGGGAAAGCCTTCAAATCGATAAAGACCATTTATAGAAACAACAAACAGACAAGTAAGCAAAACCTACAGCCAGTATAAATAAGGGTAAAAACCCTTATAAGATTGAAAACAAGACAAGAATATCTACTCTCACCAATGTTGTTGAAATAAGTACCGGAAGTTTTACCCAGTTCAGAAAGGCAAAAAAAAAAAAAAAAAAAAAAAAAAAAAAAAAAAAAAAAAAAAAAAAGCTATGCAGATGGGAAAGGAAATAATACAACTGCTTTTATTGAAGATAGCATGACTGTCTGCATAGAAAGTCCCTAGGAATCTATAAAACAAAAGAAAAAAAACCCAAATAAGTCTTCTAAATCAAACGAATGATATCAGCAAATTACAGGATACATGATCAACATATTAGAATCAATGCATTTATATATACTAACAGTGAACATATAGAAACCAAAATAAAAGCAAAATACCATTTATAATTCATTAAAGGTAAATAAAATACTTGATGTGCTTATAAAACCATGCACAAAAACTATGTGCTGAAAATTACATATATGAATAAAAGAAATCAATGAAGATGCATGACTTGTTCATAAATTGGAAGCCTCAAAATAGTAAAAATATCAACCTAAGCCTTATACCATATAAAATTTAAGTAAAAATAAGTTATGCACTTAAATGTAAAATGTAAAACTATAATAATTTTATTGAAACTATGAGAAAATCTTTGAGACCTCCCATATTGGTCAATAGGTTAAAGAGAATTTCTATCAAAGCCTCAAAAAGGGTTTTTTTGCTTTTTTTTTTGTACGGTAAGGTTAAGGCCTTAGAATAGCTAAAACAATATTAACAAATAAAAATAAAGTAGAAAGAATAGTTTCGTTAGGATAAAAACTCATTTTATGGCAAGAAAAATTAAGACAGTATGGTATTGGTGGAAGAGTAGACATATAGATCAATAGAACAGAATAGAGGCCAAAGAGCACAGGAAGTTCTACACACCTATGCTGAAGTAATTTTTCAGAAAAGAACAAAAGATCAAAAGGCTAAAAACACATTTTATGGCAACAAAAATTAAGACAGTATAGTATTGGTGGAAGGGTAAACATATAGATCAATAGAGTAGAATAGAGGGTCAAAGAGCACAGGAAGTTCTACACATGTATGCTGAAGTAATTTTTCAGAAAAGAACAAAAGAAATTCAGGAAAGAAAATAGAAACTGTTTAACTAATGATGCTGTAGTAATTGGAATTCCAGAGGCATAAACATCAACCTCAACCTAAGACTTATACTGCATAAAAACCAAGTCAAAATAAATTATGCACTTAAATGTAAAACATAAAACTATAATACTTTTGTTAAAAAATATGAGAAAAGCTTGGAGATCAATGGTTAGATAAAACTTGGCACTAAAAGAAAAATCCATTAAAAAATAGAAAACTTCAACCTCAATATATAAAAAAAAACTTATTCTGCAAAAGCCGATTTGAAAAGGATTAAAAGCAATGACTGGGAAGTGTATTTTCAATCTACATTTTCTACAAAGATACAATATCTGTAATATAAAAAATTTCCCAAAACTCAATATTAAAAAAAAAAAAGAAAACAGCAATCCAATTGGAAATTGAGAAAATGACAAGATTACACATTTCCCTGAAGATATACACAGAGCATGCAAGCACAGAAAAAGATGCTAAACATCATCAGCTATTATATAAAAGAAAATTGAAAGTCCACAGAGATATTAATACACATTAAAAATAAATGGTTAAAATTATATATATAATATTATATATGTATAATATATAATTTATATATATTATATATGTATAATATATAATTTATATATATTATATATGTATAATATATAATTTATATATATTATATATGTATAATATATAATTTATATATATTATATATGTATAATATATAATTTATATATATTATATATGTATAATATATAATTTATATATATTATATATG
This sequence comes from Homo sapiens, assembly GCF_000001405.40. Classification (NCBI taxonomy): domain Eukaryota; kingdom Metazoa; phylum Chordata; class Mammalia; order Primates; family Hominidae; genus Homo; species Homo sapiens. The sequence continues at coordinate 123,357,054 of NC_000002.12, read as the reverse complement.
TATAATATATAATTTATATATATTATATATGTATAATATATAATTTATATATATTATATATGTATAATATATAATTTATATATATTATATATGTATAATATATAATTTATATATATTATATATGTATAATATATAATTTATATATATTATATATGTATAATATATAATTTATATATATTATATATGTATAATATATAATTTATATATATTATACATGTATAATATATAATTTATATATATATTATATATGTATAATATATAATTTATATATATAATACATATGTATAATATATAATTTATATATATATAATATTACATATGTATAATATATAATTTATATATATATAATATTACATATGTATAATATATAATTTATATATATATAATATTACATATGTATAATATATAATTTATATATATATAATATTACATATGTATAATATATAATTTATATATATAATATTACATATGTATAATATATAATATATATATAATATTATATCTGTATAATATATAATTTATATATAGAGAGAGAGAGAGAGAGAGAGTGTGTGTATATGTGGTGTCAATGTTCCATGTTCTGCTTCAATAAGTAAAGAACTTGGAAGTCATCACTCCTATTCTCACAAGAATAACAAAAGCTAAAGAAGCTGAAAATAAATGACTTTTCCATCAGAGAATTGAGTTCATATAAAAAACTGTCTCCCCCACCACCAGAAAAATAGAAAGATAGTAAAATACAGAGAATCACAGCTTACCTCCAGCAAAAGCTGCTGGAGTCAGTAAATGGTAGACACACTTCAATGGCTATTAATAAATTGCTGAAGGCTGTGTGTGGAATAGCTTAAAAACTCCCAGCAGCCTAATCTTAGAGGGATCCTGACTGTTTTATGGCTTTTATTTCCAGGCATTACACTACTTTCTCATGAAGATAAGAGAATAATCTCTAGTGATTTGAATTTGAGCAGAACTAAAAGAAAGTAACCATTCTGAAACACATACAGAGGAAAAGTGGCCATTTTGAAAATTGCCGAGAGCATTCTGTTCTACATAATAAAGCCTAGCTATCAAGGGAAACTACTTTAACAAAGCCTTATTTAAATCAAGGGAAGGAAATTTAGTCAATCACTCCAACCCCATGTTTTACCAAAACCCATAAGGGGACAAAAAGGTTAAGAAACTCTTCTGGAGGTCACAGCTAGAGACTTTGGCTTATTAAAAGAATGTAGATTTAATCAAAATATTATATAATGCTTTCCCTCTCCAATATCTAATCATCATAGCAACACAGATCTAGTATAATAGTTGACTGAAACTGAGAAATTTGCAAAAGACATATACTATTTAAGAAGGAGTTTCTAGGGAAACCCAAAGGGAAAAACATGAACTAAAGGAAGTTTATGCCTCTGACACCTACGGCTATAACAAACATTAAATGCTGCCCAGCTTCTTTCCAGTTTAAATAAAACTTCATATGAAAGATCTATTTGTCTCATCCTATTACTTGATATGTCATGTCTGATTTTTGACAAAATGTTATAAGGCCTTCTTAAAGTCAAGGATAAACACAGTCTGAATATGTAAAGCAAACATCACAACCAGATTCAGATATGACTGAGATTTGGAAAACATCAGACTGGAGAATTTAAAATAATTATGATTAATATGCTGGAGATTTCCACTTTTGAAAGTGGACAACACATAAGAACATAAAGGTACTATAAGCAGAAATATAGAAACTCTAAGAAAGAATAAAAAAGAAATGTTGGCTGGGTACAGTGGCTCACACCTGTAATCCCAGCACTTTGGGAGGCTGAGGTGGACAGATCACCTGAGGTCAGGAGTTTGAGACCAGCCTGACCAACATGGAGAAACCCCGTCTCTACTAAAAATACAAAATTAGCCGGGTGTGGTGTCAGGTGTCTGTAATCCCAGCTACTTGGGAGGCTGAGGCAGGAGAATTGCTTGAACCTGGGAGGCAGAGGCTGCGGTGATCTGAGATCGCACCATTGCACTCCAGCCTGGGCAACAGGAGGGAAACTCCATCTCAAAAAAAAAAGAAAGAAATGTTAAAAATCAAAAACATTTTCATAGGAATGAGGAAGTACACTGGATGCCACCAAGAAGAGAACCAATGAACATGAAGATATGCCAATAGAAAATTTATAGACTGAAATGCAAAGATAACATTTAACATTAATTAAAAATTATGTAATGTCCAAGAAGCTTTGGAAAAATTACAATGGTGTAACATATACATAATGAGACTACATAAAAGAGATAAAAGAGAGGAACAATACAAATAACAATTTTAAGTAATAATAAGAGATAATTTTCTAATATTAAAAACAGATATCAAACCATAGATCTAGGAAGTTCAGAAAGCAGCAACCAAGAAAAATATTTTAAAAATCCATAACCCAATTACAACATACTCAAACAGCAGAAAATCGAAGACAAAGAAAAAACATTGAAATAAGCCAGGGTCACCTTACTTATAGAGGAAACGGAATAAACATTATATTAAACTCATCTTCAGAAATCATGCAAACAAGAGTAGAGTGAAGTATTTAAAGTGTAGAAACAAAACAATAAAAAACAAAACACCAACCCGGAATTTTATATCTAGTAAAATTATCCACAAAATGTGAAAGAAAAATAAAAAATATTATTAGACAAAAATTGAGAGACATTTCCTGTTTTGAAAAAAAATGTTATAAGTAGTTCTTTAGAGAAGAAGAAAATAGTTCACACCAAAGACATGGATTTCTGGGTCTACAGAAGCGTTAGAGAAGAAAAAAATGAAGGTAACATGTACTTTTTTTTCATCCTTATCTTAACTGATCTAATAGATAACACGTTTTCCTTTAAAATAGTAATAGCAAGACTGTGTTGGGTGAGTAGACCTTATGGATAAATGAAATTAATACCATGAGTGTTATAATGGAGGAAGGAAGGAATTTGGAATATCCTTTTATAAGGTCAGTGTACTCCCTGTGAATTATTACAGCATTTTTTGAAAGTGGACTTAGATTAGTTGGAAATGTTTACTGAAAACTATAGGGCAACTAAAAAGAGATAAATACTTAAATCAAATAAAATATGTCTAAAATTTATTTAAGGAAAACTACAAATGATTAAAAATCAAAGAGCCTCTAAATAAATGGAAAGATATTTCATGTACATTGATAGGCAGAATCAATACTGTTAAGATGTCATTCTTTCTGATTTTTTTCTATAGATTTATTGCAATCTCAGATAAATTTATTGCAATTTATTTTGAATATATGAGCAAAGTGTTGCTAAGGTTTATGTGAAAAGGCAAAAGACACAGAATAACCAACATAATACTAAAAAACAAGAAAATGGAGGAAAAAGAGAAAAACAGGAAAAGAAGAGTCATTATTCAGCTTCGAGACTTACTAAAAACCTACAATTATCAAGGCAAAATAAAAGACAAGTAATCAATGAAGCAAAATGGAGAGCCCAGAAATAATCAACTACAGTTGCATAATGACAATCAACTGGTATTTGACAAAGGAGCCGAGGCAATTAAATATAGAAAGAGTAAACTTTTCTACAAATGATGCTGGAACAACTGGCATCAACAATGAAAAAAAATGAATCCAGATATAAACTTTACATCTTTCACAAAATTAATGCATAATGAATTATTGACCTAAATTAAAATTCAAAATGATAAAACATCTATAGTGTAACATAAATGAAAATCTTATTTTTTATTTTGATGATGAGTTTTTAGGCAATGCTGAAAGCACAATCTATAAAAAAACAACAAGTTAGATTTATTATAATTAAAGTAGTTTTGTGAAAGCAACTGAAGAGAATGAAAATAATCAAAGACTAAAGAAAATATGTTAAAACATCTACATAATAAAGCACTATTACCAAAAATATACAAATAACTCTTAAATCTTCACAATAAGAAAATTAACAACTAAATTTGTTTAAATAAGCAAAAGATCTGAATAAGTTTCACACTAAAAATATACCATTGGCAAATTGGCATATGAAAAGACGCTTAGCATCATGTATCATTGGAAAATTATAATTTAAAACAATAATGAGATACCACTACCCACCTAATAAGGTGGTTACACTTAAAAAAAAAAATGACAATGCCAAATGTTGGAAGGGATCTGGAACAACAGGATCTCTTTTATTGTTGGTGGCTGTGGCTAAGACAACTTGTCAACTGCTTCAATTACCAAAACATGCAGCTACCATATGACCCACCAATTTTACTCTTTGGTGTATATTTCAGCAGAAAAAAAATAGTTTTGTACACAAACATTTCTACATGAATATTCATACAATTTGGTTCATAATAGCCAAACTTGGAAACTGCTCAGATGTCTTTCAATGGATGAATGGTTAAACAAACTGTGGTACATCCATACCATTGCTCCACAACAAAAGAAACAAACAATATACCTGATAACATTTATGATTATTCTGAGTAAAAAAAATCGATCCTGAAAGATCAAGTACTGTATGATTTCATGTGTACATAATTCATTAATTGAGAAGAATACCTAAGTGGTGAACAGGTTATCATTGCCCTGGATCAATGACAGGGCGAGTAATGGGTGCAGCTGTACTAGGGATTTTTGTGGTGAGGAACTATTCAGTATCTAAATTGTATTAATATTGATATCCAGGTTGTAGTACTGTACTATAGTTTTGTAAGATGTTACCATTTGGGGAAACTCAGTAAGGGGTACAAAGTTTCTCTTTGTATTATTTATTTTAACTTCATGTAAGTCAAAATAAAAATTTTAATTTAAAAAATAGAACACAAGGCAGTCTTCCCATGCTCTTTCTCAATTGAGGTGACATTAAGTGAATGTTTCCTGGCTAATTGTACACTGCAACAAGAAACCATAATTCATAGTGAATCATGTGGGCCAGGGAATCTAGTTGTGATGTCCAACAACCAAGGAAGATAAGAACAACCCATCTCCCCTAGCCACGTGGAATAAAACAGTATATAGGAGTCATGACTGTGATGTCAGCCAGGCAAACCTGCTATGTGTGTCTTTGCTGTTAGATATATTCAGATTGCCTAACAGATATTCAAACTGGCTCATCCCCAGCACTCAATCCTTGAAATCCAAATTGTTTATATGGCTTTTCCCAAAGTAACATAGAAGTGTATTTCTTGGAATTACAACAACAAAAATAGTAGGACACATAGTTAATATTTAATTAAGGCTTATCATGTGCCAGACATTTTTCTCATGGCTTTATATGAATGATATAATTTAATTGCCAACTAAGTTCATGAATGGGCTAAAATTTGAATGACATTTCTTCACTTGACTTAACTAATTTACAAAAAAATTTAGGTGATTTTTCCCATGATGAAACAGTTTGCACTAAATGATTACAGGTTATGAACTAAGCTAATATACTCTGGAGACTGTTATCACAATACTTTGCTCTATTGCCTTACAAAGCAAAACTACATAGGTCATTAAATGTTCCCTATAGAAAATTATTCAGAAAAAAATAAACACTAACATGTAACATTGCTAGAGGGCCCATTCTCACATTGCTATAAAGAAATACCTGATAGTGTGTAATTTATAAAGGAAAGAGGTTTAATTGGCTCTCATTCTACAGGCTATATGGGAGCATAGTGGCTTCTGGGGAGGACTCAGGAAACTTTCAATCATGGCTGAAAAAGAAGCAGGCATGTCTTACATGGTCAGAGCAGGAGGAAGGGGGTGAGGAGGAAGGTGCCACATTCTTTTAAACAACCAGATCTTTTGAGAACTCTATCATGAGACAGCACTAGGAGGATGGTGCTCAGTCATTAGAAACCACCCCCATGAATAAATAACCTCTCACCAGGCTCCACCTCCAACATCAAAGATTATAATTCAACATGAGATTCGGGCAGGCACACACATACAAACCATTTCATAGTTGCACCTAGGAACAATAATATGTATTCATAACCTAGAAATTGAATATAGTTCTGATGCTGAGTTATTTAGGCATTCTGGTAAAAGACAACAATGCACATTATCTAAGGATCTTGAGTCAACTCCTTAACATGTATTGGGTTCTACATTAGAGGCAGGTCATTAAAGCAACTAGAGACCAAGCTCTCTGGCACCAGTATATCAGGGATCAGAATCTGGCTCTGACTATGGTCACATTACTCTACTTTGGTTGCCGTATCTGCATGGAGCATTGAATATATGTCATTGGGTTACTGAGAGAATAAAATACGTGCAAAACATTGAAACAATATCAGATTAACTATGTTAGCATGTAAAATATGCAGTGTGAATTAAATTTTCAAATGCTGAATGTTTCTGGAAGAAAATAGAAGTGCTCCAATAATCCTAGGTAATTCAGTAGTCTTTGGTAAGATAATTAGTATGTTATTTTCAGTGAGAGAGGAAAGAATACACAATCACATATCCCAAGCTAGCTAGGTTTATGTAGTTCCATACTGGCCTTGAGCTAAGATGATTGCAGGAAGTAACAAAAAAATGTGTTTGTGGGCATGCGTGTTTGTGTTTAAAATAGGCAAAGAGTGTTTTTATTACACCCAATAACTAAAATAATAAATAGTAGAAACATAAGGACTTTTTCATACTAATATATAAGATTTATAATAAGCATAATTTCCTGTTATTTTGCTAGTAATTTCTCTTCTTGGCAAACCTCTGTTTCTTCCAGACAAGATTTTCTCTTTGTTTCTCTCCCCTTCTGTCTCTCATGCTGCATGCTTTATCAAATGCCTGATAATTCTTAAATTTCTGTTCACATTCAAGACTAGAAAAATTGAAATGCGGAGGGAGAGTTCTATGTTCTTGTCAATTAATAAATTCCTTTCTTGAATGAACCTTTAGGGAGCCAATCAGTAAGCTTCCCCTCAGCCACGCAGGATGGAAGACACAGCTCTTGGATGCTAACAACCACTAGCTGCCCCGGTATGCTTCAGCTTTACGCATTTTTAAAGAATAAACTTTTGTTGTATTTGTGTAGGGTTTAACATCTGGATGTTGGGTTTTGTGGATGGAGGTGGATAAAGGGCATAATGTTTACTCTTCCATATAGAATGATTAAACTAATATCTACACTTTTGGACATTTCTTTATTGGATATTCCATTCATCTTTCCAGACTTCCTAAAGCCCAGAGGCTTGTGAGGGTTTTGCAGGAAGCAGACACCATCACCATCAAAGATATACCACACAGGTATATAAAGGCGGCCATTTATTTGCTCTGAGTCATGTGCTAAGTGTCTTCCATCTTTTAACAAATCTTTCATATATGTATTGATTCTCTCTTGTGCAAGAGGTTCCTCTCTGTTTCCATTTGTGATTTGTGTTTGTGCATTTGCTTTTAATCAAATAATGTATTTCTTTGTAAGAAATAAATGGTTTAGGCAGAAAAAGATATATTTGTGTGTCTTTTTTGCTATTTTGAAAGACCATTGATAATATTGGTTAGAAGTGCATAAGTTGTAACTTCAGCATTAAAAAAAATGTGTTTGGGGTCAAATTTTAAAGACTCCAAATAATCTAACTATGTGTTGTGTCAGGTAAATGCCTTCTGGGACATCATCTCCTCTGCAAGTGGTCAAAATGGATTCCACAACCTTACAAGGTATGGTTTAAGAATTGGGCTTTATTGTGCAAGAGGAAATCTCAGAAAGCCAGATCGGCAAAATTAAATGTCAAAGCATCCTAAAGTTTTATTAAAATCAAATCCACATGTTACACATACATACCATAAAATTCACCTACTGTACAATTCAGTAGTTTTTAGTACATTCACATATAAGTGCAATCCTCACCACTTTTAGAAATTTTAGAACATTTCTGTGCCTCAGAAACAAACCCTCTACCCTTTAGCTACCATCCCCCTAGTCGCCCACCCAACAGAGCCTTAAGAAACCATTAATCTACTTTCCGTCTCCATAGCTTCTCCCATTTGGACGTTTAATATAAATGGATTCTTACAATATGTGACCTTTTTTGACCAGCTTTTTCACTAAGCATATTGCTTCAAGGTTCATCCATGTGGTGAGATGTATCAGTACTCATTTCTTTTTATTGCTGGATAATATTCCATTGGATGGATATACCACACTTTATTTATTCATCACTTGATGGACATTTGCCATATTTCCTCCTTTTGAATATTATACATAGTAGCACTATAAATATTTATGTAAAATTTATGTGAACATAGGTTTTCATTTTTCTTGTTTACATAACTAGGAGTAGGAATCCTGGGTCATATGATAATGCTATGTTTAATAACTTCATGTACTGCCAGACTGCTTTTCAAACTGGTCACACTGATATTCCCACCAATAGTGTTTGAAGGTTCCAATTTTTCTATATACTCATCAATGTTCATTATTCTCTATTTGTTGTTGGTGGTGGTGGTGGTGGTGGTATTTTGTTTTGTTTTGTTTCATTTTGCTTTTGCTATTCTAGTGGGTATGAAGTTGTATTTCTTAGTACTTTTGATTAGTATTTCCTGGATGAATAATGATGTGAACATTTATTTATGTACTAATTGGCCAGTTATATGCTTTCCTTTGAGAAACGTCTATTCATATCCATTGTCAGTTTTTTAATTGAATTATTTTCCTTGTATTATTGAGTTGTAAGAGTTCTTTGTATTTTCTGGATATAAGTCCCTTATTAGGTGTATGATGTATGATTTGCAGATATTTTCTCCTATCTCCTGAGGTGTATTTTTATTTTCTGGTAGTGTCCTGTGAAGAATGCTCTTAAAATTTTATTTTAATAAAATAAACAGGTGCCAGGCATGGTGGTGGGCACCTGTAATCTCAGCTATTTGGGAGGCTGAGGCAGGACAATCGCTGGAACCCGGGAGGCAGAGATTTCAGTGAGCTGAGATCGAGCTACTGCACTCCAGCCTGGGTGACAGAGCAGAACTCTGTCTAAAAAAAAAAAAAAAAAAAAAAAAAAAAAATTATTTAGATTTTTTCTTTGTTGCTCCTACTTTTGGTGTTATATTTAAGAATTCATTACCAATTCCAAGGTGATGAAGATTTATTCTGACTTGTCTTGTAAGCATTTTATATTTTTAGCCGTTCCATTTAGATTTTTTATCCATTTTGAGTTATAATTTTCATAGGTTGTGAGATAGGTGCAAACTTTATTTTTTATTTTGTGGATATCTACTTTTCTTAGTACCATTTGTTGAAAATATGATTATTTCCTTCCTGAATGGTTTTTGCAACTTTATCAAAAATCTGTTGGTAATGGACACATAGATCTCTTTATAGACTCTCCAATTCTTATTGACCTATGTATTTATTCTAATATTACTATCATACTGTCTCAATTACCCTTCCGTTGTAGTGAGTTTTGAAATTCGGAAGTATAAATCCACTATTTTTTTTCCCTTCAAGATTATTGAATCTATTCTGAGTTCCTTGTAATTACATACATATTTCAGGATCACTTTGACCATTTCTAAAAGAAGTCAGGCAGAATTCTGATAGAGATTGCATTGACTCTGTAGATGAATTTGGATTCTATTGCCATCTTAACAATATTAAGTTTTCTTCTCCATAATTATGAACCGTTTCCTATTTATTTAGTTCTTCTTAAGTTCTGTAGCTTTCAGAATATAATTTTTGCACTTTTGTGTTAAATTTATTCCTAAATATTTTATTATTCTTAATAACATGGTAAATATAATTGTTTTATTAATTCCATTTTCTCGTTTTTCACTGTAAATGTATAGGAACACAATTGGCCTTTGTATATTAACCTTGTATCCTACATCTTTGCTGAATTCATTTATAAGTTCAAATAAATTTTTGGTGGATCTGTAGGGTTTCCTATTTGAAAGACTATGTTATCTGTAAAATAGAGATAGTTTCACTTCTTTCTATCAAATTTGAATTCTTTTTATTTCTTTTTTTTGGTGTCTAATTGCTCAGGCTGTCCTTCACTCTTGATCCATCCATGGAGACCTTCAGCAGAATTTAGTGACACCTGAATATGGTGTGTATTTCATTCCAGGTGAGCAACTCCTTCTTGAGGCACTACCTTCTTAAAATACAAGCATGAAGATGATGGATGCTATTTGTTGTGTGCCAGCAGGCTGGGTATGGGCACCAGCTGCATTCCATTATCTGACTATAATAAATACCTTAGAGTCCAAGCAGTTTTGCAGTTCCTTGAAAGCTGAAGAAAGCTTGGCTTGAAAGCAGCCCTTTACACTGGAAAAGCAGAACTTATATGGTAATTCATTGTCCATACAACTTAGAGTGAGGTTCTGAGGTATTTCCTCTCATTACTCCAAACTGTAAAATTAATAACATTGGATGGTCATTTGTTATGTGAGCTTATTACTTATTACTGGATGGTGCTCTTTTCTTGAAGCAACAACCTGAGCATGAACTTTATTCTGTAAGTTCACTTCCAATTTTGTATAAACCCCAGGGGATTTGAAACTTAACCTTCAAAAAAAGGAAACGTTAATATTTCATCTAAAGAAAATTATTTTATGCTGCTTTTGCAACTTTGCTAAGTGTTAAGAATAACCTAGTCCCAATAATATTTTAAAGTTATAAAGGTGCAGTAAAACTTTAAAGACACACACACACAGACACATGCACGCATGCACTCACACACACACACACACAGATCCCTACTCATTTAGATGGATTCATTTACCTAAGTAAATTCATAATATTTTGGGTCCCTTTTCTTTGCAAGTGATAATTCCAGCTTATGTTAACGCCTACATTTTATGTTAATCTAATCATGGTTCTAAGTAAAAAGTAACATGGATTCTTCTATGGGAAAAACTCTATGTAATAGGTTTCTACCTACCTTCAATATTATATTAGTTTATTTCATCTGTCAAACATCTACTCCAAAGGAACTGCTCATTTCATTGATTTATGAAAAACACCATGCACATTCTTATCTTCATACCATGTCATTCCTTAACCTGCAAGCTCTTCCCTCATCTTGAGATTGAACTAAACCTTAACCTCTCTTTCCAATGCAGTTTATATTGTAGCTAATTCTTATGGCGTTCCCTGGGTTTACAGGCATCAAGTATTCTCATTTTTGAATACCCATTCATTCACTCCTATAACATTCATGAAATACTGTATTTCTTCATTCATTCTGTAATGCAACTGTTATACCTTTTTCACATTTGGGTTAAAATATTATTAAAGAAACAACATTTCATGAATGTTACTTCAATGCTGAATCTGTTAAAAACACCAAAAATGTGTGTCTGTGTGTGTGTGTATATACAATACACATATATATACACATATATATACATATGTATGTATATATATACACACATTTTTGTATAAAAAAGTATTATATATACTATATATAGTATATATATATTTGTATATATATAGCAGATATATATTATAAATTCTGTAAGTATATATATGTGTGTGTATATATATATGTATGTGTATATACACACACACACACACACACATATATACTTATAGAATTTCCTATTCAAAATGGATAATAAAATAATACTTGATATTTGCTAAATGCCATTTGTAAAGGTTCCCTTTTCACAGAGCAGAAGGGTCCATGTAGAGGTCTTGTTACCAGGGAAAGATGATGAGGAAGAGGTCCTATCCAGGCTTGTCAACTGATTATGACACTTCTACGCATACTTGGCTGAGAATTTCTAGGATCCTAAGCAAGACTTGGTCTACTTAATGGTGAATTCATTTGATCAAAATGCATTACATGCATTTTTATCTATCTCCCTAGAGATAGATAAAATCCAACAGTTAGATAAAAACTGAAATTTCATTGACTTTTCCAATAGGAAATAGCTAAAGCTACACATGAACACATTTATCACAAACTTTATGTCGTCTTTTAGAAGCCTTCTTTATTGAATCTTAATCTGATGGTTCTTATGAGGTAATGCAAGGAGCTTGGTAAAATGCAGTTTACAGCCCCTTTTCTCAGGTGTGATATAAGAGCAATCTCCCAAAATGTCAGAGGTGGATAACTTAGCATTGACTCTAGCTCATAATTCTTCCACAATAAGGAATTCTGATTGACCCCTTTCAACTCAATGTCTTTCATAAATACGATATCTAATTCAGAACTCAAATGCAGTGCAGGAAGTAGAAGACACCTGGGAATGGGCTATGAAATTCTTCACCCAAAAATGTTTAAAACAGCAGAAAAGAACATACAGGTCAGAATCTGGATTGATTTTAAGGGAGAGAAGCGGCTCAATTTCATCAAGTCATAAGATTTCACATCTGGCAGGTTCTGATTTGTGCATATGGAGCAGAAATGTTAATTTTTATTATCAGTTTTTGCCCCTAAATTCTTAGTGACTTGAATGTGAAAGGACTGGCAGCTTTTTAGGAAAAATTGTTTCACCACATTATTTATTATTACAGAATTATTTTATAAGCCTTTTTTAGTACTTGATTAATTTGTTAATGGGACAAGTTGAGTTAGCTTGTAACTTCATATTAATGTTTCCTAAATGGGCCCCATTAGGCAAGCAATAAAATTTGGAGAGAAATCAAAGCTGCTCACTCTACTCTTTCTCACATAATTTCAATAAAAGTGGCAAAAGGATCCCAAATATTTTCACGTAAAAAGAGGTAAAGTCTGAGGCATTAGAAATGGTTAAATCATACTTACTTTGTTAATAATTAAGCTCAATATCATGCTCCAAGAAATTTGAGATTCGCCAATTTGAATAACATCATAGAAAAAAAAGAGCTATGTTTTCCCCCGGTAGGAAATTTTACTTTTTTACTCACCTTTGTGGCCATCATGTCACCGGTAGGGCAGTAGTCATGGTTTTGAGCAACAGCAGTTTGGTCCCTAGTTTCCTCACACAAATAGGAAAAGAACAGATCTTACTTGCAAAATATTGTCTATGCCTGCTCTAACCTGTCTGAATTAGACTCAGTCCTGATGGACTGAATATTACAAAATTAGAAGGTTAAAATAGAAGAGCTTTATTGTATTCTGTGTTCAAAAGAACTGAAATCCAGGCTCAAACAGATATTTGTATACCCATATTCATATCAGCATTATTCACAATAGCCAAAGATTGCCAAATGTTCATCAAGAGATGATTGGATAAACAAAACGTGATATATATTTATAACAAAATATTACTTAGCCCCAAAACAAAATTCTGATAAATTCTACAGCATGAATGAAACTTGAAAACACTATGCTAAGTGAAACAAGCCAAACACAAAAGAGAGAATATTGTATGAATCCATTTATATGAGGTACCTAGAATAGGCAACCATGTAGAGATGAAATTATAACAATTTACACGGGACATGGGAATGAAAAATGGGAAGTTATTGTTTAATAGATAGAGTTTCTATTTGGGATGATAAAAAATTCCGGAAATTGGCCGGGCATGGTGGCTCATGCCTGTAATCCCAGCACATTGGGAGGCCAAGGAAGGCGGATCACCTGAGGTCGGGAGTTCAAGACCAGCCTGAACAACATGGTGAAACCCTGTCTCTACTAAAAATACAAAAATTAGCCGAGCGTGGTGGTGGGCACCTGTAATCCCAGTTACTCTGGAGGCTGAGGCAGTAGAATCACTTGAACATGGGAGGTGGAGGTTGCAGTGAGCTGGGATTACGCCATTGCACTCCAGCCTGGGTGACAAGAGCAAAACTCCATTTCCAAAAAAAAAAAGAGAGAAAAAATTCCAGAAATACATAATGGTAATATTTGCAGAATATTGTGAAGGTACTTAATGGCACTGAATTGGACACTTAAAATGGCTAAAATGGTAATTTTATGTTACGTATAATTTACTGCAATAAAAATGCAAAAGAGCCAATGTATTAATTTGTAAGTAAACATTTATATTAATATAAGATCCCAATGATTGAGATCCCAAAATATTCTATTTTACTAAACATTTATATACATGCTTCATGCATGTCAAATAATCTTCTAAGTGCTTTAGGAATTTTAATTCATTAAATCATTATAACTTCTATAAGAAGTAGCTATTATTATTATCCCAGTTTTCCAGGTGAAGAAATTGTAGTACAGAGTCTTTAGGTAATTTGTCTAAGGTCATACATCTAAGGAACACTATATCCAGGATTCAAACCCCTGCTATGTGGCTCTACAACCTATACTCTTCATCACTGTGCTATGTAGCTAGAACTCCTTGGTTACCTGATTATGAGATCAGAGAACAAACAGATCCTTCATTTTAGAAAGCTACTTTTAGCATACATTTGGAAAATTATTCTCATTTTCCTGATAATCCAAATGACGCATTTGCTCTTTATCTTGTTTACAAACTCAATTTTTGCAAAATTCAAATGTTTCATAGATTAATTTTTTTTAGTAATGGGTTTATGATTTATCTTCTGGATGTAATTTTAGAAATCCTTTTATACCCTGTATTTAGCTACTAAGTAGTTGTTTTGTTTGCTTGATTTGCCTTTTTTTGTAATCTAGAATTTTAAAAATCATTTATTCAATTAAGCCATTAATAAGTGTGTAATATATGTAAATAATTATAATACATAGGAAGAGTCACACATGTACCTACCCTCAAGTTTATCTACCAAAAACACAGACATATGAAAACATGCATATAAGAGATTGTAGTGGAAGAGATAGAATATAAGCAAAGGGATATCTTAAAACAACTTGCCATACACAGAAAGCTGTAATGTATTTATTTGCTGGAGTAAATTGTAATAGGTAGAGGGTGGCAGAGCTAAAACTAAAGAGAAAAGAGAGGCTCTAGATTATGGAAGATCTTGTAAAATATGTTAAGTAGTTATTATAGGATTTCAGTTTGTTATGTCTGACAATAGATAATAATGAGAGCTAATGCTTATGGTCTTCTTACTTTGTGCCAGATAGTCTTCTAAGCACTTTAATTGAACTTACTTATTAAATATTCATACCAACTCTATGAGTTAGCAGTGAATATTAACTCATTTTGAGATGAGAAAAATGCAACAACAGTGAGTTTATTTAATTTACTGTAGTTCACAAGGTTAGTAAATGGAGGAGTTAAGATTCAGAAAGTCAGCCTCCAAAGCCCCCACTCTTAACCTTATGTGATATTGCTTAACATGATCAGGTTATTATTAATTTTATCAATTACTCTGGGGATAGAAAATATATTTTCTCAGAATTGAGTCTTAAATTCGTAAGTGCAAGCCAGAATTATGGCCTCAGCCAAGGCAAGAAGGATGAGAGGTTGAAGAGGAGGCATAGTCATGGGAAAGAAGAGGACATACTTTAGAGGTAGCAAAAGGAAAACTGGCTATGGATTGGATATGAGAAGTGAGGAAGAGAGGAATTAAGAAGGAATCGTAGGTTTTTTAGTTTAAACAAGTGAATTGATGTCACCCAAGTAAGGTAAAGAATATAAAAGGCTGACATATTAAATGTCCTTTGGCTCTGAATCACCAAAAATGTTTATTAGCATTCCATCAATGTCCACATTATGAAGAAAAACAAGAAAAATACATCTAATTTCAAATTCACAGCCCATCTCTAGCAATTGCTTATGACTTGTAGTAGGTTGTCAGTAATTTAACATCTAGCCTTATGTTCTTTTATGCATTTTATATTATTTTAATCTGAATCCCATCATTCATAATTTTATCTTGTTTCATGTTTTACTCAAACATCTTTATCTTTAGAAGAAGCTTAAGCTTTGTTTCTTTCTTCTCCCAATTCTATCCCCAAAGGGAAGTTTTGATAGGTACCAAGAGAAAGCATTATAGTAGCAATTGGAGGGGTTTTTAGGAGTAAATGAAATTAACAAAGGGAAATACAGTTTTTTTACAGTATGCTTTAAATAAAGCAAAATTAACAGGTATGCCTATAATTTGATCATCTTTTCTTTCCTTCCTTCCTTCCTTCATTCCTTCCCTCCTTCCTTCTTCCCTCCCTCCCTCCCTTCCTTCCTTTTCTCTTTCTCTTCTCTCTCTTCTCTCTCTCTCTCTTTCTTTCTCTCTCTTCTCTCTCTCTCTCTTTCTTTCTCTCTCCCTCTCTCTCTTTCACCCATGCTGGAGGGAGGTGGTGCGATCATAGCTCATTACATTCTCAAACTCCTAGACTCAACAGACCCTCCCGTCTCAGTCTCCTGAGTCACTGGGACTACAGAAGTGAGCCACCATGCCAAGCTAGAACTTGATCATTTGACATGTGTGTAAATGAGTTTACCCACACCTTTTTCAAAATACAGTTGACCCACCCCCATGCAGTAGAAAATTCTTGATATAACTGTTAACTCCCCAAAACCTTAAATACAAATAGCCTACTGTTGACCAGAAGCATTACTGATAATGTAAACAATTGATTAACAAATGTTTTTTATGTTATATGAATTATACACTGGATTCCTATAATAAGCTAGAGGAAAGAAAATGTGATTAAGAAAATCATAAGAAAGAGAAAATGTATTTACTATTGATTAAGTAGAAATGGCTCATCATAAAGATCTTCAACCTCACCGTCTTCACATAATGTAGGCTGAGGAGGAGGGGGAAGAAGAGGGGTTGGTCTGACTATCTCAAGGGTGGCGGAGACAGAAGAAAACTTTAAGTGGACTCTTGCAGTTCAAACCCATGTTATTTAAGGGTTAATTGTATGGAACATTTTCATAACCACAGAACATTCCCTTTTTCCCCTCTACAGGCAATCAGCCACTCCCGAAACAACTACTATTCTGATTAAAATCACCATGGATGACTTTGTCTGTTCTAGAAATTCATGCAATTAAACAGTATGTACTTTTTTGGGTCTGGCTTCTTTCACTAAATATAATGTTTTCAGATTCTTCCATGTTAAGTTATTTTCTCTCTTTTATATTTAATAGAATTCCAATGTTTGAACCTGCCACAGAACATTTATCATTTTACCTATTGACTGATAATTTTGGCTTTTTTGCATAAAATTGCTGTAAACATTCACGTACAGGAAGTTTTGCAGACAGACATATGCATGTTATTTCTCATAATCAAAATCCTGAGGGGTATTGTTGGGTCATATGCCAAATAGGTATTTGTTTGAATTTTTTTAAGGTAACAACTTATTTTCTGAATTGATGGTTCCGTTTTACACTTCTACAAGCAATGTATGAGAGTTTTAGCTGTTCTTTACCCTCACTAATAATTTCAGCTGTCAGACTTTAAATTTCAGTTATTCTAGTAGGTGTGTTGCAGTATCCCATCATGGTTTTAGTTGGTATTTTCTTGATGAATAATGCCTGTAACTCATTGGCCATACATATATCTTTTTTTCAAGATGTTTCTATTCAAGTATTTTACCAATTTTTGTTTTTCTATTATTGAATGGTAATAGTGCTTTATACATTTTTGATACAAATTCTTTATTAAATACATGTATTATATTGTATTGTGAATATTTTCTCCTAGTCTGTGGCTCACCTGTATATTTTTCTTAACTATATATTTTGATGAACAAAAATGTTTAAATGAGGATGCAGTCAATTTATCCATTTTAATAAGTAATGCTTTCAATGTGTTATTTAATAAATATTTGCCTACCAAGACTGACACAAATATATCCTATGCTTTACATCTAGGAACATAATAGTTTAGGGTCTAAAGTTTAGTTCTTTGTTCTCTCTTGCATTATACATATATATCATGCGAGGTAAAGGTCAAGGTTTGCTTGTTGTTATTTTCCCTTCAAAATAGATACTCAGTAGTTGCAGCACCATTTGTTGAAACGTTTTCCTCCCCACAACTCCTGCCTTAATTTATATTGGTGCTGTCCTTGTATACCAAAATTTATGTGTAGATTTACTTCTGCTCTACTCTATTCTGTTGATTTACTTGTTTATCCTATCACCTATATTATACTGTGTTGATTACTGTAGTTTATTTTATACCTTAAAAGTCAAACAGAGTAAATATCCCAACCTTCCCCATCTTTTTCAGGATAGCTGGTTATTCTGTCATTTGGATATCCATAACAACTTTAGAATCAACCCAACCATATATTCCAAAAAACCCTACAATTTATATTCCTTTTGTTATATACCCAGTAATGGGATTGCTGGGTCAAGCAGTGTTTCTATCTTTATGTCTTTGAGGAATCTTCACACTTTCTTCCACAATAGTTGAACTAATTTACTCTCCCACCAGCAGTGTATAAGCATTCTTTTCTCCACAACCTTGCCAGCATTTGTTATTTTTTGACTTTTAAGTCATAGCGGTTCTGACTGGTATGAGGTGGTATCTCATTGTGGTTTTGATTTTCATTGTTCTAATGATCAATGATATTGAGCTTTCTTTCATGACTGTTGGCTTCTTTAGAAAAGTGTCTGTTCATGTCCTTTGCCCACTTTGTTATGGGGCTGTTTATTTTTTTCTTGTAAATTTGTTTAAGTTCCTCATAGATGCTAGATATTAGACCTTTGTTGAATGCATAGTTTGCAAAATTTTTCTCCCATTCTGTAGGTTGTCTGTTTATTCTGTTGACAGTTTCTATTGCTGTGCAGAAGCTCTTTAGTTTAATTAGATCCAACTTGTCTATTTTTGCTTTTGTTGCAATTGCTTTTGGTGTCTTTGTCATAAAATCTTTGCCAGTGCCTAAGTCTAAATGGTATTGCCTAGGTTTTTTTCCAGGGGTTTTATAGTTTTGGGCTTTACATCTTAAGTTAATTTTTGTATATGGCATAAGAAAAGAGTCCAGCTTCAATCTTTTGCTTATGGTTAGCCAGTTATCCAAGCACCCTATATTGAATAGGAAATCATTTCCCCATTGCTCATTTTTGCCAGGTGTGCTGAAGATCAGATAGTTATAGGTGTGTAGTCTTATTTCTGGGTTTTCTGTTCTGTTCCATTGGTCTAGGTGTCTGTTTTTGGACCAGTGCCATGCTGCCAGGTTTTGGTAAAAAGAAGATGCTAGCCTTATAGAATGGGTTGGGGAGGAGCCACTGCTCCTAATTTTTTTGTAATAGTTTCAATAGGAATGGTTCCAGCTCTTCTTTGTACATATGGTAGAATTCAGCTGTGAATCCATCTGATCTGGGGCATTTTTTGGCTGGTAGGCTATTTATGAGTCCCTCAGTTTCAGAGCTCATTATTGATCTGTTCAGGTATTTAATATATTTCTGGTTCAGTCTTGGGAGGATGAATGTGTCCAGGAATTGTATATTTCTTCTAGATTTTCTAGTTTACATGCATGGATCTGCTCATAATATCCTCTGATGGTTTCTTGTATTTCTGTAGGTTTGGTGGTAATATCCTGCTTGTCTTTTTTGATTGTGTTTATTTGAAACTCCTCTCTTTTATTCTTTATTAGTCTAGCTAACAGTCTATTTCATTAATTTTTTTCAATAAACCAGCTTCTGGATATATTGAATTTTTGAATGATTTTTCATATCTCTATCCTTCAGTTCAGCTCTAATTTTGGTTATTTCTCTTCTGCTAACTTTGGGATTTGTTTGCTTTTGATTCTCTGGATATATTGAATTTTTGAATGATTTTTCATGTCTCTATCCTTCAGTTCAGCTCTAATTTTGGTTATTTCTCTTCTGCTAACTTTGGAATTTGTTTGCTTTTGATTCTCTTGTTCTTCTAGTTGTGATGTTAGGTTCTTAACCTGATATCTTTCTAATTTTTTATGTGGGCATTTAATGCTATAAATTTCCCTTTTAAGAGCTCCTTAGCTGTGTGCTGGGGATTCTGGTGTGTTGTATCTGTGTTCTCATTAGTTTTAAAGAAAATATTGATTTCTGCCTGAATTTCATTATTTACCCAAAAGTCATTCAGGAGCAGGTTATTCAATTTCCATGTAATTTTATGGTTTTGAGTGACTTTATTAGTCTAAATTTCTAATTTGATTGTGCTGTGTGGTCTGAGAGATTATTTGTTATAATTTCAGTGCTTTTGCATTTGCTGAAAAGTGTTTTGCTTCTGATTATGCGATCAATTTTAGCATATGTGCCATGTGGGAATGAGAAGAATGTATATTCTGTTGTTTTTAGACACAGAGTTCTGTAGATATCTATCAGGTCCATTTGAACAGTGCTGAGTTCAGATCCTGAATATCTTTGTTAATTTTCTGCCTCCGTGATCCATTTAATATTGCCAATGGGGTGTTAAGGTCTCGCACTATTACTGTGTGGGAGTCTAAGTATCTCTGAAGGCCTTTAAGAACTTGCTTTATTAATCTGGGCACTACTTTGTTGGCTGCATACGTATTTAGAATAGTTTGATCTTCTTGTTGAATGGAATATTTTACCGTTATGTAATGCACTTCTTTGCCTTTTTTGATCTTTGTTGGTTTAAAGTCTGTTTTATCAGAAACTAGAATTGCAATCTCTGCTTTGTTCTGTTTTCTATTTGCTTGGTAGATTTTTCTTCATCCCTTTATTTTAAGCCTATGTGTGTCATTACATGTAAGATATGTCTCTTGAAGACAGCATGCCAGTTGGTCTTGTTTCTTTATGCAGCTTGCCACTCTATGTCTTTTAACTGGGGCATTTAGCTTATTTACATTTAGGGTTAGTATCAATATGTGTGGATTTGATTTTGTCATCATGATGTTAGCTGATTATTATGCAGACCTGTTTATGTGTTGCTTTATAGTGTTACAGGTTTGTGTACCTTAGAGTGTTCTTGCAGTGGGTGGTGATGGTCTTTCCTTTTCACATTTAATGCTTCCTTTGGGAGCTCTTGTAAGACAAGTCTAGTGGTAAAAAATTCCCTCAAAAAAATTTCAGATTTTTGTCTGAAAAAAAATCTTATTTCTCTTTCACTTATGAAGCTTATTTTGGCAGGATATGAAATTCTGAGTTGGAATTGCTTTTCTTTAAGAATGTTGAATATTGTCCCCCATTCTCTCCTGGCTTTTAGGGTTTCAGGTGAGTCATATGCTGTTAGTCTGATAGGCTTCCCTTTGTAGGTGACCTGACCTTTCTATCTCCCTTTAATGTGTCTTTTTTTTAATTAAGATGTTGGGGAATTTGATGACTGCTTGTCTTGTGAATGATATTCTGAAGAAGTTTCATACTGGGGTTGTCTGCATTTCTTGAATTTGAATGTTGGCCTCTCTAGCTAGGTTGGGGAAGTTCTCATGCAAGAGATACTGAAATATGTTTTCCAACTTGGTTTCATTCTCCCCATCTCTTTCAGTTACACCAGTGAGTTATAGATTTGGTTTCTTTACATAATTCCATATTTCTTGGAAGTTTGGTTCATTCCTTTTTATTCTTTGTCCTCTATTCTTCTCTGTTTGTCTTATTTCAGAAAGACAGTCTTTAAGCTCTAATATTCTTTTCTCTTCTTGGTCTCTTTTGCTATTAATACTTGTGTTTGCATTATGACATTTTTGAAGAGTGTTTTTCAGCTCTATCAGTTTGGTTACATTCTTTTCTACACTGGCTATTTTGTCTGCCAGCTTCTGCATTGTTTTATCATGATTTTTAGCTTCCTTGTATTCTGTTATAACATACTGCTGTAGCTCAATGGGTTTAATTTCTATCCCTAGTGGGAATTGCATTTCTATCATTTCAGCCATCTTAGCCTCAGTCAAATTCCAGATCCTTACTGGAGAGGTGATGCGGTCATTTGGAGGAAAGAGGGCACTCTAACATTTTGAGTTTTCAGGGTTCTTGCACTGATTCTTTCTTATCTTTGTGGAGTTATCTACCTTCAATCTTTGAGGTTGCTGAACTTTGCATGGTTTTTCTTTTCTTTTATCCTATTTGATGACATTGAGGGTTTGATTGTGGTATAAGGTGGCTTCAGCTGAGTGGCCCTGACTTTGTCCTCTGGCTCCTCCAGGTTTGGAGTTCATTGTGCTGGAGGTGGGGGACAGAAATGTGGTAGCCGCAGCAAGAGTGCTAGCAGATACAGGGGTACCTGCTTCTCTGCAGGTGTTCATCACAATGATGGAAGCAATAAAGCTTGAAGGGAGGTGGAGGGCCCCTGCTGGAGACTGTGTGTGCTGTTGCACTGGAGATGGTATTGGATCGGGGTGGGGTTCTGGCCAGCACAGGTCTGGGTGGCTGATCTGTGCCCCACAAGCAGGAGTGATTGCTCAGGTTGTGAGAGAATCTCCTGTTCTCTTCCTAGAGTTAGTGCAAGGGCAGCGTGCTGGCAAAGGAGGGGTTTTTAGGCTCTTCCTGCCAAGGATCCATCTTTAGGGTGTTCAGTAGGGATGGTGGGGGCTTACTGCACTCCTGCATACTGGTGCTACAACTAAAGCAAAACCTGATTGGACAGACACATGCCAGCAAAGTGATGTGGGGAGTTGCCGTGGACTCTGGGGAAGCTGCAGTGTGGGGAGGGAACATGTGGGCTGATGCACAGCTTTATGGGATCCCGTGTTGGAGCTCTCCACCACTCATGCATGGTCCACCAGTACAGAAGCTATGAGGTGGGTCCCTAGGGCACCTAAGTCTGTTCTGCAAGCAGGCTAGGCCAGACTGGGGCCCTGGGAGAGCCAGTAGACCAAGGAGTGCTCAGATCAGACCAGCCCCATCTGATGTGCAAGACCACCGTGCAGAGATTAAGTCTGACAGTTCCCCTAAGGCTAAAGACTCTTTTGGGACTAAGTCAACCCCAGAGAGATGGCCATCCATGGCTGTGTTCCACTATACATGTTTCCGCACCAATCCCTCTGGGCTCCACATCAACTAGCTTACTGCCCCCACCACTTTGTCTATTTCCTGGGGGCCCCACCCCAGAAAGATGTGAGTCAGCAATTGCTCAAAGCAATCAGCCCAGGATGAAGGGTCTGTGCTCTGGACCCAAGCCAGGGGTTCCCAGTCTAGTGATGAGCAGTGCGGGATATGTGGGACCCATGGGAGGCACACTGGCCTCCTCTCCTTGGGTCAACTGCAGCTTGTTGGAGGTGTGGATAAGGCGCTTCAGGTCTTTGTTCTGGCATTAGTCTTAAGCTAGTGAGGAAAGTTCCACTACAGTGGCAGTGGTGGAGAGGCTTTCAGTTGTCCATGGAGGCTCTGCACAGGGAGTTACTGAGTTGCTATTGGTTCAATAGCTCTGGCAGGGGGTGGTTAGAGACCCAGGCCTGGAGGTCCTGCCCAGTTAGAAGATACGGGAATGGGCATCCATTTAACAGTCTAGCCACCTTTCCGTAGGGCTGCTGCAGTATGCTGGGGGTCTGCCCCAGTCCCTAGTAGCCTCGGAGGTATCACCAGCGAAGGCTGTGAAACACCAGAGGTGGCAGCCTTCCCCTCTCTCTGGGTGCTCTGTCCCAGCGAGGTACAAACCTGTTGCTGGCCCAAATGCACCTATAAGAGGGGGCTGGAGACACCGGTTGTGAGGTCTCATCCACTGAACAGGAACAGCATGGGGGTCTCTCTTGAAAAAGTAGTCTGGCAACGTTTTTGTAGGGCATCTGTGCTGTGCAAGAGGACTTCCTCTTCCCCTGGTTGGCTTGGATCCTCCAAGGCCTGAAGGTTGGAATGGCTAAGTCACACAAACAGCAAAAATGACAGGCCACTCCTCCCTTTGGGAGCTCTGTCCCAGGGAGGTTTCAAGACTGTTTGTTGGAGAACACTGTCAGGGGTGACCGAAGGCCCCATTTGGGAGGTCCCGCCCAATGAAGAAGAAAGGGATTGAGAACCTGCTTTAAAAAGCAATCTGGGCACATTTTTTGCAGAGCAGCTTTGCTATGCTGGGACATTCCTTCCACTCCTGGTTGGCTTGGACTCTCCAAAGCCTCAAGTTTGAAACAGCTAAGTTCTCCAAACAGCAATGATGGCGGCCTGGCCCTTGTCCTGGAAGCTTCCTCTCAGGGAGATTAATGTTGCTACCAGTGGCTGGTTGAAATTCCAAGCCAGTGGGTCTTATGCTGTCAGGTGCTGTGGAATTGGAGCCTGCACACTGTTGCTGCTCACCCCGTTGGCTTCAGCCTCTTTCCTAGGGGGTATGTACAGGGGTCTAACCTTCTACTTTGCAGTTGCAACTACTTTTTCTGGGAAGCCCACAAAATCCCAGTATCTAAGGCTCCTGGGTCTTTGCATGTACCTGAGTGGCTGCTCTGCCAAGACTCCATGTAGCTCTGTGTGTCAGACCGAAGGCTCTGGTAGAGTGGGTTCATGACCCAAGGGGTGCAAGATCTGTGGGAGAAGCATGAGTTCCTAGAGTTGTACATTCACTCATCACTTCCCTGGGTCGGGGAGGTTTCCTTGGCTCCATGTCACTCCTGGGTGGGCCATTGTCCTGCCTTGCTTTTCTCCATTCTCCAGGGGTAGAGTTGTTTCCTTGATGAGACACAATGCCAGTACCTGCATGTTTC
This sequence comes from Homo sapiens, assembly GCF_000001405.40. Classification (NCBI taxonomy): domain Eukaryota; kingdom Metazoa; phylum Chordata; class Mammalia; order Primates; family Hominidae; genus Homo; species Homo sapiens. The sequence continues at coordinate 123,332,732 of NC_000002.12, read as the reverse complement.
AGTTGAAGGTGCTGTATTTATTCGCCCCTTCTGTTCCTGTCTGGAGAACCACACACACTGGCTGCTGCTCCTAGTTGGCCATCTTGGCCACACCAGTAAAACTTTCTCTTGCTGGAAGGAAGCATTTTTAAGAATAGAATTATCTGATGTATTTCAAACTGGTTGCTTCTCCCCTCTTCTTGCTAGAATCAGGAGGATATTTTGTTCTAATCTTCACAATGGGAACCAGATACAGCTCCTAAAGGGAAAAGTCAAAGAAGTGTGAGTGCCCCAACTTGCCTGGCCTCCACTGGAGTTTGTAACACTCAGACTTGTCTATCCTAAGCCTACAGTCATTTTTCAGTTACAGTTTAGGTTTTCCTATACTGGTTGTTTGTTCCCACAGAGTTTTCAGATGAGTTATCCATCAGTCAATTGTGAATCTTTGTACTTGGCTCTTTGTTTCATCAATGTTTGGAGGCAGTGGCTTAATCTGTAAACTCACATCTCTGATGTGTCTAAGAGAACACATCTGTTATTAATTTTTCAGTTTGTTCAGCTTTTTACTTGTTGTTAGGGTGGAGTGATGACTTCAAAACTACTTTTTATGTCTGTTTTCAGTTATTTTCAGAGTATTCATAATTAACATTCTAAATTTACAACATCTAGTTTAAGTCGACATCGAGTTCACTTCAATAGCATGTATTAACTACGCTTTTTTCTAAATACAGCTCTTCTTTTTAAGTTATTATCACAAATTACAAGCATATACATTAAGCTCCTGATAATGTAGACTTAAAACTACTGTTTTAAGCTTTGTCTTTTAATTTATGTATGAAAGCAATAGTGTTATGTAGCAAAAATACAATACTAGGTTTTATATTAATCTATATATTTAAAGAGATCTTCATTCTTCATATGACTTTGAGGTACCATCTAGTATCTCTTTGTTTCTGCTTAATGAAATTTCTTTAGTGTGTCTTGTAGAAAAGGTCTGCCAGCAATAAACACCTTCAGCTTTTGTTTAGCAGGTAATATCTTAATTTCCCTTTCATTTTTGAAAAATAGTTTTGCTTGATACAAAGTTTTGGTTGACAGTTCCTTTGTTTTTCCCTTCTTTCAGCACTCTAAATATATCCTCTTACTGCCTTCTGGAATTCATGGTTACTGATGAGAAATCTTGTTAAGAATCCCTCATATATGCTAAGACTCTTTTGTCTTGCTGCTTACAAGTTATCCTTGTTCTTGTCTTTTGACAATTTGATTATAAAAAGTCTCAATGTTGCTTTCTTTTTGTTTATTCTGTTTGGAGGTCATTGAGAAACTTGAATTTGGGCATAAACGTCTTTTGTATTTATAAAGTTTTAAGCTACTATTTTTTCATATATCTGTTTTTCCACTTTTCTGTTCTCCTGGGATTACAATTATGAATATATTGGTATGTGTGATGGTGTCTCCTAGCTCCCTTGGAGTTCATTTTTCTTTATTTTTTTTTCTTTTGCTCCTCAGAATGAGTGATTTGAATTGCTCTTTCTTTAGTTATATTCATTCTTCTGACTGCTCAACTATGCTTTGGGCATCCTTTAGTAAATTTTGTATTTATTGTATTTTCTGCTCCTGAATACTTTTTATAATGTCCACCTCTTTACGTATTGATATTATCTATTTATTCACACACAGTTCTCCCGTTTCCCTTTAGTACTTTGTCCAGGTTTCGTTCAGCTTTTGAGCATATTTAAATAGGTAATTTAAACATTTGTATCTATTAAATCAATGTCTGGGTTTCTTAGAATGGTTTCCTGTCAATTTATTCTTCTACTGGGCCATAATTTATTGTTTCTGTGTATGCTTTGTATTTTTCATTGAGAACTGGATCTTTTGACTGTAATGATATAACTCTCAAAATTCAGATTCTTTTCCTTCCCATGGATTGGCGATGTTACTTGATGCCCCTGCAATCATCTTTTTATTGGTGGCTTTTCCAAATTATTTTCACAAAAACTATTTTTCTTATTATATGTAGTCAATGATGACTCTCTTCCATTACTTCACGGCGAGCAGTGCTTTAACAGAGATTTCCTATATTATTTGGATCCAATGTAAAATTTTTTTAAAATGTGTTTATCTTTTCATACCTTCTTAGACTGATATTACTGGTAAAGCTGCTTCAGCCTGAAGTCTTGAAACAGTGGCCAGTCTCTGTGCCAGACACTTAGCAATCACAAGCAATTGTCAAAACATACACCGTAATTTTTGAAGTACAATATACCTATCATCCACCCTAGCACCAGCAAGCCACACTGGAATTGTTGGCCCCCATCCACGTGGTTGTTCACTATGGGACTGAAGGGTAGAGAATGGGGGCCATTATAGAAAACAGTGAATTTCACTGTAATGAACCCTGACTCTTTCTTCATAAAGCTATCATCTGGAGACTACAAGTGTCCAAATAGACTCGAGAATTCCAAAGTAGTTTCTCTAGATACTTCTTGTCAGTTCAATAACTGTTTTGGTAAAGGTACTAAGTTCTGGAGCTTCTCACTTTGCTATCATCTGTTATGTCATTCTAATTTTCTGTTTTCTAAATAAAGATTGTGTTAATCTTATAAAGTGAGTTTTGAAAAGTTGCTTTTTCTCTATTTTTCTGAAAGAGTTGGTGTAAGATACTTTTGTTTTATTGTTAAATATTTGATAAAACTTAGAAGTAAACACATTTCATTTATGTGGGTAAATTAGATGTTTGTATGTGCGCATGCTTTTAATAATCCAATATTTATTTCTTTAAGGAGTGTAAAGTTATGCATTTTATTATTCATGGTGCGTCAATTTTAAGTAGTACTTTTCTAGGCATTCCTAATTTTTTTTTAATGTCAGTAAAATTAGTAAAAAGTCTTCTTTTTCACAAACTGGAGATGTGTGAATTTTAGTTTTTCTCTGTTTCTCCACATTTTTAATTTTTTTAATATGGTAGCATATGTCATTGACTTTAAACATTTCTTCTTCATTAAATATAGGCATATTGATATTTAAAATATATACTAGTGTTTCGTTTGTCTACATCCATAATGTTGCCATGAACATGAGTGTACAAATATTTCTTTGAGTCCCAGTTGTCTTTTATACCTATATCTGCAAGTGGAATTTCTGGATTATATGGTAATTCTATTTTATATTTATTTTTTTAATAGCATATTGATACTATTCTTCATGCTATTTGCAGTGTTTTACACTCCCATCAGCAATGCATGAGGGTTTCAATAGTTCTACATCATTATCAAAACTTATTATTTTCTATTTTCATAGTAGATATTCTAATTCATGTAAATGGCATGTCATTTTGATTTTGATTTGCATTTTCCTAATAATTGGAAATGTATTTTTTGGTAAAACATACACACACATACATGTAACATTAGATCTACCTTTAGATCTACCCTTTTAACACATATTTAAATATGCAGTCCATTATGGGTAACTATGATCATGATGTTATACAGTAGATCTCTAGAATTATTTTATCTTTTATAACTAATACTTTACACTCATTAAACAATAACTCATTTTCCCTCTTCCCCTACCCCTGGCAACCACCCATCATTATAATTTCTACTTCTATGTATTTGACTATTTTATATACTTCATATAAGTGCAGTATTTATCCTGCTGTGTGACTGAGATTTTTTTTTTTTTTTTTACTTAGCATAATGCTCTCAAAGCTCATCCATCTTATGGCATATGATAAGATTTCCTTCTTTTAAAGCAGGGGTCCCCAACCTTTTTGGCATGAGGGACCAATTTCCTGGAAGACAGTTTTTTCATGGATGAGGTGGGTGTGGGGTGGTTTCAGGATGAAGCTGTTTCACCTCAGGTCATCAGGCATCAGATTCTCATAAGGAGCCTGCAACCAAAAACCCTTGCAACCTAGATCCCTCACATGTGCACTTCACAATAGGGTTCACATTCCTATTATAATATAATGCTGTACCTGAACTGACAGGAAGCAGAGCTCAGGTGGTACTGCTGCCTCACCAGACACTCACCTCCTGTTGTGGTTCTTAATGGGCCACACACTGATACCAATCTGAGGCCACAGTTTAGGGATCCATGTTTTAAAGGCTTAATTATATATATAGATATAGATGTCTATGAGATATATATCATATATTGTATTATATCATATATGATGCATGTATATAATATATGTATCATATATATCATATACATATCATTTATATCATATACATATCATATATACATTTTCTCTATGCATTCATCTGCCAGTGGGCATTTAGGTTTCTTCTACATCTTGGCTTTTGTAAATAATGTTATAATGAACACAGCTGTGTAAATAAATACCTCTTAGATATCTTGATTTCAATTCTTTTGGACAAATATCCAGTACTAAAATTGCTGGATCATATGATAATTCTATTTTTAATTTTTTGAGAAGCCTCCCTATTGTTTTCCATAATGACTATACTAATTTACTAGGGTTTCGTTTTCTAAATATCCTTGCTAACGTATTGCCTATTTATTTATTTTATTTTTGCAAAAGCCATTATATATGTGTGAAGTAATATCTCATTGTGGGTTTAATTTGCATTTCCCTAACAATTAATGATGCTAATCATCTTTTCATATACCTATTGGTCATTTATATGTCTCTGTTAAATAAATGTCCATACACATCCCTCCTAGTTGATTTTGTGCTGCGATAATGGATATCTGAGACTGGGTAAATTATAATGAACAGAAATTTATTGGCTCACAGTTCTGGAAGCTGGGAAGTCTAATATTGAGGGGCTGGTATCTGGCAAGAGATTTCTTGCCCATCATCTCATGGTGGAAGGGCAAAGAGAGCATGAGAGAGACAGACCAAAGGAAGGTGAACTCATCCTTTTATGAGGAACCCACTCTCATGATAACAAACACACTGCTGCAATAACAGCATTAATCTATTCATAAGGACAGACCCCTCATGGCCTAATTAAATCTTAAAGATTCCATATCTCAGTACTGTTGCAGTGCCAATTAAATTTCAACATGTGTTTGGCCAGAGACAAACATTCAAACTATAGCAATGTTCTTTGCCCATTTTAATAATTAGGTTATTTGTTTTATGTTTGCTTATATTTCTTTGCTTGGTTTTTATTTGTTTTTTGTTTTATTTTATTTTTATTTTTGGCTATTGAGTTGTAGTTCTTTATATATATTGAATACTAACCCCTTATTAGATACATGGTTTGCAAATATTTTCCCTATTCTGTATGTTGCATTTTTAATCTGTTGATTTTTTTTCTTTGCTCTGTAGAAGCTTTTTAGTTTGATGCAGCTCCACTTGTGTATTCTTGTATTTGTTGCCTGAATTTTCATTGTCATATAAAAAAAATTACCAAGATTAATGCCATGAAACTTTTCACCTGTTTTGATCTAGAAATTTCATATTTCAGGTGTTACATTTAAGATCTGGGTCCATTTTTATTCTTTCATTTGTGAATATTCAGTTTTTCTAACACCATTTGAAGAGATAATCCCATCCCCATTGTGTATTCTTGGCACCGTTGTGAAAAACAAGGCTAAAAGTATATATATGTGGGTTCATTTTGGGGCTTTTTATTCTGTTCCATTGGCCACTTTTATGACACTACCACACTGTTTTGATTATTTTAGCTTTGTAATATATTTTAAATCAAGAAATTTGAGGCTTCCAGCTTTGTTTTTCCACGAAACTCTTTTGGCTTGTCAGCATCCTTTGTGTAGCCATATGAATTTTAGAACTGCCTTTTTTCTATTTCTATAAAATATGCCATTATGATTTTGATAGGGATTGCACTGAATCTGTAGATCACTCTTGGTATATGGACATTTTAACAATTTTAAGGCTTCCAGTTTATGAATATGCAATGTCTTTTTTTTCTTAAATTCTTTTGTCAATATTTTGTAGTTTTCATTGTTCTAGTTTTTCACCTCTTTGGTTAAGTTTATTTTTAAGTATTTTTTAAGTTTTTGTTATTAGTGTATAATTAAATTGGTTTATTAATTTTCATCTCAATTTGTTGATGGTTATAAACGCAAATGCACAACTAAATTTTTGTATGTTGATTTTGAATCCTGACACTTTACCGAATTTATTAGTTTTAAGGTTTTTTTAAAAATTTGAATCTTAAAGAGTTCTTCTATATAAAGTCATTTCTTCTACACACAGGGATAATTTTACTTTTGCCTTTAAAGTTGAATTCATTTTATTGTTTTTCTTGCCTAATTTCCATCCTGGCTAGGATACTAAATAGAAATGGTAAGAATGAGCCTTATTTTTTTGCTCATGATTTAAGAGGAAAGGCTTTCAGTTTTTTACCACTAAGTAAAATGTTAACTCTGGGCTTTTCATATATGGTCCTTTCATGTTGAGGTAATTTTCTTCTACTGCTAGTTTGTTGAGTGTTTTTATCATGAAATTGTGTTAAATTTAGTCAAATGTGTTTTCTGCATCTATTAAGGTGATCATTTGTTTTATCCTTTGTTATGTTAATGCAGTGTATTACAGTGATTTATTTTTGCATGGATTTAAATAAATGAAGGAAATGTCGGCAGAACTAAAGAGAGGAATACACAACAACACAATAAGAGTAGGAAATTTCAATAATCCATGTTCAATAATGGATAGAGCATCCAGACAGACGATTAATAAGAAAATGGAAAACTTGAACAACACTGTAGATCAAATGAACCTAACACACATGTATAGAACATTCCATCCAAAAATAATTGGCAGAATTCACATTCTTCTCAAGTACACATGGAACATTCTCCAGGATGGATCACAGGTTAAGTTACAAAACAAGTCTTAGCAAATTAAATTGACTTGATATCAAATGTATTTTCTCATTGCAATGGAATAAAGCTAGAAATTAATAGTAAAAGAAAAACCAAAAACTACAAATATGTACAAATTAAACAGCACGCTCTTGAACAAACAATAGGTCAAGAAGAAATTAAAAGTGAAATTAGAAAATATCCTGAGAAGAGCAAAATTAAAATACAGCATACCAAAATTAACAGGATGCAGCAAAAGCAGTACTAACAGGGAAATGTATAATACTAAATGCCTACATTAAAATGGAAAAAATCTCAAATAAAAATCTAACTTTATGCCTCAAATAACTAGAAAAATAAGAACAAACTAAACTGAAAGTTAACAGATAGAAAAAAGTAGTACAATTATAGTAGAAATAACCAAAATAGAGGATAAAAAGAACACTAAAAAATGCAACTAAAAGTTTGTTTTGAAGATATCAATAAAATTGGAAAACTGTCACCTACAGTAAGAAAATAAGACAGAAGACTCAAATTAAAAAAATAGAAATGAAAGAGGAGACATTAAGCTGAAACCATAGAAATACAAAGTATCAGATGGGACTATTGTGAATAAATAAATGCCAAAAAGTTAGATAATCTAGAAGAAATGAAGAAATTCCTAGAAACATACAGCCTATGAAGACTGAGTCATGAAGGAACATAAAACCTGAATAGACCAACAATAAAGAGTTGAATCAAAAACCTCCAAACAAAACAAAGTCCAAGTTCAGATGGTTTCACTGCTGAATTCACCTAAATATTTAAGAAAGAAATGTAAATCTTTCTCAAACTCTTCCAAACATCTGAAGAGGAGAGAATGCTTCCAAGTTCACTTTATGAGATTATCATTGCCCTGATATGTAAACCAGACAAATGTAAAAGAAAACTACAAGCCAGTATCCCTGATGAATATAGATACAGAAGTATTCAAAGGAATACTAGCTAATGGAATTTAATGGCACACTAAAAGAATCTTACAGCATGACCAAGTGAGTTTTATTCCTAGGATGCAATGATGGTTCAACATACCAAACACTCTTTATGCGATGTTTGTTGTTATCTATTAGAATTGCATTGACTGCAAATCAACACAACCTTCCGTTAGGTTAATCTCAAGACTCCCCTTTCCATACCTCTAATCTCTCTTAGAATGTGGATGAACCAGGATCTAGGATTTGAGACCTTTAACTGGAAAAGAAATTGGATTAACAGTGTATTATTGTACGGCATCTATTTGATTTACAGTGGCCATTGTGGAGGCCACTTCTTTATTTTTTTCTTAGCATCCTTTACTGCTCATTTGGCTAATAAATACAAAAAAAGAGTTTGGAAACTGGTTGTCTCCCCACTCTTCTTCACAAAATACTTTAGAACAAATATGGGAACCAGAATAAAGAAAAAAATACAACTACAATTGATAGTGTAAGCTCTATACCTTAAGAAAAACCCATTTCTTAACACCTTTCTACTTACCTTTTGAGTATTACTATGGGCTGCTTTAAGAAAAAACGGCATCTTCAAAAAGAATTAAGTTAAACATAATGGGCATGCATTACCTTTTTAAGCAGTGATCTCATCTCAGGTGGATATATGTCCAAAGAGATGTATGACTGTCATCAATTAATTATCTACTTCTCTTCCTGTGAGAAAGAGAAAACAAGTTATTAGAGGGAGAATATAAAAGTGTTTACTTTTACACTAAGCTATCATCCCTTAATAATTATCTGGAAGTCCCATCTGGTGTGACAATAAGGAAGAAAACCAACCCATGTTAACAACAAAGACAGGTAATGACTTATATTTGTAAAATGCAAAGAAACTAAGTGATCAAATGTAAAATGTTATGTAATTTTTTCAACATACAACACAGTGAATAAAACATAGTAGGTACATAAGTTTATTTCAGCTTGACATGGAAAGTAAAATGAAAGAATATACATAGACTGGTGTATTTATGTGACCTTTTTTGGAAAAGGTAGCTTTTCCATTTTAAGTAGTGAAGAATCAAGTATATTTATTGCAATTACTGAGCCAAAGATATGACAAAGAGCTTTTATTCTTTAAAGGGGCTATAGGTGTTGGCCAGTGTACATCCCAGGTAAGCCTTGACTGGCTCAATGATGTAAACTTTCCAGGAGCATGCACTAGGAAGAAGGTTAGTACCTCTGATGCCCAGTGCTCTTGGGTCTGATCATAATGGAGTTGTAATGGGACTAACTGGTGTGAAGGTTGCGTAAGGAGAACTCTGAAATGCAAACCTGCTTATGTGCTATTCTGCCTCAACTTTAGCATTATTATAAGAGTTTTCAGCCCTCTCTTCCTATTTTAACCTACAGCCTGTGTGTATTTGAGCCATCAAACCAATTGAGTGGAGTTATGTAGTGGAAAGGTTTCAAATGAGAGTTTCACTCACATTTAAAAAGTCATATTACTGTAGCTTTCTCTGCTTAGCCTTGGGAAAAGAAAAAAAAGCCATATATCAATATCTAAGTGCTGCAAAAAGCACGCCATGCACTTTCTCCTTTAACTGCTTCATAAAACTGAATTTCTGTCTACAGAACAGAAGCTAAATATGAACTCATTCTGTAAGGGCAGAAAGAGTAATTTTCTTTTTAGTGTTCCATATGGCTAAATTTCACATAAAAATCCTCATGTGACTAAGACTAAGGCAATTTCTTGCGGTGCATCACCAAATACAAGGAAAATTTCAAGAAAAACTGAGAAAATACATGAGTTAGATCAAGGTATTAACTTGCTGAATCTCTTCTTAATAATAGTGAATATTTAATATGTGCTAAGAAGTTTGAGACACACAAAAGTCCAAACCTAGGACAGTGCACCCAATTATTAAGTAGATAACACCAATATGAGAAAAGAATAGTTTAAGCAAGGATACAATAATATGCTATAAATATCACTAACTTTGATAATTTCACCCAGTGAAAATATATGTTTCAACCTTGGTTATATCTTTTGAAAATAGTATATATCCAAACAAACATAGCTCCCTCTCAGTCATTTAACTGCTATCTCTAGTCATTTCTTTTCCATATCAAGAACTGTTACTAGCCATACATGAGGGACCAATAAATGCTACTTCTGTAGCATTTTCTATCATTTAAAAATTAATGTTATATGCATTATCTCTCTAAGATCATGGCTTACCCTAGGTTCTCTGATCTGTATGTAACAAGCTTGGGTCAAAGCCAAAATTATTTCTAGGTTATAAAAACAATAAGACTAGAGATTGGTACCAGATCTGGGTTTTGGTAAGAATATGGCAGTGGCTTGTATCAAGTTTTAGCAATTTTTTCTCCCCAGAGTAAGGCTCACTTGCATAATTGGAAGACATCTGATGCTTTTTTGCATTGTCAGGGTGCTATTGAACCAATTTAGAGAACCAAATTATCTCTGCAAGGACCACTTGGTCTCTCGATAAATGGTTCTCCTTGACTTGTACTATAAAACTTTCTTTTAGCTTACGTTGAATGTTAGGGGGTTCACACAAAACATTTCATTCCAATTCATCAGGAAGTCATAAAAATATTATTCATTGCTTCATTTAGTGTCTTCTGTAGAAAGACCAAAAAAGAGAAAAAAATAACCATCATATTTAAATGCCAAGAAAATAACTGTTCCCTTGAAAAGCTTTCATGATTTTCCTTTGGACATTATGAATCATGTAACTCACTGCTTCCATTTTTGCTTTGGCCTTCCAAATATCAGAGTTAAATTTATGATTTGGTTTAAAAACTGTGAATTTCTCTATAGCCTGGATATTATTGTGTTAGAGTTCTAGTCCCAATTTCAAAATGGATTTGATATTCCTCTGTATCATTATTTCCCAATCTTCTATTATTTTTTGCTTCATGTTAGATTATCCAAATCTTCTAACAAAGAATATGAAAAATTCAAAGCAAGTAAGAAGTTCAATTATTTAGAATTTTAATGATTATTTGCTATGACAAAGTAAACATACTGTAAGGATTTGAACTTTTTACAGGAACTTTGCTTTGCCTATCAAAAGGTAATTTAGAGTTTATGAATCTAGATTTTTGACAGAGACAGTTTCATGAATTAAAAGGTCAGTTCTGCTTAGTTACTACTATTTTGAAGGCGAATTTGATTTTAGAATCTGATTCAATGACCCAATCATATTTTCCTTCTATTTTTATCTCTCTGAGCCATTTTCATGCTTGTTGGATTAAATATCTATAAAAGAATGCTTGGCAAAATAAAAAAAAAAATATATAATAAATTGAGCACAATCAGCTCTCCACTTCATTCTTGCTTTGAAATGAAAGCGATATAGCACTATCACTGTAAAAAGTGACAGGGCAGACAGAGGCTTATTAAAAATGTATTATCTTTACAGTTTTACATGCATTAAATATGTCAACGCTTTTCCAATTCTTTTACTTTTTCAGCCTGAAACAGAAGGGGATTCAACAGGGGAACATCTTTTGTGCCAGGACTCAGCTGAGTTATTGCATTTCCTAATCCAAAAAAGCAGATTTCATTATTTTATGCAAAGACAAATCTTGTTAAATGTCTGTATTATTTTTTCTTCTGAAAAGAAAGAGTCTACTCCTTTCTAATACCACTTTGCAATCATTAAAACATATAAATTAAAAAAAATTGTCTGTAAACTCGAAGTTTGTTCAGAAGCAAAATATCAACCTCACAATGAGAAAATGAGTTTGAGACCACAAACCTAAATTCCAGAGCCATGGTGGGATTTGGGGTTGATGCATAGGAAAATGAAAAGCCATTCTATAGGCTCAGAAGTGTTCATTCTACTTGGGCTGATTTTCATAAGACTGCCCTCCACTGACTGTACAAAATTCTCTATCGGGGAAACATGCCTCTGGCTACTATATCCCTGCAATCCGCTGTGATGCTGTGATATCAAGTCTGTATCGAGCCCTCTTCCCCCAAACATATTACCCCTCAGATCTTAATATTTGTGTAAGCAGTTAAGAGCTTGGCACTACTTTCACAAGGAATTTGAGTTTTAACAATAACAATAAAATATTAGTAGAGTGATCTTCAAGAATGCATTGTGGAAAAATTTAAAAGAGTGGCAGACCCAAAATCATGCCACATAGAGAATCACCTAATATTGATGCTGTCATCTCAGACCACAAATCTGGACAATGAGGAGAGGTTTCCTTTGTTAATGAAGATGTAATAATGTGGCCTTTAAATTGGTATTTTCTCTGCATTGCAGTGAAAATATTGTAACATAAATGCTTAATTGGTTAAACTAAGTGTTCTCTACAACAACTACCAGGTAGCCATTCAAAGGGATAGTGTAGAATAATGTTTATTGGGAAAAATGTGCAAGATAAATGACTGACTAAGGTAGAGGGCAAATATACAAAAAACTATTTTCCAAATTTTCTAAAAGTAGCATGGTAATAACTGCATGTGGAAGAAAATACTCAAAAACCTTTATTCTATTTTCTTCTTAAAATAAAAAAAAGACAATTTATTTTTCTCTTTTAAGTAACGTTTCTCAATGAAAAAGAAAAAGATCTACTTTTCTTAGTTCTCACTTATATTTGAAGAATATTCTAATTTAGAGACCTAATTAGATACCTAATTTTTTGATGAATCTCTTATCCCTTTTCTAATTAAAATTTAAGATGTGTGGGTCTCACCTGAATACCTCAGGCCTATAGCAGTGATTTAAACAATAAAAGCAATAATACACTTCAAGTAGCAGTGATCATCCATCTCTATCAAAGAATCTTACATCAATAAACCACACACTGATTTAAGAATATCAATTAGGCCTCTTATAGTTTAGCGAGAAGTTGAAAGCTGCCGTCTTGTTTCTGAATCTGTGTCAAAGTGATTGAGCCACTGTATAAGAAAGGCCCCTAATATGAGGAGGGAAAACAATTGCAGCGAGAGAGGAATTTTTTCATAGTGCTAGATTCTAAAGAACAAATGTGACTTGGTAGCTCATCAGCACATGAACTTTTTTCACTAAACAAATCTTGGGCAGACAAATATTGCCCCAAGATGAGAGAATAACATGCACATAAGCCCATATTTTAACACTACATTGGGAGATAATGGTGACGCCACATTTCAGCCATCAAAGTTGTTGTGGTTTTGTTGACATGGTGAGCTTTCTACCAAAATAAACTAGTGAAGAAAAAGGGAATTCTCTTTTGTTGGCCCTTAAATATGAGCTCCACCATGAGAATGGAGCAAGAAGTTGCCTTTAGGCCAATAGTCTTGTCTGTTTTGTTGACAATCTAATATGTGCCATGATTTTTCCTTATGGTGTTTTATTTTATCTGTGTAGTAACCCTATAAGATGGGCACTATTCATTTTACAGAAATGGGAGTTGAGACTTAAAGGGATTCTCTTATTTCCTAAGAAAAGGTAGAGCCTAGATGTCAAATTTATATCACAGTGTGGTGAGGTTAAAGGGAACATTTCCTGAGACTATAAGGTACTGGTAACATCTTCAGAAGATTTCTACAATTTTCATATTTGTGGACTACATAAATTATTTTCAGTTAACATAAAATAATAACATATTTCCAACATGAGATTCATCATAAAAAGCCTACTTTCTCTCTTTTCTGACCAGTTTCACCTATGATATTTATAATATACCCATGACCCATTTCCAATCTGTTTATTCACAGTACCACTTATTACCTATGTCTGAATTGCTTTTACTTTCCTGTGAAATTTCATAGAATATTTGTTTATACATATATTTATTAGTTAATGCCTTTCGGAATGTGTTTTCTTACTTTAGTTCACTCTTACATGGTCTCTTTATCTTACTTAATTCTAATCTGCATTTTACTTGACATAAATATGTTAATAACATCGACCATTTTTTTTCAATGTTTACTATTAGTATGTTGCAGCAAAGTTATTAAATGTATTAAAATATCACTTCATGTAATAACCATAAAACTTCTGGGGCTGATAGTATTACCCCTTTTTACATTTTAGAAAAGTTCGGTGAGATTTAATAAAAAGATTAAATGCTTGTGATATAGTTTGTACATTTGTTCCCTCCAAATGTCATGCTGAAATTTGATCCCTAATGTTATATACGGGGCCTGGTGGAAGGTGTTTGGGTAGGCAGGGGCAGATACCTTATGAATGGCTTGATGCCTTCCTCAGGGTTATGAGTGCGATATTACATTATTAGTTCCCTTGTACTGTGATTGTAAAAAACGCCTGGCCCCTCCTCCCCGCTCTCCTGTTCCCTTTCTCTCACTGCATCATGCCTACTTCACTCCATCTTTCATCATGACTTCAAGCTTCCTGAAAGCTGGTGCTACAGTGCTTGTACAACATGAAGGGCCATGAGCAAAATAAACTACTTTTGTTAAAGAAATTACTCTAAAGAAAGTCAGGTATTTCTTTACAGCAAGACCAAACAGACTAATACAGGTAGTATATTGTGGTGGGGGAAAAATATTTCCTAAATTAAATCTGAAGAGGAATTGCAAAATTAAAAAATTAGATGTTTGGAAATGATCTGAGAAGTCACTAAGTGGCATATTTTTCTTACTGCACTCTGCAGCAGCTACCAGTGATCCATGATACTATCCATTTGGGGAAAATCAATGAGCAGTAAGAATTCAAGGTCCCCCACTTCCTAGTCTATTAAAACACTTTTCCTCTATCTGTTATATATTGTGTAAATGTACAATTTCATTTAATAAAAGTAATCTAGGCTGCAACATTTTGGAAATGGACAACCAAACCTAATAGTGAAATATAACATAAAGGTCTTTAGTTGATCTGTTAATGTTTGCATTTCAGTTACCCCAATAATTAGCTAAGGTCCAATATTCTCATCTTTTAAAAGACAAAAATTATTCTTATCTCAGTAGATTTTTTAAAATAGATGTAAGAATGCATGGAAATACAGAAATATGTGAACAGTACCTAAAACCCAACAACAACAAGATGTTTCAATTATTGCCTGATTACCTTTATCCTCCCAGAACATCCCATCAAGTGACATTGCAGATGTTTCAATACACATAGTGAGAGGGAACTTATTGTCTATAGGGAAGAAATCCACTTCTACCTTTGAATAGTGCTGGCTGATAGCAACACTAATTATATAACAATAAAAATTATAATAGAAATATGAGTATACATTATTGCTTCTATTGCAACTAAAATTGAAGTAGTTTCTCAAACTTCTTTTCCAGTTCTTCACTTGGCATTTTCCCTCATTTTTTGGTCTCTTTGGAAAGCGTTATGTGATCCTGCGACGCCTTTGATAAACTGCCACCTGAAGGCAGAAGTTACTTGTAGTTAGTAGCACATTCATTGGATTTCAATTTTGCCTTCTAACATTTTATTTCAAGCATTGTTTATCCTGCATTTTGTCAAGGGAATGTAGAAGAATCTTCTTACAGCACCTTTCCCACATTCACATTTTATACGAATGTGACTAGTGGGTCTCCATGGCAGCAAAAGTAAGTAAGCTCATTCAATCGCAGAGGTTCAGTGTCAAATTGGTAGAAACATGGCATCTCGTCCCACATATTTCTCACTAATATACCCTAGGCCTGTCTTTATTGAAAAAATAGCAAGTTGAAAAATAATACATGAAATATGCTGCGTTTTTTAAAAAGATATTTTCTGAATCCCAAATAATACAGGCTAATTTTAAAGACTTTGAAATTTTTAAAGTGGAGATATAAAAATACAGCATAGATATGTTAAAAAATTAAAAGTTGTCCATAATCACATAACCCAGGTTTAAACATGGTCAACATTCAGATGGTTTTTCTAGGCTTATGGTGTTGTTACCTATCTCATTTTAATGTTTTTGAGGTCATGCTACAGAAGTTTTTATAAGCTTTATGTAATATTATGCCAATCATTTTCTATATGATTAAAGATACTAACATATAAAAGACTGAATGTAAAACATATACAAAAATCAGCTTTAAAAGTTTGAAAATTGTTTAATTTCCTTCTAAATTTATATATTTATTTCTTTATTTCTTTATAAATAAATATATATTTATTTCTTTATAAATAAATATATATTTATTTCTTTATTTCTTTATAAATAAATATATATTTATTTCTTTATTTCTTTATAAATAAATATATATTTATTTCTTTATTTCTTTATAAATAAATATATATTTATTTCTTTATAAATAAATATATATTTATTTCTTTATAAATAAATATATTTATGTATTTATGTATTTATTTATTTGCATTGATCAAGTTTTAGGTTCTGAAAAATTCTAGCTAATTAATGAAACACACACACATTCTGTCTACAAACTGACAACATAATAAAAAGAGTTTGCATTGCACCAGATAAACTAACAATTTTAAGAAAAGTTTAAGTTGCCATTGGTCATAGAATCTTATTTTAAAGATATTCCTATTTGTTCAGCCCTGGGGAGATAAATGTACACATTGACATCTAGACTACTAGGAAGGACACTAATATTAGGTCCCAGGACTTCTCATCTTTCAATTATTCTAATTTTCTTTGTAAGTTTTATACTTTGCAAACAAATGTCTCCTTTCTGTATTTTTCAAAACCCTGAGAGAGACATTAAATTGTATTGACTTCATTGATCACTCATCTGAATACCTAATAATTTATACAAATGGCAAGAGTTAATTCTCACACATGACAATTTCAAGACCAGAGGCAAACTTCACAAATCTCAAAAGGGATTTTTCTGCCTATCTCTCTTCTAATGCATATCTTTGACCCAAATTGCTTCTCGCAGGAATTACCCACTTTTATCTTTTGAACTTCCTATTATAAAGAATAAACAGAGAAAAATATGTGTATGTTGTGTGTGTGTATACAATACAACATGTTTGCAAGAAAAAAACAAAACAAAACAAAACTGGTACCTATACTTAGGAAGCCAATTAAATGTAATGCTTTAAAATATTCCAGGGAAGTTCTCACTGCCAGACTAAATACTTAAAATTCTCTTCCTCTTATTTCTTACTGAATATTTAAAAGAATCCCTTAAGTCCTAATTTATCTGCAGCTTAGTCTAAACAAATTGAAGAGTGCACACCCACAAGAAAGCAGAGAGTGTTTCACACACAGGAAGTGATGCTTTCTTGAAATGGAGAATATTCCTGATGGGAGGAAACAAAAGTTGGTTTTGGAAATTTAGTTCCTCCCCTCATTTAGTAACATAATGCTGAATTGCTCATCTGAGGTCAATATAAGAATTGGCGCATTTAAAAGGCTAATGCCAGAGCCTTTTATTTTCTAACTGGCTGCTTTCTCAATCAAAGTTTTAGGTATTACAACGTTGTCTAGGAGTTCACTTTTCCATTTGTATATAAATATGTAACGTTAAGGAGACATGTTACTCTAATAAACTTATTTCATGCTATGCCAGGTTCTTTATTCCTGACCTAAGTACAACTCTGCACGCTGAGAGCTCAGAGGATAGTATGTTATCTTCTATGTCTGTGTTTGTAACACTTTCCCAATAATCCCCACTTTATATTTATAATGTATAGTGTTGGTAGGGCATGTGTCCCTGCCTCATAGCAAGACTATTTATTCCATCAACAAATGTTTAGCGATCAGCTACCAAACATCAGGCAAAATAGCAAGGTCTTGAGATACAGTGATGAAAAGATTCAGATCTTTACAGAGAGCATGGCTCAGTAGAAAGAAAATAAACTATTATAATACAACTCTAGTTACAAACTGTGTTACAGAACACTAAAACTTATTCCTCCTGTCTAACTGTAATTTTGTACCAATTAATCCCTATTCCTTTTATTCCCTCCATTCCTTAGCCTCTGGTAATTACTATTCTACTCTTTACTTCTATGACATCAACTTTTTAAGTTCCCAGTATAAATCTACAGAGAATGTAAACAAACATTTTTGTGCCTGGCTCATTTCACTTAACATAATGAACTCCAAGGTCATCCATGTTGCTACAGATGACATCGTTTAATTCTTTTTGGTGGGTGAATAATATTCCCTTGTGTATGTATGTCTCATTTTTTTTATCCATTCATTTGTTGATGGACACAGTTTAATTTCATGTCTTGGCTACTGTGAATAGTGCTGCAATAAACAAAGATATCTCTTTGGCATACTTATTTCCTGTCTTTTTGATATATACTCAGTAATGAGATTGCTGGATAATATGGTATTTCTATTTTTCATTTTTTGAGAAATCTTTGTATTGTTTTTCATAATGGCTCTGCTAATTTACATTGCCACCAACAGTGTGTGAGAGCTCCCTTTTCTCCTTTTCCTCACGAGTATTTGTTACTTTTGTCTATTTATTTATTTATGTATTTATTTTATTATACTTTAAGTTCTGGAGCACATGTGCAGAACGTGCAGTTTTATTACATCAGTATACACATGCCATGGTGGTTTGCTGCACCCATCAACCCATCACCTACATTAGGTATTTCTCTTAAAGCTATCTCTCCCCTAGGCCCCCACCCTCCAACAGGTTCTGGTATGTGATGTTCCCCTCTGTTTGTCCATGTGTTCTCATTGTTCAACTCCCACTTATGAATGAGAACATGCTGTGTTTGGTATTCTGTTCCTGTGTTAGTTTGCTGAGAATAATGGTTTCCAGCTTCATCCATGTCCCTGCAAAGGACAAAAACTCATCCTTTTTTATGGCTGCATGATATTCCATGGTGTATATGTGCCACATTTTCTTTATCCAGTCTATCATTGATGGGCATTTTGGCTGGTTCCAAGTCTTTCCTATTGTGAATAGTGCTGCAATACACATATGTGTGCATGTGTCTTTATAGTAGCCTGATTTATAATCTTTTGGGTATATACCCAGTAATGGGATTGCTGGGTCAAATGGTATTTCTAGTTCTAGATCCTTGAGGAATTGCCACACTGTCTTCCACAATAGTTGAACTAATTTACACTCCCACCAACAGTGGAAAAGTGTTCCTATTTCTCCACATCCTCTCCAGCATCTGTTTTTCCTGATTTTTTTAATGATCACCATTCTAACTGGCGTGAGATGGTATCTCATTGCGGTTTTGATTTGCATTTCTCTAGTGGCCAGTGATGATGAGCATTTTTTCATATGTTTGTTGGCTGCATAAACGTCTTATTTTGAGAAGTGTCTGTTCATATCCTTTGCCTACTTTTTGATGGGGTTATTTTTTTCTTGTAAATTTAAGTTCTTTGTAGATTCTGGATATTAGCCGTTTGTCAGATGGATAGATTGCAGAAATTTTCTCCTATTCTGTAGGTTGCCTGTTCACTGTGATGATAGTTTCTTTTGCTGGGCAGAAGCTCTTTAGTTTAATTAGATCCCGTTTGCCAATTTTAGCTTTTGTTGCCATTGCTTTTGGTGTTTTAGACATGAAGGGTTTGCTCATGCCTGTGTCCTGAATTGTATTGCCCAGATTTTCTTCTAGAATTTTTATGATGTTAGGTGTTACGTTTAAGTCTTTAACTTACCTTGAGTTTTAATAATAGCCATTTTAACTGGGGTGAGGTGATATCTCAATGTGGTTCTGCTTTAAAGTTTTTTGATGATTAGTGATGGGCATTTTTAAAATATACCTATTGGCCATGTGTATGCCTTCTTTTGAAAAATGTTATTTCCGATCATTTGCCCATTTTTCAGTTGGATTACTTGGTTTATTTGCTATTGAATTGAGTTCCTTATATTTTCTGGATATTATTCCTTTGTCAGATGTATAGTTTGCAAATGTTTTATCCCATTCTGTAGCTCGTCTCTTCACTCTGTTGGTTGTTTCCTTTACTGTGCAGAAGCTTTTTAGTTTGATGCAATCCCATTTTTCTACATTTGCTTTTGGTGTCTGTGTTATTGAGGTCTTAGCCAGAAAAATCTTTCCCCAGACCAATGTCCTCAAGTGTTTCCCCTATGTATCCTCTAGTAGCTTCAGAGTATTCACTATTACATTTAAATCACTAACCCATTTTGAATTGATTTTGGTGTATGGTGAGAGAGGTCTAGCTTGATTCTTATGCATATGGATATCTAGTTTTCCCAGCACATTTATTGAAGAGAGTTATTTTCCCAATATATGTTTTTGACACTATTGTCAAAAATCAATTGGCTGTGAATGTGTAGTTTCATGGCATATAACATTTTTGAACAAGGGCTACTGCGCCTAAAAGTGAGGATATTTCTAACTCATAGTCTGGGGATATCCTTTAGCAGAAGTTCTGTCATTGCAGGAGAGGAGTCTTCCAAGCACAAAGAATAGCATGCAAAATGATTAATGAAAAAATTCTGCAGAAACCTACTGAAAAATTATGGTTTATTAATATGAAGGAGAAGTGGCCCAGGAATGACCAGGTATTATGGACTGAAAGTGTGTGTCCCCAGGAATATTCCTATGTTGACACCCCACGCCCTAATGTAATGATATTAGGAGGTGGGGCTTTCGAAGGTAATTAGGTTTAGATGAGATACTGAGGGTGTAGCCCTCATGATGGGAATAGAGTTTTCACAAGAAGAGACACAAGAGTGTCCCTTCTCTCCCTACCCTGATGCCCTCTACCCTCCCATCTCTACTTCCTATCATGTGAAGACACAACAAGACGATCATCTGGAAACTGGGAAGCAGACTCTCACCAGACACAGAATATGCTGCACCTTGATCTCAGACATCCCAACTTCCAGATCCATGAGGAATAAGTTTTTGTTGTCTAAGCCACCCTGTCTGTGGTATTTTGCTATGTGATCTTGAACTGATTAAGACACAAAGTATTACTATTTTAAAAAAGATACCAGATGATTTTCATGTTCTAGTGGTTTAAGAACTAGTCTTTCAAAACATTTTAAAATTCTTAGGTATGTGTGTCAATCTTCTCCTATTTTTTCCATATGCTATTCTCTAATCTTTCCTTTTCTTAAGTGTCTATATTTATGTGATACGTTCCTGAGAGGAGAATCCCATCTTCCAAGCAGCTATGATTATGACATTTAAAAAAATAAAACACCAAAAGTGACAAAGGACTCAGTGGTTCTTTGTGTGGCAGAAGATTAACTTAATTAGCAAAGAATACAGAGGAAAATAAAGTTAAGGCACTGTTGCAATGAAATAAACTACAGCTAAACTACAGAGAAGTGGTTATAAATGTAAGTTAAAAAAAAAGGAGGGGACATTTGAATTATCCTTACCTTTGGGCAATAAAATAAATCATGATTAGATTCTGAGATACTGAGATCTGCTCATTTATTGAATGATAGATATATACAATTACCTTGTTATTAACAAAATAGAATGAAAGTGCTAAATGGAAAATTCAACCAAAAAGAAAAGGTGCCAATATTAATAATCACAATCTTTTTTTATTATTATTATACTTTAAGTTCTGGGATACATGTGCAGAACGTGTAGGTTTGTTACATAGGTATACATGTGCCATGGTGGTTTGCTGCACCCATCAACCCGCCATCTACATTAGATATTTCTCCTAATACTATCCCTCCCCTAGTCCCCCACCCCCTGACAGACCCCTGTGTGTGATGTTCCCCTCCCTGTGTCCATGTATTCTCATTGTTCAACTCCCACTTATGAGTGAAACATGCGGTGTTTGGTTTTCTTTTTCTGTGTCAGTTTGCTGAGAATGATGGTTTCCAGCTTCATCCATGTCCCTGCAAATACATAAACTCATCCTTGTTTATGGCTGCAGAGTATTCCGTGGTATATATGTGCCACATTTTCTTTATCCAGTCTATCATTGATGGAGATTTGGGTTAGTTCCAAGTCTTTGCTCTTGTGAATAGTGCTGCAATACATATATGTGTTCATGTGTCTTTATGATTTATAATCCTTTGGGCATATACCCAGTAATGGGATTGCTGGATCAAATGGTATTTCTGGCTCTAGATCCCTGAGGAATTGCCACACAGCCTTCCACAATGGTTGAACTAATTTACACTTCCACCAACAGTGGAAAAGTGCTCCTGTTTCTCCACATCCTCTCCAGCACCTGTTGTTACCTGACTTTTAAATGATGGCCATTCTAACTGGTGTGAGATAGTATCTCACTGTCCTTTTGATTTGCATTTCTCTAATGACTAGTGATGATGAGCTTTTTTTAAATATGTTTGTTGGCTGTCTTCTTTTGTATAACTGCTTTTTTTCATATAACTTTTGTATAAAAGTTTGTATAACTGTCTTCTTTTGAGAGGTGTGTGTTCATGTCCTTCACCCACTTTGTGATGGGTCGCTTGTTTTTATCTTGTAAATTTGTTTAAGCTTTTGTAGATTCTGGATATTAGACCTTTGTCAGATGGATGGATTGCAAAAATTTTCTCCCATTCTGCAGGTTACCTGTTCACTCTGATGATAGTTTCTTTTGCTGTGCAGAAGCTCTTTAATTTAAGTAGATCCCATTTGTCTATTTTGGCTTTTGTTGCCATAGCTTTTGGTGGTTTAGTCATGAAGTCTTTGCCCATGCCTATGTCCTGAATGGCATTGCCTAGGTTTTCTTCTAGAATTTTTTTGGATTCAGGTCTTAAATTTAAGTCTTTAATCCATCTTGAGTTAATTTTTGTGTGAAGTAAGGAAGGGATCCAGTTTCAGTTTTCTGCATATGGCTAGCCAGTTTTCCCAACACCATTTATTAAATAGGGAATCCTTTCTCTATTGCTTGTTTTTATCTGGTTTGTTAAAGATCAGATGGTTGTAGATGTGTGGCATTATTTCTGAGGCCTCTGTTCTGTTCCATTGCTCTATATATCTGTTTTGGTACCAGTAACATGCTGTTTTGGTTACTGTAGCCTTGTAGTGTAGTTTGAAGCCAGGTAGCAAGACGCCTCCAGCTTTTTTCTTTTTGCTTAGAATTGTCTTGGCTATATGGGCTCTTTTTTAGTTCCACATGAAATTTAAAGTAGTTTTTATCTAATTCTGTAAAAAAAAAGTCAATGGTAGCTTGATGGGGATAGCATTGAATCTATAGATTACTTTGGGCAGTATGGCCATTATAGCCATTTTCACACAATTGATTCTTCACATCCATGAGCATGAGATATTTTTCCATTTGTTTGTGTCCTGTCTTATTTCCTTGAGCAGTCGTTTGTAGTTCTCCATGAAGAGGTCCTTCACATGCCTCATAAGCTGTATTCCAAGCATTTTATTCTCCTTGCAGCAATTGTGTATGGGAGTTCACTCATGATTTGGCTCTCTGTTTGTCTGTTATTGGTGTAAAGGAATGCTTGTGATTTTTGCACATTGATTTTGTATCCTGAGACTTCGCTGAAGTTGCTTATCAGCTTAAGGAGATTTTGGGCTGAGACAATGGCATTTCCTAAATATACCATCATGACATCTGCAAACATAGACAATTTGTCTTCCTCTCTTCCTATTTGAATACTCTTTATTTCTTTCTCTTGCCTGACTTCCCCAGCCAGAACGTCCAATACTATGTTGAATAGGAGTGGTGAGAGAGGGCATTCTTGTCTTGTGCCAGTTATCAAAGGGAATGCTTCCAGCTTTTGCCCATTCAGTATGATATTGGTTATGGGTTTGTCATAAATATCTCTTATTATTTTGAGATACATTCCATCAATATCTAGTTTATTGAGAGTTTTTAGCATGAAGCGGTGGT
Organism: Homo sapiens; assembly: GCF_000001405.40. NCBI lineage: Eukaryota > Metazoa > Chordata > Mammalia > Primates > Hominidae > Homo > Homo sapiens. The sequence continues at coordinate 123,309,294 of NC_000002.12, read as the reverse complement.
GAATTTTATCGAAGGCCTTTTCTGCCTCCATTGAGATAATCATGTTGTTTTTTTCATTGGTTCTGTTTATGTGATGGATTATGTTTATTGATTTGCATATGTTGAACCAGCCTAGCATCCCAGGTATGAGGCCTACTTGACCTTGGTGGATAAGCTTTTTGATGTGCTGCTGGATTTGGTGTGCCAGAATTTTATTGAGGATGTTCACATCAATGTTCATCAGGGATATTGGCCTGAAAATTTCTTTTTTTTGTTGTTGTTGTTGTGTCTCTGGCAGACTTTGGTATCAGGATGATGCTGGCCTCCTAAAATGAGTTAGGGAGGAATCCCTCTCTTTTTTATTATACTTTAAGTTTTAGGGTACATGTGCACAACGTGCAGGTTTGTTACATACATATACATGTGCCATGTTGGTGTGCTGCACCCAGTAACTCATCATTTAACATTAGGTGTATCTCCTAATGCTATCCCTCCCCCCTCCCCCCACCCCACAACAGGCCCCAGTGTGTGATGTTCCCCTTCCTGTGTCCATGTGTTCTCACTGTTCAATTCCCACCTATGAGTGAGAACATGCGGTGTTTGGTTTTTTGTCCTTGCGATAGTTTGCTGAGAATGATGGTTTCCAGCTTCATTGATGTCCCTACAAAGGACATGAACTCATCCTTTTTTATGGCTGCATAGTATTCCATGGTGTATATGTGCCACATTTTCTTAATCCAGTCTATCATTGTTGGACATTTGGGTTGGTTCCAAGTCTTTGCTATTGTGAATAGTGCCACAATAAACATATGTGTGTATGTGTCTTTATAGCAGCATGATTTATAATCCTTTGGGTATATACCCAGTAATGGGATGGCTGGGTCAAATGGTATTTCTAGTTCTAGATCCCTGAGGAATTGCCACACTGACTTCCACAATGGTTGAACTAGTTTGCAGTTTATATTGTTTGGAATAGTTTCAGAAGGAATGGTACCAGCTCCTCTTTTATCTCTGGTAGAATTTGACTTTGAATCCATCTGGTCCTGGGCTTTTTTGCTTGGAGGACACAATCTTAATCTTTAATCTCAATTATAACAAATAGCCTCTTTTGGGAGTTTACCATGTGTAAAGCATTATACTAAGTACTTATCTGCATAGCTCCTTAAATTCTCAGTATAATCCTAAGAAGCTACTATCATTATTTTTTCTATTGTGTAGATTATAAAGCTAAAAACTATTAGAAGTTTAAAAAGTGACACAAGTACCTTAAATCTGTAAATGTTCCCAGTAATCATGAATATTTTAAGTCATTGCTATAATATTTCTTTTGCTAAATAAATACCATATTTTACTTCTTATTAGATGATTTTAATATATATGTTGTTAACAAAGAAGAAAGAAAAAATACAATGTTTTTCTTCTGAGAGTAATTGTATACTAAATTGATGTATATCATTTAGGTATTATAAAATAATGGCAACAACATTAATATATTTTACTAACTAAAAATAGAACCTAAAATTGGGCAAGTAGATTTCCTCCAATAAAGCTGAAAGTCATAAATTGTAGAGTAGGTGCTATAAATTAGAAATTTAGTTCACTACAGTTCATCAGTGTTGGAAACATGCACAATGTGCAACAAGAATCAATGACTCTGCCTCTTGTATTGAAATTAGTTGATTAATGACAGACTACATTACTGATTTTTTCCACTCCTTGTGTGATCTTGTTAATTAGAACAATTCCTCTTGATCATTGAAAATGTGACATAAATTCACTTTCCTTCTGAATATGTTGCCCCAGGACAGAAATAATTTCATATTTTGAAAAACATGCACATTTCAGAATTGACTCTTCTTATCAGGTCACAAGTGGTATTAAGTGAGCCAGCTTCTTTCTGTGTTGTCAACCACTAACAAAAGTATCAGGAACCACACTCAATTAAATGAGATATAATCCAACCTTAATGTTGTTTTGGGTAAAATCGTTAAAATGTACATCCTTTTGCCGTAATTGACATTTCGTGTCTATTCAAACCAAAAAGTTTCCATGATTACACAACACAGAAAGGAAAGGAACAGATTCAGTATTTTATTATGAAGTTAATTAAGGTACCCTACTCTCCAAACCCCACAGACTTATGTTGTACAATTGAAATATGTTTCATACACATAGAATACAATATCCTGGCATGTTTAATATATACAGAGAGTCATAAATAAAATCATTCATTTGAAATATCAATTGTTCCATAATACAATAAACTCAAACTGTGGATATAGAGAATCTTACAACTGAAATTGCCTGCAAGTTTTTTATGAAGATTATGCTTTTGGAGTAGAATTCATTGCTGTTATCTATTTTACTCAGAAGCTTAGCACTCAGATGGCCCTTATTCAAAATAAATTATTTGCTGTTGTCAAATGAACAGTTGCACCATTCAATAAGTATCCATTGAAATCAGATATGAGACTCAGTACATGAGATGAATTTTGAACAAGAAAGGAACAGGATTTTTCTTAATTTGGAATCTCAAATTAAGCAGATGATACAAAAACTAAATTAGCAATCACAGTGCAGAGTAATAAATTCAGTAGAAAGGAAAGTACAGTGTGCTATAAAATATGTATAAAGGATACATAATCTGGCCTTAGAAATTTAGAAAAAGTTATTTTTGCAGGCAATGGTTGAGCTGAGACTCAATGGTCAGTTAAGAGTTAGCTTGATGAAGAGGTGAGACAATGGTGTTTCATATATAAAGGACTGCATATACAACCTTCTAAAAATGGGGAAGTAACATGAAAAGTTCAAGAAGCGGAGAAAATCTGAATGTACCTGCATCTTAGTGTATTAATGGGGGTATAACAAAAATGAGACGATAGAAAGATAGGATACAAATCATATGGTACATTTTAAATGATATTTTAGCTTAACCTGTATCCTAAAACTATGGGACACATGTAAAAAGTTTTATTTGGGGCAATAAAATAAGTTTATTCATATTTTAATCTAGATATAGGCAGAAAGCAGGAAACATGGTAATGTTATTATCAGTTGCAGATATTTAACTTGGAATTTCAAGTTTCAAACTCGATTAAAAATAATTTGAACTCCTATGCTTTCGTTAATTTTGTGCTGCTATAATAGAATACCACAGGCTGGGTAATTTACAATGAACAGAAATTGATTGGTTTAAGGTTCAGGAGTCTGGAAAGTACAATATCAAGGTGCCAGCTTCTGACTAAGGCCTTCTAGCTGTGTCATAACATAGCTGAAGATGTCACAGGGTGGAAGTGCCAAGAGAGCAAAAGAGAATGAGCAAGAGGCAGAGAACACACTCCCACCATAAGGAACCCACTTCTCGGATAATAATATTTGTACATTCATGAGGGCAGAATCCTTGTGACCCAAAGACCTCTTAAAAGTCCCACCTCTTACTGTGGTTACAATGTCAATTAAGTTTTAACATAAGTTTTGGAGAAGACAAACATTCAAATAATATCATCTCAGTTCATCTACATGCAACATACTAGGCCATAAAAATACACCTGGAGTCACAGAGACGTTGATTAAAATTACAGGTTGAAACCAGTTGGATAACCTGGATGAAGTATAAAATCTCAAATAACTTCCTTACATGTAAAAATAAATATAATAATGCCACCTTATAGTTTATAACTTTTTTAATGAAATTAAATAAGATAACATATATGTACACATACATAAATAGAATGATCACATGTAGATAAATAGATGATAGAAAGATAGATAGATAGACAGATAGATAGATAGATAGATAGATAGATAGATAGATAGATAGATAGATAAAGAATAATCCCTTAAGGCTGTGAACAGATAAGTCATATCTGTTCCACAATCCTCTGGCCCCACTCTCCTTAACAGGAATGTTTCTTTCAGTAGTAAAATACTATACAATATTTCCATAAAATTTACTTAAAATTATAAGTAGGTTTTTTTTACCTGCTAATGTTTTTAAAATGAAAAAAATCTTCGTCTTCACGATATAGACAGCTATGTAAAAGTATACTTTCTGAAAGCATTTATGTCTGTTAACAATTGTAACCTGATGCCTAGAACAGCAACTGACATGCAATAGCCAAATATTCACTAAATGCATTTCTTGCTATTCAGATGTTTTCTTTAATAGTTACCTCCAAAAGAATGGTTTATAAAGTAATTATGATTTATAAGCATATATAGATTATGATATTGATAAAAAGCATAGAAACATAAAATATGCGAATATGTACACATATGTATATATACTCAGCCCCTGTGATAGCTTCATGTACTGGCAAATATTCTTAGCCAAATAATAGGACAACCACTCTATTTTCCAAGACCAATAACAAAAGGATGAAGCCCATATTTTTGTGAATAGATTATTTGAAATGAGTACATTAGTGGCTCCTAAACACACAAATGTATTACAATTAGAGAATTATAAATCAAAAGTAAAGATTATAAATGAATATTTATGTAAGCATATTAAATAAAATATTGCAAATTAAATGTTAAAATGCATTATAATTGTTTATTTAATAATTCAGTTAATTTGTCACTCACTTGAAAAAAAGTTAAAAAATGGAAATCCAAGAAAAAATAGTTTAGGCAGGAAAGTCAGTAACAGAAGTTTTAGGATCACACCTATGCAGGCAATGTAAAATATAATTAGCTTATTAAAAGGGAAACTCTGAGGAGGGATGGTGAGAGAAAAATGTCTTCTAAGAGAATGCATATTCATATAAAAAATAGCATGACTAAAATAGTGAAGGCTTGATATTTGTTGTTGGTAGAAAAAATGGAAAAGAAATAATGGTCCAACTATGAGGCAAATTAAATTGTGACATCATTTTGATCACCTTACAGTGATATAAATTTAACACATTTGTTGTATAACACTTGTCATACCTCCTTTGAATAGCAATGACTGGATGACAAAGAAGTAAAGAATATTCTGTCTCACTACTTGGTCCTGCAGTGAGTAGCATCTACATTATAATAATATATATTAGGACCCACAATTCAAATAATATAAGTGTAAATCATATTTATTTTAATTCAAACATTTTAGTTGTGCATAATGCAATAAAAACTCAAAGTATAGTCATGATAATAAGGACTTGACTCAATTGACTTGGAAGTCCCAGGGTGGACCTTTATTTATGAATTGCTGAATCTAAGGACCCTTATTACGTGTTCAGTTCTACTTATTTATTCATATTAGCTGTAATCTTCTCTTTCATTAATATCATCCTACAATTAAGCTTCCTGAGTATTGCAGAAAAGGTAGCTTCTACCAGCTCAAGATTTACAGTCTTCAAACTTGGAATCCCCAGTGGAATCAGGCATTGTTCTCACTCAGGAAGATCTGTTGCATAGGCCTCCAGTGATTATGGTTGCCATGGCAATGAACTGCAATGAATGATTTAACATGGAAGACACATGCTCAAACAGAGATCAGAAGAGGAAAGAAACTGTAATTTTTTTTTTCAGACAAAAGAGGCATTTCCTCAAAATAATTAAACTGTCCAAAAAGAAAATTGTTGATACATTGTGTAATAATAATGTAAATATCATGACAACTGACACAATGTGGAGGATGAAGAGAAATAATGACCAAAGTGTTTTCAAAAGTATTAACTTGTTAGTCATTTTGCCTAATTCGGAGTTAAATGATATGATAAAATGATCAGAAAATTGAGGCTTAATCTGTAAAAAAAATTGGAGATTTTGAATAGGATTTTGGAATCTACATAAAAAGAATGAAATTGACATTCTAGTAGCTCAAGCTCAGATACCTGAATGTAAAATTTCATTGGATGGGAATGTAAAATCTCATTTGTTTTTAACAACAGGTTTTTCTAAGAACAATATAGAATTGGTCTACTCTAAAACAGAAAAATAAAAGATGTGGAAGCAGAGAAGAACAAACAGCATAACTGAAATATAAGATACAGAAGGTCTAGCTTACGTGTAACTGGATTCCCATAAGGAGAGAAGAGGCACATGGAGCAATAGCAATACCGGAGAAATAATGCAGAAGATGCTCAATGCTATAGAAATATATTAAGCCGGTAGTTTTAGAACTACCTCTACCAAAAAGAGTAAACACAAAGAAAATCTTACTTAGGCATATTACTGTAGCAATTACAAAGGCTTTACCTGACTGGCTTCGTGTGATTATTGAGCATGTGGGTATCCAGTACTTCAAGCAACATTTTTTGAAAAGGCTATTTGCTTCTCTTCATCAAATGTTTAGTTGCCCTTATCAAATGTCAATTGACTGTAACTGCAAGGGTTTATTTTTGGAAAATGAATTCAGTTTCATTGGTCCACATGCCTATGCTTATGCCAGTGCATACGCTGTTTTGATTAATGTTGCTTTGTGTTAAGTTTTGAAATTGAAAGGGGTGAACCTAACAAGTTTGTTCTTTTTTCACAAGATTGTTTGTTTATTCTAGATTCTTTACATTTCCATAGAAATTTTAATATCAGCTTTACATATTCTGCAAAATTGTCAGCTAGGATTTAGATAGGGATTCTGTTGAATTTTTTAATCAATTTGGTGAGTGTAGCCCTATTAACAATATTAAATCTGATTCATAAATATTGGATGTCTTTCCATATATATAGATTTTCTTTAATTATTTTATGTACATTTTTTAGATCTTAGAGTACAAGCCTGTCATGCTTGTTACATTTATTCCTACGTATTTTATTCTGTTTAATGCTATTATAAATGGAATTGTTTTCTAATTCTAGTTTTGCATTATACATTGCCAATGTGTAGAAAAATAATTCAGTTTTGTAAATTGACCTTGTTTCCTACAAACTTTTGTTCAACTTATTTATTAATTTGAATAGTTTTTGTGGATTCCTCATGATTTTCCATACAAAAGACCATGCTATTTGCATATAGAGAGGTTTATTTCTTCTTTCACAATATGGATGGCTTTTGTATTTCTTCTTCTTGTCTAATTACCCTGGCTAGAATCTCTATTATAATGTTGACTAGAAGTAGCAAGAGTACACATCCTTATCTTTCTTATTTCTTATATTAGTGGAAAAATAGTAAGTATGATGTCAGCTTTGGGTTTTTGTAGGTACTCTTTATCAAACTGAGGAAGTTCCCATTTATTTCTAGTGTGCTCTGTTTTTATTGAAAATGCTTTAGATTTAATTGCATGTTTTTTCTGTATTTATTGAGGTAATCAGGGTGTTTCTACCCTTTATTATTTTAATTTGTGTATTGCATTTCAGATTTTAAATAGAACTTGCATTGATGGGGTAAATTCTACTTAGTTATAGTGTATAATCTCTTTTTATATATTGCTTAGATCAATATAGAAGTATTTTTTGAGAATTTTCAAGTCTATATTAAAGAGATATTAGTGTATAGCTTTTTTTTCTGTGATATCTTTGCAAATTTTGGTATCAGAAAAATACTGGCTTCATATAATTAGTTGAAACAATTTCTTCTACTTTTAAAAGAGTTTGTGGAGGATTGGTATTAATTCATCATTAAATGTTTCACCAGTGTAACATATCTGAGCCTGAACTCTTTGTGAGATGGTTTTAAATAGCTAATATATTATTGAAATCATTATAGGTCTGGGCACATTTTTAAATCTAGGATATAATACTTCTTGTTTGTCATAATTAACAGTATTTTCTTATAATTATTTATATTTCTATAATGTCAACGATGCTCTCATTTGCACTTTTTATTTTAATAATTTGAGTTACTTTTTATTAGCTAATATGTTTACAAATCAATTATACTGGTTTATGCTAAAGAACCAACATTTGATTTACCGATTTTGTTGTTTTTCTCTCTTTAATCCCCCTGTCTACTCTAATCTTTATTTTTACTTCCTTCTGCTTCTTTGTGTTTAGCTTGTTCATCCTTTTATAGTTTCAGAAGGTGAAAAATTAGGTTACTGTTTGATATTTTGTTTTGTTATTAAATATAGCCATTTGCATTATTAATCCCCTCTAAGCACTGCTTAGCTACATCTCAGACATTATATTTATTGTTTTTATTTACATTCATCTCAATTATTTTCTAATTTCTTTTATTAAATATTTTAGGCTCACTGATTATTTAGCTGTGAGCTATATAATTTACATACATTATTAAATTTCCTATTCTTCCCTCTGTTTTTACTTTCTAATTAATTACGTTGTTGTACAACATACTTTCCATTATTTTAATTAATTTAACTTTACTGAGATTTTTTTTTTAATGGCCTAGTTTCTGGTCTATCCTGGAAAATATTCCAAGTGTGATTGGGAAAATGTGTATTTGTTTCTGTTGAAACATTCTATAGATTTCAGTGAGCGCTAGCTGATGAACAGTATTGTTTAAATCTATTTCCTTTTTGATCTTCTGGATAATTGTTCTATCCATTATTAAAACAAGGATATTAAAGTCTGAAACTACTATAGTTTTTCTATTTTTTTCTTGAATTCTGGTATTTTTTAAATGCCCATTGGGGCTCTTTTTATTTCATGTATATGTTAATAATTTTTCCCATGGATTATTTTATCATTATAAAATTCCCCCCTTGTCTCTAGCAATAACTTTTGTCTTAAAGTTTATTTCGTCTTAAATTAATGAAGCTTTCAGTTTCTTTAGTTACTATTTGTGTGATATATCTTTCTCTAACATTTTACTTTTGAACTTTGTGATTTCTAATCTGAAGTACATAGTTGAACCATATAATTTTTGTTTGTTTTTAAATGCATTGTGCCATTCTGCTTTTTAATCATGTATGTCATCCATTTATTTCTCTGTGATTATGGATAAAGGAGAATTCATGTCTGCCATTTTGCTATTTTTTTCTGTCAGTGTCTCTGTCTTGATCATTTCAGTTAACCTGTCTTCAGTTCTGCTGATGTTTTGTTCTGCCATCTTTATTCTTTTGATGAGCCTCTTTACTAATTTCTTTCTTTCAACTTCACATTTTTTACTTGTGTCCTTTTATAATTTTATCTCATCTATTATTTTATATATATGATGAGGCATTTTTGTCATTTTTTTCTTTAATTTTTTAGACTTGGTTTTCTTTACTATTTTCAATAAATTTATAAACTCTAATTTGAAATATTTGTTTAGTAAACTCAACATCTCTTCTTTCTCAGGGACAATGGCTATTGATTAATTTTTGCTTGGCCGTATTTTTCTTTTTATTTGCATTCCTCATAATTTTTTTCAAATCATGGAAATATTAGAAAATAATATGTCATCTCTGGAAATGACATTCTGCAGATTCTTTGGGTTTGTTGTTGCTCATAAGGTGTTGGTTGTTGTTGATTTTGCTGTCTGTTTGTTGTTGTTATTTAATGTCTTTCCTGGACTAATTTTATAACAGCTGAATTCCCTGCAATGTGCATCCATTGAAGTCTCAGCCAATACTTGTATATCGATTTTCTCAAAATTTCTGCATTGTTTTAGGGGACTCTGTATGTAGGTTAGAACACCTCTTCAAGGCTCAAGCAGTTTAAAACACTACCTTAGCCATCACTTCCTAATTGTACATGCCCTTGAGGTCAGACTGAAGCTTTAACAGGTATTTCTTGGCCATCCATACAGTTCTGTACAAGCATTCAGGCCTCTGTAGGCCCAAGAATATAACATAATACCTATACACCACACAAAATAAATTTATGATCCTAGACTTTCAAGTGAAAAGAAAATAGGACACTAAAAGTGATATAGATAATATAATTTATTAAAATTATAAACTTCTATTAAACAACTGATATATTAAGAAAATAGAAATATAAATCAGAAAGTAAAAAACTATATTTCATTGTACATACATGATAATAGATTCTTGTCTATGACATATAAAATTTAGTACAAACCAATATAAATGACAATAAAAATTGAGCAAAATATCTGATGAGTCATTGTACAGAAGAGGATGTTCAAATGAACAATAGACACACGAGACAGTGGCTAACATTAGTTATAAGGAAAATGCAAATACAAGAACATAAGTTATTATTATACAAACACAAGGTTATGTCAAGATAAAAAAAAAATAAAACCCAGACAATATCAGTGTCTGATGAGGATTTATAGTAATTGGTACAATCTTTCTGAAAATGGTTTGGCTATGTTATTAAAGGTTGTCATATTACATTCTATGACTCTTCAATTCCATAGCTAGCAATATACTAAGAGAAATGAGTGGTAACAGCTTCCAAAATATTTGTATTATGATGGCTCCAAACTGGAAATAACTCAAACATCTGTTAGTAGTAAAATGCAGATTTTACTTTCAGGTATATTTATATAATGGGGTATTACACAGCAATAAAAAAAAGTCACTATTAATAGGTGCAACCACACACATAAATCTCTAAAAATAATTATAACTCTATATTTATTAATTTATTACATTAGAATTAATACAATGTCAAAATATTTAAAAACTATAAAGCTTAAAATTAAAATATAAATGTGATTGAAGTTTTGGCAGGAAAAATATTTTTAGTCTTTTAATTTATGTCACTTTACACTATCATGACTTTTATTTTTATGTGCATGTGTTATATGTGGTATAATAATAATGTGTGTAAACAATTTTTAAATATTTATATTTGCATAGAAACTAATCTGAGAATATCCATACCAAACTCCTCTTTTGGTAAGAGGTTTAACTGACAAAATATTTATAAAATTAAAAGTTTCATTTTATACAATTCCATGAGATTATTACCAAAATACAAATTGCATTTATAATATGAAAATTAAATTAATAATTGAATCTTAAGATATGTGTACCATTATAATTAGTAATCCAATAAAATCTATGGCTTAATCAGTTAAATCGAATCTATGAGAAGAAAATGAACATGAAAATACAAATTGACAATTTGACTCACACCTAATTGATTCATTGGCTATTTTTGAAAGCTGCCTTTCTTCAAAGAAAGAGACAAATTTTTAGCTAATATTATAATGTGTTATTCATTTTGTGCTTAGTTTTCAAAGCATATCTAATAGTTGGGTATTATTTTCTACATTTTATTAACAAAAGGTTCAGAATAGGAAACACTAATAATTTCTAAGGCTCACAAACATGCTGGCTTCAACTGCCGGATGAACACACAATGAAAGTATATATAAACCAATAACCTTTCACTATATCAACCTACCTTTCTTTATATTTTTTTACCTATTCATTTTTTGAAAAGAGATTTATTTCTGTGTCTATGAAGACACATAATCAAAAGCAGATTTAAACAGTATTTGGACAATTAAAAATAATCTATTATTTAAAATATTTTCACTAAAACTTGCCATTGATTAAATTGATAAGACAGTGTTTCAGTTTCTAAATCCAATATTGTTCAAAAACATTTTATGTCCTCTATGTTTATAGAATGAAGCCTAAGATTCTCATCCTGATATTTGATGCCCTTAAAAATTGTCTTTATTTATTTATTTTTTCTAGAGTAAATGTGATGTCTCCTTTTCTCTACTTTTGCCTGAGAGATTCCTCATTGTTCAAAGTCACATCACACTGATGTCTGCAACCATGCTTTGGCTTGGTTTATTTTCCGAATAGTAATTACCCTTATTTCCCTTTTTATTGTGTCAAATTGTTCTCATACTGAAAGCCCAAGTAACCAGAATAACACCTATTACATCCAAATCACGTGCACGTACTTTTATTTGTTTAAATGTTTTCTCTTCACCTAAATTACTAGAGACCAGAGTTATTGGTTTTCTTTTTCCATCTCCACCTTGCATTTCCAGTACACAGCTAGCCTAACATCTAGCTGGCAATCAATAAATATATGCTAAATACAAAACATGTAATTTCCCATCTACTACATAAAGGCTCCTAGCTATATTGATCTCTCTGTTTGTTGTCATTATTCTATTTCCTTTAAGGGCCATACCACAGAATTTAGTGCTTTTTAAAAATAAAGCTCAATCTAGCTTTCTGAAATTCTACCTACTGAAGTTTTCTTGGCTAGATTATACCTTTTTTGGAGAGCATATTAATCTTTATCATAGAATAAATTGAAATGTAAACACTATGCTGGAAAAATACATGAAAAAACGAATCTGAGAAAAAACCAATTGTTAATGTTTAAAGAGTTCAATGGTTAGGGATTTTTAATGTTTAAACTCATGACCTTTCATTCTTGCTTCATGGTTGTTATACCTTCAAATCTCTTTGACTGCCTTAATGATTACTTTTTGAGACTTTCTTCTTTTCCTTGTAGAGTATCTATTTTTTCCACTTTGATGTATTTCAGTTTGATTTTTGGTGTTTGTCTTCCATGTTAGAGGCTTTTCTTAGAAATAAATGTTTATCATGTTAAAATACTGATAATGTTGGAATGCAACCTCAGCATAACCTATCTTGATTAGTAGAGAAATTGGTACCTAGAGGAGGGTTGCTACCATAAATAAAACATGTGGCATTAGCTTAGCAGCCAAATTACTGGTACCAAGGAAATTATATTTAGGGAAAGTGGAGGAAAAGTGATCCATTTTCAGCAGTAGCTAAACATGATGTTGCCCTCAGTAACTTGGAAAGCCAGCAATAAGCGTGATACATTTTTAAGGTCTAGAAGAGGTTGAAAACCAAATATTAGTGGTGTATGTTGGTTTCTGCTGACTTCATTTGACAATGGACAGAAAAGAACAGACAACTTCAAAAAAAGCATTTGACTGTTTGCAAGCATAACAGGGAAAAGAGGAAGTTCAGAAACTGGGGACTTAAGAGGTTAGAAAATCTATTGCTTTTCAATCTGAAAACGTAAAAGCTAAAACTTAAAAAAGCCGTTTATGTAAATCGACTTCAATACAACATTTGAAAATACGTTTCAAAGAATAGAAGTGCTAAATGCCTAATACAAACATAAGGACCTAAAGGTAAACTTTACTAGAAATTCAATAAATGCAAATGATGTAAGCATCGGATTTATTAGCAGTTTTCTTCTTAAACTATATATTTTTTATTAATAAGGTAACACTAACCAAAATCAGTGTAAAATGTCAAATTATAACAAAGTTATAAAGCACTGTATTTATATATTTTGGTCCATTGATCCCATGTTTAAGATCACAACCTGAATAAAAATTCAGAAATTTGAATGAAAATTTATAGAATAATAATTACTACAGCATGATTTATAATGTTGGAAATATAGAATGTGTAATGATAGACAATAGAGACTTGAAACAGTGAGGAGGTAGGAGGGGGTAGATGGTGAAAAATTACTTAATAGCTACGATGCATGTTATTCAGGTGACGAGTATCCTAAACACCATGACCTCACCACTACACAATCTATCCATGTAACAAAATTGCTCTCGGACCACATACATTTATAAAAATAAAAAATTAAACATAAAACAAGGAAATATGTAAATAAATGATAACATACTAATAACAAATTAGGAAACTTTGTAAAGTGAGAATGTTGAAGACCATTTTATTGACATACATAAATGTTTATTCTGACTTCTTATTTTAAAATGAGTAAACAGAAAATGCATATTATGAAAGAGAATACTCTGTGTGGTATGATTATTAATAATTTTTCCATTCTTATTTAAGCTATCATACATTCTGTATTTTTTCCTGAAAATATAATGTATACCTTTCAGTTATACATACACATATTAGGGAAGGCTATTAAGACATTCCCCTGAGTTCTATGCCTCAGGCAAAATACATACTAAATCATATGCTCATGCATTCTTGTTTTTTTTTTGTTTTTTTTTTTTTTTTTTGAGATGAAGTCTCACTCTTGTCGCCCAGGCTGGAGTGCAATTGGCACTGTCTCGGCTCACTGCAACCACTGCCTCCCGGATTGTCCTGCCTCAGCATCCCGAGTAGCTGGGATTACAGGCGCCTGTCACCATGCCCAGCTAATTTTTGTATTTTTAGTAGAGACAGGGTTTCACCGTGTTGGCCAGGCTGGTCTCGAACTCCTGACCTCAGGCAATCGACCCACCTCTGCCTCCCAAAGTGCTGGGATTACAGGTGTGAGGGACCATGCCTGGCCTCTCATGCATTGTTTATACATGAATATACAGTATGGACATTACATCGTGATCCCATCTATCACTCCCATCATGAACTAATTTTACTCAATCTTATCTGAAATTTACCTGTCTTCTGATTATAATCTGTCTTCCAATGGAGATCTACCTAAAGAGAGAATATTGATGATTTATATTTTAGTTCTTTTGATATGCTGCTGTGTAAATGATTGGCGTTTGGAGTTTTTTGTCATTGCTTATTAACTACATGGATTTGAGATATACCTAGAAAACAGATCTATTCTGGTGGGCTGATCAAAATTTTTTCTGTTTACAAAACTGCTTCGGCATTGTGTAAATTCACCCATGTAAAAACCTTTTAAGAAGACTCTGAAAGCCAGAGAGTTGTTATTTTCAGAGACTATCCTCCTCCATTCAAATTCCAAATACAATATAACCAGATAATCAGTTGTATAGGCTCTGGCCCTCTGCTTGCTGGGGTATGTGCCTGGTCCCATCCTTCATCATAGGCGGGTGAATTCTCTGTGGCTCAGTTTTCTATAATGTAAAATAAAGATAATAATTTTGCCTAACTCACAGTGTTATGAAAAAATAAAAAGTTAATGTCTGTAATGTCCCTAGAATAAAAACTAATATACAAATGTAAAACAGATAGATGCATATTGTTTTTACTATCATATTATTATATTCCACTTCCCCAAATTACTGCTTTCTTTTAGGCAATATTTGTGTATATTCAGTTTCTTCCACTGGTGTTTGCTTTCAGTGTATGGACAATGACCATTTTATTTCTTTGTGTCAGTCTATTCATCCATCACTTATCACAGTGATTTGCACATATCAGGCACTTGTAGTACCTATGTACAAGTATTAATTTTCATGACTACATACATAAGTAATGCATATGACAAGCCCTTGACAAATAATTCTTTAAAAACTAGATAGCAGCAATGCTGATTGTTTTTACTATAGCTTTAATCCTGAACAGGTTGTCTTAAAGTCTTCTCATTAAATTATTTTCATGAAGATACATTTTTCTTGGTGTTATTAATTTTTTGTTTAAATAATCAGGGAATTATATGTCTTCTCATTTTTATTAAGAAATTTTCAAAAGGCACAGCTATTTGTATGTCTAATGATTATGCCAACAATTTGTGTTAATTATGAAAACTCATGAATCAGAAATTGGCCCAATGAGAGCAACTTATAGCTAAGGGGAGTAAATTAAAATAGGAATATGATTTAAGAGATATGGAAGGGATTAATGGTTGTTTTTCATAACTAGATTGTAGTTTATCAAATAAAATTTTTATTATTGAATTTCAAACATGGGCAATGTAATCATAATGCTTACTTATCAGAATAAGCCTAAATCACTGAAAGGTGGTTTAGTAGGATCAATTTTTGAATCCGAAAAGAAATGCTCAATGTTGTTAAATGGATTGCTTTGATTTTTAGTTAGTTTGGAGTCTTAGATAACTGAGAATCTTCCAAGGCATACTTCTGTACTAAGGAAAGAATATCATTAACTAGAAATTATATATATATGTATATGTATATATATTAGTCATATTGGTAACAGTGAGTTGACTAAGCACAATCTAATGGGTGTGCACACCAACAGTGATTAGTGGTTTACATTTTCAAATGCAGCGAAAGGGTGATCTACTACTAATGAACAATTCAACTACACAAATAGGTATTGTGGGGAAATACAAATTACCCTGAACGATTTGAACCACTAGAAAATAATATTACCATACAAACCATTTTAATTATCTCACTCAAGGCAAATTTATTTTAGAGCATGTGCTAAATATGAAATGCTAGCATTTTTTGTTCTTTAAAAAATTCCAGTTATGGTAGACTGCCCTTTAGCCATTTTATTTTATTATTTCCAATTCTTAGCTTTTCTTTCTTATTTAGATTGAGAATTAGTGTTTTTACTTAGAAACAGTTTTCTTATTTGCATCCCAATTACATTTTGTGAACTATTCTAATAATATATAACATATATCCCTCAGCTTGATTCTGTTCTAAATTATTGTGTAGCATTTATACCTCCCATAGGGACCTAGAAATAACATTTAAAAAGTAAACTCCTGAGATATTTCCCAAATTTTGCACAGTGACACACTAGTTCTACAGGATATTAGTAGCCATTCTAAAGAATGTTAAAGTATACAAGTTTCTTTACCTCACGTTGGCTCAGTGTCTTGTATTTGTAATTCCACTGGAAATTTATAAGGTAGGATGGGGTTATAATATAGTATGCAGTATTTTTCAGTCATGTTGGCCACAGGGTGATATTTTTATAGAGATAGTTTACAATAAAAAATATTTTGAGGAATAAGCTGGAGAGATTTTGATTTTGAAATGAAGCAAACTTTGCTTCTACGGTATAATATGCTGTAGAAAATAATTCTTAGCTGGGCGTGATGGCTCATGCCTGTAATCCCAGCACTTTGGGAGGCTGAGGTGGGTGAATTACCTGAGGTCAGGAGTTCAAGACCAGCCTGGCCAACATGGCGAAACCCCATCTCTACTAAAAATATACAAATTAGCCAGGTGTGGTGGCGGGCGCCTGTAATCCTAGCTACTCAGGGAGGCTGAGGCACGAGAATCGCTTGAACCTGGAAGACGGATGTTGCAGTGAGCCGAGATGGTGCCACTGCACTCCAGCCTGGGCGACACAGCAAGACTCTGCCTCAAACAAACAAACAAACAAACAGAATTCTTGGTCAAAATTCTTGGGGTTTGGGGCTCGTGTTGATTTTGTCCTCTTTCTTCATTTTCTGAAACCCTTCACATTCCTTTACTCTGACTTTTCTTCCATCTGGTTTCAGGTTGGAAACTTCCACATCTGCTTTTTCCACTTGGTCTTTTCTGAAAAGAGCATTACATGTATCTCATATTTCCAAGTTTGCCTTTACCATAAAATTATGATGTTGCAATTACTTTGATAGTGAAAGAATTGAACAGTGTAGAAAAGTGGACATTAGAATCAGGCAATTTTGAGTTCAAGTTCTTGGGCTGTCCAGTCCTGGCTGTGCATTCCATGATTCAAGTCCCCACTTTTCCCTCTCTGGGCCTCCTTGCACTGAGCTCTGTCTGTGGAGTGGCATGAAATGCTTCTACAAATATCTCAAGGAAGCATGTGTTTATGCCATCAATAAAGCAAGACCATACATAAATAAGTAAATGCCAATTTGAAATAATTTGATTTTCACAATGCAAATAAATGACTAGTTTAAAATGGCAATCATGGAAGATTTTTTTTTAAGTTCTTTCTTTATTTTAGGGACTAGTGTTGTTATTCCGTTTTGAATTCCACACAAGGAAATGTTCCATCATTTTTAAGTTGCCAAGGCCACTAGGAATCTACATTTGTCTTTTCTGGGTCTCTTCTCTCTACACTGCACCACATGCCCACTTGCTTCAAGTCCTCTGCATTTCTCCCTCTCATACATTTTGGGTTGTATCCCTGTTTCCTACCTTGATGTATCTCCAGCTCTTTCCAAGCATTTTCTTAAACATTCATTACAAAGCTGGACTCATCTAAATTTTCTTTAGAGTATCAAGGTGGGAGTAAGTACTGAGACAATAAAAAAGGAGTTTCTAAGACAAAAATAAGCATATGCTAGCATTAGTAAATATTTTAAAAATATATTTGGACGGGTGCTGACTCATGCCTGTAATCCTAGCACTTTGGGAGGGCCAGGCGGACAGATGACTTGAAGTCAGGGGTTTGAGACCAGCCTGACTAATATGGTGAAACCCCATCTCTACTAAAAATACAAAAACTAGCCAGATGTGGTGACATGCACCTGTAGTCCCAGCTACTCAGGAGGCTGAGAAAGGGGAATTGCTTGAACCTGAACAGCAGAGGTTCCAGTGAGCCAAGATCGCACCATTACACCCCAGCCTGGATGACAGAGAGAGACTCCATCAAAAAAAAAAAAAAAAATCTCTATCTATCTCTCTCTCTATCTCTCTCTCTCTCTATCTATTCTGCCCCCCCAAACCTGGTTTTGTTTGACTATGCATATGAACTATAAGAAATGCCCTGTCTATGTCTATTTCTGAGAGTCTGTCTTCAGGTGTAAATGCCTTGACGTAAACTTAGCAAATACAGCATATGCAAAACTAATTGTGAGATTTCTAAGAGATTGTCACACTCAGTGGAAGTTAATGAAGTCAGCAGGTAATGGGAATGATAAATACAAAACAATTAAGTTAAACACATATTTAGATTTCTAATGGCTCTGACATTATAGGTAGATATCAGCAGATGAAAAGTGTCTACTTGAAAAATATCAAAAACTTTGCAAGGTTCTCGAAAGACACAGACAAGTTACTAGGAGTTTTTATTCATCAGTATATTCTCTAATATTGCCCTGAAAGATTCAAAAGTCTTTAGAGTCACAATATTTGTATGGTTAGTAGAATTTCAGAACTGAGGGGATACTATTAAGTAACATATTCCAATTCCCTCACTTTTATAGAAATTTTTTCAACATCAGGTAATAATTAAGTTGCATGATTAGAACAAAGTATATTAGGTAACATTGTTTTTCATTGTAAATATAGAAATTCAGCTATAATGACTTGCTTAAATAAAAGGTTATTATTATTATCATTATGTAACAAATAATCTAAAAGTAGCCAGTCCAATTACTCCTCAGAGGTCGTTACTTGAGGATATTATCAAAGATCTAGGCTATTTCTTTCTTACTTCAATGCTATCCCTAGCAAGTGACTTTCATCCTTGTGGATACAGCATGGCTCCAGTTCCTTCAAGCATTTTGTCACATTCCAGGAGGCAAGAGGCTGAAAAGGTCAAGTTTAAACATCAAAACAACATAAAAATCTCTTCACCATTGTCAAAGATAAACAAAACTGGACAATAAAGTGGTAAGGGCAGATTTTAATCAGTAGTAAACTGTTGCAATAGGGAAGACAATGCATTTTGAACTGAATTCAGCTTCTGTGTGTGCAGAGTTAACTGGGTACTTCCAAGGTAAGAGGGCGTTGGAAGCGGGAACTCTGGAGGCCCTAGCTGAGTCAGGGAAGCAGACATTTATGAAAATCAAGAAGAGGGTATGAGTCCTAGTGAAACCGATCTGGATTTGTTAACTGGGCTTATGTGAAATTAGGCTCCTACCCTCCACAGAGGGCAGGAGTATGGGGCCCTGTCTCCAGATGTTGACTGGAACAAATAGCAAATTTTTCTGGCAGCCTTGAGATTTCTGATGCAGGAACTTACAGAAGTTGCAGTCGTCACCCTAGGGATGCAGTACTGAGTTGTTAGAAAATTGTTCATGTTTTTTAATGGGATAGTGGGGGCCAAATTATTTGTACTAACAGCCTACAGTTTCCACAGGTCAAGGTTGAGGCCTAGTAGAGAAGAAGGCCGAGAGGAACCAGCCGCAGGTCTGGTCAGAGAGTCTTTGCAACTGTATTTTGTCTTTTCACTTCAGATGAGAAGTCTCATGGGTTAGAAACGCAGCATATGGGGATAGCATGACTATCCCCATGGCTGTGAAATGGCATTTTTCTCATCTATAGAGATATAAACTTTATGAATATTTATTGGACATTGAGTGTTTTTTAACTGTTGTTTTGTTTGTTACTGTTTTTACTAAATGTCTTCACATCCTTTGCACATGTTTTTCTATTGGGTTTTCTTTTTTTTCTTTTTTCATTTTTTTTTTTTTTTTTTGAGACGAGTCTTGCTCTGTCGCCCAGGGTGTAGTGTGTTTCGGCTCGCTGCAACCTCCACCTCTCAGGTTGAAGTGATTCTCCTGCCTCAGCCTCCCGAGTAGCTGGGATTACAGGTGCACACTGCCACACCCAGCTAGTTTTTGTATTTTTAGTAGAGACGGGGTTTCACCATGTTAGCCAGGCTGGTCTTGAAGTCCCGCCGTACGGCAATCCACCCCCCTCAGCCTCCCAAAGTGCTCGGATTATAGGCATGAGCCACCACGCCTGGCCAGGTTTCCTTTTTTACAATATAACTTTTTAGATCATGTAAGTGTGTTCTCTATGTGTGATCTAGATTACAGTTTTTATGTGTGTTGAAAATATTTACCCTCATTCTGTAGCTTAAATTTCAGCTTAACTTTTATACAGTCAAATGTATTCATATTTTTCTTTTCATGTATATAAACAAATCTTTTTGGCTTTTTTATTTAATAAATGGTATCTTTTCATCCCTTCACACATTTATTTAACATACCATGTTGCCATTATCTACATACACTTAACATAGGACTTTGGAGATATGACTACATTTACCACAGCTTTTTATGTATAAAAAATAATTTGGCAAAATATCTTTTACAAATAGGGACCTACGTCACTTCATATTCTGTAATTCCAATTATTAATAAATTATCAGTAACAGGACAAAGAATGACTTATGCACTGGAACAAGTATCAGTTGTCAACATTATCTATTATCATTTTATTCTAATACAGTAGTAGTAGAAAATACATTGTATATTTGATATGATGCTCACATTATAACAACTTAAAATTAAAACAGCTTAAAGTTAATTAAGTGATAAATAGAAAAGCGTGTCTCTTCATTAACCTTTTTAATAGGCTACTGAAATCTCAAGATATAATAAAAGCTTTAGACTAAAGATATTTCAGTTTTGAAAAAATTTTACATTTGAATTACTGAGTCTTCTGGATTTTGGTTAATCAAAGATATTATGTTTTCTATAATTGCTAAAATGTCTAAAAATTCTATATGAAAGCACATTTGATTATATCATAACCTCTTAGCATTTTTTTTAAATCAGATTTACCTCTTCAAGAAAACTGGGAAATGTCAAACAAATTTAATATTTAGATGTCCTTCCAACTGAAAATCCTTTGTTCTCCATTTGTAAGGAAACATTTCCAACATATTAAAAACAGGAAATTATAAAATAGACTGTTAGCTTCCTAGGTCTAAATTTAATATTTTGGAAAATATATGTTTTATTAACATATGTATATATTATTTGTTGTCTCTTTTTTCTATATCTCTGATACAGCTAACTACCACAATCTCCATACCTTTCCAGTAGAACTTTGTGCCCATCATTGCCATCCATGATTTTAACTTAATAATGGTGTGTGTGTGTGTGTGTGTGTGTGTGTGTATAAATAAACATACACACATCTCTTGAAATAATGAAAATGATATGATATTGTACATTTTTTTGTGTGAATTGCCATTTTCCCTCAACATTGTTGTAGGATTTGTGTGGATATGTTTATATAAAGTTCATTCATTAGCTGCTTTGTAGAATTTCCATCCAATGTGTAAAAATCAGTATATTTCTGCAGTCCCCTAAATTTAGCAAATTAAGATACTTTTATTTTTTCTGTATTATAAAAAAAAAATCACATGCATTGGGTATTTGCTAGAGTAAACTCTCAAAAGTGATTTTTTTGTTACTGATCCATGTGGTTGGAAACTTTAATATTCCTGATTGTGTAGCTTTATTTATGCCATTCCCCTACATTCCTGCCAACACATCAGACTTTGAGAAAACAAATAAACAGAAATGTCATTTCCAATTTAATTCCACTGTGGTCAGAAGACATTCTTTTGACTATTTATATCCTCTTAAATTCATTGAAGTTCATTTTGTAATCTAACACATGGTCTATCTTGGAGAATGTGCACTTAAAAATAATGTATACCCTGTTTTGGGGTGGGGTGTTTTATAGGTGTCTGTTAGGTCTAGTTGGTTTATAGTATTGTTCAAGTCTTCTGTTTCATTTTTAAACTTTCTAGTTTTTCCATTCATTATTGAAAGTTGGGTATTAAAGTCTCCAATGATTATTGTTGAATTGTCTCTTTTCCCCTTTGTCAGTTTTTGCTTCATGTGTTTTGGTAATCTCTCATTAGATGCTTACATGCTTACAGTTGTTATGTCTTCCAGATTTGCTGACCATTTTAGCTTTATATAATATCCCTCTTTATTCCTAATAACACTTCTGTTTTAAAACCTTGTCTTCATTTTTTAGGGATACTCTAAAAAAAACCACAAAATAAAACGCTTTAGAAATATACATTTATTTTCTCACAGTTATGGAAGCTATGAGTCCAAAATTAAGGTCTTAGCAATTTTAATGTCTTCTAAGGGCTCTTTCCTTGGGTTGGAGTTGGTCATTTTCTTGAAATGTACTCATGTGGTGTTTCCCCTGATCATGCACACCCCTGTGTTTCTCTGTGTTTACAATTTCCTCTTTTTATAAGGACACCAGTCAGCTTAAATTAGCACCATCCAAAAGGGCTCATTTTAACTTAACCATCTTTGTAAAGGCTTAGCTCCAAATATAGTAATTGTATAATGCTAGGTTTAGAGCTTCAAAATGTGATTGTTTTGGGTGGGGCATGGTGTGGGACATAATTCAGCCCAAAACAAGTCTATTTTTTCTGATTACTATAGCTACTCTGGCTTTCTTATGCTTACATTTTAAATAATATATCTTTCTCATTCAGTATTTGTTTCTTTGACTCTAATTGTGTCTCCTATAGACAGTATATAGTTGAATTGCTTGGTTTTTAGAAAATCCAGCCTGACAATTTTTATCTTTTTGTGGAATTATTGTGTTCATATGTAATATTATTACTGATACAAGTTAAATATTTAGTGTTATTGA
Organism: Homo sapiens; assembly: GCF_000001405.40. Taxonomy (NCBI): domain Eukaryota; kingdom Metazoa; phylum Chordata; class Mammalia; order Primates; family Hominidae; genus Homo; species Homo sapiens. Next base: position 123,286,583 of record NC_000002.12, on the reverse strand, counting down.
TATAGCTGTATTTGTATCTGATATTCTACTTTTTATTTCTACATGATTTACCTTCCACTGTTCTTCCTTTACTGTTTTTTGTTACATGAAACAAATATTTCCTAATGCAGATCTTAATATGTTTATTTTTACTGTATTATATTTACTATATTTATTGATATTAAATTATATACATATTAATTTATAAAATAAGCTTCATATTATATTAGTCAATTCCATTGATGTATGAAAATATTATGACTATATATCTCTATTCTTCTTACCCTCTTTCATCTATTATTTTATGTTTAACATTTATCAGTGTTTCACTCTCACATTTAAAAATACATTTTTATCTCTTGTAAAATACAGCTTTGCTCATTTTAACTACCTCTTTTGTTCTGTCATTTGCAAACATGTTGCACATATGTTGTATTTCTACAGACCCAACAAGAAATTATATGCATGTAATTTTATTTAATTTCTTTTTAAATAAATTGAGAAAAGCAAGGAGAAAAATGAATCAAACTGTCTTTTACAATTATGTGATTAGATTTTATTAACCAATGCTTTTTTTCAAATGTGGATTTGAGTTATTATCTCTTGCTTTCAGCCTGTTTAACATCTGTTAGTATTTTTTGTAAGGCAGGCTTATTAGCAACAAAAATAATCAGTTTTCTTCATCTTGAAAAGTCATTATTTTACGTTCACTTTCAAAAAATAACTACATAGGATTCTTGGTTAATAGTTATTTTTAAATGAGCAATAAAAATATATTATCCCACAGCTATCTTACCTTCAATGTTTCTACTGAAGAATCAGCTGTTAATCTTATTGAGGTTTACTTGTAAGAAACAAGTTATTGTTTTCTTGTTGCATTTCAGATTTTCTCCTGGTCTTTGACTTTCAATATTTTTACCATCATGTGTCTATTTGTGAATCTCTTTGTGTCTTGTAGTTTGTTGAATTTTCTGAATGGGTAGATTGTTGTTTTTTCAATAAAATAGGGAAGTGTTCAGCCATTATTTCTTTGAAAAATATTTCTTCTCCTTTCTGTCTTCTCCTGCTGGTCCTTCCCTTATGCATATATGGGTGAACTTAATGGTATCCCAAATTTTCCTGGGGCTCTATTTTTCTTCATTATTTTTCTCTCTGTTCTTCAGTTTGCATGATCTCTATTGGTATAACTTCGATTGTAGTTGTTCTTTCTTCTGTTTGTGGAACTTTACTATTGAGGTTCTCTATCGATTTAAAAAGATTAGCAACTTTACTTCTCAACTAATTGGTTGCATTCAATAGTAAATTGGACACAGCAGAAGACTGGGTTAGTAAACTTCAAGATAGAAATTATCCAAACAGTGAATAAATAACAATTAAAACATAAAACACAATAGGGTTGAATGAACATGGACTGAAGTCTCAAAGGGAAGAGAACAAAACAGAGCAGAATCAATATTTGAAGACAATTATTAAGATTTTTAAAAATAATTAAGGCTATCTACCCACACGTTTCATAAGCTCAGCATAAAAAGCAGGATAAAGATCAGGCAAAATGAAACAATAAAACCTAAGAAAAGGAGGAAAAAAACTGCTGAAACACCATAGTCAATTCCTGAAACCAAAACAAACAGAAGAATCTTTAAACCATCCAGAAAAAAATTAAATATAAAACGTAGTAATAAGTAGTCAAGTAAACAGAATGATATAACAATCCTAAATAAGTATTTATCTAAAAATATGTCTTAAAATATATATGACAAAAAAGGTAGAACTAACAAGAGAAACAGAAAAATCTGTATTCATAGCCGAAAATTTTTGGAGATGATAGAATAAGGAGGCAAAAATATCTGGAGTAGGTACACAGATGAACTGATCAACACTATTAACCAATATGGACTATTTAATCAAGCAATGATGAGAAAGGTGGGAATAGTAGATACTTCTGAAGGATAGATTTTAAAAAGTTGTAAGATACCTTATGAAATATAGAAAGGTTCTATATGCTGTCTGGGTGAATGACACATGGCTGTAAACATATAAAAACATCATTAAGCTATGCACACAAAAATATTATACTTATGTACTTTACAGTTTTCTGTTATTCTTCAATTTAATAAAAGATAAGTATGCAACTAAGAATAAAAAATTAAACCCAGAAGTGAGGAGTAAGATGCTAGAAAGAATGGCAACCAAATTACTTGTGCTTTTTAATAATTATATAAGCAAATATAGAGAATTGTTGACCTCAATTTATGGAGTGAAAAAACAAGGTAATAAAAATAAAATACTGGAATGGAAGGTATTATAAGATTTAAAGCATTCTAAGTTCCTTTTATTTGGTGGCTGTGTGTGGTTAAATTAGTAACTTCCAGCCTTCTAAAATCAAATATGTCTATTAAAATACAAAGCTAGCTCTCTCATTTCAGGAATGGCAGACATGGTAATTCAAGACAACTGTACCAGTGAAGACCCTAGAAAACAGTATTTGCTTAAACCACCAAGACAGACATGATTGATCAGACCTTGATTCAGGAGAATCAGATACCCAGACACATGGGCCATATATGTCGGCCTCCTTTTAACTTAGAATACTATATAGCATCTAGAAGAGAGGCTGAAAATTCATTTCACAAGTCTTCATAGTAATGGGGACAACATTGGAATCTAGGCCAGCCAAATGCATGGCAAATGTGTGCTGTATACTGAAACCTCTAAAACAATATTCTTTGAACACTTGAGTATATTTAAGACAGCATTCTTAAATTCTTTGTCAGCCATCTGGTCATCTCTATCATTGTTAAATCTTTTTTCTACTGACTAATTTCTTTTTTTCTGGTCATAGGTCAAGTTATTTGGCTTATTTTTATATCTAGTAATGTTTGACCAGGGGATGGATATTGTTAATAGCATGTTGCTTAATATTTACATTTTATTTTCCTTTTTGAAAGTGTGATATGGCCTTCTTGCGGGGAGGGTGGGCAGGCAGTTACACTACTTAGAGTGTCGCTTGATCCTTTTGAGGTGTTCTTAAAGTTTGTTATGGCAGGAATAGAGCAGTCTTCTTTGTAGGGGTAGCTTAGCCCTGTATACTGGGCTTGTTTTCTCATCACAAAATAAGGGTAAGATAGCAATAGTGCTTACATTACAGAGTTATTCTAATAACTAAATTATGTAATCTATAAAATCTCTTAGAATGGTGCTCTGTTCCCCTGTTATCTATTATTAATACTATTATTTATGTCATTATATTATTTGAACCAGTAGAGAGAAGAAAGGAAAAGGAGTAAAGAAAATGCCATCAATAGAATTAAAAGCAACGAAGAAGGAGAAGAAGAAGAAGGAGGAGGAGGAGAAGGAGGAGAAAAATCAATTAGAAAGTTTGGATAAAAAGAAAGCATATATATAACATGTTTTATAAAAATTCGAATATTTAATATTCATATAATTAAATCAGTTACAGTAGAAAATTAAAACAAAAATGGTTTTCTAATGAAAATAAATTCCAAATATATTCTACTAATAGGTAATACTGCTAAGAACATAGAAATAAAAATTGATAAAACTCTTAATATAAGATGAAATAGACTTAAAAATAACATTATTGGGGTAAAAACTGTGCCCTTGTATCATTCCTCTTTCTTAACATATAATAAATATAATATAACATAATGTACTCCAGACTTTCAGCATCTCATTCAAGTATGATTCTTAAACATCATCATTCACAAATTTCTTCTGGCTAAAATGACCAGCTGATCATCTAAGCACAAGTTAAATCTCAGTAAGTGCCTGTTTATCTAAAAAAAGAAGAAACTTAGAAGGTCTATGGGACTTATATTCTTGAATTTCTAAAATATTTTAAGATTTTAGAGATTAAATATTTAATGCTAACATTGTTTTCTGATAACAATTTAGCTAACAATTCACTATTACTCTTTACTACTACTATTTGCTATTACATGGCATAACAGCATCATAGGGAAATAGCTTATATCTGGTTGAGTACAGAAACATTCAGTATGATCATTTTCAATTCATAACCATTTGTGATTTTATTTGTTATATTATCATTTCTATCTCATCTGTAGATAAGTTTAATTGTTCAAATTTGGGTTAACCATCTAGTTTTTCCATATTAATTTCCAAGTTAGAGATATATAATTTCTTAAAGTGGAAACACTCATTTCTAGAGAAGTGCAAATGAAATCTTTAATTAGTTAATTTCAAAATGGCTATTCCTAGCTATAGTCATTAACAGCCCTGCTATGCCTTATTCATAATATGCAGAACTTAAGGCAACCAACTTTTATGCCTAATGCTTTCAATGATTAGGTTTCTCATACAATGAATGAATTACCAAAAGAAGAGAAAATTAAAAGTGAGTTGAGTAAATTGAGTATTTGCATCTATTAATGTAGTATTGGAGAAGAGTTTCTTTCTTTAAATTTATGAGAAAGAAAAAAGTCAGAAAAAATTATCCAGAAGTATAGAATGCTTCTCATTATAGCCTTTAATATTTTTGTTTTTTTAAAATTAGATATTGTCAGTACTTTTAAAATTCCAAATCCAGTAAAAATTACCTTTTGGGTTTCCTCTGGCAAACTACAGATTTAAAAGACAAGGCTTTGGTGGAATTACTCTTAGATTGACGTTTTGGAAGAGTCTGGAATGTCAGGACATATCAGGGTCTGTTGGTAAAGGCATGACCAAAGCAATGCAAATTATGTATTGAAACTTTTAGCAGACTATGTTGGAATTATCCAATAGTCTCTGCCTACTCTCTTTGTCTTTCTAGGATTTGTGTGTTTAACTAACTCTATTTTCTTTAGTTTAAAATTGGCCACAGAGTGTCTAAATAGACACATGTATTATCAGCTGTATCATCACTTTGGATCACGAAACTGATGAAATTTGACTCATGCCTCCACACACCACCAGTCAGTCAGCCCCATGGATTCTCCCTGCTCGATAGGGATGTATCGCAGTCTTGCTAGGCCCGGACTTTAGAAGCTCTTTTTCAGAAAGATAAATAAATAAAATTAGTTATAAAAGTAGATACTTATTTAGAAAGATGAAAGTAATCACAAATACAATCCTTAAAAAGTTGGCAAATACAAAAAGAAAAAAGTAATATTTCTTCTGCAAAATCCAGAAAGGTAGAATAATTATTCAATTAACCTTCTTTTTACAGAACTCTATGATATGTTTTTACTAAACATTTTAAATTTTCAGTCTTTGATTTCCCTTTATACAATTTTGTCATGCTTTTTATAGATGGAACAAAATATTTTCCTCTTTTTTCACTTTCCTTTAGCATGACTGATTTATTTTTTCATAAATATTTCTTTAAGTGTGACAACTTGGTAACATAAAAAATCAGATTACTGTAAAATTTGAGGAAAACTATTAGTTTTTTTACATCTGTAAGATTTTAGGACATTTTCTTAATAATTATATGTGCAGCGACTATTGCTATATACTCTCAATTAAGGATTGCTTACTAACCATATTGCCAAGCTCTGGGGTTCCTGGGTAAATCCATCCTGGCTGCTAGTTACCTCTCACATTTCTTCCTTTTCTGCATTTCCACTAGAGAGGCCTAAATTACAACATTCATTATTTCTCCTGAATACCTTTGCACATAGACTAAAATCTAAACTTCACAATGGAATAAGAATAATTTATCCACCGCAGCTCTTCAAGGCTTCTCTAGAGCTTTTGTCCAAAATTTCTGAGTTCCACACGTCTTATCAGATATAGTGCTGATGTTCCTCTCTAGCCCAATAGTTTTTATCACTTGATGAATAACAGAATCACCTGGATAGCTTAAAAAAACTCACAGAAGCCCAAATAAATGCATATACTTATTCCTGAACATAAAAATATATTTAAGGCACCTATGTGCTTGTAATTACATAGCCACAATTGGAAATCTCTGTTAAAACTGATCTCATACTGTCCTCTTCTGTGGGATCCTTTACCTTATCTGGACATAAGAGCTTGCAATTTATGAACTAATATTAATATTTTGAGTCTTGAAATACATTCCAGCAACTTGGCTTGGATGCCCCTTCTCTACCTGGCTATGATCTTGGAGACACTCCTGACTGTGCCTGCAGGAAGGCACAGGCTAGTTTCCCCTATGACCCCTTCCCGTGAATGTTCCAGAAGTTCCACCATCCCCTTACGTATGGGGTTTTGATAAGCCTCTTGATGACCCTATTACTCCTTCTATAGTTAATCCCATTCCTCACCTTGTTATCTATCCCCATATGGTAATGACTTGAGATTGCACCATTTAATAGTAGACAAACAATTTACATTGGCATAAACATTGCTATAATAATGTCTTACTTTTCTAACAGAACATAAATAATAATAATAAAAGCCTTCAGAGTCCCAATGCAAACATACACTTTCCTTTGTTCTTAAATTATTTTCCATATTTTATTTTCTACCCTATTTTTTGAGACCCTTCAAAACTCACATGAGCATTAGTTGCTCTAAGACACTTTGGTAGAGTGAGAATGAGGTTAACCTACAAGTTCACAAAGATCTGTGGGAGTTTCTCCTTCATTCACAAGGAATAGTAGCCTCCTATGAGCAAGGAAACTTTCTATGAATGATCTAGACTCTCTCAACATTTACTGCTCTAGACAAAAATTCAAGAAGAGGCTGAGGTGCTGAAGATATCTCAAGCCAGTTCCTTCTGGTTTCCTTCTTTACTTCTGGTGTATAACTTCTCTCTACACATTTCACCTCTTCATCACCCAGAATGACTTAGAAATAAGACTGAGGCCAGACTATCTTTAGAGAACAGTGAGATGTGGGGCTGGAGGGGAGTATGGAGAGTCAGAGAAAGACAGGGAAAGTTCATAAGGTAATATAGGGAGAGAAAAATGCCAGGAATTGGGTCATGTAACTTTGGGTAAAAATTGTGTTTTAAAATGTCAAATATATTTCTTACTGCAGGAATTGTTAAGTCTCTAATAACAAAATTATAAATCTTTGAGAACATAAGATAGCAGATCTTTCAAAACAAATTTAACCTCTTAAATTTTTTTTTTACATTACCACTCCATTATTATACCTTCACTCAGGTCCTCTTATTCTCTCCTTTGATATCCTGCCTTCCTTGTTGTTGTTCAAGTATATCAGACATGATTCTGCCTCAGAATCTTTTTTACAAGCTATTTCTTCTTCCTGTACATGGGTAATCTCATAACTCTTTCAAACATTCACTCAAATATGATCTTGCAAATAAGGCCTACCCTGACTTAATGATCTAAAAATCACAACTTTGTCATATCAACAACTCCAGATATTCTTTACTCTAATTTTATATATATATATGTATTTAGTCTGACTTCTGGCACTGGTCACATATTCTATGTTACAACTCCAGAGTGTGGCACCTTTATACCTTTATGCTGTTCACTGAAGCCTGGCACATTATCTAATACATAGTAGGCATTCATTTGGAATCCCTGTATGTCTTAGTGTATAGCTCAGATATGTGAAAATATACTTTTGTTATTCTGGTTAAAAGCACTGTAAAAATAAGAATCTCAAAACTAAAGATTGATTTTGAGAATAGAAGATGAGACATAAATACAGTCTATAATTTTTCTCATTTTTCTCAGGCTTAGCAAATTTGCTATCATGGAAACATCAATGATACACACAAACCACTGTATTTGGAAAAGGGTCAATAAAGTGCAGAAACTCCAATTTTACTGATAGTTGATGAGTATTAGCTGATTGACAGTCTTAGATAGTGACCCCAGCAGAACTCATCAGTCATCCTTTGTCAACATATCAAGGTATTTTATTTGATATGAAGGGCATGATTTGGTGCAAAAGATTTTTCATTTCCTTTCCTATTTGGAACCAATTTTTTCCTTACACCACCTGCCCATAGGCATACTTCTCAATAATTTATTTTAGTTTGCTTTGTTCAGCTGCCCCTTGACATTTTGTATATCCTAGAAGTTGATGGTCTCTAAATTTCTGAAGTAAGAAAAACCTTTTCTGTAATCATACCCTGTGTGCTGATTCTATGAAACATAGTAAAAAAAAGGTAATAGACTTATTTCTACATTTTCAGATAAAACTCACTCAATTCTTTAGTTCAAGTAAATGCGAAAAAAAATTATACCCTAAAAATGTACACTTCATAACAGATTCCTTTGCTCTTTTAGGAAAAACTCACTTATATTTGATTTTTCTACTTGAAATGACAATGTCTTATTTCATGTATTTGCAAACAAAGTTTAATGTACATGAACTATTCAGCCCTCATAAACACATAAATGTGATGTGATTACTTATGAATGGGATGTCTCACTCACTGATAATTATCAATTCAAAATAAGAGGTAAATTAACCCTCTAATGCCATGTTTCTCAACCTGGCCCCAAAACACTGACCCTAAAGATGGTCTTCTTGCTAAAGCTAAGGCACCTATTGTCTTTGCTGAAAGCTCACTATTCCAGCACTCTTCATTATTTTATATTACAAATTCCAGCCAAACACTTTGAAGGGTCAGTACTTTTCTTCTTATCAGAATTGATACCTACTCTTGATGTCCATATGTCTATCTTGCTTCCAGTGTGTCTGCTTGTGCAACTTTCTGAAGTCTTATAGGATGCCCAATACAAAAACATGAATTTTAAATGAATTATCTGCTGTCCAAGAGACCATTTTCTGTCAGAGAAGGTACAAGTACGCATACCTGGCCATAGAGGCCATTTGTCTTATCATATACTACACCTCTGAAAGTAGCTAAATTAATACAATAATGGCATATTCTGTTTAAAATAAACTGAAGCATTCACTTGCTATATCCCTTAAAATTTGAGGGGCTGTTCACTTAGATGTAATATTTATATTATACCAACAATCTATACATGAAACTGTGTCCAAAAAATAAGAGTACATGGGTCAAAGAAGCAACAGGTAGAAACTTCACATCATCCTTCCCCCAATTCTTAATGTATGCATCCTGCATTGGTAATTGAGGCTAAATTGGAAGCATTTGTTCCTAGAAAAGGCCATTTTTACAAGGGGACACAGTTTGAGTTTCACTGAACCTGCACTTATGACTATTGTGTAGCCACTTGAGCTGTGTATTGTGTCAGTCGACTAACAATCGATGACATGCGTTTAGATATGGATGGAGTGACTAACCCAAAGACCTAAGGTAACTCAAAAATAGAGCAACAAAGAGCACACATGGAACCCGAAAGATTAATCTCTTGATGTTTCCATGCCTAATTATTATTGTAAACATATAAGTACAGCAACCACAGACTTAAAAAGGGTAAAGTAATCACTCCCAATCCCTTTGGGGTAAGGTCTAGGGTACTCTATCAGCCAAGAAACCTAGATGTGCTGAAGTGCTCACTGAGTGTTAGGAAAATCAAGATTGGATGGTGGTATAGGAAAATGATAAAAACCAATGACTGACTTTGACTTGTTGTAGCATAAAGAACTTTATCTTGTTATACTATCTCTCCTCTGTTAAGTCTTGCATAGATTTTGTGGTTCTGTGATGGATAGGACTCTATGTAAGGCAAAAGGGGATCTGAATGTTGCAACAGACACATTACAGAATAGGATGCCTATGGTGTCCTATCATATGTCCTCTTTCTCCACCGTGTTGCTGCTACAATTAATTGCACATGGGTATAAGGGGAAAATGTGTCACCTCAGTACAACTTTGTCTCTCTGCTCAGGACTTTTGGATACTTGTTCACCCAATTTGACTCATGTGCAAACATGTGGTTAAATGTTATATACAGCTGTCTTTAAACAATTGAAAACAGGAAAGGTTGCAAACATCTCTGGAGTTGACAGTTCTAAAGTTTCTTCCACGCAGCTCCTGAGTGGCTCTTCACCTGATTGCAAGTCCCAATTATCCATAGCAAAGACCAACTCTATTATGTAGTTATTAATTATCTTAGCTCCTTCCTCATTTCATGCCAGTTTCCTGCTTCTGTTTCTCAGGATCACTTAAAAAATAAACCACATAAGTCCGTGTCTCAGAATCTGATAATAGGGTAACAAAGCTGTTGAACCTGTTGCAGTTAACCAAATAAAATATCTTACTCAGATGGCAATGTTGTTTAGAAATATTCTCAGGAAGATACTAAGTTTATCCCGGGATTATACATTATTTATACACTCAAAAAACCAATTAATGAATTCATATTTATTTATAAAGTTAACTTACTCCATCTCAATTATAAAACAATTTCAGAAATTATTAGAACTCAGACTTCAAAGTGTTGGCTTTTACATTCTGACTAATGATGATTTGAATAAGAAAACTTTAGTATGTTTCAACATATTACCTGAGTTTTGAATTCTAGTGATATTCTGATAAAATACAGTTTTCCAGAATACAACTTCCTAAGCCAATACTATTCTGATAAAGACTCCACTGTGCAAGCCCCTCAGGTCTCTAAAGAAATTGGTTGAATGACATCCCCACTACAAGTTGTCTTAGCTACCTTGTTGTTGAATGCCTATCTATGCTGAAAGCTTACATGAAAAACAGAAATGTACATATATTGAACCCAATCCCATAGTGAGGACTCTGTCAGTTTCTATGTATAACTATTTTAATTATACATTTAGGGTCAGGTAATAATATTGGGCCAATTATGAGACAAACGTGGGCCAAAACTTTATCATCATCTTGTTCTCCATAAGATTTCATTCCAACGGTGACAGTATTGTGCACACCTGGTTTCAATGTCAGCTCAGACCCTGTATTCCATAGCCCTCAAGCAATCCAGGTATTCTGTTTTCTCTATTATATGGATATTTTTGAAAATAACAAATACATATGGAGAAGAATTTGGGGAATATTGCTCATATATGCATAATTTGTAATAAAAGTCTTTTTTTTCTGAAAAGCTGTTGGACTTCCCTTTAATCCATGGGTTCTAATTCTGAGAACATAGATCTGGAAACCAGGCAAGAAATTATAATTCTTCCAATATGGCAGCTGATTTTAGCCTTTGGCTCACCAGACTTCAATTGCTCCTGGTTACAATACAGTAATTTCAAGTAACATAATACTCAAACTACTTAATTTATCTTATCCCTGGAAACATTATTATCTATTAGCAAAAATTTCAGACCCATGCAGATCAAGATACCATGATTGCTTCTCTAGCACTGCTGCCTTCATTGGTATTTACTTCTGTCTTGCCTTTTTTGGTTCAAATCACTACCTAGCTTTGGCTATTTTGGAACTCCATTATCCCATGTGACATTGGGGTGTGCAGTTTTAATGGAGCATCTCTATTGCCAACACTAACATACAGAAGATAGTCATCAGAGTTTCTTAAAGGTGCCAGAAACTTTGTCTTATGAATCATTATCAATGAATCCCTTATTGCCTTAAGGTAGTAAATGTCATCTGGTCACTTCCAGGAAGCAATCAGGTAGAGGATTCTTTAGACTGTAATCTATTTTATCTGTTCTCTCCTATGTCTTTGAATTCTTTTCTCAACACTCCATAAAAGTCAGTTCTGGCACCACCATATACTTTACTGAAGTAAAGCAGCAAAAGACCATCCTGGTAGCATAGTACAACCAGTTTCAGATGTCCTTGAATTATGTTAAGCCAATCCATGAAGGAGTGTTTTCAAACAATAAAACTTTTCTTTTTTTTTTAAATTATATTTTAAGTTTTAGGGTACATGTGTATAACGCGCAGGTTTGTTACTACTATTGCAAGGACAAAAAACCAAACACCGCATGTTCTCACTCGTATACCTGTGCCATGTTGGTGTGCTGTGCCCATTAACTCATCGTTTAACATTAGGTATATCTCCTAATGCTATCCCTCCCCTCTCCCCCTACCCCACAACAGGCCCCGGTGTGTGATGTTCCCCTTCCTGTGTCCAAGTGTTCTCATTGTTCAATTCCCACCTACGAGTGAGAACATGCAGTGTTTGTTTTTTTGTCCTTGCAATAGTTTGCTGAGAATGATGGTTTCCAGCTTCATCCATGTCCCTAAAAAGGACATGAACTCATCATTTTTTATGGCTGCATAGTATTCCATGGTGTATATGTGCCATATTTTCTTAATCCAGTCTTTTCTTATCTAGCCTTGTAATGTATCCTTTTTGACTCAGTATCCTCAAGATCCACTTTCACATATTTTCTTAGCTCCTGCCATTGTACTTTCACCATGACTACAATTTTGGAGGGCATATAAACTACCCTAGCAGGTGCCTGGACTCAGTAGAAATATGCTAAGAATTAACCTACTGCCTAAAGTCAAACATAAGAGGCAAGATAGACATTGGTAAAGGCAGACATAATCTTTGGAGAATTGTGCCTTTCATTAGACCTTGACAAAATCACTCAGTGAAGAGTGGTGGTTTTCCCATATCAGCCAGACGAGAGGTTCCAGGAAGTTTAAGGATATCAGACATGTAAATCCACATAATTCAAATCCATTAATAGTTTCTTTCTCTTTCTTTTTTGTGTTCCTGAATTTTGCATAGAAGGTCTATGGATGTAGTTTATTATGAAACGTGTAGTTCATTATGACATATACTTTAAAAAGGTATATATAAATAATAACCCATGAGCTAGGTTTATTCCAATATTTTATGATAGGCCCAATGTTTTAAAGAACGAAGCAATTTAATTTACAGCTGTAGTAACACAAAAGATTAAAAATAGTATATTCTCTATTACACACACAAAATGATGAAATTCAACATCATGCAATGATAAAACAAAAATCTTTCTCAGTAACTTAGGATTAGAAACAAACCCCCTCAATATAGTAAAAGGCATTTATAGCTAATATCACATTTATTGGTAAAAAATTGAATGATTCTTCCCTAAGATATGGAATAAAGCCCATAATTTCTATCCTCACCAATAGAAGATCTACACAGTGACATGTGGCAAGAAAAAAAATACAGATCAGAAAAAATATGTGCTTTTTCATATGGCATAATTATTAATATAGAAATTCCTAAGGAATCTACAAAATTGTTGTTGAATTTAATTGTTGAATTTAGAAAAGTTGCAGAATATGAAGTCAACATAAAATCAATTATATTTCTATATAATAGCTATAAATATGTTTAAAGAGAAAGATTTATTTATAACAGAGACAATAATACTTAGCAATTAAGTGAATAAACTATATGGCATCTCTCTGCAAAACTCTGTGGAGAGTACTCAAAGAAATGCCAAATAAAGAGAGGCTATATTATGCTTATAAATTGAAAGGCTGTGTTGCTAAGATGTCAGCCATCTTAAATTGCCTTATATATTCAATGCAATACAAAGATATTCTAGAATTTTTTTTAAATGACAAGAAAACTTAAAATCTATTTGGAAATTCAAAGTATATGGAAGAATCAAATAGTTGTGAAAAAGAAGAAAACAATTGCTTGCCTATACTACCTATTATGAGAATAAACTATAGTAATCAAGAAAGCATAGTTATAACAGATGGAAAAATAATTAGAACTATTGGACAGAATAGGAAGTCTAGAAATAGACTTAGATTGTAAAATAGACATATATGGTCAAATGATTTTTGACAAATTTGAAGGAATAATTAAAAGGAGAATGTATAGTCATTTCAAAAATGGTGCTGGAAAAACTGGACATCTATATTTAGTGAGACATCAATACCTATTTTGAAGCAATAATTAAGACTTTATGGATTAGCATATGAATTGACAAATGTAGTAATATAAAAGAATCAATTCCAGAAATTTACATCTACATATAATACTAACTGATTTATGAAACATGTGACAAGGCTATACAGCAGATATGTATTTTTTCAATAAAGGTTTAAATCAATTAAGTTTCCATATAAACAAAAAAATACTAGTTCCAATTGGATTATTGTGGTGTAAGGCCTACAACTAAGGCCCACTATTACGTGCTACCTTGACCTCTGGCAAAACCTGGAAATGGGGAGGTCAAATGGTGTAACAGCAAGATCCCTCCCCACCTTGCTCCCTTGGAAAGAGGCTTTAGAAAGGCTAAACAACTTTCCTTATCAAGGGAACCAGGCACAGTTCCTGTTTATCCTTGAGTAGCTGATTTCAGTTTCCAACACATTTAAAACAAGCCAATCACACTCTCCTATGGTATCAGTGGACAATTACCCTCTTGATATTACTAAGTCTGCCTCTCACAGCCCCTGGGTTTTCATTCTGTTTCCAGGTAAAATCTCCATGAGAAACTGCATGGCATGTCCTACTCCCTATGCTGTGAATATATGTGACTAACACATTTTTGTCAGTCTCATCAGTGCACTGTTGAGTGTCACGTGCTTGGAGATCCCCATAAGTCTCAGGTCATAATGCCTCTTTTAGCAAAGAGATGAATGGGAGGTGATTAAAACATTAGTAGATAGAAATGTGAAGGGTAAAATAATAAAGCTTTTATAGCAAAACAAAGGAAAATACCTGATGCCATTGGAAGAGGCTCATATTATCTTAAATCTGACATTAACATCTACTACCTCTAAAGAAAAAAATTGGTGTATCTTAAAAATTATAATATTTGTTCATTGGAAGACACAATTTAGAGTAAAATTCTAATCACAGAGAGAAAAGTATTGATACATACAGCTAACAAAAGATTTGCATCTCAAACTTACAAAAAATTCATAAAATCAATAATCAATCAAAACAGATAAATACAGTAAATGTAAGCAAAATTTGGAATAGGCTTTAAAAGGCAGCTACTTGAATGACCATCAAGCCTATAAAAGATATTCAACATCATTAGTCCTCAATGTACTTTTTCTAAACTAATTGCACACCCAAATGCTGGTAAAAATATAGAGCAACTGGGCCTCACATGTGCTAGTGGTGGGAGTAGATATTGTTTCGATCTTTTTTTTTTTTTTTTTGAGACGGAGTCTTGCTCTGTCGCCCAGGCTGGAGTGCAGTGGAGCGATCTCGGCTCATTGCAAGCTCCGCCCCCCGGGTTCACGCCATTCTCCCGCCTCAACCTCCGGAGCAGCTGGGACTACAGGTGCCTGCCACCACGCCAGGCTAATTTTTTTTTTTTTTTTGTATTTTTATTAGAGACGAGGTTTCACCGTGTTAGCCAGGATGGTCTCGATCTCCTGACCTCGTAATCCGCCCGTCTCGGCCTCCCAAAGTGCTGGCATTACAGGCGTGAGCCACCACGCGCAGCCTGTTTCAATTGCTTTTTATGGCAGTTAGGTAGGATATAAGAAAAAGGGAATTTGCATACTGAAAATAATATACATATTATATTTATATATATAACCTTATTGATAGCATAGTCAATTCGCACGTTTTGCATGTTATATGTATTATTTGAAAATAAAATTTTACTAAAAAAAATCATAGAGAAAATACATTTGCTATTAAGTGGAATTGGATCATCATAAAGATCTTTATCCTTCTTATCTTCACATTGAGTAGACTCAGGAGGAGGAGGATGAGGGCCTTGTCTTGCTGTCTCAGGGGTAGCAGAGGCAGAAGAAAATCTGGGTATAAGTAGACCTGTGCAGTTCAAACTCGTTTTGTTCAAAGGTCAACTGTTCAAAAGTCTTGTGTGTGTGTATATATATAAACAAACACAAGAATATTCATACATCACTATATGTAATACCTAACCATTTGAAACAACCCAAAAGTTCATTAACATCCGAAAGGATAAATAATACCATATGCATTCAATTAAATAATGTGAATCAAAAGCAAAAAGAATTAAGTGATATGCAACAACATGAATAAAACTCACAAACTGTTGAGGCAGAAAAGCCAAACATAGAAGTTTGCATATAGTTTGCATGAGTATATTTATGTCAATGTAAAAAGCATATTAATCTTTGTCATTATAGTGGTTATTCTAATATGTTGCATTGGGTGTGTATTGAAGAGAATAGATTATGAATGCTCTAATTGCTAATTACATGAATGTTTGATAATGAGAAAATTAATCTAGTGTATTTATACTACTTTTCTGCATATATGTTATATTTTAATAGTATACTCTTTCTTAAGACTATAAATATTGAAACTTTAGGCAAATGAGATTTAGTACAATAAGGGGTGGTTTAACAATCAACAGTCAAAATAGAGTAAGTTAAATACTGGATATTTTAAATCCCTTATTGAAACCTTATTTAATATTAAATACAATTATACCTAAAGCTATGTTTTCTGTAAAATATTAAGCCCTTTCATAGAGAGAGAAAGTGAGAGAAAAGAGAGGGAGATCCTTGTTTTATAAATGAGAAAATTAAGTCATAGGGAATTGTCCCATAAAAAACATAGTTGAATACACAGTTGTATCCTGGGTCCATTTCATTCTTTCCACTGTATTAATTCAGTTTTCATTGAAAAGTTCACTTAAATTATTTATCATGAAAGAAAACAGAAAACTTAATTGTCTATATTGAGTAAATTTATTCTCTCATATTTCACTCAGCTTTTTATTTCAGTTTGTGCTCCATGTCCTCACTAAATACAAAAGTGCTAACCATACCAGATTTATCTTCTTTTGGAATGTTTTCTTTAAAAAAAGTATGCATATACACTTGCTTAAATATGAAAATATTTTATACTTTGAATGATAAGAGTCAAGAGGAAATTATATCTATGTTGGGATTTTAGCAATTCATTTCTAAGGGTCTATGGGTGTAATTATTTCTGAATTTTTATGTATAAAAATATATGTATTTAGTTATAAGTATTTAGACCATAATCACCAGGGGTCATTAATTTATATAGCTGTTTTGTGTGTATTGGTTTATTCTTCTTAAAAACACATAGGGCTTAGAATTAAATAGGCATGAAAAAGATTATTTTCTTCCCCTAAGGCTCTCTCTTTTTGTTACCAACAGCAATCACTTTCACAAAATGAGAATTGAATTGAGGAATTGTGAAGGCAAATAGACCATAAGCACATTTAAATACAAGGATTGAGTAAGCATTATATATTTAATACTTGTAATATTTCTCTCTTTAGCAGGGATTTGTGATTGAATAGCAGGCCTGTAGTGACGTTATACTATCACCAAAACTCTCTGCCTTGTCATTATTATCAATAGCATTAAGAATAATGATAAGAATTGTCAAAAACAATAGCTAGCATATCACCTCTAACTGTCAGACTATCAAGTACTACATTTTTTTCTCCACTCTCTCTAATAACGTGCTTCAAACAATTCAATCACCCATCTTGGACTAACAGTCCTTTGATCCCACTAATTATTATGGCTGTCAAAGCTTCAAGGCCTCTCTTTCCTACTGAGACAGGCCAGATTCTATCCCTGTCTTACATATACTCTTCCCTGACCCCTTTGTTCTTCATAATACGTAATAATACAACAACCCTGACTGCATTCATCTCTCTATCAACCCTGCATCTGTACTTTACAGCCGAACTTAGATTAGGGGGAAAAAACCATGCAAATATGACGACTTCTATGGTTTGACTATAATCCCCAAAACTCATGTGTTGGAAACGTAATCCCCAAAGCAACAATGTTGGAAGACAAGGCTTTTTTGGAGTGTTTAGGTCATGAAGGCTCTGCCCTCATGAATTAATAATGTTGCTATAAAAACGGCTTGCAGGAGTGGGTTTACTCTCTTCTGCTCTTTCTGCTACATACATAAGGATACAAAGATTTTCCCCTCTAGAGGATACAACACTTAAGACACCATCTTGGAAGCAGGGGCTAATGATCTCCACATTGCTAAATCCAATGGTAAATTTTCAAATTCAATCATATTTAAATTCTCAGCAGCATTTAGCATACTTGATAATTTCCTCCATTTTAACATTTTTTTCTAAACTATAGAGACACCATCCAGTCTACATTACTGGCAATTCTTTTTCAGTCTTCATTTTTCCCCCTTATCTCTCCAACTTTAAAATATTGACATACTTCAAGGTCTTAAAATCTCTACTCTTACCATCTCATACAATCTTGTTTTAAATGCTCAATTCTCCTGGACTCTAAGCTTTTATTTCCAGCCAAGACCTCTATCTTGAACTATACTGACTTATATTCATTGCCTATGCAACATTTAGAATTAAATTTCTGATGGACTTCAATTCAATTCAATGTGCCCAACTAAAATTCTAATTGTTCTTCCTACCCTGGTCATTTCAATCTTAGTAAAATATGATCCCGTCCTTCCAGATGCTATTTCTACCTATATTAGTCACACATGATCTAGGTTATGCCACAGTAACAAAGAGCCTCCAGAATTTCAGTGAACTGGAACAACAAAGTTCATTCTTCTCTTTCATGCTACATCAACTTTGAAGTAGGCTAAAGACCTACCCCATTTTTTCCTTACTTCAGAATCCACACTGATGGATTCAGTATCTGAGACATTGCCGGTTTTGGCAGGCAGATAAAGAATATTTGATGAATTAAATATTGGCAATTCAAAGTGCCACCAAAAAGGATCACATATCCCTTCTATTCATATTTCAGTGGACAAATACATGTATGAGCCTATACCCAAATGCAAAGGGTATGGAATACATATCTCCTATGTATCAAGAAGAGGAAAGAAAATCCATTAGTTTGAGAACAATCAGAAATATTTGGTGATCTATATTAATGACTACATTATCAGGCCTAAACTATGGGAGCCATCATTGACTCCTTGCAACCACTGTGTGTTTCCAGTCCTGTGATGAAGTTCCTGGGCTTTCTTTCAAGATATATCCAGAATCTGGCCATATTGTCCCCTCCACTGCCATCACCCTGGTTCAAGCCACATCATCTCTCACCTTTTTTACTACAGTAGCCTCATAATTCACCTTCGTCCTCTGTTCAAACACTAATATTTTCTCCTCTCATTCTAAAGTGATATGCTTTTACTCTGGACCACAGATCTATAAGAACAGGACCCCCGCTGTATCTCTGACCTCGTTTTCGATACTTTCCATCTGATTCATTCTACTCCAATGCACCAGCTCTTTATTGTAGCCTTAATTCAAAAAGAGTCTTCCTCAGGATCCTTACCCTTGCCGTTCTTGCTACAGAGTGATCTTCCCTAGGATGCCTGTATGGTTCATTGCCTCTCTTCATTCAGGAAATCTTTATTCAAATACTACTTTTTCAGTGAGAACCTCTCTGAAAACTTTTTACAAAATAACCTTCCTGCCTTGGCATTCTCCATTTTCCTTACTTTATCTGTAACCTCATCATGTGACATATATTTGCTCTTTGGTTTATTTCTTGTTTCCATCCTTTAATGCATAAGCTCATGAGGAAAAAGTGTGTCTTGCTCACTAATATATAGCTCCTAGTATTTTCTCTGTATAGTAGATACTCAAATCATACTTGTAGAATCCATAAATGAATGGAAAAATAGCCGCATATTTATGCAGCAAGATTTTTAAATCTTATATTCTAAATACTGTGTTAGGTATAGCTGTGCACTGAAATGTAATACAATTTTCAATGTCAGCTTACTTTTAAGTGGAAACACAAAGAGTGCAAAAGACGATCACAAAAAAAAAAAAAAAACTAACAACTCTGATAGTTTAAACTATAGCTGTGAAAGAATACAAGATGTGTTTAGTTTTGCCAATGGGTTTTAAGCAGAAGAATTGTGGGACCTTCCAGAAGTTTATGCTTCCACCACACTTTCTCTTCCTCATTACCCTCTGGAAGCAGATAATGCAGAGGATTGTCCAAAGGACTGGGTGGGGCCTGAGTCCATGAACAATTTTATTCATTATGCATCTTGTGTATATGTAATATTTTAGCTTAGTATCAAGAATAATGCCTACATTTTTTCCACTGGATGAGAGTCATTAAGGGGGCCTAGAAGAAATAACAAATTTGGGAAGGGAAGGTGGGAAACGACAAGCTCACTTCTTTCACTTGCTGATTTTCAAGGTATGTGGCATACTCAAAAAGATACATCTATATCTGAAGCTCAGCTCAGAGATTGAGATAGGGACTTTTGACCATCATAAATATACACAAGTTAAAACTCACATGTGGTTTAACCTAAATACGATAGTTTAACCTAAGGGAGTGAGTAGTGAGGATAAGGTCAAGAATATAACTAGGGAGTGATACCAAAAGAAAAGGAACTTGAAAAAGACTTTCCATGCATCGTGTCTAATATTCTATCAGCCAGGAAGAAAAGTACTTTTGCCCTCATTTGAGGAGTAATGGAGCAGACATTTTGTCTTTAGAGACTCCAGACACTAATTTATAATGTGTAGAAAAAGTTGTTTGAATGTTGCAAGACATGAATACCTGATAACCATATTTATGTTACAGAAGCTCAAAAATATTCACATTAAAAGGCTTATTTAGACCACAGTATTTTTAATTAAATTTATTTTTGTAAACTGCTAAATATTCCAATTAGAGTTGGTATTCAATGGAAAAAAAAAAACTGAGAAATATACCTGTCAGCAGACTGTGGCAATTGGTACTTTACTGTCTACAATACAAATACTAGTTCATCTTCTTGAGGCTAGCTTAAACCCCCAATAACACAAGGGGCCAAGCACGCAAACCATGCTTTTTAAAAAATGGAATCCAACACTAAATTATAACTTCACTGAACACAGTGACATTTCCTTTATTTATTGCAGCATCTCAAGTTCACAGTTCTTTTTAAAAATTACTTTTTATTATTTTGGGTACATTATAGTTGTATACATTTATGAAGTACCTACGATGTCTTCAAACAGGCATACAATGTGTAATAATCAAATCAGAGTCATTGGGATAGCCAAAATCTCAAGCATTTATTATTGTGTTAGGAACATTACAATTCCACTGTTTTAGTTATTTCAAAATATACAATAGATTATTACTAACTATATTCACCCTGTTGTGCTACTGAATACTACATCTTACTCATTCTATCTAACTATATTTTTGTACCCATTAGCTATCCTCACTTTATATCACCCTCCTTATTACTTTTCCCAGCCTCTGGTTACTATCATTTGACTCTCTGTCTCCATGAGTTTAATTTTTTTAAATGTTTGGCTCCCACATATGAGGAAGAACATGGAAAATTTGTCTTTCTGTACTTGGCTTATTTCACTTAACATAATGTCTTCCATTTCTTGGAATGCATGTGGATATATAAGATACATGTTAAATAAATTAATGCAACAATAAAAGGGAATTTATTAGTTTTGTCCCTATCTGCGTTAACTAACATTTAGCTGCTATTTAGAATAGAGATATTCTTGCCCCATTATGGCCTCAGATAAATTCATATAAAATACTAAATGATGACCCCAGCCTAAATGTTGCTCACTCTTATCTAACAGCAGAGTGTATGCATGTAGTAAATAAAAACTCTTATAGGTTCTGAACTCTTCTTCCATTCTCCCTTTTTAAATTGGCATTTTACAGAAGGAAAAGAAAATCTTCCTACAATTACATCTATATGAATCTAAGTTCCTCTTCAAGAATACAAAACATTAATACTCTATTATTAAAACAATACCATAATACAAAACTTAGATTAAACAAATATAAAAGAGGTTATTCATAATTACACAAATCAAAATAAATTGTTGATTTTAGAATTCTGATATTCTGAGGAGACGGCAATCCATGTAATTGTCTTTTCATACATTAGTCTTTCTTTTTTTTTTTTCAGACTGGAGTGCAATGGTGTGATCTCAGTTCACCCCAACCTCCGTCTCTCAGGTTCAAGCGATTCTCCTGCCTCAGCCTCCCAAGTAGCTGGGATTACAGGCATGTGCCACCATGCCCGGCTAATTTTTTATTTTTAGTAGAGATGGGGTTTCTCCATGTTGGTCAGGCTGGCCTCGAACGCTCCACCTCAGGTGATCCGCCTGCCTCAGTCTCCCAAAGTGCTGGGATTACAGGCTTGAGCCACCACGATCAGCCCATACATTAGTCATTTTTAATAAAATTTAAAGATGTAATTTCTTTAAATGTACTTATCTGTACTTTTTCTTTCCCTCTCATGGAATTCAGTGAAACTTCTCAAGTATTGGGTGAAGAATTATTTATCATGGGTGCCAATATATTATATTTCACAGTTTTGTTTCCTCTAACAATAGCACAGACATTTGTCTCTCTAGATTAGTTAATGAGAGTGAATAGTTATATTGTAGATTTTCAATTTTGCTTTTAAATGATTTGTCACAAGAAAATATGATGAAACTTAGTAACTGCTTGAACTATAATTTAATAACAGAGTCTAAACATTTGCAATTTTTGTTACTGCTCTAAGTTACCAAGATTCAGTGGTAGAAAAATTTATGTTAGTCTGAGTATGCTAAGTATTTTACCATGTATGCCACCTACTCCAGCACAGTTGGTGGCTGAGAATGAAGCGATCTAGAATCTGCAGTAGAGATGCAGAAAATGACAATTAAGTGCAACTGAGACATGAGAAAAAGCTAAGAGTTCTGTTATAGTTTGCTCAGGCTACCGTAAGAAACTAACACACAATGGATAGTTCAAACAGCAGAAATTTTTTTCTCACAGTTCTTGAGACTAGAAGTTCTAGATCAAGGTGTTGGTGGGTTTGGTTATTCCTGAGGCATTCCTTGGCTTACAGATGGCCACCTTCTGGATATGTCCTCACATGGCTATTTCTCTGTGTGCACTCATCCCTGCTGTCCCTTTATGTGTCCAGATGTTCTCTTATTACAATGCCACCAATCATGTTGAAGTAGGATCCCATCCTAAGAGTCTCATACTAACACAATCACCTCTTTAGTTACTTTATTTCCAATGTAGTTCCACTCTGAGATATTGTGGGCAAGAAGTTGAACATGTGAATTTGTGGGTGAGGGGACACAAATCAACCCATAACAAGGTCTATAACATGTCCAATTAATTTCGTCTTTTTGTAAGATTTCCCAGGAAAAGACCCCAGGCAGAATTCTGCAGGAAGTGTTTCTTAAATTTATAATGCAAAGAATTGAATCCAAGTGGCACAAGACATGAATTGCAGTGAAGGCCATGCTGTGACACCCAGAGAAGTCTTTATTTCCCCACTTCTATCAGACATTGGATTAGGCTGCTGACAAGGGGGCAGGAATGATCTTAGGGAAGGTAGCAAAGCTTTCTATCTTATGCAGATAGAAAGTAGGAGTGGGCAGAGTGACAAGCAGAACAGTATCACATTCAAAATGAAAATATAAGCTGTTTCACAGGAACGCAAGAGCCCACTCCAAATTTCTATCTTCATAGGATCCATTTTTAGAGATTACAGCTACATTAAAACATCAAAATTGTTGTAACGTTAGAGTACATTTCACCATGATTCTAGTAATGGTCTGAAAAGAGACACTGTTATTTCCTGAAAAACTTCATTAACTTTCTAAGTATTTTCAGGATGTAGGGAATCTTAGCAAAGATAAGATCGTTCCCGCCCTCTTGTCAGTAGCCTAACCCAATTTCTGATATATGTGGGGTTATAAAGACTTCTTTCCTTCATGCAAGGTGGAGCAAATATGAGTGCCACCCAGCTCCTGCACTCCTACAAAATCAGTTAAGGTTTTCATTTTGAATGTGATACTGTTCTACTCCTCCCTCTGCCCACGCCTACTTTCTTCAATCCCCACAGGTGTGTTGCCTCAGATTGTTCCCTAAGCATATTTCTGCATGCTGTTTTCTATCTCGGTGTTACTATCATAGGATAGAAAGCTTCACTACCTCCCCTAAGATCATTCCCACTCCCTTGTCAGCAGCCTAACCCTTGGAAAGCCAAAATAAAGTATCTGTAACCTATGGACTTTTATAAAGTTCTCATCATCTATTGTTATTTATATTGAAGTTCAAAAAAGGAAAGTGGAGTGACAGTAGAAACAGAGTTGACTGTGATATTAGGCAGGCTACTCAGCAATTTTACACTTGTTTGAACAGTAACAAAGTATTTAATATCTGCAAGTTCTAGTTTCCACATCTAAGGTATCACTAATTCTTTTTTTTTTTTTTTTTTTTTTTTTTTGGATATGGAGTCTTGCTCTGTTTTCCAGGCTGTAGTGCAGTAGCACCATCTCGGCTCACTGCAACCTCTACCTCCCAAGTTCAAGCCATTCTTCTGCCTCAGCCTCCCAAGTAGCTGAGACTACAAGCACCACCACACCCAGCTAATTTTTGTATTTTTAATAGAGACAAGGTTTTGCCATGTTGGCCAGGCTGATCTCAAACTCCTGACCTCAAGTGATCCACCCACCTCCCAAAGTGCTGGGATTACAGGCGTGAGCCACCATGACCTGGCTAAGGTAACGATAATTCTTAAATTAAAAAGTTGTAAAAAATGTAAAGGGAAAAAGTACTAAAACTAAAATTTTGGCACAAGAGTCTTTTAATTAGTAGGCATTCAATAAATCAGGATTTGTCAAAGGAAACAGGACAAAAGTGAGCAATGTGGACTTGTTTGCCCCTACCTGTCACTAAGGGGCTCCATATTACTATAAGATGAGTAAAAATAGACATGAGTAATTATACCATTAGAATGATTCTCCTTTTGTATGCAAGTGACCCTGACTCTGATTCTGACCAATGGCAGCTTTGTTACAAAAGGCAAATATAATGGACTACAAGGAGAATGACTGTTGGTTTTAAAGGAGGAGATGAACAAACATGACTCAGTAAAAAAGCAATGCAAGCATCTAGAAGGCATTAGCAGCAGGGGTATGAGTGTAAACGTCTTTGTTTAGATTATACCTATTATTTATGATATGTTTTGACTATGTCCCCACCCAAATCTTATTTTGAATTCCCACATGTTGTGGGAGGGTCTTGGTGGGAGGTTATTGAATCATGGGGGCAGGTGTTTCCCATGCTTTTCTCATGATAGTGAATAAGTCTCATGAGATCTGATGGTTTTCTAAGGGGGAGTTTCCCTGCACAAGCCTTCTCTTTGCCTGCTGCCATCCATGTAAAACGTGACTTGCTCCTCTTTATCTTCCACCATGATTATGAGGCCTCCCCAGCCACTAGGACCTGTAAGTCCATTAAACTCTTTTCTTTTGTAAATTGCCCAGTCTCGGGCATGTCTCTATTGGCAGCATGAAAACAGACTAATACAATTTAATAACATCAGTGATTTTCAGGATCTGTCTTCATTTATTCTGCATTCCAAATCCTAACATGAGAGAATTCAGCTGGCCTGGATCAATCACCAATATCTAAGGAAGTAACCTTAGTTAAATGGCATAGTCACTGGGTGCCTATCCTCATAGGATCCATTTTCAGGGGTTGTAGCTACATTAGAACATCCAAACTGTTCTAATGTTAAAGTATATTTCACCATGATTCTAGTAATGGACTGAAAAGAGACATCATCATTATTTTCTGAAAAATTTCTATAACTTCATACATAAACATTTTCAATTAAGCGTCATTAAATCATTCTTATGTGTAAATATTCAAAGTTTTTATGTCAGTATCATTGAGATAAAGAAACTGAAAAAGAGAGAAGTCAAGCTATTTACCACAAGTAATTCAATCAATAGATATCATAGTTAATATTGGAGTACAGGGAAGATAAAGACTAACTTTTTATTATCTCCTGCATGTTGTACCCCCACAAAGGAGTTGGTTTCCTACAAATGTACATGGAAACTAGTTACAAACTAGTGCTTAAATCAGCAATAAAGCTGAGCTAGAAGGATAGGGCTGTAGCCATGTTTCTACCACATTATACTGCCATTGCACCCCAGCACCCACTCACAGCATGGAAAGGGCTGGTCTGTTCATGAATGTACACATTAGAAGCTCCATTGCCCAGGGCTTCTGGTTTCTCCCCTTCAGTCTGCCCTGAAATGCTCCTAGAACTCTGGAAACCACCCTAGGAAGAAATGGGCAAAGGGGACCAACACACCTGTGATTATACCATTCTCTAAGTTTTCTCAGTGAATTCCACTGCCCTAATTTCTGGTGAGGATTTCTTGGTAATGGCCTCACCATTGCCCAGTATATACTTTATTGTTAATGTCAGAGATGCAAAGAAAATCTTCAACTCTAGTTGGTGTTTTAAAAAAGCAGAAAGAGAAGAAATAAATAATTTACAAATGTGTAAATAAAAATAGTAGGAACAATGCATATAAAAATTTTAAAAACTAATTTTTGTTCCTCTGGAGTGAAAAAAGAGTCAAAAATGATTTCCCCAAATTTGCTTAACCATAATTACACTGTTATAATGGGGAAACAAAGGACAAAATTATTGATAATTTTGGAAAGGCAATTAGACAAAATTCACCAGACAATATAAATATGTCCTTTCTTGTTTATACAGTGGTTCCATTTGAAGAAATATGTCAAGTTGAAATTGTCATGAAAAGTATAATATCACACAAATGTCATTTTTTTTTCTGTGGTCTTTAAAAGATTATTACTGAAAACAAACTACAATTTCAGCAAGACGGTAATAAAAATGATGTTAATTTAACTTAATTGAATGGTATGCATACATTAGAAAGGTTATCCATACAGCAAAGTCATAAGTGAATATTGTATAAAACATAATGACACAAGAAAAGTCAGAATACTCTGTATGCAGTAGGATATTAACTAGGAAGAACAAACCACGAAAAACTGTTTTATTCTGATGCTGGGTGATGGGATTGTATGCTAATTTGAAACAAAATTTTCTTCAATCTATTCTATGTGTTAAAACAAGCTTGCTCAACCCACAGCCTATAGACTGCATGTGGCCCAGGATGGCTTTGAATGTGGACCAAAACAAATTTGTAAACTTTCTTAAAACACTATGAAATTTTTTCACAGTTTTTTTTTTTTTTTTTTAGCTCATCAGCTATCATTAGTGTTAGTGTATTTTAGGTGTGGTTCAAGGCAATTCTTCTTCATCCAGTATGGGCAAAGGAACCCAAAAGACTGGTCACCCCTCTGTTAAAGTTTATTTAATAGTCACATGTTCATATATATTTGGTTTATTTTGAAGAACATTGGTGAAAAAAAAAAAACAGTGACTCTGTTTATTCACCCTAAATCCATTCAAATATTTGGATCTGGAAAAAGTTGTGCAGTGCACTAAATAAATAAGTAAATGGGTTAGCATGTGAACACTAAATAGGGACGTGAATCAGCAGGCAAAAAGTTCCACTTCCACTCAGAGATGGAAATGCTGGGTAGTTTGACTGGCTCATGACTAGAATCACTGTCAGCAAGGCTATGAGTTAGGATGAGCTTGTCTTTAAAGCCCTCTCATCTTCCTTTTAGGTCATACCACAGCACCTTATCAGGCGTGGTGCTTTCTTTCGTCCCCGAAAAATTTGTTCTCTGAGATTAGTTGCTAATCTATATTGAAGTACTAGGTGACCCTGCCTAAGGAGATAATGTCTTTTTTATTTGAATAAAACACTTCTCAAATTATTGATCTTCAGAAAATATATGTGTTAGTTAAGTAGTTCAAGTGTCATAGAAAGCTATTAGAGTAGATATATTTAATGCCTCTCACAGAATTCCTGAAAATGCATTCATTCACAGATATCTCTTTTCATACAGATAAGCTTGTCATCTTCCCTGCTGGAGGCTGAGATTGATGTGAAGACCTTACAGTTTGGGGCAAAAAAATGTAAACTGAAGTGCTAAGCAACAAATCCTATCAGCTATAAAGAGCATTAAAGTCCCATTACTGCTACTTTCTTGGAAATAGTTAAAGGAGTCTCATAAATATGAGCAGAAATAAAATTCAGAATACAAAAGAAAGCACCTCTATGCCTACAGGTTTCCTTTCAAGCATTGCTCTACATTTCTGGGCTGAGGAAGAGGAAGAACAACTAAATATTCAGACCCAAGTTCTTCTAGTCGCTAATGTGTGGACTTTAAAAGAACACAAAAGAACTTAGGTTGAAAGAAAAATTATCACCCTGAAAGGAGAAATGTTACTCCAGAATCTGAAGTGACAGGCACTTCTAGAGGGATATTGCATCTGAGCTCTGCTTACTTGGAGCAGAAGTCACTGGTAATAAACTGGTAGCAGCAGATAAATGGCCATTCTGATTCATTCCTAAGAACTAAGTGAAAACTAGCATGAGAGTTAAAAATGCATTAGGGGCAGCAGTCTTAGGGAAGTCTCTCAGTTTTCATGTACTTTACTTCCAGGAATGCCATCAGGTTCTCATGATAAAAATCTTTTTTTTTTATGTTTAAATGTTTTATTATAAAAATTTAAACATATGCAAAAATAGAGACTAATTTAATGAACTTTACTAACCCATCATCTGGTTTTAACAATTATTAACATTTTACTAATCTTGTCTCTTAAAGACACGGTGGGCTTTTGGAATTAAAAAAATAGTGATTATTCACATGACATATAAATAATTTTTCTATCATTTTCTACAATGTTGTCACCCTATTATTTTGTACATGATAATATTTTTTGAAGGTATTTATTGAAGATTCAGCTGGACTTTGATTTTTCTTAAAAAACTAGACTGTCATTTAAATGACATTTCCAATATATTATGATTTCTTTTATTTATTTATTTATATTTTTTATTTTATTTATTTATTATTATTATACTTTTAGGATACATGTGCACAATGTGCAGGTTAGTTACATATGTATACATGTGCCATGCTGGTGTGCTGTACCCACTAACTCGTCATCTAGCATTAGGTATATCTCCCAGTGCTATCCCTCCCACCTCCCTCCACCCCACAACAGTCCCCAGAGTGTGATGTTCCCCTTCCTGTGTCCATGTGTTCTCATTGTTCAATTCCCACCTATGAGTGAGAATATGCGGTGGAAGTTCTGGCCAGGGCAATTAGGCAGGAGAAGGAAATAAAGGGTATTCAATTAGGAAAAGAGGAGGTCAAATTGTCCCTGTTTGCAGACGACATGATTGTATATCTAGAAAACCCCATTGTCTCAGCCCAAAATCTCCTTAAGCTGATAAGTAACTTCAGCAAAGTCTCAGGATGCAAAATCAATGTACAAAAATCACAAGCATTCTTATACACCAACAACAGACAAACAGCCAAATCATGAGTGAACTCCCATTCACAATTGCTTCAAAGAGAATAAAATACCTAGGAATCCAACTTACAAGGGATGTGAAGGACCTCTTCAAGGAGAACTACAAACCACTGCTCAAGGAAATAAAAGAGGATACAAACAAATGGAAGAACATTCCATGCTCATGGGTAGGAAGAATCAATATCGTGAAAATGGCCATACTGCCCAAGGTAATTTATAGATTCAATGCCATCCCCATCAAGCTACCAATGACTTTCTTCACAGAACTGGAAAAAACTACTTTAAAGTTCATATGGAACCAAAAAAGAGCCCGCATCACCAAGTCAATCCTAAGCCAAAAGAACAAAGCTGGAGGCATCACACTACCTGACTTCAAACTATACTACAAGGCTACAGTAACCAAAACAGCATGGTACTGGTACCAAAACAGAGATATAGATCAATGGAACAGAACAGAGCCCTCAGAAATAATGCCGCATATCTACAACTATCTGATCTTTGACAAACCTGAGAAAAACAAGCAATGGGAAAAGGATTCCCTATTTAATAAATGGTGCTGGGAAAACTGGCTAGCCATATGTAGAAAGCTGAAACTGGATCCCTTCCTTACACCTTATACAAAAATAAATTCAAGATGGATTAAAGACTTAAACGTTAGACCTAAAACCATAAAAACCCTAGAAGAAAACCTAGGCATTACCATTCAGGACATAGGCATGGGCAAGGACTTCATGTCTAAAACACCAAAAGCAATGGCAACAAAAGCCAAAATTGACAAATGGGATCTAATTAAACTAAAGAGCTTCTGCACAGCAAAAGGAACTACCATCAGAATGAACAGGCAACCTACAAAATGGGAGAAAATTTTTGCAACCTACTCATCTGACAAAGGGCTAATATCCAGAATCTACAATGAACACAAACAAATTTACAAGAAAAAAACAAACAACCCCATCAAAAAGTGGGTGAAGTACATGAACAGACACTTCTCAAAAGAAGACATTTATGCAGCCAAAAAACACATGATAAAAATCTTAAAAAAAAAAAATCCTCTTTTAGCCCTGGTAGGAAGAAGGAGCAATTATTGCAAAATACACTTAGAATCTTTTGCATAACAAAGACCTTCACTCTAGAAGAAAAGACTGCAAACATTAGCTCAGTTGAGGAAGAACAGTCTTGCTACTCCATCCCCTCTAGCTTTATATCTCACCTAAGTAGGAGGGAACATAGTCAACAAGGGTTAGGGACTGACACTTAATCAAAATGTTATAAAACACTGCTCTTCCACACCTTACCACCACACTTAAAGGGACCCAGTATAATAAGATAATTTTAGCTAAAAGAGCTTCAAGATTCAGACTTTGTCTGAGAAGTACTTAGAGAAGACCAAAGTCAAGAGGGGAGGCATAAACAAAGATAGTAGAGAGATTTGAACAATTTTATACCTGCAGCTACATAAAGCAGAAAACACAGCCCATTTCAGATGGTTTACAAAAATCTTCAAGCTAAATGTTTTTTTTTGTTTTTCTCTGTCTCTCAGGCTGGAATGCAATGGCACGACCTTGGCTTACTGCAACCTCCACCTCCTGGGTTCAAGTGATTCTCCTGCCTCAGCCTCCTGAGTAACTGGGACTACAGGCACTCACCACTACACACAGTTAAGTTTTGTATTTTTAGTAGAGATGGGGTTTCACCATGTTGACTGGACTGGTCTTGAACTCCTGACCTCTGGTGATCCGCCCACCTCAGCCTCCCAAACTTCTGGGATTACAGGCGTGAACCACTGCTCCTGGCCCCAAGCTAAAACTTTATCTCAATTCTTAGCACCTTCTGCAATGGGTGTCCTTTTAACAACAAAAATTTAAGGCTTAAAAAAATGGCAAAATTAGTCTGTAGAGACTTGAGTCTACTTTAAAAAAAAGCAATAGAGAATAAATAAATATAACCCAATTTAACTATTAAAGCTGAGATAAATTAAAATTGAAATATGGTTAATGAAAGACCTTGCCAACACCAACTAAAAGAAAACAGAAGTAGCTTCTGTTTTCAATTCCAGACCACGTAGAATTTAGAGTAATGAAACTTATCAAGGATAAAGAGGAGCATTGCATAATGATAAAAGGTCAATTCTCCATGAAGAGATAGCAATCCTAAATGCATATGCACCTAAAAAGATGGTGTCAAAATCCAAAAGGAAAACACTGATAAAAATGGATAGAACTGTTAGGAGAAAGAGGGAAAACTAATATTATAATTGAGGACTTTAGCATGCTTTTCTCAGTAGTTGACACATTAAATAGACAATAAGAATATAGATAACTTAAGTAGCACTGTTAATCCACTTAATGAAACTGATATTTACAACCACCACATTGTTCAACATCCATCCACAAACAAACAACATACACATTCTACTCAAGCTCAAATAGAACATTCACAAGATAGACAACATTTTGGGTCCGAAAATACACATTAACAATGTAAAAGAATAAAAGTCATAGGAAATATTACCGAAATCAAAATGAAATTTTGTAGTGAATTCTGTCAAACATTTAAGAAAAACGCATACCAATTAATCATAACCTCTTCCCTAAAATAGAAACAGAAGCAACACATCATGATTCATCCTATGAGGCCAGCATTATTCTAACATTAAAGTAAGATACATTTATTAGAAAAAAGGAAAACTTAAAACCAATGTCTCTTATTAACGTAGGTGCAACATTCTTAACAAAATATTATCAAATCAAATACAATATATAAAATTATTATATACTATGACTTATTCTATCTGTTCAAGTGGAACTCTACATCTACTCAAGTACTACTCTACATCTACTCTACATCTACTCAAGTCTGTGCAACATTAAAAACTCCATGAATGTAATCCATCGTATCAATAAAGTAAATAAATAAAGCCATATGATTATATCAATTAATACAGAAAACAATTGGAGAGTTATTTGAGCATGAAATCATGAGAAGCTCCACTGACCTGCTTCCCAGTGAAATTGATAAAAATTATTTAAAGAAAATCAGTTAAAAATCTCTGGCAATTGTTCTGAGGGCCCACAGTTAATGAAGAAATATCTGTTCAAGATAATCTATAATAATTTGCTAAGAAAACTGAGTCTGTGGTATTTTAGTCAAGAACCTTCCATGCCCCAACCTCCCAGATGAGCAAGATGACAACTTCTTTTTAGGCTTTAGCATATATAAACACAGGAGTCCCTCTGTCCCAGCTCCCAGTCAGAGGGGTTTTGCTCTGGAAGGTAAAAGAGTTTGGCTTTCTATTGTATCTCAAGTTACTTGGTTTTGAGTATAAGACTTTGGAATTTGTGTGGTCAAGAGGTAGGAGTTTCCTTCTTCTATCTATTCCCATTTTTGGAACTGAGGTTCTATGTGATTGTGGCATATTGAGAAAACTGCAGCCCAGATAACGCTTTCCTTGACCATGACACAGTGGTTTCATGGCAGGACAAAAGGCCCAGAGGATCTCAACTTGCCACTTCCCTACCACTAATTACTGGGGTCCTGGAGAGAAGGTGTTACTAACAGAGAAGATTTTTGTTGCCCTACCTCCAGCTTTAGAGCTCTAGCTCACGGACTTTTGTCTAAGAAAATAAGCAGATGGTAAAATAAATACTTCTCAAGCACTTAAGTAAAGAAAAAAACTGACTTTATTTACAACAGAAAATAGGAAAGTTCAAGTCTAAGGACACTCTCAAGAGTAGTGGAGGTTGTGGTGAAAGATCATTCAGAGGGGATTTGCGTATTTAATAATATCATGGCCTATACTAGTTTTCAGAAGAAAAATGAATAGTTTTCAGGAGAGATTGAGATAATAGGAAAAGTGGAGGATCTTTCTCCTCAATAAGGTAAATAAAAATATCAAATACTGAAATCAAAAACTATTCCGCTGAATAAATCACATTTAATTTTATTGAATTAGTTTGAAGTTCAATTTGTGTCACACGGAGCTGTTAAAAATAAGAGACAATTAGCCAACAATGAGTGGTGCAATTAGCAAAAGAGATGAAGAGAGTTCTTTTAATACTACTGTCATCTCAGAGCAACCAAAAGTTGCACCTCCTTGAGGAGCAATATCAAAGGTTTACTGGGGAGTGATAGACTTTACTAAAATAAACCATCTAGTCAATAAGCAATAGAATAAACAACCAGTTCCTGGGGTCAAAGGCAATATCTGGGGTTGTTACAATACATTGTTACATATGTCCAGTTTCAAATAAAATAGTATAAAGCAAGGAAAGAAACAAGAAAATATGATGTATACACTGGTTAAAAAAAAAAGTAGACAACTTCAATTGCCTCTCAGAGTGACCACGTGCCATATTCTATAGAAAAAAAAGAATACAAAGGAACAATGATATGCATTGTTATATAATTAAAGGAAATCATAAATAAAGAATTAAATAAATGTATGATGGAAATGTTACAGAAGTAAAGAATGTCAGCAATAATAAAATGTAAAGGGAATAA
The DNA here is from genome assembly GCF_000001405.40 of Homo sapiens. Classification (NCBI taxonomy): domain Eukaryota; kingdom Metazoa; phylum Chordata; class Mammalia; order Primates; family Hominidae; genus Homo; species Homo sapiens. The sequence goes on along the minus strand of NC_000002.12, from coordinate 123,253,116 downwards.
AATACTAATTTTGGAGCTGAAAAGTACAATCACTAGAATTAAAAAATAAAAGCATTGCTAGAAAGTATCAGCAGTATATTTGAAGTGGCAAAAAAAGAAATAATTAGCAAATCAAAGATACATTGATATAGATTATGGATATTATGTGAGTTGAGGAACAGAGTAGAAAAAATAAATAAAAATGAACAGAAACTCAATGAAATGTGTAACACTATTAACTGAACTATACATTTGCATATAGAGCACAGCAGGAAGAGAGAAATAAAATAGAAAAAAATGAAAACTATATGGCTAAAAATTTACTGAATTTATTAAAAAATAATAACATATATTCAGGAAACTCTGTGAACTCCAATTAGGACAGATACAAAAAGATTCATAGAGAGATGCTTCATAGTAAAATACGAAAAATCAAAGACAAGGAAAAAAATTTTCAAAGCAACAGGAGGAAAAATGGCATATCACTTAGAGAAGAACATCAATACTATTAATAGCTAATTCCAAGCTCAAATAGTAGAGGCCAGTAGGAGTGAGATAACATATTAAAGTGCTCAAGAAAAAAACTGTCCACCAGGAATCATTAATCCATCAAAGGTATATTTCAAAAATGAAAGAGAAATAAATATTTTCCCAGAAAAACAAGAACTGAGAGAATTGATTGCTAACAGACATATCACACATGAAGTACTAAAGAAAGTTATTCAAGCTGAAAACAAGTGAGACAAGAAAATAATTGCAATGCACATGAACAAATGAAGAGCACTGGCAAAGGTAATTATTTAAAAAATATTAAGGAATTTGTTTCTCCTTTCTTTTCTTAACTAGTTTAAAAATGAATTGTATAAAACAATATGCATCCAATGTATTTTTGGGCCATATAACATATCAAACAGAACTGCACAAAAGAGGTTGAAAGGGAGCAATGCTATATTTGGATGAGGAAATGACTACAAATGGTAAAGTCATAAGCATAAGAATGTATTGTTAAATTCGTAATAGTGATAGGTATAATATGGATAATAATAATATCACTAAAAGGAGAAAAAGAAATAGTTATGTAAGGATAATATTTCTCTATTTCACTGGAATTTGACAAGTATTAATATGAAGTTAATTCTGATAAGTTCAGATGCATTTGACAAATCCTAGAGAAATCATTAAATTATAACTCGAAAAATAATAAAGAAATTATTAAACAAGTTAAAGGGCATAATAGAATATATATACTCAATCAAAAGGAAACAGTGAGGAGAAATACATGAATAAAATGATATTAGACAAATGGGAAACAAAAAGTAAAATAACAGATATAAGTACAGGCATACCTCATTTCATTTTCATTTTCATTTCATACCTCATGCTTTGCTTTATTATGCCTGGCAAACATTGTGTTTTGTACAAATTGAAGGGGTGTAGTAACCCTGAGTTCATATCTCTTTCCAACAGCATGTGCTCACTTCATGTGTTTGTGTTACATTTTGGTTTTTCTTGCAATATTTCAATATTTTCATTATTATTATATCAGTTTGGTGACCTGTAATCAGTGATCTTTGAAGCTACTATTGTAATTGCTTTGTGTCTCCATGAACTATCACCATGTAAAATGGCAAAAGTAGCTAATAAAATTCTGTGTGTGTTCTCACTGCTACATGGACCAACTGTTCCGCCATCTTTCTTCTTCTCCTTGGGCCTCCCTGTTTCCCAAGACACAAAAATATAGAAATTAATTTACCCCTAAAGGTCTTTGCATTTTCAAGTAAATGGAATCGTTGTATGTCTCTCATTTTCAGTCAAAAGTTAGAAATAATTAAGCTCAGTGAGGAAAATATGTCAAAACCTGAGATAGGCTGAAAGGTAGGACTTTTGTGCCAGTTAGCCAAGTTGTGAATGCAAAGGAAAAGGTATTGAAGGAAATTAAATCTGCTATTCCAGTAAACACACAATAAGAAAATGAACAAGCATTATTGCTAATATGAAGAAAGTTTTAGTGGTCTGGATAGAAGATCAAACCAGCTCCAACATTCCTTAAACCAAAGCCTAACCAAGAGCCAGGTCCTAACTCTCTCCAATTCTATGAATGCAGAGAGAGGTGAGGAAGCTATAAAAGAAATGTTTGAAGACAGCAAAGTTAGTTCATGTGGTTTAAGAAAAGATGCTATATCCATAACATAAAAGTGCAAAGTGACATGTACCCCAGAACTTAAAGTATAATAAAAATAAAAAATAAAATAAAATTAAGTGTTCATCAACAGACGAATGAGTAAAGAAAATGTGATGCATATATATATATATATATATATATATATGCACACACACAATACTATACTATTCAGGGGAAAAAAGTGCAAAGTGAAGCAGCAAATGCTGATGTAAAAGCTGCAGAAGTTATTTAGAAGATCTAGCCAAGATCATTAATAAAGGTGGAAATATTTTTTAAAAATAGATTATCTGAAGTTGCTTATCTGCTTAAGGAGGTTTTGGGCTGAGATGATGGGGCTTTCTAAATATACAGTCATGTCATCTACAAACAGACAATTTGACTTCCTCTCTTCCTATTTGGATATCCTTTATTTCTTTCTCTTGCCTGATTGCCCTGGCCAGAACTTCCAATACTATGTTGAATAGGAGTGGTGAGAGAGGCCATCCTTGTCTTGTGCTAGTTTTCAAAGGGAATGCTTCTAGGTTTTGCCCGTTCATTATGATATTGGCTATGAATTTGTCATAAATAGGTCTTATTATTTTGAGATACATTCCATCAATACCTAGTTTATTGAAAGTTTTCAGCATGAAGGGCTGTTAAATTTTATCGAAGGCCTTTTCTGCATTTATTGAGATAATCATATGGTTTTTGTCATTGGTACTGTTTATGTGATGGATTATGTTTATTGATTTGCATATGTTGAATCAGGGATGAAGCTGACTTGATTGTGGTGGATAAGCTTTTTGATATACTGCTGGATTTGGTGTACCAGTATTTTATTGAGTATTTTTGCAATTTTCTTTTTTTTGTTGTGTTGTGTTTCTGCCAGATTTTGGTATCAGGATGATGCTGGCCTCATAAAATGAGTTAGAGAGAAGTCTTTTTTTTTTATTGTTTGGAATAGTTTTAGAAGGAATGGTACCTGCTCCTTTTTGTATGTCTGGTGAATTCGACTGTGAATCCGTCTGGGAGAATTCAATTGAATCCATCTGGTCCTGGGTTTTTTTTTTTTTTTTTTTTTGGTTGGTAGGATATTAATTACTGCCTCAATTTCAAAACTTGTTATTGATCTATTTGGGGATTTGACTTGGGAGAGTGTATGTATTCAGGAATTTACCTATTTCTTCTAGATTTTCTAGTTTATTTGATAAAGGTGTTTATATTATTCTCTGATGGTAGTTTGTATTTCTGTGGGATTAGTGGTGATCTCCTCTTTATCACTTTTTATTGTGTTTTAATTCTATGCTCTTTTCTTCTTTATTAGTCTAGCTAGTGGTCTATCTGGTTTGTTAATCTTTCCGAAAAACCGGATTCTGGATTCACTGATATTTTGAAGGATTTTTTGTGTCTCCATCTCCTTCAGTTCTGCTCTGATCTTAGTTACTTCTTGTAGTCTTCTAGCTTTTGAATTTGTTTGCTCTTGCTTCTCCAGTTCTTTTAATTGTGATGTTCGGGTATTGATTTCAGATCTTTCAAGCTTTCTGATGTGGGCATTTATGGCTATAAATTTTCCTCTTAACATTGCTTTAGCTGTGTCGTAGAGATTCTGGTAAGTGGTGTCTTTGTTCTCATCGGTTTCAAAAAACTTCTTTATTTCTGCCTTAATTTCGTTATTTACCCTGTAGTCACTCAGGAGCAGGTGGTTCAGTTTCCATGTAGCTGTGTGGCTTTCAGTGAGTTTCTTTTTTTTTTTTTTTTTTTGAGACAGAGTCTCACTCTATCACCCAGGCTGGAGTGCAGTGGTGCAATCTTGGCTCACTGCAAGCTCCACCTCCTGGGTTCATGACATTCTCCTGCCTCAGCCTCCAGAGTAGCTGGGACTACAGGCACCCACCACCAAGCCTGGCTAATTTTTTGTATTTTTAGTAGAGATGGGGTTTCACCGTGTTAGCCAGGATGGTCTCAATCTCCTGACCTCGTGATCTGCCTGCCTTGGCCTTCCGAAGTGCTGGGATTACAGGCTTGAGCCACCGAAAGTATCTGGATGTCTATTACATTATTTTCATAAATATGTTATTTTATAAATATGTCTATTTTATAGTGTTTTACTTATATATACTCATTGTAAACACATTAATTTGATTATTTCAGGTTATCCTATTGCCTCTTTTTCCAAAGAATCCCATATTAGTTAAAATTGTCATGTTACAGTCATTAGAAGCTCAGAAATAGTACAAGTCTACCAGTTATGCTTGTATCCTAACTGTTTTGCACCCTAGAAACTACTAATTAAAAGCAATGCTGTTTACTATGTTTGGTGCCTGCTTATATTGAGATTAGTTGAAGAAGGACAATGAGGATAGAGGATGTGCTGTGTTGCTTTGCACCTTTGATTTCATTCTTGAACGGTGTAAGAGATTGTTTCCATTAAAAGACATTTGGAATGACCCTATCCTGTTCCCCTCCTCTCCAGACCTGCAAGAGAATACACCATCACTATATATAAGCACACAGCTAAAAATACCCCAAGGCAAATATACACACATCATATCAGAAAAATGAATAAAGCAGGTAGGTGAGATCTATTGAAGACATCATTGGAGAAAACAAATCACTCTTAATGTTCACATAACTCCTTAGATCTTCCATTGAGCTTTAATCATTTAAAGATGCACATTCTAAAAAGAAAAAACACATTAGCAGATAGTAGTAATGAATGACCTAACAAAAGAGGTGACCAATATTGAAAGAATGACACAATAAAATTAAAGACTCACACAAGAGTGTCTGCAAAATATGAACTATAAGAGGAATAACCTAGACTGGTCCAGAATATAGAACATGTTTACTGGCTAGATATTAAAGCCAGTAAACAAACATTAAAGGGTTAATATCATTATAAATATCATGTTATAGACTTCAGTGCTATAGATTTATAGATTACAATTTGTTGATCAACAGTATACAAAATACATTTAATTTACTTAAAGTATTTTTTATCAGTTCTTCAGTTGAAAAAAATCCCCGGTAATGTTTTAGATATATGTATGTGTGTGTGGGTTTGTGCATGAAACTGGGCTCTTTCTAGTTATATATATATTTTTTTTTTTGAGACAGAGTCTTGCTCTGTCACCCAGGCTGGAGCGCAGTGGCATGATGTCAGCTCACTGCAAGCTCCACCTCCCAGGGTTCACACCATTCTCCTGCCTCAGCCTCCCAAGTAGCTGGGACTACAGGCACCCACCACCACGCCCAGCTAATTTTTTGTATTTTTAGTAGAGACGGGGTTTCACCATGTTAGCCAGGATGGTCTCAATCTCCTGACCTCGTCATCCACCTACCTTGGCCTCCCAAAGTGCTGGGATTACAGGTGTGAACCACCACGCCTGACCTTGAGTGAGTTTCTTAATCCTGAGTTCTAATTTGATTGCACTGTGGTCTGAGAGACAGTTTGTTATGATTTCCATTCTTTTGCATTTTCTGAGGAGTGTTTTACTTCCAATTATGTGGTCAATTTTAGAACAAGTGCTATGTGGTGCTGAGAAGAATGTATATTCTGTTGATTTGGGGTACAGAGTTCTGTAGATGTCTGTTAGGTCTGCTTGGTCCAGAGCTAAGTTTGAGTCCTGAATATCCTCGTTAATTTTCTGTCTCATTGATCCATCTAATGTTGACAGTAAGGTATTAAAGTCTCCACTACTACTGTGTGGGAGTCTAAGTCTCTTTGTAGGTCTCTAAGAACTTGTTTTATGAATCTGGATGCTCCTGTACTGGGTGCATATATATTTAGGATAGTTAGCTCCTCTTGTTGCATTGATTCCTTTACCATTATGTAATGCCCTTCTTTGTCTTTTTTGATCTTTGTTGGTTGAAAGTCTGTTTTATCAAAGATTAGGATTGCAACTCCTGCTTTTTATGCTTTCCTTTTGCTTGGTGGATATTCCTCCATCCCTTTATTTTGAGCCTGTGTGTGTTTTCGCATGTAAGATGCGTTTCCTAAACACAGCACACCCATGGGTCTTGACTCTTTACCCAATTTGTCAGTCTGTGTCTTTTAATTGGGAGGATTTAGCCCATTTACATTTGAGGTTAATATTGTTATGTGTAAATTTGATCCTGTCATTACGATGCTAGCTGCTTATTTTGCACATTAGTTGATGCAGTTTCTTCATAGTGTCATTGGTCTTCATATTTTGGTGTGTTTATGCAGTAGCTAGTACTGTTTTTTCCTTTACATATTTAGTGCTTCCTTCAGGAGCCCTTGTAAGGCAGGCCTGGTGGTGACAAAATCTCTCAGCATTTACTTGTCTGTAAATGATTTTATTTCTCCTTTACTCATAAAGCTTAGTTTGGCTGGATATGAAATTCTAGGTCGAAAATTCTTTTCTTTAAGAATGTTGAATATTGACTCCCTCTCTCTTCTGGCTTGTAAGGTTTCTGCAGAGAGATCTACTGTTAGTCTGATGGGCTTCCCTTTGTAGGTAACCTAACCTTTCTCTATGGCTGTCCTTAACATTTTTCCTTCATTTCAACCTTGGAGAATCTGACAATTATATGAGTTGGGGTTGCTCTTCTCAAGGAGTATCTTAGTGGTTTTCTCTGTATTTCCTGAATTTGAATGTTAGCCTGTCTTGCTAGGTTGGGAAGTTCTCTTGGATAATATCCTAAAGTGTGTTTTCCAATTTGGTTCCATTCTCCCCATCACTTTCGGGTACACCAATCAATTGCAGGTTTGGTCTTTTCACATAGTCTTATATTTCCGGGAGGCTTTGTTCATTCCTTTTCATTCTTTTTTCTCTAATTTTGTCTTCATGCCTTATTTCAGTAAGATGATCTTCAATCCCTGACATCCTTTCTTCCACTTGATCGATTTGGCTGTTAATACTTGTGTATGCTTCACGAAGTTCTCGTGCTGTGTTTTTCAGCTACATCAGGTCATTTATGTTCTTCTCTAAACTGGTTATTCTAGTTAGTAGGTCCTCTAGCCTTTTATCAAGGTTCTTAACTTCCTTGCATTGGGTTAGAACATGCTCCTTTAGCTCAGAGGAGTTTGTTATTGCCCACCTTCTGAAGCCTACTTCTGTCAATTTGTCAATCTCATTCTCCCTCCAGTTTTGTGCCCTTGCTGGAGAGGAGTTGCGATCATTTGGAGGAGAAGAGGCAGTCTGTTTTTTGGAATTTTCAGCACTTTTTCACTGGTTATTCCTCATCTTCGTGGATTTATCTACCTTTGATCTTTGAGGCTGATGATCTTTGTTTGAGGTTTTTGTGTGGGAATCTCTTTTTGCTGATGCTGATGTTGCTCCTTTCTGTATGTCAGTTTTTCTTCTACCAAACAGACTCCTCTTCTGCAGGTCTGCTGCAGTTTGCTGGAGGCTGCAAAGATTACTAACTGCTCCTTTCTCTGAAAGCTTCACCCTAGAGGGCCACCAGAGTGATGCCAGCTGATGCTGTCCTGTATGATGTGTCTGTCCACCCCTTTTGGGAGTTCTCTCCCAGTTAGGAGGCACAGGGATCAGGGACCCACTTGAGGAGGCAGTTTGTCCCTTAGCAGAGCTTGTGTGCTGTGCTGGCAGAATCCTGCTTGTCCGGATCAGCTGCACTCTTCAGAGCCAGCAGGCAGGAAAGATTAAATGCGTTGAAGCTGTGCCCACATCTGCCCCTTCCCCCCGGTGCTCTGTCCCAGTGAGATGAGAGTTTTATCTGTAAGCCCATTACTGGGGCTGCTGTCTTTCCTTCAGAAATACCCTGCCCAGTGAGGAGGAATCTAGAGAAGCAGTCTGGCCACAGCTGCTTTGCCACACTGTGATGAATTCCACCCAGTCCAAACCTCCTAGCCCCCTTAGCACCGTCAGGAGAAAACTACCTACTAAAGCCTCAGTAATGGCAGATGTCCCTCCACCCACCAAGCTTGATTATCTCTGGTTGACTTCACATTGCTGTGCTGGCAGTGAGATTTTCCAGCCAGCGGTTCTTAGCTTGCTGGGCTCCATGGGAGTGGGACCCACTGAACGAAAACTACTTGGCTCCCTGGCTTCAGTCCCCTTTCCAGGGGAGTGAACGGTTCTGTCTCGCTGGGGTTCCAGGTACCACTGGGGTACCAAAAAAAAAAACTCATGCAGCTAGTTCGGTGTCTGCCCAAACAGCCACCCACTTTTGTGCTTGAAACCCAGGGCCTTGGTAGTGTAGGCACATGAGGGAATCTCCTAATCTGCGGATTGCAAAACTGTGGGAAAAGCATAGTACCCAGGCCGGGTAGCACAGTCCCTCACATCTTCCCTTGGCTGGGGGAGGGAGGTCCTACAGCTCCTTGCACTTCACAGGTGAAGCAACACCCACCCTGCTTCTGCTCACTCTCTGTGGGTTGCACCCACTGCCTAACCAGTCCCATTGAGATGAATCAGGTACCTCAGTTGGAAATGCAGAAATCACCCGCCTTCTGCATTGGCCTCACTGGGAGCTGCAGACTGGAGCTGTTCCTACTTGGCCATATTGGTCCCTCCCAGAATGGCTTTTATTAAAAAGAAAAATAATAATAATAATAATAACAGATGCTGATGAAGCTGCAGAGAAAAGGGAATACTTATACCCTACTGGTGGGAATGTAAATTAGTTCAACTGCTGCAAAAAAAGTTGGGAAATATATCAAATAACTCAGAACTGCCATTTGACTTAGCAATCCTATTACTACGTTCATGGAAGCGGTGTTCACAATAGCAAAGACACGGAATCAATGCAGGTGCCCATCAGCAATAAATTGAATAGAGAAAATGTTGTACGTATGCACCATAGCCTACTACACAGTCATCTGAAAGAATGAAATCATGTCCTTTGCAGCAGCATGGAGAGAGCTAGAGGCCATTATACTAAGGAAATTTACAAAGAAACAGAAGAAACCAAATATTATATGTTCTCACTTATAAGTGGGACCTAAACATTGGGTATGAAAAATATGGGGACAATAGACATGGGGGACTACTAGAGGGGGAAATGAGGGGGGGCAAGAGCCAAAAAAACTACCTACTGAGTACTATGCTTACTACCTTGGTGATGAGATAATTCATGGCCTAAATTTTAACATCAAACAAACTACACATGTAATACCTGAATCTAAAACAAATATTGTTATTATTATTAAAATATTTTTTGAGACAGAGTCACCCAGGCTGGAATGTAGTGGTGTGGTCTCAGCTGAATGCAACCTCCACCTCCCAGGTACAAGTGATTCTTGTGCCTCAGCCTCTTACTCGGGAATTATAGACACATACCACCACATCCAGCTAATTTTTGTATTTTTAGTAGAGATGGGGTTTTGCCACATTGGTTAGGCTGTTTTCAAACTCCTGACCTCAAGTGATCCACCCATCTCAGCCTTCCAGAATGCTGGGATTACAAGCATGAGCCACTGCACCTGGCCAGTCATAATTATTTAAAAAAGAAAATAATTCAATTAATAATAGTATCAAAAGAACTGAAATATTTAGGAATAAATGTATCTAAAGAAAAAGAAATGTATGTATTGAAAACTACAAATCGTTATTGAAATAAATAAGGAAGATCTAAATAAGTTGAAAAAATATCCCATATTCATGTATTAGAATACTTAACATTATTAAGATGTCATTACTTCACAAATTGATACAGATGCAATGCAATTAATCAAAATCTCAGCTGTCTTCTCATAGAAATTGAAAAACTGTATCTAAAGTCCATATGTTGCAAGGTACCAAGTATAACCAAAACAATCTTTCAAAGACAAACACAAAATAAGGAGAGTCACACGTCCCAGCTTCAAACTGGCACAAAGATAACACATATAGATCAATAAGATAGAATTGGGAAACCCAAAATATACCCATACATCCATGGTCAATTGATTTTTTTAAAGAGATGGGGGTCTTCTCTATTGCCCAGGTTGGAGTGCAAAGTGAGATTGCAGCTCACTGAAATGTTGAACTCCTGGTCTCTGGGGATCCTCCCACCTCAGCCTCCTGAGTAGCTGGAACTACAGGCAGGTGCTGCCATGACCCGATAATTTTTAAAAATTATTTTATAGAGATGAGGTCTTGCAATCTTGCACTGGATAGTCTCAAACTCCTGGGCTCAAGTGATCTTCTCACCTCAGTCTTCTGAAGTGCTGGAATTACAGGCATGAGCCACTGCATCCAGCCTAATTTTTTACAAGTGTGCCAAGTCCACTCAATGGAGAGAGAATATTCTTTACAACAAATGGTACCAGAACAACTGGATATCAACAGGCAAAAAGTTGAAGTTGAATCATATCTTACAACATGTATAAAAATCAACTCAAAACGGGTCAAAAATCTAAATCTAATACTTAAAATTATACATTATTTTTTATTGTGGCAATATAGACACGACATAAAATTTACTATCCTAAACTTTTTTTAAAAAAATTTTAAGTTCTGGGATACATGTGCAGAATGCGCAGGTTTGTTACATAGGTATGCATATGCCATGGTGGTTTGCTGCATCTATCAACCCATCATATGGGTTTTAAGCCCCACATACATTAGGTGTTTGTCCTAATGCTCTCCCTCCGCTTGTCGCCCACCCTCTGACAGGTCCCAGTGTGTGATCATCCCCTCCCTGTGTCCATATGTTCTCTTTTTCAACTCCCACTTATAAGTGAGAACATGCAGTGTTTAATTTTCTGTTCCTGTATTAGTTGGCTGAGAATGATGGCTTCCAGCTTCATCCATGTCCCTGCAAAGGACATGAACTCATTCTTTTTTATGGCTGCATAGTTTTCCATGGTGTGTATATGCCACATTTTCTTTATACCATCTCATGCCAGTCAGAATGGCTATTATTAAAAAGTCAGGAAACAGGAAATGCTGGCGAGGCTATGGAGAAATAGGAATGCTTTTACACTGTTGGTGGCAGCGCAAATTAGTTCAACCATTGTGGAAGACAGTGTGGAGATTCCTCAAGGATCTAGAATGAGAAATACCATTTGACCCAGCATTTGAAATACCATTTGAACCAGCAATCCCATTACTGGGTATATACCCAAAGCATTATAAATCATTTTACTAAAAAGACACATGCACACGTATGTTTACTGTAGCACTATTTACAATAGCAAAGGCTTGAAACCAACCCATCTTAATCATTTTCAAGGGTACAGCTCAGGGGTATTAAGTATTTTCAATTTGTTGTTCAATCATTACCACCATCCATCTCCAAAACTCCATCCATCTTGCAAAGCTGAAACTCTGTGCCCATTAAACAGTAACTACCATTTAGTCCATTCCAGCAGTGGCCGCCAACCACCATTCTACTTCTGGCTCTATGAATTAGAGTACACTAGATACAGAACATAGGAAATGGATTGTAGATCTGAAATACAAAACTATGAAACTTCTAAAAGATAACATTAACAAAAATCTTTGACTTTTGGTTAGGCTGTGAGTTTTTTGATACGACACCAAAAGCATGTTCAATTTTTTAAAATGACAAGTTGGACTTTATTAAGATTAAATCTTCTCCACAAGGAACATTTTTAAGAGCAGGCAAACGTAAGCCACACTGGGAGAAAATATTTGCAAAACACCTATCTTATAAACAACCTTCAAATCTCAACAACCAGAATACAACCCAGTTTTAAAATGGGCAAGATGTGGAAAATGCAATGAAAAGATAAGTGGATGCAAATAAACCAAAGCAAAATATCTTCTGCATTATCTGTCATTAGGGAAATACAAAATAAAATAATAATGAGTTACCACCAATATTTTTAGAATGGATAAGTTCCCTAAAACTGACAATGCCCAATGCTAACGGGGATGTAAAGCACAGGCACTCTCACTCATTGCTTGTACAATGCAAAACGATATTAACAACTTTGGACGGTAGTTTCGCAGTTTCTTTCAAAGCTAAAAATAGTTTTACCACGTAATACTGTAATCACGCTTCTTGTTATTTACCCAACTAGTTTGAAAACCTATGCCCACTCAAAAACATGCATGTGCAAACATTCATAGCATCTGTATTTATGATTTTCTTTTTTTTTTTTTTTTTTTTTTTTTTTTTTTGAGACAGAGTCTCGCTCTGTCGCCTAGGCTGGAGTGCAGTGGCACGATCTCGGCTCACTGCAAGCTACACCTCCCGGGTTCACGCCATTCTCCTGCCTCAGCCTCTCCGAGTAGCTGGGACTACAGGCGCCCGCCACCACGTCTGGCTAATTTTTTTGTATTTTTAGTAGAGACAGGGTTTCACCATGTTAGCCAGGGTGGTCTTGATTTCCTGACCTCGTGATCCGCCTGCCTCAGCCTCCCAAAGTGCTGGGATTACAGGCGTGAGCCACCGCGCCCGGCCTGTATTTATGAGTTTCAAAACCTGGAAGCTACCAAATCCACTCTCAATAGATGAGTGGATAATCAAACTGCAGCACAGCTAAAAAGGGAAGTGAGCTAGCCGGCTCAGTGGCTTATGCCTGTCATCCCAGCACTTTGGGAGGCCGAGGCAGGAGGATCACCTGAGGTTGTTAGTTTGAGACCAGCCTGACCAACATGGAGAAACCCCATCACTACTAAAAAATACAAAATTAGCTGGGTATGGTGGTGCATGCCTGTAATCCCAGCCACTCAGGAGGTTGAGGCAGGAGAATCGCTTGAACCTGGGAGGCGGAGGTTGGGGTGAACTGAGATCACACCACTGCACTCCAGTCTGGGCAACAAGAGTGAAACTGTCAAAAAAATAAATAAATAAATAAAGTGAGCTATCAAACTACACACTGACACAGATGAATTTTAAGTGCCTATTGCAAATTGATAGATGCAAACCTTCAAAGCTTCAAAGCTATATTCTATAAAAATAGTTCACAGATGAGAAGTTGTCAGAGATTAGTGGTTGGGGGTGTTAAATAAATGAAGTGCAGAGGATTATTTAGGATGGTGTAACACTCTATATGATACTCTAATAATAGAAACATGACACAATTTTTTAAATTCCGTGCATGAAACTTTACATCACAAAGTGAAGTATTTAAACTTACAAAATCAGGAATTCAGACGATTCAGTGGTGTAAAGCAAATGTGCCAAAATAATCTGTGTCACAAATGCATGTGACCAATTTACTGAAGGTGGGGAGCAGAGGTGCTGGACTAATAACTTGGAAATAAGGAGAGTCAGAATGATTGAAATCCAAAGGAAACCTACATAATCAGTGTACTCTTCTTGATAAAGTCATTTCCCATGGTGTATAGGTTACCAATTCTGGAACCACTGTAAAACATATATACTAGAAGTAAACAAGTACATGGATGGCAGATAGTGGGAGCCAAGTTTCTCACAATTGGAATGGAAGAGTATAAGTAAGCAAGAGTAGTAGAATAAAATGATTCATATAGCAACGGATTTGAGTTGCAAAATTTCAGTGTGAATTCTCCTAAAATCAGTATATCAAGTTTCTACAGCTGCCACAGCAAAGTTTCACAAAACTCGGTGGCTTGAAATAAAATAAATCAGTATCTTAGAGTTCTGTAGGTGAGAATTCAAAATAGGGTTTGTTCTTCAAAATCAAAGTGTAGCAGGATTGCATTCCTTCTACAGGTTCTAGGGGAGAATTCACCCTCTTGTTTTTCCAGCTTCTAGGGGCTGCCTATATTCCATGGCCCTGGTCCTGTCGACCACCTTCAAAGCCAGCAATTGCATCACTTAGGCCTCTCCTTCCATCTTCCTGTCTTTTCCTCTGACACTGACTCTCCAGCCTCCCTCTTACAAGGACCTTAATCTCATTTTAAGATTCCTAACTTAATCACATCTTCAAAGTTCTGGCTAATACACACACACACATGCACACGCACACACACACACACACACACACACACACACACATATATATATATTTCCTCTATCAGTTGAGAGAGACTAGAAGCAATGACTCTCCAGTAACAACATGCATATTTTATACTCAGATTCTGATTTCTAATATCTTTCTCCCATAAAAAGGAACAAGGGCTTCTTGGAGAAATGGCTGACTCTAGGACTGAGACAGAAAATGTGTAAGTCTAGGGTGTAAGAAAGTAAGAAAGTGCTAAGCATGCAAAACCAAACAATGATTGGGGGAGTGGAAGGACACAGAATCCACTGAAAGAGCTCTCAGTCACCAATCTGGGCCAATTTGAGCAACAAAATTAACTCAGTATCAGTGAGTCTGTAATAATACAAATAACTATTGAATAGAGTTGAGAATATACAAACCTCTCCTGCAGAAGAATTCCACATAATGCGTTAGTTTTCAAGGAGGTAGAGAATAATTCCCTACTACTTGAGCGATTTAGAAACCAAATAAATTGTTCTTTAAGTATCTCCGTTACAGAAAATGTTCTCCAAATATGTTGAGTTTACTTGGAATGAGAAATGAAGATTATAACCTAGGATGCCACAAGGGCATACTTTGAGGGAAGGGCAAAAGGAAGCTTTTCCTAGCAAAAAGGGAGAGGGTCACTGCTTAGAAAGGGAGAGAGAAGCTGCTTAGAAATAGTGTTCATTGGTTCCAGAGATCCAAAGTCAGAGTGGTTATCAGTTCATTGGTGGAGATGCTGTTAACTGGGCAAGTATTTTTTGACAATATCTTGTCCGAATTACTGCAGTTCTAGGGAATGTCTAAGGAATATCTACCTTGTCATAGAAATGTTAGTATATGTGTGAAATATGTAAGCCATGAAAAGGACATGCTTGAAGAATGTACAGGAATTTCTTGTGGGGTTTTGGAATGTTCTTGGAAACAGTCCTTATCCCGGATATGTAGGTATAAGCTTCCTCTCTTCATGCTTTCCTGGCCCTATTTTGTCTGGGCCTGACAAAAGTCATTTTCCCTGGCACCTACAACTTTCACCCATATTATACATATTATACACCCCCCCGCCTTTTTTTTTTTAATTTTGGGTTATTGAATAGATCTTATTAAGTTTTTGAAGTATTTGTTTGTCATGCTATTTGGTCCATTCAACCTCTTGATGTGCTTATTTTGTTTGTCTTTTATTTGTACTTTAATGGTGGACAGTATCTTTCAAGATTATTTTATTAAATCCATCAATCCTAAAGATATGATAAGTAGACGCTATTCTTTTTTTTGTGTTTAGTTCAACTATCAGTGATATGCTTTAAGTTTTTCAGTGATTTAGATATTCAATCCAAAATTGAGAAGACCACGCTTCCTCTCTTTAATTTCTGCCATTACAACATAAAGTCTGTTTATTCTATTTCTAGAGCAGAAATATGTAAAATTATTTGAACATTCAAGATTTCCCACTTCTATTAGTTTTCTATTCCCACCTAATTAATATTCTAAAAGACAGAACATAAATATACTGAGTGTCCAATATTCCACATTCTATATAATAATGTTTATATTATTTTTTCCTCTACTTACAAATAATCTTTTTCCAGCTGAACTTTAAATTTAGTATCCTAGTTTACATTAAACAAATAAGTATATTATAATTATATTTATTATATCATTATTAAAATGTGTGCATATGGCTATTAAATGGTTCTTTGTATTTAGCCCCAACATCTGAATTCCTTCTTTTAAAAGAAAAAAGAAACGAAACTATAAAACCTAAACATAATCTCTTTGGACCACAGAAATATTTTCTTTTTGATCACCCATAAAGGTTCATGAAAATGGAAGAAATGAATGTCCTTAAATTTGGAAAATACATCAAAATGTGTTCAGGTAGTTGGAATGTGTGTGAATTCAAGATAAGAATGAATAAACTGGTGAATTTTAAATAAGTGATGATATTTTCACAGAAAATTAAATATCTAGTCAGTCCTCACACAGGGAAACAGGAATATGATTATGTAGCTATCTAATCTTCTTAAAGCAGGGTTAAAATTCATGTCAAGTGTTTTGGGGAGAAATGATTCCTTCTTAAAATTGTCTTTACTAAATTAATGAAAATATACCTTAACTATCTATGCCTCACAGGAATGTCCAGACCAGTTAAGATGGCATAGGCTCATCTCTTCCTGCTCTTCATCAACTATACTTTCCTGATATAAGGTAATATACAGGCAAAGGAGAATGCTAAGCAGAAAAAAATAAAGGCAAACTGGTTAGGGATTCTAGAAACTTAAGAAAAAATAGAGAACTAATGAACCTTATGATTCCACACATAACAGAAAAATGGTGACCCTGGCCCAGATTTGCTGATTCTCAACAACACAAAACCACCCAGGTGTGCACATATTTTCATTTAATGGGGGTTCCATCTACATTAATAAAAAGATCAATGATGATCTGTTCTATGGGAAATCCCACTGACAATAAGTGTCCAGAAAAAGTGCTCTTCTCTCCTGCTGTGCCTGGGACTCACTTCCATACAGAGAAACCACACAACTGAAAAACATAGACAAGGGAAATGTCACCATGACAAGTGTCCAGTTCAGGGAAACTCTGTCACTGCAGTCTTAAAACTCTCTTAGTACACAAAGTGACACTAGGAAGCCAGATGATCTCAAAAATGGTGATCCCAAAAATGGTGATCCCAATTTAAAAAAAAAATCCAGTAAATGACTCAGTGTTTCTCTGAGAGAGGCCTTGACACTCCCTTCACCCATTACAGACATGAGGCAGCACAACCAGAGAAGTTCCATTATTTTCCTCAAGCAGCATCAGTAGGGAGCAGTAAGAGCTCCAGCAGCATGAAGTAAAATAAGTAGACCAAATTTCATTAAAAATATTCTAAAAATTAGAATGTCATAGGAATACCAGCCCAAAAAATACATCAGAACCTGTGTTCAAAATCTGCATGGTGATTGTGTGATAAAATTTAGAAAAAACTAAAAAGAACGTGAGGTTTCTGAAAACAAGAGACAAAACACTCAGTACAGAAAAGACAACCACCTGTCATGCAATGAACAAGAAAAATTATCTTATGAATATGAAAAGACAATTATATGACATAAAATAAAAATGAACTAGATAATTAAATTTTCAAATGATTTTAAATCACCATCCTAAAAATTAATTCAGCAGAAAATTTAAAAATTATCTGTAAACAAACAGACAAATAACATCTCAACAAGACATGAAAGTTATAAAGAAAATGCAATGAAGCTGTAGAACTAAAAATTAAATAACATAAATTTGCTGAATGTGCTCAATGATAGAATAAAATGACAGAAGATAGAATCCGCGAACTTGAGGGTGGGCTCATGTAATTTATTCAATCTGAACAATAGAGGGAAAATAGACAAAAGATGACCAAAGACTTGTGTATAATTATAAAGTATCCGAAATTCAGATTACTGGAGTCTCATAAGAAGAGGATAAAGTGGAAATGACACATTATTTGGAGAAATATGGCTGAAAGCTCCCTAAAGTTTGGGACAAACATAAAAATACAAATTTAGAAAGCTTAAAAATTTCAAATAGAAAAAAATGAAATAAATCTATTTTAAGACGTCAAAATTAGAATTTTGAAAACTGTAAACAAAGGAGAAATCTTTAAATCAGCCAGAGGTAACTGATGCATTGGCTATTGGTGTACACTAATTTCATTGAAGACATTCATGACCTGAAAACATGGAGGCCAGAAGGAAGTGGCATAGTATTTTTTTCAGTGCTAAAAATAAAGAATTATAAACCATATATATATATATATATATATATATATATATATATATATATGCCATACATTGGGGCCATATATACATATAATAGCCATATATATACACACATATATATATACACACACACATACACACACACACACACACATATATATACACACACACCACATATTGGGGCCATATATACATATATGGCCATATATATATATATATATATATATATATATAGCATATATATAGCATATATATATAGCATATATATAGCATACATATGGCATATATATAGCATATATGTAGCATATATATAGCTATATATAGCATATATATAGCTATATATATAGCATATATATAGCATATATAGCATATATATAAGCTATATATATAGCATATATATAGCTATATATATATGCTATATATATAGCATATATATAGCATATATATAGCATATATATATAGCATATATATAGCATATATATATAGCATATATATAGCATATATATATAGCATATATATAGCATATATATATAGCATATATATAGCATATATGTAGCATATATATAGCATATATGTAGCATATATATAGCATATATATAGCATATATATAGCATATATATAGCATATATATAGCATATATGTAGCATATATATAGCATATATATAGCAAATATATATAGCAGATCTGCTATATATATAGCAAATATATATATATAGCAGATCTGCTATATATATAGCAAATATATATATACCATATATATATACCATATATATATACAGCATATATATATATACACCATATATATATATATACACCATATATATATATATATATATACACCATATATATATATATATATATACACCATATATATATATATATATATACACCATATATATATATATATATATATATATATATAGCAAATCTGGTGAAACTTTTTTTAAAAAATAAGGAAGAAATAGAGGCAATGTCAGATAAAATATAACTACAATTTTCTGTCACAAGCAGACAAACAATTAAATAATGACTGAAGGAAGTTCTTCAAACACAATGAAAATCATAAAAGAAGAAATCTTGGAGCATCAGCAGAGAAGCAAGAAAAACAGAAAGTAGAAATGTTAGTACCTATATAAGACTATCCTTCTAATAAATTTTCTAATTTATATGTGATAATTGAAATAAAATTTAAAAATTATAATCAAGACAATAATATTTAAAATTCTGAATGGAAGAAAGATCTAGAGAGTACTTAGGTTTTCATGTTTTCATACTGCAATCAAAGTAAACAGTGATGTCACATAAGTATTTGGTAAAAATTAGAGTTAATTCTGAGAAATCATAAAAGTGGCACACTCAAAAGCCCTCCAAATAAATAAAGATAAAATTTTAAAGAAAAGCGTTTAAGTAACTCATAAAAATGAGAAAACAAAGCAACAGGAATACTAATAAACAAGATATAATCTTTACAACATCAAAAATTATGCTAAATGTAAATGGTCTAAATACACATATTAAGGAAAGAGATTGGCAGAGTGATTAAAAAACACAGCTCCAAATATGTGCTGTTTATAACAAACTTAGTTCAAATGCAACAAAAGAGATAAGTTGAAAGTAAAAGGATGAGAAAAGGCATATCATTCTAACTTTAATTTTATAATGCAACATTGTCTATATTAATATCTGATAAAACAGAATTTAGAATAAGAAAATTACTAGAGGCAAAGAGGGACCTTACATAATGATAGAAGCATCAATTCTCCTAGAAGATATAATGATCCTGGATATGTTTTCCCTCAACAGTGTAGCCTCAAAATATAAAAATTTGTTTTAAAGAAATAGAACAAATAGAATGAAAGGAAAAGTAGGAGTATACACAGTTATAACTGGGGACAAAAACACCTCTCTTTAAAGAATTATTAGTCAGGTATCAGCAAGCATATAAAGGATCTGACCAACATAATCAAGAAATGGTATTTAATGAAGACATAGAAAACTCCATTCAAGAATAGAAAAATACATAATTTCAAGAATACATTAAATATCCACCAAGTTAGACCATATTGTGGTACATAAAAGTAGCATCAACACATTTAAAATAATTGATATGGTACAGAGTAAGTTCTTGGACCATAATAGAATGAAACTAAAAAAAAATAGTTTCACAGAGATAATGAGAAATTGTCTAAATACTTAGAAATTAAACAGTACACTCAGAAATACTTCATGGTTCAAAGACCAAGTTGAAAAGAAAATAAAAAAGTAATAATTAGAGCTCAGTGAAATGTATATACAACATATCAATATCTGTAATGAGAGAAAAAATTATGGACATAAATTCTTGTATTAAAAAAGGAAAGATCTTAAATAATCTAAGTCCTGTATAGGGAAATTTTAATAAATAAGCAAATTAAACTAAAAGCAATTGGAAGGAACAATAAAATCAATAAAACAAAAATGAGAAACATTTATAAAGTAATTAAAACAAAACTTGGCACTTTGAAAAATTTACTACAATTAATAAACCTCTAGTAAGACAGAGAGGGATGTAAAGAAGACATAAATCACTAATATCACAAATGAAACAGGAAATTTCAGTACAGATTTTGCATTCATTAGAAAAAGATGAAAGAATACCTCAAATTAATTTATTATCAGTAAATTGAAAATCACAAACTACCAAAATTCAACTAAAAATATTAAAATTGAGTTTATAACTTAAAATATTTTAATAAACAAATCTTCAGGCTGAAATGCTTTCACTGGACAATTCTACCAAGTGTTAAAACTGAATTAATAACACATTTACACAATTTATTTCAGAAAATGGAAGAAAAGGGAACATTTTATGAGGCTGTACTTATCCCGATAACAAAATCAAACAAGGACAATGTAATAATAAAAATAATCAGAAAAAAAAGACATGGAGAAATATACCTATGAAAATCTAAAGACTTTAAAGGTGAAAAATAACTAATTTTTAAAATGAAAACAGCAATAAATAAAAATTGTATGGCAACAAGATGGAAACTAGAAGCAATGAATGTGTGCTTCTCTCATGGAGAGGAAACAAAGAGCTAGTGAACACTGACAATGTAGGCTGATCATTTGAGGCACCACAACAGGATCCATCATGGCAGCATGGGGACACAGAGAACAGAGAGGAGTGAAGCTGGGCACCAGCTTGTCTGGCCTCAGCATGGAGCCAGAAGAACCTCTCCAACAAGGGAAAGGGTGAGTGAGTGAAGGTTTAGATCACAGGAGAAGGATTTGACCTTACCTGGAGCTGAGTCAATTTAGAAAGCTGAACGAAATACAGGATTAGAGAAAGAAGCTGGAAATGCCCTGTGGGTTCTCTGGGTCCCCGGGGAAGCTGTCTCTGACTCGTTTCATGCAGGATCCTTGGGGAGGACTGCCAGAAGAACTGAGAAAAGACCACGGGGAGAAAGAAACCTCCAGCTGAATGTGGTAATAATTCTAACCAAGGCCGGGCGCGGTGGCTCACGCCTGTAATCCCAGCACTTTGGGAGGCCGAGGCGGGTGGATCACGAGGTCAGGAGATCGAGACCATCCTGGCTAACAAGGTGAAACCCCGTCTCTACTAAAAATACAAAAAATTAGCCGGGCGCGGTGGCGGGCGCCTGTAGTCCCAGCTACTCGGGAGGCTGAGGCAGGAGAATGGCGTGAACCCAGGAAGCGGAGCTTGCAGTGAGCCGAGATTGCGCCATTGCAGTCCACAGTCCGGCCTGGGCAACAGAGCGAGACTCTGTCTCAAAAAAAAAAAATAAATAAAAAAAAAAAATAATTCTAACCAAATGCAAAGTCTTCTGGCTAGAACTTGGGAGAGGGCATAAATCTGCTGTGCAGACTCAACAGCTGGGGAGGGGGGAAAGTCCTGCTTGCTTTTTCAGCCAGGGCTGGTAGCCTGGGGCAAGTTCTCAACCCACTTCCTGGAAGCAAACCAAGTGCTGCTGTTGCGTGGAACACAGTGGAAGTAAGACTGGCCTTTTGGGTTGCATGGGAGCTGGGTGAGGCCTGTAACTGCTGGCTTTCCCCTACTTTCCTGACAACCTGCATGACACAACAGAGGCAACCATAATCCTTCTGGGAACATAACTCCATTGACCCAGGAACCAAACCCCTATTCCCCACAGCAGCCATAGCAAGCCCCATCCAAGAATAGTCTGAGCTCAGACATGCCTAGCCCTGCTCCCAGCTGATGGTCCTTTGCTACCCACCCTGGTAGCTGAAGACAAAGGACATATTCTCTTGGGAGTTCTAGAGCCCTGCCCACCACCTGATCCTCCTTACGCTACTATAGCTGATGCTCTCTTGAAAGCACCACCTTCTGACAGGAGGCCAACTGACACAAAAATAGTGAATTAAACCAACAAAACTAAGAACTCTCACAGAGTCCATTTCACTCTCCTACCACCTTCACCAAAGCAGGTGCTGTTATCCATGGTAGAGAGACCTGAAGACGGTTCCCATTACAAGATTCTGTGCAGACAAGCCTCAGCACCAGCCCAGAACCTGGTAGCCCTGCTGGGTGGCTAGCTCCAGAAGAGAAATAACAATCATTAGAGTTTGGCTCTCAGGAGGCCACATTCTTAAGAAAATGAGAAGAGTACTACATCAAGGGAACACCCATGGGACAAAAGAATTGGAACAACTGCCTTGAACCCCTGTTCATCCCTCTGATACAGCCTACTCAAGTGAGAGAGAAAAAAAATTCTGGTAACGACAAATCAAGATTTGTTAATACACCCCAAAAGCACACCAGCTCACCAGCAATGGATCCAAACTAAGGAGAAATATGTGATTCCCTGAAGAAGAGTTTAGAAGGTCAATTATTAAGCTAATCAAGGAGACACCAGAGGGAGGTGAAGTCCAATTTAAGAAATCATAAAAAGATACAAAATATGAGGGGAGAAATCTTCAGTGAAATACATAGCATAAATTAAAAAAACAATCACAACTTCAGGAAATAAAGGAAACAGAGAAATAAAAAATGTACTGGAAAGTCTCCTCAATAGAATCAAACAAGCAGAAGAAGAATTTCAGAGCTCAAAGGAAAGGTTTTCAAATTAACCCAATCCAATGAAGACAAAGAAAAAATAATTTAAAAAAATGAACAAAGCCTCCAAGAAGTTTAAGATAGTGTTAAATGACCAAACCTAAGAATAACTGGTGTTCCTGAGGAAGAAGACAAATCTAAAACTTTGGAAAACATACTTGAAGGAATAAAAAAAGAAAACTTCCTCTTCCCCAGTCTTGCTAGAGACCTAGGCATACAAATAAAAGAAGCACAAAGAACACCTCTGGAATTCATCACGAAATGATCATCACCTAAGCACATTGTCATCAGGTTATCCAAAGTCAAGGTGAAGAAAAGAATCTTAAGAGCTAGGAGGCAAAAGTGCCAGGTAAACTACAAAAGAAAACCTACCAGATTGACAGCAGATTTCTCAGCAAAAACCCTACAGTCTAGAAGGCATTGGGGTCCTATCTTCAGCTTCCATAAACAAAACAATTATTAGCCAAGAATTTTGTATCCAGTGAAACTAAGCTTCCTAAATGATGGAAAGATAGTCTTTTTTCAGACTAACAAATGCTGAGAGAATTCCCCACTACCAAGCCAGCACTACAAGAACTGCTAAAAGGAGCTCTAAATCTTGAAACAAATCCTGGAAACATGTAAAAACATAACGTCTTTAAAAGCACAAATCTCACATAATATATAAAAGAAAATGCAGTAAAAAGAAAAAGTATACAGGCAACAAATAGCACAATGAATGGAATAGTACCACACATCTCAATATTAACATTGAATGTAAATGGCCTAAGTGTTCCACTTAAAAGATACAGAATGGCAGAATGGATAAGAATGTACCAACCAAGTATCCACTGCTGTTGAGAGACTTACCTAACACATAATCACTCATATAATATTTAAGGTAAAGGGAAGAAAAAAAAAAAACTCCATGCAAATGGACACCAAAAGTGAGTAGAAGAAGCTATCCTTACATAAGACAAAACAAACTTTAAAGCAACAGCGCTTTAAAAAGACAAAGGGGGACATTATATAATGATAAAGGCCTTGGTCCAACAGGAAAATATGACAATCCTAAATATATATGCACCTAACACTGGAGCTTCCAAATTTATAAAACAAGTACTACTAGATATAAGGAATGAGATAGACAGCAACACAATAATATTGGGGGACTTGAATACTCCATTGACAACACTAGACAGGTCATCAAGACAGAAAGTCAGCAAAGAAACAATGGATTTAAACTACACCAGGGGAAGTTTTCTTTTTTTATTCCTTCAAGTATAACAGAAATGTACAGAACATTCCATCCACAACCACAGAATATACATTCTATTCATCAGCACATGGAACTTTCTTCAAGATAGATTATAGCATAGGCCACAAAACACGTTTCAATAAATTTAAGAAAATTGAAATCATATGAAGTCCTCTCTCAGAACACAGTGGAATAAAACTGGAAATCAACTCCAAAAGGAACCTTCAAAACCATGTACATACATGGAAATTAAATAACCTGCTCCTGAATAATCAATGGGTCAACAATTAAATCGAGATGGAATTATAAAAATTATTTGAACTGAATGATAATTTTGACACAATGTATAAAAACATCTGGGAAACAGCGAAGGCGGTGCTAAGAGGACAAAGTTCATAGGCTTAAATGCCTACATCAAAAAGTCTGAAAGAGCGCAAATAGACAATCTAAAGTCACACTTAAAGGAATTAGTGAAACAAGAAAAAACAAACAAAAATCAAGCAAAACAAAGGAAATAATCAAGGTCAGAGCAGAACTAAATGAAAGTGAAACAACAACAAAAAGATAAATGAAACAAATGCTAGTACTTTGAAAATATAAATAAAATTAGTGCACCATTAGCAAGGTTAACCAACAAAAGAAGAGAAGAAATCAAAATAAGCTCAATTAGAAATGAAACGGGAGATATTACTACCGAGACAACAGAAATACAAATGACCATTCAAGGCTACTTTTAACACCTTTATGTAAATAAACTAGAAAACCTAGAAGAGATAGAAAAATTACTGGAAAGATACAGCCCTCTGTATTAGTCCATTTTCATTCTGCTGGATTCTGTCAAATACTTTTTCTGCATCTCTTGAGGTGATCATGTGATTTTCGTTTTTAATTCTGTTTATGTGGTGTATCACATTTATTGACTTGCATATGTTCAACCATCCCTGCATCCCTGGTATAAAACCCACTTGATCATGGTGGGTTACGTTTTTGATATGCTGTTGGATTTGGTAACAACAACAACAACAACAAAACTACAGACCAATATCCATGGTGAACATAGATGCAAAAATCTTCAACAAAATACTACTCCGAAAAATTGAGCAATAAATACTTCTTCCTAACTCTTTCTATGAAGCCAGCATTAAACTGATACCAATACCTGACAGAGACATAACAACAACAACAACAAACTTTGGTTCAATATTGCTGATAAACATAGAGGCAAAAACTTTCAGCAAAACACTGAGATAATGAATCCAACTCTATATAAAAAAAGTTATCCATCATGATCAACTGTGCTTTATGTCTGAAATGCAAGGTTGACTCAATATACACAAATAATTATTTGTGATTTACCACATTAAAAAACCTAAAATCAAAAGAAGAAAACCACATGGCCGTAACAATAGAGGCAGAAGAGACTTTTAATAAAATCAAATGTCCCTTCATGTTAAAAACACTAAAAAACCAGGCATTAGGGGAACATACTTTAAAATAAGGGCCATCTATGACCAATCCATAGCCTACATTATACTGAATGGGCACAAGCTGAAAGCATTCTTCTCGAGACCTAGAAAAAGGGAAGAAAAGATGCCCACTCTCACCACCCCAATTTAACATATCTCTGGAGGTCCTAGCTACAGAAATCAGGAGAGAGAGAGTGAGAGATCCAAAATTGGAAGAGAAGTCAAAAAATGTGTGTTTGCAGATGATGTAATTCTATACCTAGAAAGCTCAATTGTCTTTGCCCAAAATGTCCTACCTCTGATAAACAACATCAGCAAAGTTTCAGGATGCAAAGTCAGTGTATAAACGTCAGTAGCATTTCTATACCCCAACAATGTCCAAGGAAAGAGCCATATCAAAAATGCAATTCCATTCACGATAGCCACAAAAGAATAAAATATTTATAAATACAGCTAACAGATAAAAAAATCTACAATAAGAAGTACAATACAAAGTACAATAAGAAGTACAAAACACAGCTCAAAGAAATCTGCCATGACAAGAACAAATGGAAAAACATTTCATACTCATGGATAAAATGATCAATATTGTTAATACGGCCATATTGCAAAGCAATTTACAGATTCAATGATGTTATTATCAAACCAATGCATTCTTCATAGAATTAGAAAAAATTATTTTAAAATCCATATAAAACCAAAAAAGAACTTGAGCAGCCAAGGCAATCCTAAGCAAAAGGATAAAAGCTGATGTCATCATGTCTCCCAACTTCAAACTATACCACAAAGCTGCAGTAACCAAATCAGCATGGTACTGCTCCAAAAACAGACACGTAGACCAACGGAACAGAATAGAGAACACAGAAATAAAGTCACACATGTACAACCAACTGATATTTGACAAAGTTGAAAACAATAAGCAATGGGGAAGGGAATTCTTATTTAATAAATAGTCCTGGAATAACTGGCTGCCATAGTCAGAAATTGAAGTTGGACCCCTTTCTTACACCATATACAAAAATCAACTCAGGATGAATTAAATACTTAAATGTAAAACCTAATACTATTAAAATCGTGAAAGACAACCTAGGAACTACTATTCTGCACATAGGCCTGGCAAAGATTTCATGACAAAGACACCAAAATAATTACCAAAAAACCATTATGATTGACAATAGTCCCCTAACTAAACTAAAAAGCTTCTGCAAAGCAAAAGAAGCTATCAGCTGAGTTAAAGACAACCTACACAATTGGAGAAAATGTTTGGAAATTATGCATCTGAGATAGGTGTAATAATAAACATCATTAGCTATTAAATACATGTAAGCTAAAACCATAATTAGATATTATATGCTATCAGAATAAATAATTATAAATATATATATCCGGATATATATATCCATATATAAATATATATCCAGATATATATATCCATATATAAATATATATCAGTTAATATGACTTAGCCATGTATGTAGAGATACATGAATCATTTCATGACTATTTTATTTGTGCCTATTGTAAATGGCATTACTTTTTAATTTCTTTTTCAGTTTATTTATTGTGAGCATATGTATATGCTACTGATTTTTGTATGTTGATTTTGTATCCTGCAACTTTACTGAATATATCAGTTCTAATAGTTTTTTGTGTGTGTGTGTGTGTGGAGTCTTTAGTTTTTTCCAAATATAGGAAACTACCATCTGCAAACAAGGGTTATTTAACTTCTTTCCAGTTTGGATGTCCTGTATATCAGTCTCTTGTCTAATTGCTGTAGCTAGGACTTCCTATTTTATATTGAATGAAGAACAGTGGTGACAGTAGGCATCATTTTCATATTCCAAATCTTAGAAAACAAGCTTTCATTTTTTCCCCATTCAGTATGATAATAGCTGTGGGCCTGCCCTACATAGTTTTTATCAGATTGAGGTATCATCTTTCTATACCAAGTTTTTTGAGGATTTTTATTATGAAGGATGTTGAATTTTATCAAATGGCTTTTTCAACATAAATTGAAATGATCATATGGTTATTCCCTTCACCTCTACTTTTCTGAGTAGTTTGAATAGAGTTAGTGTTAGTGCTTCCTTAAATGTGTGTTAGAATTCAGCAGTGAAGCCATTAGGTCCTGTGCTTTTCTTCACTAAGAGACATTATTATGGCTTTGATCTTATTACTTGTTATAGGTCTTTCCAGGTTTTTGGATTTCTTCATGCTTTGATCTTGGTAGGTTTTATGTGTCTTAGAATTGTCATTCCTTCCAGATTTTCCAAATTATTGGCATATAGGTGTTTATAGTAGCCACTGATGATCTTTTAAATTTCTGCAGCATCAGTAGTAATTTCTCCTTTTTTATCTCTGATTTTATTAACTTCAATTATTTCTCTTTTTTTCTCATTCTGGCTAAAGTTTTGTTAATTTTGTTCAACTTTTCAAAAAAACTTCTTATTGATTTTTGGATTGTTTTCTTATTTCAATTTCATTTATTTCTGTTCTTTACTATTATTTTCTTCTACTAATTATGGGTTTGTTTCACTCTTGCTTTTCTATTCTTTAAAATTGATATGGCTTGGCTGTGTCCCCAGCCAAATATCACCTTGAATTATAATAATCCCATGTGTTAAGATGGGGGGCCAAGAGGAGATAACTGAATCAAGGGGGTGGTTTGTCTCATACTGTTTTCAGGGTAGTGAATAAGTTTCATGAGGTCTGATAATATTATAAATGGGAGTTCTCCTGCATGCCATGTATTGTATTTCCTGCTGATATGTGAGACATGCCTTTGCTCTTCTTTTGTCTTCTGCCATAATTGTGAGGCCTACCCAGCCATGTGGAAGTGTAAGTCCATCACATCTCTTTCCTTTATAAGTTACCCAGTCTCAGGTATGTCTTTATTAGCAGCGTGAGAACAGACTAATACAGTAAATTGGTACCAGTTGAGTGGGGCGCTGCTCTAAAGATACCTGAAAATGTGAAAATGACTTTGGAACTGGGTAACAGGCAGAAATTGGAACCGTTTGGAGAGCTCAGAAGAGGACAGGAAGATGTGGGAATGTTTGGAACTTCCTAGAGACTTGTTGAATGGCTTTGATCAAAATGGTGATAGTAATATGGACAATGAAATCAAGGATGAGGTGGTTTCAGATGGAGATGAGGAACTTGTTGGGAACTAGAATAAAAATTACTCTTGCTATGTTTTAGCAAAAAGACTGGTGGCATTTTGCCCTAGCCCTGGAGATTTGTTCAAGTTTGAACTTGAGAAAGAAGATGATTTGGGGCACCTGGCAGAAAAAAGTTTAAAGTAGTAAAGGTAACTTGGATGCTGTTAAAAGCATTAAGTTTTATGTATTCACAAATGTAAGATTTGGCATTGGAACTTACGTTTGAAAGGGAAGCAGAGCGTAAAAACTGAGAAAAATTGCAGTCTGATGATGCTATAGAAATGAAAAACCCATCCATTTCTGAGGAGAAATTCAAGCTGGCTGTAGAATTTGCATAAGTAATGAGGAGCCAAATTTTAATTCCCAAGAAAGTGGGGAAAGTTTATTCAGGGCATGTCAGAGGTCTTCAGGGCAGCCCCTCCCATCACAGGCCTGGAGGCTTAGAAGGAACAAATTGCTTCATAGGCCAGGCCAAGGGCCTTGTTGCTTTGTGAAGTCTCAGGACTTGGTGCCCTGCATCCCAGCCATGGCTAAAAGGGGCCAACATAGAGCTCAGGCCGTTGGTTCAGAGGCTGCAAGCCCCAAGCCTTGGCAGCTTCCACATGGTGTTGGGCCTGTGGGTGCACAGAAGTCAAGAATTGAGTTTTGGGAACCTCCACCTAGATTTCAGAGGATGTATGAAAATTCCTGGATGTCCAGGCAGAATTATGCTGCAAGGGTGGAGACTTCAAGGAGAACCACTGTTAGAGCAGTGCAGAAGGGATATGTGGAGTCAGTGCCCCCACTAGAGTTCACACTGGGGAACTGCCTAGTGGAGCTGTAAAAAGAGGGCCATCATGCTCTAGATTGCAGATTGGTAGATCCACCAATAGCTTTCATTGTCCACCTGGAAAAGCCACAGGCACTCAATGCCAGCATGTGAAAGCAGCCAGAAGGAGGCCTGTACCCTGCAAAGCCACAGGGGAAAAGATGCCCAAGGCTATGGGAGCCAACCTCTTGTATCAACATTATCTGAATGTGAGACATGGAATCAAAGGAGATTATTTCAGAGCTTTAAGGTTTGACTGCCTCGTTGGATTTCAGACTTGCATGGAGCCTGTAGTCCCTTAATTTTGGCCAAATTTTCCTATTTGGAATGGGTGTATTTAACCAATGCCTGTACCCACATTGTATATAGGAAGTAACTAACTTGCTTTTGATTTTATAGGCTTATAGGCAGAAGGGACTTACCTTGTCTCAGATGAGACTGTACTGTGGGCTTTTGAGTTAATGCTGAAATGAGTTAAGATTTTGGGGGACTGCTGAGAAGGCATGATTGGTTTTGAAACATGAAAACATAAGATTTGGAAGGGGCAGGGGTGGAATGATATGATTTGGCTGTGTCCCTACTTAAATCTTACTTTGAATTATAATAATCCCCAGGTGTCAGGGACCAGGCAAGGTGGAGATAATTGAATCATAGGAACAGTTTCTCCCATGCTGTTCTCATGGTAGTGAATAAGTTTCACAAAATCTGATGGTTTTATAAATGGGAGTTTCCCCTGCATACCATGTATTGTATTGCCTGGTGCCATGTAAGATGTGCCTTTGCTTCTCCTATGCCTTCCACCATAATTGTGAGACCTCCCCAGTCATATGGAAGTGTGAGTCTATTAAACCTCTTTTCTCTATAAATTACCCAGTCTCAGGTATGTCTTTATTAGCAGCATGAGAACAGAATAAAAATATGGATTATTAGGTTGTTTTTTAAAGTTTTTCTTCTTTTTTAAAGTAGGCACTTGCAGCTATAAACTTCCCTCTGATTACTGCTTTTGCTGTATCTCAGGTTTTGATATGTTCTTTTTCTGTTATCATTTGTTTCAAAAAATATTTAAGTCTCCTTTTTAACTTCTTCATTGACCCTCTGGTTACTCAAAAGCATATTGTTTAATTTCCATGTATTTGTATAGTTTCAAAAATACCTCTTGTTATTGATTTCTAGTTTTATTCCATTGTGGCCAGAGAAGATGCTTGATAGCATTTCAATTTCTTTCAATGATTTAATAATTGTTTGTGACATAACATGTGGTCTGTCCTTGCAAATGATCCATGTGCTGAGGAAAAAAAATGTGCGTTCTACAGCCATTGGATGAAATGTTCTATAAATATTTATTTGGTCCATTTGGTCTATAATGCAGATTAAGTCTGATGTTTCTTTGTTGATTTTCTGTCTTGAAGAACTATACATTCCTCAAACTGGAGTGAAATATTGAGCTATTATTGTACTGGGATCTCTCTCTTTAGCTCTAGTAATATTTGCTTTACATATCTTGGTGCTCCAGTGTTGGGTGTAAGTATTTTTAAAATTGTTATATCCACTTACTGAGTTGACAGCTTCATCATTGCATTGCGAGCCTCTTTGTTTTTTCTTATAGTTTTTGTCTTGAAATCTCTTTTGTCTAACATGAGTATAGCCACTCGTGCTCTTTTTTAGCTTTTATTGGCATGGGATATCTTATTTCATCCCTTTATTTTCAGTCTGTGTGTGTCTTCATAATAGAGAGTTTAGTCCATTTACATTCAATATTATTATTGATAAACTATTACTTACTTCTGACATTTTATCATTTGTTTTCTGCTTGTTTTGTGGTGTTCTCTTCCTTCTTTTTTTCTTCCTGTTTTTTATTTTAGTAAAGGTGGTTTTCCCTGCTGAGATGAATGGGTCTCTTGCTTTTTTTGTGTGTATGTATCCATTGTATGTTCTCTGGTTTGAGGTTACCAGGAGGCTTGCAAATACTATCTTAAAACCCATTACATTAATTTGATATCATCTAAACACTTCATAAACAAAACAAGCAAACAAATAAGCAAAATAAACCTAATAAAGGCTGTATGCCTTAATTTTGTCCCCTTGACTTTTTAACATTTTGTTTATATCTTATTGTACTGTCCATCTCTTGAATGGTGGTTGCAGTTGTTATTTTTGAATGGTTCATCATTTATTCTTTCTACTCAAGACAAGAGTAGTATACATACTGCATTTACAGTGCTATAATATTCTGTGTTTTTCTGTGTACTTACTATTACCAGTGAGTTTTGTACCATAACATGATATTTTACTACTAATTAATGTTCTACATTTTCCTAATGTAAGTACTCCCTGTAGCATTTCTTGTAAGAAAGATCTGGTGTTGATATCCCTCAGCCTTTGTTTGTCTGCAGAAGTTTTTATTTCTGCTTCTTTTCTAAGAATTTTTTTTTACCAGATATACTAGTCTATGTTCTTCAGCACTTTAAATATGTCATGCCACTATTTCCTGGCCTATAAGATTTCCACTGAAAAGTCTACTGTCAGACATATTGGAGCTCCATTGTATGTAATTAACTTCTTTCCTCTTGCTGCTTTCAGGGTCCTTTCTTCATCCTGGACTTTTGGAAGTTTAATTATTAAATTCCTTGAAGTAGTCTTCTCTGAGTTAACTCTGCTTGGTGTTTTATAACCTTCTTATATTTGGATATTGATATATTTTACTGTGTTTGAAAAGTTATTATTTATTTGAATAAACTCTCTTCCATATCTCTTTCTCTATCTCTTCTTTAAGGTTAACTCCTAGATTCACCCTTTTGAGGCTATTTTCTAGATCTCGTGAGTGTGTTTCATTCAGTCTCCTCTGACCGTGTATTTCTATTTATTTTGTTTTTGTTTGTTTGTTTCCCGAGACAATGTCTCACTCACATTGCTCAGGCTAGAGTGCAATGGCATAATCATGGCTCATTGTATCCTTGACCTCCTTGGCTCAGGTGATTCTCCCACCTCAGCCTCCTGAATAGCTGGGATTACAGGTGCATGCCACCAAGCCAAACTCATTTTTTTTTTTTTTTGTAATTTTACTAGAGACAGGGTCTCACCATGATGCTCAGGCTGATCTCAAACTGTTGGGCTCAAGAGATCTGCCCACCTTGACCTCCCAAAGTGCTGAGATTACAGGCATGAGCCACTATGCCTGGTCTCTGATTATGCATTTTCAAATAGCCCATCTTCAAGCTCACTATTTCTTCCTCTTGATCATTTTGGCTGTTAGATGACTCCGATGCATTCTTCAGTATGCCAATTATATTTTTTAGCTCTAGAACTTGTGCTTAATTCTTTTAAATTATTTCAATGCCTTTCTTACATTTATTTGATAGAATTCTGAATTCCTTCTCTGTTTTACTTTGAATTTCTTTGAGTTTCCTCAAAACAGCTATTTTGAATTCTCTATCTGAAAAGTCACATACCTCTGTTTCTCCAGGATTGGTACCTGGTTCCTTATTTAGTTCATTTGGTAAGGTTATGTTTTCTTGGATGGTCTTAATACTTATAGAAGTTCATCTGTGTATAGGCATTAAAGAGTATTTATTGTAGTCTTCACAGTCTGGGCCTGTTAGTACCCATCACTCTTGGGAAGACTTTTTGTGTATTCAAAAAACTTGAGTGTTGTGATCTAAGCTGTATCTTCTTTACCAGGGACCCCAAGCCCAGTAAGCCTGTGCTTTTTGAATACTCATAGATGAACCGCCTTGATGGTCTTCAACAAGATATGGAAGAATTATCTGGATTGCCAGGCAGAAACTTGTTTTCTTCCCTTACTGTTTCTCAAACAAGAGGGGCCTCTCTCTCTCTCTCTCTCTCTCTCTCTCTCTCTCTCTCTCTCTGTTCTAAGCTACCTGGAGCTAGGGTTGGACTGACACAAGCACCCCTGTGGCTACCACCTCTAAGACTGCAGAGGGTCAGACCAACACAGTACTGGGTCTGGCTCAGGGCCTGCTCTAACCACTTTCTGGCTACCACCTATGTTGCTCAAAACCATGCAGCTCTATAATCAGGAAGTGGCAAAGCCAGCCAGGCCTATGTCCTTTGCTTCAGGGCAGCAAGTTCCCACAGTCCCCAGGCAGGTCCAGAGGTGCTGTCTGGGAGCCAGGGACTAGAGTAATAAACCTTAGAAGTCTACCTGGTGCTCTATTGTACTGCAGCTGAGCTAGCATTCAAACCACAAGATGCAGTCCTTCCCAGTCTTTCCTGCACTCCTTGACTGCTGCCTGTTAAGATCCATGGGAGAGTACAGCCCGACTACCACCAATGTTCCCTTGAGACCCAAGGATTCTTCAGTCAGCCTGTAGTGAAGGCTGCCTGTTCTGTGTCTCACCTGTCGGGGCAGAGGGCTCGCCTCTGGAAAGGCCACATCCAGAAATGTTGTCCAAGAGTCAAGGCCTGGAATTGGAGACCCAAAGACCCCATGTGGTGCTCTGCACCCCTGTGGCTGAGGTGGTCCACAAGGTGTAAGACAAATTCCCCTTTACTTTTCCCTCCACTTTTCTGAAGCAGGAGTCTCTCACTGCAACCACTGCAGTTGGGAATGTGCTGAGTCTCACCTGAAGCCAGGAAATCTCATAGTCTCACCCAAGGCTCTTGATGTTGTACCTGGGATCACTGCTTGTTATTGAGGGACCAAGGGATCTTCAGCTAGCAGGTGATGAAGCCTTGCCAAACTGGGTTCTTCTATCGAAGGTATGTGGTTCCCCTCTGGCCCACTATGAGTCTAGAAAAGTTGTCTGTTAGCTAGTGCCTGGATAGTGGTTTCCCATGGCTCTGACCAGTGCCCTATTTCTACTACAGCTGAGTTGGTGTCCAAGCAGCGAGGCAAAGTCCTTCCAAATCTTCTATCTCCTCTCCTCAAGAAGAAGGAAGAGATCTCTTTTGGGACCATGAGATCTGCAGCCTGGGGTTAGGGGAGAGTTGATGCCAGCACTCCCTTAGCTGCTTCTGCTTGTATCTCCATAGGTCACGTGGCCCCCAGTCCACTGGCTCTGGGACCAGTTTAGCACTAGGACTTGCCTAGGATTTGCAGTCCTTGTGGCCAAGACTGCTTTTCAACTTCACTTGGGGCCCCAGAGCACATTAGTACATGGTAGCAAGGCTTTCAAGAACTCAAGTTCTGACTGCTGGGAATGGTGTTTGCCCTCTGGCTAGGGCTGGTTTAAATGCTCCCTCTGTGGGCAAGCATCAGCTGAGTTTAGTCCAGTTTTGCTTTCTGCTATAACAAGGGCAGCCCTGAGAATAATGCCTCATAATTGTTGGCTTTCCCTCACCTCAGCATTCAGAATCACTCTCTGCACCATGCTGTCACTATCAAGGGATGGGGGAGGGGTGGCTTCAGTGATTCAAAACTGTTTTTTCTACCTCTTCAGTGTCTATTTTAGCGATATGAACAATATGAAGTTAATACCAGGTACTGTGTGTGCCCACCTGATTTTTGGCTCTTATAAAAGTACTTTTTTGTGTGTAGATATTCTCCTTGAATGGGGGGATGATTCTATTCTTCTATCTTGCTTTGCCCCTCCTTTGGATACTATTAATGCACTTATCTAGGTTTGGGTAGGTGGAGTGGAAAGGTTGTAGTTCACAGTTCAATTGGATAGTTTTTCAGGTTGATATTTAATAACACCAACATTAAAAAATAATTTGTCCAGCTACCTTGAACCTATAAATAATTTGATTAAGAATGCGAACAAGAATATGCCAGTAATGAGAATGTTATCCAATGCAGATTAAAAAATAAATCCAATTCTTTAAGAAATGCATTAGGAATATGACTTAGTATAAATAAACTTGTCAAAACACATGGAATGCCAATAGATATCATAAGTTGAAAATCTTACTTTACAATGATAAAAATTAGAGTAGTTCAGAAATTATTGGAAAAGAGATGTCCAGTATAGTTTATTGTCTTATATCATCAAATAATACTACACTGCCCTGTAGTAGTCTTCATTTTATTGTTAGTTGTTGAAATATAAAAAAGTTGATGATACAACATCTTTGAAGCTTTCTAGCTCATGTCAGACCATAAATCTAGAAAATTCCATACTACAAGTTCACCTTCCACATCTCCACCACTGCCCAATGTGTATAAAGTCTTTCTTGAGAATCCAGTTATATAGTAGCTTATTACAAGTGTTTGAAGAGGATAATCTTTTGCTAGAGATGTAAGGCGACAAAATTTACAATTATAATATACATATTTTAGGATAACCCTCTTGAAAATATCCATCAATGTATATATATCCTTGTAGTAAAGCATCAGTGCCATGGAACAGTCATCATAGATCTGTGAAAAGTATATTTTACAAGCTATTTTAAATTTCTTTCTATGATTGAAGGCTAGATAATGTAGGAAAGGGAGAAGTAACATAATAAATTTATTTGCCTTCAGATAGATTTTGACTCTATCCAACACAAAAATTTCTCTTGATGAACTAGAATCATACATTCATGAGATTAATAATTTTATTTTAATTTACTTCTCTGTCTTATTCATATTTGCACCATAGCAGTCTGCATGTTGAGTTGTACATACTAGATGTTCAATATGTGCTTGTTGAATTAATGTACAAATAAAATGACCATATTTGGCCTGTCAGTTATATCTTTCAGTTATGTCTTTTTGGTCTGTCAGTTCTACCTTACACTTATGTCTTTTCAGTTTATCTAGAAAAAGCTCAACTTTTATCTGCAACTGTCTTTCCAATCTTTATTTAAAGACAGTTATTGCTTCTCCTAATTACATTTTTCTCTACAGGTTAAATGTTGCTAGTGCCTTCCATTTTGTTCCATAATATAATTTTTGCACTATCATGGCCACTTGCTACTTAATGTGTTCCAGTTTTTCGTTTGTTTGATTTTTTAAAATTTTCTTCTTAATACATTGGAACGTCAGTCAATTGCCATTCCAAATCTGTTCTACCTCACTTCCACATTATAAGCTCAAGTTTATACTGGGAATAACTGTTCATTCAAATATTGTGTTTTTTTCTCTCTCTTTCTCTCTCAGTACTGTCTCCTACTCTTGTTTTGATTATTCAACCATATGACTTGAGAAAATGTCTATACTGTTATTTATTTCAATGTTGTTTATGACTAAGACATAACAAACCCCCTGAAAATATTTGTCTGAAACTAAGCTGTCTACTACAGAAGATAGTAGCCACATATTGCTATTGAGCAATTAAAATGTGGCTAGTTAGAAATCTGATGCTCTGTAAATAAAAAAATATTTAATTTCAGATGATTAATAAAAAGATGTAAAATATCTCAAAATTTTTGTGTAGATTACATGATAAATAATATTTTGGATAAATTGACTTAAATCAAATATAGTATTGAAATTAATTTCAACTCTTTCTACTTACTTGTTATATATGTTTATTAGAAAATTTAAAACTATATAGAAGTTTGCCTTTGTGGCTCACATTTTATTTCTGTTTGATAACAGTGGCCCAAAGCCACATATGTATCCAGTAACAAATAGGGAATAAAAGTCAGTTTCTCTGATTTTCAGGTCATGTTAACTATCACGTTAACTACATCTGTACATTGTGGCTTGAGAAGAAACCAAATTCTAGGCATTCAAGTGCCTACGGAGGTCTATCTTTATTGCAAATGTTCTATAGTAGAATCACCATTTTCTGTCCTGGTAATCTCACAAATTGACTTCCTTATGCTGAAGAAATGAAAAAAGATAATAATTGGAAATGTTCTGTCTGTTAGGATTCTTGAGGCAAGATTGGCTCATATGTACCTTACATTGATTCCTATTCGGAACCTGTTTTAACAAATTCCCTTGGGATAGACCCAGTGAGGGAATCAAGTCCTAAGTGGCACTTTTAAGCCTTAGTACAATGTCATGTGATACATTAAAGTCTAATTTGTTCCTTCATTGAAAATCACCCTACAGCAAGGTTCTGACTATAATGCTCTTTCTTAGATCCTTTCCCAGGCACATTTTGCAACATACAAATGAAATAAAGATATGATTTGTTCCCTCATTTTGCTGGATTCAGGCTTGCAGTGGATAGAAGTTTACTTTTATCTTAACATTGGAGGTTGCCCCTAAGGCTGCTGAATAATTAAGGTCTATGTTTTCTGTAGTTCTTCAATAATAAAATACATACGAAGGCCCTTTTCTACCATTAATAACAGAACACAGTGTTAAGGCTGCTGCCTAGAAAAGTAGTAGCTTTCCATTAACTAAGGTTGACAATTACATCGCACCTTTCTTCTCTTAAATTTGCAAATTCCTTGATACCTCATCAGTTTGAAAACTCATCTGCTTCTTGTGACAGAGGTGATATTTATCTAACAGTTAAAGGTGATCTTTAAGAGAAAATTACAGTTTTATATCTCTTTGTTAAATAATTTTCCAATTTATATTAATCTAAGTATAGATACTTTATGCAGAGATCTTAGTTAAAAACTTTCTGCATTGTACTAACAGTTTAGTTTAATTTTCACCGATGTCTCAGAATTTTGTTGCTCAAGTTTGAATGATAAATTTTCTTCTCCATTCCTTACCAACTGCTCCTACTGTATGTTACTCTTAGGTTCACTGAACATCTTTATTATGGCATGCACATATTCGCTAAATATGGATGTCATGACTTAAACCTAGTGACTACAGAACGTAACATGCCTAAGGACAAGATATAATAAGCCCTGACAAGATAACACATTGAAATATTTGATATAAACTGATGTTCCCTTTATTCACTATTATCTTTGCTGAAAAAGGTATGGTTTGCACAGACCACCCCCCCACACACACTCACCTGCATACACACATGCACCTGTGCATGCATGGGCATGCACAAACCCCCCCACACACATACATATATCTAAAACATTATTGGGGATTTTTTTTCAACTGAAGAATTGATAAACAAAAAATACTTTAAGTAAATTAAATTTATTTTATATACTGTTGATCAACAAATTGTAATCTATAAATCTACAGCACTGAAATCTATAACATGTTATTTATAATTGATATTAACCCTTTAATGTTTGTTTACTTGCTTTAATATTTAGCCAGAAAACATGTTCTATAATCTGGACCTGTCTAGGTTATTCCTCTTATAGTTCATATTTTGCACACACTCTTGTGTGGGTCTTTGATTTTATCATGTCATTCTTTCAATATTGGTCACCTCTTTTGTCAGGTCATTCATTACTACTATCTGCTAATGTGTTTTTTCTTTTTAGAATGTGCATCTTTAAATGATTAAAGCTCAATGGAAGAACTGAGTAGTTATGCAAACATTAAGAGTGATTTGTTTTCTCCAATGATGTCTTCAGTAGATCTCATCTACCTGCTTTATTCATTTTTCTGATATGGTGTGTGTATATTTGCCTTGTGGTATTTTTAGCTGTGTGCTTATATACAGTGATGGTGCATTCTCTTGCAGGTCTGGAGAGGAGGGGAACAGGATAAGCTCATCCCAAATGTCACCCAGGCTGGAGTAAAGTGGCATGACCTTCCTGCAACCCCCACCTCCTGGGTTCAAGCGATTCTCCTGCCTCAGCCTGCTGAGTAGCTAGGATTGCAGGCAAGAGCCACCACGCCTGGCTAATTTTTGTAATTTTAGTAGAGAAAGGGTGTCTCCATGTTGGCCAGGCTGATCTTGAACTCCTGACCTCAAGTGATCTGCCTGCCTTGGACTCCTAAATTGCTGAGATTACAGGCCTGAGACACAGTGCCTAGCTAAAACTTTTTTTTAAAGAGGAAAGATATGTTTCCCCAAAGGGAAGAATAACTAAATTGCTCTTTCAATAACTCCAAAGCATTTGATAGATAATGGGAACATATTCTTAAACTGATTCAGAAAATATATCCACGTAAACTATCATTCAAGAATGTTAGTAATTCTTTTGAAAAATAAAGCATGAGGACATGTGACTCAAACCTGTGCTAAAAGATTTACTAAAAAATTCATATGAAGAGAAAAAAATATCCAAAAAGATAATAAGAAATTTAAGAACATTCTGAATAAACAAACAAATAAATGAGTTAATTTAAATGAAAATTTATATTTTTCCCTTTGATGTTATACTTTTTCATTTACTGTGAAGTATCTAGCTTATGAACACTCAACTTAGTGATTTTATTCCATTTCATTTCTTCTCTTCTACAGTGAAATAAAACAAATGAGTTTGTTTGGTTTGGGATAGTAAGGAGAGCTCCTTATTAGCAAGAAAAATAAATGTCATAAATGTTATGCTGTAGTGCTGGAATGTTAATTATTTAATCATTTTGCAATATGTGTGACATCTTAATCCAAAAACAAATAAATTGGGAAGGAGATACAAAGTTCACTCAAGTGCTCTTAATTGTTAATATGTAAACTAATTAGCTTATTAAAATGTGGGCTTGAGTAATTCTAAGTGGTGTTGAAGAGCCTGAATCTCCTATAAACTCCAGGTAACACTGATTCTTTGTTGCTCTGAGCATGTGCAGAGTGGCAAGTGTCTCCATATGTCCTGAACAGAGTAATATTTACTTACAAGCTTCATAATAATACAAAAAAAACTACCAAAAAAAAAACTTTACCTAATTGTAAACACTGTTTTGTATTTCCGTGTTGAATTATCATTCCCTTTTGAAATCCTACCTTTGAAACTTGCCTTCTACAAGGCTGGAGGGCCAGACATCTTACCTGGTATCATGTCAGATAAACCACAAGTCATTTACACATGCTTTAAAATTCTAGTAGTGGTGGAGTTTTTTTATTCCTACTTTAACTACAGTCAAATTCTCATTTCTCTCTCATGTAAGTAAACTACTTGACAAAAAAAGATAATGCAAAATAATTTCACACAAGTGTGGGAATATTTCACTGAACCTTCTCATCTTCTCATGCTTTTTTCTCTCTTTGCCTTCCTGTTAACTAACTACTGCAGTTCTCAAGTCTCTAATTAAGTAATTA
Source organism: Homo sapiens (assembly GCF_000001405.40). NCBI lineage: Eukaryota > Metazoa > Chordata > Mammalia > Primates > Hominidae > Homo > Homo sapiens. Next base: position 123,212,654 of record NC_000002.12, on the reverse strand, counting down.
AGCACATGTTTTGGAATTATAATATGTAGAATGCTTTTAACATTACAGGTAAAACAATACGAATGAGGTTAATTGTATTTTTTTCTGCAGTAAAGGAAAACAATGCCAGATGGGATGAAACAATTTGTTCCTAAGTCTGAGGTAGTTCATAGTAACAGATTTGTGAAGAATACCAAAACCTTCAGAGATGGCTGTCATTAGATAATACTATGATATTGGATAATTGGGTGATTACACTATTGGTATCAAAGGATAGAATAGTAAGGTGTTTAAGGATAAGTGTTCTTGAAGTTCTATTGTGGTTTAAGGGAACTAATTTGAGATTGCTTTGAAATGGCCAATAAAATTCTGCCATTATAATTTTAAATTAAATTTCGGTATCATATGAAAGCTACAAGGATTAAGGAGGCAAATTTATCTAATAGAAGAGCTAGGCTTATATTTCATTCCAAATAAGATGAAAATATGCTTAATATTCCAGAAGCTTCAGGTTGTAACTTCTTTTCTCTTTCCGTGTTGTCAGGCTGTGTTTGACTCCATCCGCCAGTCTCAATACCGATACTCAAAATTCTCCTAGGATTGAGCGTTACATGCATCTTCCACATTATTAAAACCATTTGGAATAATAATTCCACAAAGAAAAGAAGATCAGAATGTATTTAAGGAACAAATCAATGATTTTTATTTTCTAAGATAATTTTTTATGGATGAAAAATGTGCTCAGTGTATTTTAAATAATGGAAGATGTCAAGAAGTTGAAACTGGTTGAGTCAAGGAGGTCAAACTCACAGTTTGAATAGCCAGCACTAGAAATGGCAAATATCACAAATTCCTAACATATTTTATTAGTTTGTAAAAGCAAATTCAAATTTTTATTGGCTGTTTGGATTTTTCTCATATTCAAAGTCGAACTGTTTATCATTTCTAACCTTTAAGTGTTCTCATGTGGAACAATTGAAAACACCTCCTTGTAAGTTTTAGTTTGTTGATCTAGGCAGAATCTCTTCAAAGTCAATAGCTGTTGTTTTAGTTTATATTTATAATGCCTGGAATGAGGCTTTACATGTATGAAGTATTTTAAATGGAGTTTCTAAACCTGATTTGAACACATATCTGACTTGGGCAATGAAAATTAAAATCAGTTCAATTTTTACAGTCAAAACTGGTGGGTCTTTACTGATTCCCATCTATGGCCAGTTGCAGTCCTGGATTTAATCTAAAACACTCAAGGTAGACATCTGCCTTGAATTATCCCTCTTTAAGAAACAATAAACTAGAGTCACTGTAAATATAGGGATTGTAATCTTACTGGGCTCTGGCCCTAGATTACAACCAACTCCAAAGTAGCTGCCATCATTATTATCCTCTATCATTTATCATCATCATCACCATTATCACCAATAAATGTTGTTGAGTACTAAGTATCAGATTCTGTGCAAAGGTCTCTGTAAGGATTATTCCACTGAATTATAACTGCAATACTATATAGACGAACTGATAAAAAAAAAACAGACTTATGGAACACTGAGAGGATTTAAACAAAGGTCTATAAAACCAAAGTGTGAATTTATATTACTTATGCATCTCTATATACTCTGCAATGCAGACAGAAGGCAAACTCTAGAATTAAAAAAAAAAAACTGTAGAGTTGACCCAGTTGGCATCTTTCAGATAATAATATTTGTGAAGTTCCACATTTCTTTTCTCTTCCATAGTCAGCGCATTTTCATGATTAGATGGAAAATACTTTCGACAAGTAGTTGAAATTTTAGTGAGATCTTTTATAAAACAACTAGATTTAGTGACTGTCATAAGCCCTTATATTGACAGTATACATCACTTGGAATCATCATCTTATAGAAAATAATTGGAAACTCTTCAGTTGCATTTGTCCAGTTGTGTATTCTTTAAATGCTGCTTGAATATTATTTTTCTCTTGTAATGAAAAAGTTAAAAAAAAAGTTCTGTGGCTTATAAACAGTTGAAGAGACTCAAATAAAGACAGCTTGGATGTACAAACTTAACATTTTTATTTAAAGAAAACATTCAATAAAAATAACTAGTTGGTCTTACGTAGCTCATCATGCAGTACCAAGGCACTGAAAGCAAATTTATTTTTGAGTTGTGAGATTAGAGCAAACATCTGGAAATAAACTTCTGTGGCCAGGTTTCTTGTTCTTTCTTGTCTTTTAAAACTTGAAGGGAAACTCCCACACTTGAGTATATTAAAATGCCTCTTTATTTCATACTCTCTCTTATAAAGACTGAGGTTTTATATATCAAGCAAAAACTATGGAAAAGTTTCCTGAAAAAAAATATAGAATTACCATGTATCAATCCCAGGTTTTGGAGATAAATAGAACCAGGGTAGAATCTACCCTTTGCTGGTCACTTGCTGTGTGACCTAGAACAAGTTCTTTCCTTGCATACTCATTATGATGATACATAAATGGGAGACACACGGATAGGTGATGAATAGGTGGATACATAGATGATAGAATATATTATGCTGAATATATACTGTATATTATATATATATTCACAACATATGTATACACATGCATCCTTGTATATCATATATTAAGAAAAGTTTTTTTAGCCATATGGTCTTGCTCAGTCACCCAGGCTGGAGTGCAGTGGTGAAATTATAATTTGGCTCACTGCAACCTGGAGCTCCTGAGCTCAGTGATCTTCCTACTGCAGCACTCCATCTGAGACTACAGGAATGCACCACCCTGCCCGGCTAATTTTTAAATTATTTTTAGAGATGGGTTCTTGTTATGTTGCCCAGGCTGGTCTTGAACTTCTGGCCTCAAGGAATTCTCCTGTCTCAGTCCTCCAAATTACTGTGATTATAGATATTAGCCACTACACCCGGCCCGTATATTATGTATTTAAATAAGAGTTATGCATATGTATATATGTCAGGTTCCATGTTACAGACCTCTCCTCTCCCCATGAAAGTCATGTATTTCAAATGAACTTCCCTATTGTGAATAGATGAATTTATGCTAAGAAAAAATTATCAGTTTAATTTATATTTCTTCCAGAAATACTGGCATTTTTTTAATGTCAAAAATAAAAGCACTGACACTTGGGAATACAAATAAGGAAGATATCTTGGGTAAATTTTGGTAAGCAAATGTCTATTCTGCCAGTGCCAACATGAAAATAGTCCCCCAAGTGGCATTGCAGAAGGCAATAATGAGACGAGAGGTAATTGCTGTAGCTATTGCCTTAGGCTCCTCAACGGCAGAGGCAGATGGACTGTGGGTTCTGATGATAGGAGAATGAGTGGAGATAAAAAAATAAAATAAAATATGCAGACATTTGCCAAACACACATCATAATCTGTGCTAAAGAATTATGACCCAAACCCAGCAATATCTTTGAGTTGATTTAGATCTTTTCTCCACCTGCATTATTTAATAATAGGATTGCTTCAAAATTCTTTACAACATAGAATGTTACACTGTAAAGCAGTATCACATACACATTTTGATTTGTTTGATACAGAAGATCTAAGGACAAAAATTTAATCTTCATTGGAGCATGAGGAACGCAATTTAAAATGAATAAAAGAAAAAAGTACAGAAAAAGGAGATGATAAAGAAAATGATATCTGCTATGAGCCTACTCAGGGAATATCCTAGGGGTCTTAAGATCATTAGTTCATTACTCTTCTTTGTGTTTGTGTGTTTTTTTATTTAATTTTTATTATTTATTTATTCAATTAGTTCATTACTCTTCAAATAACTCCCTCGGGTAGAATTATTTTCCCACTTGTTTTTCACGAATGAAAAAAAATGCTCAGAGAGTTTAAGCAATTTTTTTCCATATACAGAAAGATAGTCTAAAGTCATGCTGGGATTTGGATCTGTCCTTCAGTGCTTTCAAAATTAACAAATAATTAATATATCAAACAGGTCTGACTTCAAGTTTGTGTTCTTGCCATGACATAATTTGTGTTTGCCATACAATAACCCCACATGTCCAGTCTCCAAGAAAATGGCCATCTCTAAAATGAGACCCCTCATAAATCTTAAGATACTTTGTTTTAGGACCCTGCTCTTCCTCACCTTCAGGTTCTAGGGAAATGTGACATTGTAAAGCAAGGAAAATTTTGCTGAGATTGCTTTAAGTCTTTCTTTGTTATTATTACTATTAGTAGTAGTAGAAGTATAAAATTTATCTGGCATCTTATTCTTACTTTTCTGAAGAAGAATAAAATACTTTACTTGTTTTAAACTCTGGTCTTTCAACTAAAGTCCTAGGAAGATGATTTTAGAGAATTTCTAGGCTAAACAAGCATGTTCCCTTCTGAACACCATGCAGTGAAATTAATACCTACTCTTTCAAAAAAGGCCAGGCACGGTGGCTCACTCCTGCAATCCCAGCACTTTGGGAGGCTGAGGCAGGCAGATCATCACCTGAGGTCAGGAGTTGAAGACCAGCCTGACCAATATGGCGAAACCCTGTCTCTACTTAAAAAACAAAAATTAGTCAGATGTGGTGGTGCACACCTGTAACCCCAGCTACTCGGGAGGCTGAGGCAGGAGAATGGCATGAACTTGGGAGGTGGAGCTTGCAGTGAGCTGAGATCGCACCGCTGCACTCCAGCCTGGGCGACAGCACAAGACTCTGTCTCAAAAAATAAAAATAAAACAACAACAACAACAACAAAAAAGAGGGGGGTTATAACATATTTATTAAATACTATAAATTCAACAATGTAAACACCTACATGGTAAATATTGATTGTTTTGAAGCTAAAAAAAATACAGAAACAAAGAAAAATATTAAGTTGACTCTAGTTCAGTTAGCTTGGGAATTGATTTTTGATGAAATTCATAAGAACAAAAACTGCACATTGATTTGTGTTTGTACTCTACATTTCTACTCCAAAGACACCTTTCAATGCTTATTCACAAACTGCTGTCAGCATCTGTCTTCAAAGATAAAATAAAGAAAAGAAAATGACAATGGAATGCAACTATTGCCTCTCTGGAGAAGTTCCATTTTAATTTCCTTTAACTTACTCTACTTAATTTGACAGTTGGAAACTTTTGTCTCATTTGGTCCCCGGAACTCAGTAGTATACATAGCTCAGTGAGCTTAGTTTTATTACAGATATTATCCAAATGCTTTTTAATCATCCAAGATCATGATGAGCACCAGAGAGGCAATGTTATTTAACAAAGACACTTAACAGTGAATTAAACGGAGATGGTACTGATAAATAAAGTTGTTTGAGCTTCCTGCTGCAGACTCACTCTGTTTGCAATTATTTTGGGGATGAAACTGAGATGGCTTGAATCCTGAGATTCAGGCCTCCTTTGATGATGTATTAAAATCACATTGATTGTAACCTTTTAATCACAATATGTGTGATAATTCCCATAGGGCCTGAGATTGAGTTCAATTTGGTGTTAATATCACATGAAGGAAATGGTGATAAACAATGCTGGGGTAAAAATTTCTAAGCAATTTGCAAAGAATTTTTTATTTCAAGCTTATTTTGGAAATAAGAGGTCAAACTGAAAAGAGTTTAATCATCAGTCTATTCATATATTCACATACAAATATGTCAACAGGGCCACCTTGAACATAGCACTTTCTTTGTTGCCAGTGGGCAATATTTGTGTTTGAAAACCATTTGTCTACATTTCAATACTAACTGCTACCAATTAAAATATAACTGGAATACATACGTAAATGTGTTAGAAAATAATTTAAAAGTGAAAAATATGCTTCCTATAGGCATAAATGTGTCCAAAAATAAGGAAAAAACCACATTTCTGGACATTATCATTTGTTTGTTACATACAGTTTACCTCTTAGTGAATATTTAAATTAAATCAAATGTCAAAGGAAGAGTAGCAAACATTTTTATTAAAGTCATGTATACTAAAACTATTTTATATGACAAAAAATGTGTTTATTTATGCTTTTGCCTGTGAGTAAAAGGGAAAAAAATACTCATCTCATGGTGTCATAACTTCGTCTTCTGAGGAAGAAAGAGAACACAAGTAGAAAGAGGAAAAGAACAGGCAGGCAGAGCTTATGACTGAATGGCAATGTAGGTAAATAACTATGAATAAAATCAGCATTTCTACTGCCATGAACTCAGTTCATAAAAATTCATTATAGGTGGTGGAATAAAATGGACAAATAGAAAGTTCCACCTACCGTCCCCCCAATGAGGACATCAATTTAATCACTATCTAACCAAAAAAGTCACTTTTATAAGAAACAAAAATGAAGTGCTCCCTTACAGTACCTGGTTTCAACCTCACATCGCTGAAAGAGGCACCGTAGAAGGTAGGAAAGAGTCTTGAATCACTGATGCCATTCCTCCTCCATACCCCCTGGCAAGGGTTGCATGGCAGGGAGCATCTGTGCTTTTGTGAGAGAGCGAGTGCAGCAATCGTGAAACTTTGCGTTGAACTCAATGCTGCCCTGTCACAGCAGAAAGCAAAACCTGGCTGAATTCAGCTGACACCTGCCAACGAAAGGAATATTTAAACCAGCCCTAAGTACTCCCTTTGTGGGGAGGCATCAGCTGAGTCCAGCTCTGTTTTGCTGAACTCAGAAAAGGTTCCAAGAGACGGGGCTCGCACATCCCAGTGGTCAGAATCTGAGCTCCAGCAAGCCTTGCCACCGTGGGCTAAAGTACTCTGGGCTTCTAAGCAAGTTTAAAGGGCAGTCTAGGCCACAAAGACTACAACACCTAGGTGACTCCTAGTGGAGAACTGGGCTGGGAGACAGTGGACTTGGGGGGCATATGACCTACTGAGATAACAGCCAGGGAAGCAAAGGGAGTGCTTATGCCATCCCTCCTCAGATGCACAGCTTGTGGCTCCAAAAGAGACCCCTCTTTCTGCTTGAACAAAGGAGAGGGAAGAGTGGGGAGGACTTTGTTTTGCATCTTGAATACTAGCTCAGCCACAGCAGGATAGGGCACTGGTCAGAGTCATGAGACCTCTCTTTCTAGGCCATAGCTTCTGAACGAAATTTCTAGTAGATACATCCTGGGCCAGAGGAAACTTTCTGGCTTGAAGGGAATGACCTAGGCTTGGGAGGACCCAGCAGCTGCTGACTAAAAAGCTCTTGAGCCCTGAATAACCAGCAGCAATAGCCAGGTAATACAATGTGGGTTTTGGATGAGACTCAGACTTGATGGCTTTAAGTGAGACTCAGCACATTCCCAACTGTGGTGGCTATAGTGAGAAACTCCCTCTTCTTGAGAAAAACAGAAGGAAAATAAAGGGGACCTCTTCTTGCATCTTAGGTGCCAGTTCAGCCATGGTGGGGGTGGGGTAAAGAAATAAGTGGGCCTCTTGGGTTCCTGATTCAGGCTTTGACCCTTGGATGGCATTTCTGGACCTACCCTGAGCCAGAGGGAGCCCAGTTTCCTGAAGGGTGAGCCCAGTGCCCAGGCCAGGCAGCATTCACTGCAAGCTGACTGAAAAGCCCTTGGGCTTGAAAGGAATATAGGCAGTAGCCTGGAAGTACTCTTGCCAGGGAGACACAATGATAGCTAGAGATTTCAACACGTTACTTTCAGCATTGAACAGATCTTTCAGATGGAAAATCAACAAAGAAAGACTAGACTTAATCTGCTCTATAAACCAAATGAATCTAACAGATATTTAAAGAACATGTTGTTCAACAGCTGCAGAATACACATTCTTTTTCTAATACATGGATCATTCTCTGGGTTTAATCATGTATTAGGTATCTTAAATCATTCAAAAAAGTTGAAAGAATGCCAAGCATCTTCTATGAGCACAATGGAATAAAACTAGAAATGTGTAACAACAGGAATTTGGAAACTATATAAACACATGGAAATTAAACAATATGCTCCTGAATAACCAGAGGGTAGATAAAGAAATTAAGAAGGAAATTAAAAAATTTTCTGAAACAAATGAAAATGGAAATACAACATACCAAACCCTATAGGATACAGTAAAACCATTACTAAGAGAAATTTTATAGCTATAAATGCCTACATAAAATTAAAAAAATGTTCAAATAAAGAACATAATGATACATATTAACTAGGAAAGCAAGAGAAAACCAAACCCCAAATTTATAGAAGACAAAAATTAAGATCAGAGCATAAATAAATAAAATTAATTTCATTTGTTAATTAAAATAACAATACAAATACAAAAAATTAATGAAACAAAAAGTTTATCTTTTGGAAAGATAAATACAATTGACTATTCACTTTTTTCAGACTTATGGAAAAAAAAGAGAATACCCAAATACACAAAATCAAAGATGAAAGAAGAGACATTACAACTAATACTGCAGAAATTCAGAGGATCATTAGTGGCTACTATGAGCAACTATATGCCAATATATTGGAAAATCCAGAATAAATGAATAAATTTCTAGAAAAAAACAACTCTCAAGTTTGAACAATAAAGAAATCTGAAATCTGAACAGACTAATAAAAAGTAATGAGATAGGAGCCATAATAACAAGTCTGTTAGCAAAGAAAAGCCCAAGACCTAATGCCTTCACTGCTGAATTTGATGAAACTTTTAAAGAAGAAATAATGCTTACCCTACTCAAACTACTCTGAAAACTAGAGGAGGGAATACTTCCAAATTCATTCTAAGAGGACTATATTACCCTGATTTCAAAACCAGACAAAGAAAACTACAGGATAATATAATGGATATATATAGACGCAAAAATCATCAACAAAATAAAAGCAAATTAAATTCAAAAACACATTAAAAAGATAGTTCATTGTAACCAGGTGGGATTTATCCTTGACATGCAAAGACTGTTCAACATATGCAAATCAATAAATATGATATATCCTATCAACAGAATGAAGGACAAAAACACATGATCATTTCCATTGATGCTGAAAAAGCATTTGATAAAATTCAACATCTCTTCATGGTAAAAACTCTAAAAACACTGGGGATAGAAGAAACATAACCTAATAAAAGCCATATATGACAGAATCATAGCTAGTACCATACTGAATGGGGAAAAACTGAAAGCCTTTCCTCTAATATTGGGAAAATGACAAAGATGCCCACTGTCACCACTGTTATTCAACATAGTGCTGGGAATTCCAGCTAGAGCAATCAGAGAACAGAAAGAAACAAAGGGCATCCAAATTGGAAAGGAAGAAGTCAAACTATTCTTGTTTGCAGATGATATGATCTTATATTTGGAAAAAACTACAGACTCCTCCAAAAAGCTATTAGAACTGATAAGCACATTCAGTAAAGTTGTAAGATGCAAAATCAGCATACAAAATCAGTAGCATTTCTATATGCCAACAGCAATCTGAAAAAGAAATCAAGAATGTAATCCCACTTACAATAGCTGCAAATAAAATGAAATATCTGGGAATTAAGGTAACCAAAGAAGTGAACGATTTCTAAAAGATTATAAAACATTCGTGAAATAAATTGAAAAAGACACACAGACACACACACACACAGACACACACACACACACACACACATACGATAGCCATGTTTATGCTATGAAAAAATACTGTTAAACTGTCCATACTACACAAAGCAATCTGTAGATTCAATGCAATCCCTAAGAACATACCAATGACATGTTTCACAGAAATAGAAAAAATTTATACGAAACCACCAAAGACCCAGAATAGCCAAAGCTCTCCTAAGCAAAAATAACTAAACTGGAGGAATCACATTACCTTACTTCAAATTATACTAAAGAGCTATATTAATCAAAACAGTGTGGTACTGCCATAAAAAACAGACACATAAAAGAATGGGAGAGGATAGAGAACTCAAAAACAAATTCACACACCTACAGTGAACTCACTTTTGATAAACATGCCAAGAACATACGCTGGAGAAAGGACAGTCTTCAATAAATGGTGCTGGGGAAACTGGATATCCATATGCACACAAAATAAAACTAGACCAGTATCTCTCCCCATGTACAAGAATCAAGTCAAATACTTAAATCTAAGACCTCATACTATGAAACTACTAAAAGAAAATGTTTGGGAATCTCTTCAGGATATTGGACTGGGCAAAGATTTTCTGAATAATACCCAACAAGTACAAGAGAACAAAGCAAAAATGAATAGTGAGATTACATCAAGTTAAAAAGTCTCTGCACAGCAAAGGAAACAGTCAACAAACTGAAGAGACAACCCACAGAATGAGAACAAATATTTGCAAACTATCCATATGACAAGAGATTAGTTCAGAATAAATAAGGAGCTCAAACAACTTTGTGGGTAAAATCTAATAATCTGGTTTTAAAATGGGCAAAACACCTCAATAGACATTCCTCAAAAGAACACATACTAATGGCAAACAGGTATATAGAAAGATGCTCAACATCATTGATCATCAGAGAAATACAAATCAAAACCACAATGAGATATCATTGCACCCCAGTTAGAATGACTTTTATCTAAAGTCAGGCAATAGCAAAGGCAGGTAAGGATGTGGAGAAAAGTAAAACCTCATAAACTCTTGGTAGAAATGTAAATTAGTACATTCACTATGGAGAACAGTTTAAAGGTTCCTCAAAAAACTAAAAGTAGAGCTGACATATGATCTAGCAATCCCACTCCCTGGTATACACCCAAAAGAAAGAAAATCAGTGTATTGTACAGATATCTGCACTTCTATCTTTATTGCAGCACTATTTACAATAGCTGGAATTTGTAAGCAACTTGATTGTTCATCAACAGATGAATGGATAAAGAAAATGTGGTACATATACACAATGGAATACTATTCAGCCATAAAAAAGAATAAGATTATGTAATTTGCAACAACATAGGTGGAACTGGAGGTCATTATATTAAGTGAAATAAGCCAGGAAATAAATGACAAACTTCACATATTCTCACTTATTTGAGGAAACTAAAAATTAAAATAACTGAATTCATGGAGCAGAGAGTTGAAGGATGGTTATCAGGGACTGGGAAGAGTAGTGGAGGAGGGAGGCTGGGAGACATAGAAATGGTTAATGGGTACAAAAAAATAGTTAGAAAATGTGAGTAAAACATAGCATTTGCTAGCACAACAGAGTCACTATAGTAAAAAATAATTTAATTGTACATTTTAAAATAGCCAAAAGAATATAATTGGATTGTTTGTAATACAGAGGAAAAGTATTTAGGGTGAGGGATACCCCATTTTTCATAATATGATTATTATCACTGCATGCTCACATCAATATATATCATGTAACCCATAAATACATATATATATATACCTACTATGTACCCACAAAAATTAAAAATCAAAACAAATTTAAAAAAAATAACAATTATAGTAGTTCCCTTAGAGTGTTTAGATTCTCATTGGTCCTCTCATCAGTCAGTAGCAAGCTTGAGATGTGTGAGGAACAAATCAGTGGCCAATGTGCTGTCTCATTCCATGTACAGCAAACTAAATAAGGAGTTACACTAAAAACAAAAACAAAAACAAACAAAAAAAAACCTACCAAAATAAATTATGCTACTCTATTGGAGTAAATGGAAACTTTAAATTATGCCCCAAATTATTTTATTTGAATTATAGTGTTTTCAAAGCCTCATATGTAAACCTCCCTTAGTGTTTATCCCCTTTCACCGAGATTCTCTAGGCATTTTACCTTTTCCTCTTCTAATATATAAAGTACATTAAGGTTGGGACTGGGACTATTACTCACGTCATCTTAAACCAGAGAAAAGCAAGAGATGAGTCTTCATTGTTAAATATTTTTTTTGTTGCTGTTGGTGTTTTTATAATTTTTTCCCTTCTAACTACAAACTGGAATATAATGAGTGCCAGTTTGGATGAAAGACTTAACCAGAAAAAAATTCAGATAATTTCACCAACCAGGAATAATATCTGTTAATACTTTTGCTTATTTTCAGATAAATATTTCTCCAGGATCATTTGTAATTTCAAAGGCCTAATTTCACAAATAGTTTTCCCAGCACTTACATTTTTGAAATCTTCTTCTTTTATATTATCATACTTTTATTTCCAAACTACATCTTTTAAACAAATTTAAATATACAAAGTATCTTGAATCTTTCAAATATTATCTATTTTAACAATGTCATTGCTTACAGTTTCTCACTGTTTTATTAACCATTTAAAACTACCTAGCTCCGGACATTACTCTACTGCTATGGCTCTACTATTGCCACAAACAGTACTATGCTACTCGTCAGATAAATATATCCTTTAGTCCTCATCTCATTTTCCTCACAGAAACCTTCAATGGTGTTGAATGCTTCTTCCTGAAAACACTCTTGGTGTTATCAAAGTGTCTGTATTTCCTTCTAATGCTCTTGATGCCCCAGCAACTTTGCTGGTTCATCTTCTACGTGGCTGTTCAAGGCTGACTTGTCAGGCTTGATTCTAGTTTCTATTCCTTTCATAGCCTACAGTCATAACCAAGGCCATCTCATCCATGACATTAGTTTTAATTACCCTGTACAAAGGACACACAAACATACTAGTCACCCAGCTAGCTTCATAAAGTTCCAAATCCAAACATAGATTTTACTAACTCTGAATATTTATACTTAAATATCTGAAAACCCCCTGAAAAATTCTGGTTTTTGCTTCAACATGTAACGAGCTTATTCATCTTCGTTCCCTCCTTACAAAAAGATAAAGCTGCACAAACCCCAAACCAATAATTTTTCTTGGAACAATGAGAAAAGTGAAGTTTCAGGACAAACCGCCACCCTGGAATCTGGAATGGCAGGGAAATCCAGACAGTCACAGCGGAGGCCAACTGATCTGCAGCAGAAGCTGCTACAGCTATAGAATAGTGGGCAGCTGATAAAATACTTCAGTGGTAATTTTGGTGAGACTATTCTGTATGGATGGTGAAACTATTCTGTATAATCTTGTAATTGTCCATTGGTTAAGCATTTTTCAAAACCCAGAGAAATTTACAGTACAATGAGTAAAAATTAATGTAAGCAATATTTTAAAAGTCAGAGGATTCCATGATGAAATGCAAAATGTGACAAAACAATGTAACGATATTACAAATGTGTAATGGAATTTCATTGAGGAAGTGGTGACTTGAGTAACTTAGAAAGTGAGTAGAGCCTGTAAGCCTAAGGGGGAAAAAAAAGAAAGAAAAAAAGAAAAAGAAAAACATACATAGCCACTGTACTGTAGTAGTTGATGAAATCACTTGCTATAAAGTGATACCACTTATGATACCACTACACATATATACTGGAATGGAACAATCAGGTAAATGGACAGGGTGGGGTGGAGGGAGTCAGTTGTCTTACCGTTGGAGTTGGAGTTTACAGGTAAGTAAGGGACAGAGGCTAGAATGAAATATATTGTAATGGATTCATGTTAGAAACATCAATATGGACACGTTTTGCATAATTTAGATAAATATATTTATATGTAAAAATATGTATAGCTATGTGTAATTTCATGAGTTAGGATACACACATATATATCTTTGTTCTGTCAGCAGGGAGGGGCTGGAAGCAGTGATTCCTCAGTAACGACAAACACACCTAGGTCTCAGATCTTGGCTTCTGGTATCATTCTCCAATGAAAAGAACCAAAGATCTGTAAGTAAATGCCTGATTCTAGGACTCGGGAAGGAAATACATTTAAAAAGCAAAACAAAAATGCGTATTCTGCTGGAGATATGTACAAGTAGAAGAGACATAACTATCCACTCTTCAAGTATAGACTATAGTGACTTTCTTCCAAAGTGTACAGTATACAAAGGAAAAAAAGCAAGATATGTTATAGTACCTAACAAAATTTATCTCAGCCAGGAGAGAAAGATCAACATGTACTATATACCTTTTATATGATGTGATGAAAACTTCGCTCTGTGAACTATTCCCAGAAATTGATAACACAGGTTAATCATGAGAACATCAGACAAATCCTAATCCACACAATTTCTGATAAGTATTCCTTAAAACTGTCAAGGCCATAAAAAACAAGGTAAATTTGAGAACTCGTTACAGCCAAGAGGAGCCGAAGGAGACATGACAACTAAATGTGACGTGGTGTCCAGAATTAGGTTGTGTAACAGAAAAATCTGGAAAATGCCCTGGAGTTGAGTTCATGATAATCTAAGCTGTCAATAATCCTAGAAATTGGATGTGGGGTATGGTTCAAATCTCTATCCCATCTTTGCAATTTTTCTGTAATTCTAAACTGTTGTAAAATAAAAGGTGTATCTTGAAAGTCATTGAAATTTTTATGGAAGTGCTACATTTAGTTTTTGTCAAATTTAGAATTGACTATTGTCATAGTCACTTCCCCAAACCTCATTAAGTCTGTTAATAGGAAATGCTGTACTATATATCTGTGGCCTTATTTTTAAAATTAGCAATAAATTGAAAATATTTCAATATGTCGATAAATATTCCTTTGCAAACAGGTTTAATTACCTTATAATATGTATGTACCATAATTTACATAGCCAGTCTTCTGCTGTTGGGAATTTAGAAACGTTTTCTCAAATTGTCATAGTCATAAATTAAAATAGCATATTTATGATTATGAATAATTTTTGTGTACATCTATGATGACTCCCCATAATATGTATCAAAAAAGTAATAACAAATTCAGAGTGTGAAAAGTTTATACTTATGATTCCTGTTTTCTCTTTTTTTTCTCTTTGTTTATTTATTTATTTATTATTATTATACTTTAAGTTTTAGGGTACATGTGCACAATGTGCAGGTTAGTTACATATGTATACATGTGCCATGCTGGTGCTCTGCACCCACTAACTCGTCATCTAGCATTAGGTATATCTCCTAATGCTATCCCTCCCCGCTCCCCCCACCCCACAACAGTCCCCAGAGTGTGATGTTCCCCCTCCTGTGTCCATGTGTTCTCATTGTTCAGTTCCCAGCTATGAGTGAGAATATGCGGTGTTTGGTTTTTAGTTCTTGCGATAGTTTACTGAGAATGATGATTTCCAATTTCATCCATGTCCCTACAAAGGACATGAACTCATCATTTTTTATGGCTGCATAGTATTCCATGGTGTATATTGCCACATTTTCTTAAGCCAGTCTATCATTGTTGGACATTTGGGTTGGTTCCAAGTCTTTGCTATTGTGAATAATGCCGCAATAAACATAAGTGTGCATGTGTCTTTATAGCAGCATGATTTATAGTCCTTTGGGTATATACCCAGTAATGGGACGGCTGGGTCAAATGGTATTTCTAGTTCTAGATCCCTGAGGAATGATTCCTGTTTTCTAATTGCCACCAGTCATTTATGAAATTTAGTTTCCCGAACTTTCAATGAAATTCCAATATCATTTTTGCACTATGAGAGTACATAACTTTGTTATTTATATAATTATCAATGAGGTTGGAAATGATTTAAATATATTTATTAAACATTTGCATTGCTCTTATGAATTAATTGCTTATATCATATGCCCAGTCTTCTTCCTTTTCCTATTACTTCTTAAGAGTTTTTTATTACATAATTCTTCTTTTTTAATAAATATAATTTTTAAAAAACTGTTCTTACGACACTAGTTTTACTTCCAGGCTGGTGTGATTTGGGAAAAACAGGCTTTTACATAATTAAGAAAAATATATGAGGACTAATTTTGTATTTGATGGGTGGTCAAAGTAACTTAGGCATAGTTTATTGCTCTTGTTATTTTGTTGCTTTCATGAATCATTTACCTTTCAGAGAGGATTTCAACTGTTTCATATCAGCTGTTCCAATACTTAGCCTTCAGCCACAACAATCAGATTCTTTACTCAGAGAAAATGTCATATATGTTGATTTGTCAGGATGAATTAAGAAATGCCAAACAAGGGTTGTTAAAGGCACAAACATGATAAATATTTTAAAAATTTGTTTTACTTTTATTATCTGAATATTTTTGTCAGAAAATATACAATATTATAACTATATTAAAATTTTTCTAATTTACATTTGTATTTTTAAAGCTGGATGTAAATAGAGGAAAATAACAAATGTAAACAAATGAACCTACCACTAAGGAACAAAAAGCAAGATTCTACTGACATATTTCCAAAAAACATATTTTGGGGGTAAAAATAGAGGAAAGAATTAGTAAATTACAAATTATTAGTAGTAAAAAAAATTCAAATATGTAAAACTGTGAGTCAAGTTTTGCAAATATTTCTTCCAGGCCATGTCTACCATTTTGGAAATAAGTTATTCTCACTTAAAATGTAGTTATGATACTCCTCTGATGAATGAGAATCTTAAAATTAGATAAAGCAAATAAGTAGAATGATCATTAGTCAGTAGTGATCTTATGAATGTTTTCATTGTTGTTTAATGCTCATTAAATAAATCAACAAAGACAACAACATCTAGGTAATTGCATAGATGCTTACAAATCTCGGATTAGTAATAGGGAATACTGCAAATTACAATCTTTTACTTGATAAAAACTTCACTAGACCCCGCGATGCTTATAAATGTGCTGTGCTCTGTTGGAGATAATATGCATTGCGCAAGCACATTTTCTACTTTCTTGTTCTTAATTGAAATTCTCAATATCTTTTTTGATTTGAAGAGTTAGAAAGCCCAATATTACATTATGGTATAATAAAAAGTAACTCATTATTCTTACATAACACAATTCTAATTTGCTAAAATATAGGAGTAAATTCAAATAAATAAAAGTTTTCAAAAAGAAGGCATAATATTAAGAATATCATTAAATATTCTTCTAACTCTAAGTATTTTGAAGGAGCTGAGTAGGAAATAAGATATAATTCGGAATGAGAAAACAATTCTACTGAATCTTGGCATTGATAAAGGACAAAGTATATAACACTGGGACAGTTTTTTCACTTTTAGAAAGGGAATAATAACTTGCATATTCAAAATAATTATTTCACAATTGCTGTATATATTATAAAAACTGACAAGCAAAATGTGATATGTTAATTTAGGGCATGTAACTAATAGGTCAAAAGTCTTTAGTGCAGTTTCTGTCGTATTGTATTTTTCTGTTTATGTGATAAGTTTAGCTAAAAATAGATGCTTGGTATATTTATAAATCCAAATATTAATCACATTTAATATTTTTGAGGACCTCTTCTCTGGCAAGCACTGTGACCCCTTACTCAGTAAAATATAGTGCCCACATGAAATCTTACACAGTCACATTATTTAAAGCCATAATATTCAAACCACTGTTTTAAATTATTGATAAAGGCTTACACAGACCACTACACATCAGGTGAGATATTGCCACTTAATGTTATCCAATCATAAATGGCTGGTCCTTGACTCTAAGTCACACGAGAGCTATTTCCTCATTTGTTTGTTGTATTGTTTTCTTTTCATTTTAGTCTTGACATCTCTCTCAGTACTGTGACTATAAACATGAGCCCTGCCTTGATAGGGCTGCAGGGGATTCAGCCTTCGACATTTACAATGTACCTTTTACAGGATACTTCCTTATCCTGGAGGATGGCCTAATGGCTAAGTGTCTGACCTGGTAACCAAGTCTTCCTTTCACAGGAAACTTGTTTATAAAGGCAGATACTCCTAAGGCTCATGTCTGACTTATATCTAGTTCATTCCCACCAAGATAGCTACTATGTCAAAGAACTCTGACCAGAAAAGAAGTTAGGTTCAGGTGTGTCAGTCAGGGGAGACACAGAGCAGGCAAATCAGTAAAGCATGTGAAATAACAAAAGCAGTGCATTACTTAGAGAACTTATAGGGAAGCGGGCAGCATGCCTCTCAGAGCCAGTGGGAAG
Source organism: Homo sapiens (assembly GCF_000001405.40). Taxonomy (NCBI): domain Eukaryota; kingdom Metazoa; phylum Chordata; class Mammalia; order Primates; family Hominidae; genus Homo; species Homo sapiens. Next base: position 123,194,898 of record NC_000002.12, on the reverse strand, counting down.
TGGGCAGCAGTCTGGGACACTCTTTTAGTCCATTTTTGTTGCTATAACAGAATACCTAAGACTGTAAATTGTAAAGAAAATAGGTTTATTTAGCTTAATGGTTTTGCAAGATGGACAGTTCAAGAAGGATGATGCTGGCATCTGCTCAGCTTCTGGTGAGAGCTTTTGTGCTGGGTCAAAACATGGAAGTAGGTCAAAGAGGAAGCAGGTACGTGTGAACTGGCCAAATGCAAGGGGAGTCCAGGCTTTACCACTCATGCTGGTGAGAACTAATTCATTCCTAGAACTCATGAGAACTCACTCACTACTGTGAGAACAGTAATATACCCCCAAGACCCAGAAACCTTCCGCCAGACTCCACCCACCAACACTGCTACACTATGGATGAAATTTCAACATGAATGTTGGTGGGGATGAATCATATCCAAAACACAGCATATCCACACCACAACCAGCAGGTGGATTGAAGAAAGAGAGAATAAGGAACCTGTGGGCCTAAGCCATTACTGGGGTCCAGAGTGTTGGTCAAGCAGATATTCCCTGGAAAGTTCTAATTGGTGAACTTAGAACATGCAGACATAAGTTCTGTAAAGTAACACCTGTGATTGAGAGATGGTCACTGTGGTATATCTGTGCAGCACATGTAGGGCATACAAATCAGTTGGTTCTATAGTTTGTATATTTGACCCTCCAAAACTCATGTTGAAATCTGATCTCCAATTTTGGAGATGGGGCCTAATGGTAGGTGTTTGGGTCATGAATGGCTTCATGTCGTGATAGTGTTAATGAGTGAATTCTTGCTCTATTATTTTCCACAGGAGTTGGTTGTTAAAAAGAGCCTGGAATCTCCCCGTCTCTCTCTGGCTTCCTCTCTCACTCATGTGATATCTGCACTTGGAGGCTCCTCTTCTCTTTCTGCCATGAATGAAAGCAGCTTGAGACCCTCACCAGATACAGATGCTGGTGCCATGCTCTCTGTACAGCCTGTAGACCATGAGCCAAATAAACCTGTTTTCTTCATAAATTACCCAGATTCAGATATTCCTTTGTAGCAACACAAAAGCAGTAAGACAGTGGGATGAGTCAAATAGGTTGTATCTAGCTGTCCCACAGGGATGAAGGCACAAGAGGAGGTTGTATAGGGCAGATATCTGGATCAACCACATTGAGGCACTGGGAAGAGGTAGAGAACTGGAAGCTGTCAAAGTTGCCTAAGCCCTGCCTCTGGTCTGAGAAAGTTAACCCTATATTCAAAATGCATGCCAAGGCAACATAAAATTATAAGAATTCACTATACTGCTTCAAGTGGGTCTTACAAGACCCCCAAGAGAAGACAATTAGTTTGAGAACCAATATTTATGTGCCTTTGCACCTGCCATTCAAGTCAGTGGTGTCCTAACACCTACAAATTATAGCAGTTGTCTTTTCCTACTCAAGATTCTTTACAATCTACATTTTTCACTTTTGCAGAGTGTTTTTTTTTTCACTAGAGCTGATATAATAACCTTCCTTCCAAATGGAAATGGATTCACCTTCCTTGCAAAGAGTGAGGCAAGAATTATTTGAGCTATCTCCTTGGTACCTTGTGGGCTTTGGAGTTGAACTAGGTGAGGCAGAGTCAAATATGTTAGCCATTAACTATCTTATATTCCAAAAGTTACCTAAATGTATCAGACATGAGCTGCCTTTCAAGACCTAATAACATAAAAATTGATTTTAAAAAAGTAACAAACACTAGTTGATATACCCCAACATAGTTTAACAACCATTATAATAAAGGTGCAAAGACAATGACAGAATGGGCACGGCAAAGATTATTTAAAACTGAGATGAGACTGAGCACGGTGGCTCACGCCTGTAATCCCAGCGTTTTGGGAGGCCAAGGCGGGCGAATCTCGAGGTCAGGATATCAAGACCATCCTGGCTAACAGGGTGAAACCCCGTCTCTACTAAAAAAATACAAAAAATTAGCTGGGCATGGTGGTGAGCGCCTGTAGTCCCAGCTACTCGGGAGGCTGAGGCAGGAGAATGGCATGAACCCAGGAGGCAGAGCTTGCAGTGAGCAGAGATGACGCCACTGCACTCCAGCCTGGGTGACAGAGCAAGACTCTGTCTCAAAAACTGAGACAAGCCTTGTGGAAGATTTCTGACTTGAACTGGAACTTGGATTCCAGTTCAAACAAGACCTTGATTAGCAGAAATATTTGGGAAAATATCTGTTTTCAATTTCAGCAGAGAAATTTTAGAAAACAAATATGAACCCATGGATTAATAAAAATTTCCTCCACATTGGAAATATGTGAGATTAAAATAGTACTAATTTCTAGGTTAGCATTTGAGGCTTTTTTTTAAGGCAGTGGAAGCACTAGGGCCTTTAGACATAAGGTTGTCATTCTGAAGAGAGGGTTTAAGGAAAATGACTATTGTCACTTAAAAGATATGACTAGAAATGTTAAGAAACTGGAGGCAGAGATATAAGCTAAACTAAAGATAGTAGAAATAGAATTAAAATGTTGTCTGTGACTTCTAAAGCTCAGAAAGAGGAAGTGGAGACATTTGTGTGTGTGATATATATATGTATATAGTGTGATATATATGATATATATGTGATATATATTGCATGTATGATATACATATATATCACATATATGGTATATATGTGATATATATAGTGTGTGATATACTTATATATATCACACATATATAGTATATATGTGTGATATATAGTGTGTGATATATATATCACACACATACACATGTATATACACATAAATACATATATATTTATACATAATACATATATAAATACATATACATACAAATGTATAAATATATAAATACATATATATAGTTATTTCCTCATGCTCCTATATACACCCAAATAATCTTATAATAACGTTTTACTTATAAGGAATCTTGAAACAGAAAACCCAAACAATTAAACCCAAACAAATCTTATTCTCCCAAATTTCCATTGAGAGTATTAGAGTGCAAAGTAGAAAACCCTTGCTTGTTAATCCTAGCTATCATAGAAATACTTAATTTCCAATCATGTAGAAACAGATGAAGTTTAGGATGCAGAAGATTAGATTCAGAGGATTAGAGTAAACGGTATAAATTTAATTATTCAAAATATGAATAGAAACAAGTCATCATGAAGTCACAGTAAATAGCAATAATTGGAATATGAGAATTTGTCTGTACTTACTAATGAGGGATTTTATATCTAAGAATAGAGTTTATGTTTTTACATTCCTGAATTAATTAATGCCTACATGCAAACATCCATAATAGGCATTTGAATTTGGCCTTTGAGACTGGTATGGGGTTTCATGCCATGTTTTTTATATATGATAATGTTTTTATTTTTATGGGGTGTTTTGTGTGTATGTTACAAACAAAAAATTCTGGCATTTCAGTTTGGTATTTAGAGCTGCTACATAAATTTGTCAAAATATGCATGCTGTATGCAACTATTAACATGTTTCAAAAACAATTTGTTATATCCCAGTATTCATAACCAGATATTCCTCAGTTTGATGGTCCTATGACAATCAGCAACATGGATGAGTGAATAAACATCTACACATCACTGTAAATGTTGGATGAAATACCTGAATTCAATTACTAGTCACACACACACACACACACACACACACACGCAGTTGTGATTAATAATTCCACGGCTTTAAATACTCCACAAACAATCTTCAAATCTTTACAAGCTTTCTCCCTTTAGCCATCAATATGAGCAAGCAAGAAAACATCGTCAGTGACTACCACTACCTTTATACTCTGAGTATCTTGGATTCGTGTTTTTCTGAGCTCTGAATTTCCATAAAATTAAATGTGATATCCAACCTTAATTGATTCTGGATGGTAGTTTTTTGCATAATTATGTTTAAGAAGGGCCTGTCAATACAATTTGCTCTCAATTGTCACAGTAATGTTAAATAAAATAGGTTCAGGTGCAAATACAATAATTAATCTTTTCAATTATTATAACACCATCATCCTACAGAAACACAGCCAAAAAGAATAAGAAGACGAAAGAAATATCCATTGAAAAATTTTGGCGTTTATGGTAATACATCACATTGCTTTAATACTTCAGTAATCTCTGCATGTGAAAGATCATACACATCAAGAATTTTACCTTTTATAAGTAATTTCATGTTTTATTATGGAGGATATGGTTGTGTTCTCTGTTGAACATGTGCAATATAATTGAGTTTCAGAGCTGAAGTTATTAGTGACTAGTTAAAGTTGATGCTTACATCCAGAACTTCCTTCTTTGCTGAGAGTTTTTGGAGTTATGATCTCATTACTATGGCCACATAAAAGATCAGTTCCATTTGTCAATTAAATAGCATAAAGAGTGAGCGGAATCCAAGGAAACTGCTTTCTCTGTACATTTGCCATAGTATACCTGGTACCATTTGGTGAAGGGAGATTAACTGCAACTCTAGTTGCAATGAATTTCCATTGTCTTCACCTTTACTTAAGTTTGGGATTTTGGGGATATGATGATTTTTCTCTGTGTTAGTGACATGTTGGTTAGAAGTCTTGCCCCCTCCAGTGATGTTATCCTCTCAAGCTTTCTTGGCTCAGCAATTATCCTGTTTCAATTTATTACTCTTTCTTTTGTTTTTATTTTCCTTTTTTTTTTTTTTTTTGTCTAAGGAAACTTTCTAAACTATTGATATAATCATAGATTTTGATATAAACTTTGGTATAATCATAGACTCACTTATAATTGTGAGAAATATTGCAAACAAATCCTATGTATTCCTTACCCAGTCACCTCAATGCTAACACTGTTTTTTTGTTGTTGTTGTTTGTTTTTTTTTTGTTTGTTTGTTTGTTTTTTTTGAGACGGAGTCTCCCTCTTCCGCCCAGGCTGGAGTGCAGTGGCGCGATCTCAGCTCACTGCAAGCTCTGCCTCCCGGGTTCACGCCATTCTCCTGCCTCAGCCTCCCGAATAGCCGGGACTACAGGCGCCCGACACCACGCCTTGCTAATTTTGTTTTTGAATTTTTGGTAGAGATGGGGTTTCACCGTGTTAGCCAGGATGGTCTTGATCTCCTGACCTCATGATCCGCCCTCCTCGGCCTCCCAAAGTGCTGGGATTACACAGCGCCCGGCCAATGCTAATATCTTATAAAACTATAGTACATTATCACAAACAGAATGCTGGCATGGTTGTGTCCAATATGCACAACATTTGTATCCCCAAAAGGAATTGTCATGCTGCTTTTTTATGGCCACACCCACTACTCTTTTGTCTCCTACTCTTCCTCCTCAATCTATGGCAACCACCAATCAGGACTGTATCTCTATAGTTTTGCCATTTCAGTTTTATGTAAATTGAATCATACAGTATGTAATATCTTGATCCTGGCTTGTTTCAGTTAGAATAATTATCAGTTTGCCAAGTCGTGGCATGTATCAATAGTTCATCCCTATTTGTTGCTAAATAATAGTTCACAGTATGGATGCACTGCAATTTGTTTAATCATTCACCCGTGATTAACCATGATCATTGAGTGATATTCAGTTTGGGGATACTATGAATAAAGTTGCTATACACATTCAAGCGGAGGTTTTAGTGTGAATATCAGTCTTCATTTATCCAGATGAATCACCTAAGAGTGCGGTTGTTGAGGAGTACAATAGCGGCATGCCTACTGTTTTAAGAAATTGTAAAACTGTTTTACAGAGTGGTAAAACATTTCAAATTCATACTAGAAATGCTATGGGTAATACTGTTTCCCTGGTGTCGCTATTTTTTATTTTGACCATTCTGATAAGTGTATAGTGCTCTCATTGTGGTTATGGTATACATGTCCCTAGTAACAAATGATGTTGAATGATCATGCGATGATTTACCAGCTGTATATTCATTTTGAGGAAATGTTTATTAATGTGTTTTGCCCTCTTTGTAGTTAGACATTTTGTTTTTTGACTTATGAGAGTTCCTTATATATTAAATAATATTCTTTTTTATGATACATGGCTTGCAAATACTTTCTCCCATTTTGTAACTTGTCCTTTTTCTCCTTTAAGCAAAATATGTTGTAGAATGACAGTTTTTAATGTTGATAAAATTTATTTCTTTATTGGATTGAGATTTTGGTGACAAGTGTGATAATTATTTCCCTGGCCCTAGATGTGAAACTTTTTTTTTCTTCTAATTTGTTTTCTAAAAGTTTTTTAGTTTTACATTTAAAGATGATTCATTTTGAGTTCCTTTTTTAACATGCAACATTTAGGTCAAGGTTTCTTACTTATGGTAAAATTGCTCCAGCATCATTTGTTAAAAAATCTGTCTTTCTATATTGAATTGCTTTTGTAAACTTATGAAAAAATCAGTGTGCTTCACTATTAACTATTGTTAACAATTCTCTATTCTGTTTTGTTCATTTCTGATCTCCACTCATACCACACAGTATTGATTCCTATAGCAGTGTAGTGGTGATCTTAAAGTAAATCCATTCCTCTCGCTTTATTCTTATTTTACAAAACTGTTTTTAATATTTTAGTTTATTTGTCTATCTATGTAAATTTTAGAATAATATTGTTTATATAAAGTGTATTCTTTGAATTGCGTCAAACCATTATACCAACTTCAGAACAACTGACATTTTTACTATGCTGTCTTTAAGTGTCTACAGTGTCTTCCAATTTATTTAGATTTTCTTTTATTTTTGTCATGTCATTACACAGTATTTAGCATACAAGTCTTGTACAAAGCTTGTTAGATTTAGGCTGACTTATGTGTTTTCTTTCAGTGATTGTAAACATTTTCATATTTTTACTTTTGGTAACCACATATTCATTGCTCCTATATGAAACTGCAATTGCTTTTTGTATGTTAATCTAAAATTCTGCAACCTGGCTGCACTCATTAATTAGTTGGAGGAGCTGTTTTCTGTTTGTTTATTGTTATTTGACAGATTCCTTGGTTTTTTTTATTAATAATTAATTAACATATTTTTAGGGACAGGGTCTTACTTGTTACCCAGGCTGGAGCACAGTGGCATGATCATAGCTCACTAAAACCTCCAACTCCTGGGCTCAAATGATCCTCCTACCCTGGCCTCACAAAGTGCTGGGATTACAGGCTTGAGCCATTGTGCCCAGGCCAGAATTTTTCACATAAACAATTACATTATATGCAAAAAGGAACAGGTTTTTCTTTTAATATGTATGTATTTTTTTCTTTTTTTGTCCTAATTGTAAGGACTAAAACTTATAGAATTATGTTGAATAAGAGTGTTGAGATTGAACATTTTTGATCCTAATTTCAGCAGAAAAGTATTTATTCTTTTACCTTTAAGTATAATGTTACAATCTTGAGTGTAGAACTTTTGTAGATACTTTGTGGTAGCTATAGAGGAAGTTGCTCTCTATTCTCTACTTTTTTCAGAGAATTTTTGTCATAAATGGTTGGTCAGATGTATTTCCAAATCGATTGATATAATCATATAATTTTTTTCTTCAGCCTGTTGATATGATGTATTACAATAATTGAGTTTTTAATATTGAGCCAGCCTTGCTTACCTGGAATAAATTCCACTTGGCTTTGTTAAATAATTATTTTTATTTATTGTTGAATTCTATTTACTACTATTTTAAAGGATTTTTGCATCTTTGTCAGTTATATTAGTCCATAGCATTCCTTCTTACATTTATTGTACTGTACTTTCTTTTTCTTTTTTTTTTTTTTTTTTGAGACGGAGTCTCGCTCTGTCGCCCAGGCTGGAGTGCAGTGGCGGGATCTCGGCTCACTGCAAGCTCCGCCTCCCGGGTTCACGCCATTCTCCTGCCTCAACCTCCAGAGTAGCTGGGACTACAGGCGCCCGCCACTACGCCCAGCTAATTTTTTGTATTTTTAGTAGAGACGGGGTTTCACCGTTTTAGCCGAGATGGTCTCGATCTCCTGACCTCGTGATCCGCCCGCCTCGGCCTCCCAAAGTGCTGGGATTACAGGCGTGAGCCACCGTGCCCGGCCTGTACTGTACTTTCTTTTTGTAGTTTGATATCAAATAATACTAGCATTATAAAATAAATCAGAAAGTATTTCTTCTCTTGTATTTTCTGGAAGATGTATAGAATTGGGATAAATTCTTTAAACATTTACTAGAATTCTACAGTGAAACCATCTGGACATAATTTTTTTTTCTCAGAGTATTTAATTTACTAATTCAGTTTTCTCAAAGATACTGTGTATACTCAATTATCTATTTTATATTTGATTAGTTGTTGTAGCTTGTGTTTTTTAATGAATTGGTTCATTAAATCGTAGTTTTTAAATTATGTATATATAGGTTATGGTATTCTTTTATTTTTTTGATGTCTATCTTGTTAATGTGTCTTATTTAATTATTTTGTCAGCTATGCCAAAGATTCATGAATTTTATTAATCTTTTCTAAGAACCAGCTATTTGTTTCTTTGATTTTCTTTATTATTTTCTGTTTTCATTTTCACTGATGCATGCTCTTAATTATTATTATTTTCTCCATTTTGTTGTTTTGGGAATAATTTGCTCTTTCTTTTCTGTATTTGGTGGAATATGTAAAATTGTTCATTTAACACAGCCTCTTTCGTAGTCATTGCCATGAATTTCTCTCTCAGAACTCATTGGTATGTTTTCCATAGTGTAGGTATGTTGTATTTTCATTTTCATTCAGGTCAGTGTATTTTTTTTTTTTATTTCCCTGGAGACCTGCTTTTTGATCAGTGAATTATTTAGAGATGTGCTGTTCATTTTGAAGTGTTTATTTGTTTTTGCTGTCACTAGTCTATCATTTAATTTCATTTTGTTCACTAAAGACTCTGTCTATGGTTTTCAATTTTTTTTTATTTGTTGAGGTTCTTTTATGACCCAGGCTATGGTCTATCATGTGTTCTGTGGGCACTTGAAAACGTGTGGGCTGTTGTTGTATGGAGTGTTTCATAAATGTTGATGAGATCCTGTTGGTGAATGGTATTTTCACTTCTGTCTCCTTGATGACTTTCTACATCAGTAATTGAGGAAGGGATGTTGAAGGCTCTAGATGTAATTTTGACTTTTTTTTTTCTTTTCAGTGTTTTATTTGTCCTTTTAGTTCTCTCAGGTTTTGCTTCATATATTTTGAAGGTCTGATGGGCAGCACATATTATTATTTTTGCCATGATTTTGTGGAGCATTGGTCCTTCATGTGGTCTTCACTGACATAGTGGAGTGGGTGGCCTTGTTACCACTGGGTGTCGTCAAAGCTGTCACTACATTTCCTCTAATACCACGCCATCTGGGAAAAAAAGGGCACCTCATTACTGCCAGAAGCGGTGAAATTTTCAGCTCCTTATGTGTTTAACACATGCTTTTTCTTCCTACTTTTCAGAATTTTCTTATTTTTGTGTTATATACAGTGCTCAGGGTTTTAAGTTGTAATTATTGAAAAGAATAAGGAATATATGTATAGTCCATCTTCCCGTAAGTAGAAGTTATGGTTCTTTTTAAAATAATAGTTTGATATGAGCATATTCATTTTTTAAAATTAAAACTAGAGTTATCTTTTTGTTTTTTCAAATTTTAGACATGGATGTCTGTGAGGCAAAGTGTAAAAAAATACCCATGTGGAACAGTCAGACCCTGCTGGAATTATTGCTTTGCCAATTCCGATCCATACGGACTTGGCAATTTAATTAACTTCTGCAAGTTTTAGCCTCTTCATAAATAAAATGAATATAAGAATACACACCTTGCCAGGCGCAGTGGCTCACGCCTGTAATCCCAACACTTTTTGGGAGGCCGAGGTGGGTGGATCACCTAAGGTCAGGAGATTGAGACCAGCCTGTCCGACGTGGTGAAACCCCATCTCTACTAAAAGTACAAAAATTAGCCAGGCGTGGTAGCATATGCCTGTAATACCAGATACTGTATCTGAGGCAGGAGAATCGCTTGAACCTGGGAGGTGGAGGTTGCAGTGAGCCGAGATCGCACCATTGCACTCCAGCCTGGGCAAAAAGAATGAAAAACTGCGTCTCAAAAAAAACAAAACAAAACAAAAAACAACTTTTGAGTTTTTCACAATAGCATCGTAACAGATGGTGATAATCTCATTGTGGTTTTGATTTGCCCTTCAGTGGTCATTAATGATATCGAGCATCCTTTCATATACCTGCTGGTCATTTCTCTGTCTTTGAATAAATTTCTATTCAGATGATTTTCTAATTTTTAATTAGACTTTGTTTTTATGCCATTTAGTTGTAAGAGTTACTTATATACTTCAGATATTAGTCCCTTATCAGATATATAGTTTGCAAATATTTTCTCCCATTCTGTGGCTTGTCTTTTCTTTTTGTTGTTTTCTTTGCTGTGCAGAAAATATTTAATGTTGCTTTTACAATTTAAGTTCATCTTCATTAACATGTCTGGCATATAATACTATATGCCCATTAAATAAGTTATACATATTACAGCTTCTCATTACATTTCACTGTCATTAAGAAGTTAGTCCCCTTTCACATTTTTAATATTCACTTTTTCTGAGTTACATCTGAGATCATGTGACTTCTTTTTATTCATTTCATTCATCATAATCTCATAATCTTCAGTTTTAAACTTTTTTTATCTTCAGTTTCTGTAGGTACATAATAGTTGTTGATGTTTATAGGTTATGTGAGGTATGTTGATATAGGCATGCAATGTGTAATAATCACAGCATAAGCAAGGCATTCATCACCTTAATAATTCATACTTTGTTTCAAAAAATCCAGTTACACACTTTTAGTTAATTAAAATGTACAATTAAATTACTTTTGCCTATACACACTCTATTGTGTAGGAAATACTAGGTCTTATTTATTCTTTCTAACTATCTTTCGTACCCATTAGACTTCCTCCCTTCCTCCCCCAACCCCTGCCTACCCTTACCAGCCTCTGAAAAGCATTCTTCCACTCTATCTTCATGAGTTAAAGTGGTTTAATTTTTAACATCCACAGATAAGTGAGAAAATGCAATGTTTGTCTTTCTGAGACTGGCTTATTTCATTTAACATAATGTCCTTCAGTTTCCTCTATGTTGCTGTAAATGACACGATCTCATTCTTTTTTATAGCTTCATAGTATTCCACTGTGTATATGTACCACATTCTCTTTTTCCATTCATCTATTGATGAACGATTAGGTTGCTTCCAAACCTTCACTCTCTATTATGAATAGTGCTGCAATAAACATGGAAGTGGAGATATCTCTTCAATACACTAATATCCTTTCTTTTGGGTATATATCTATGAGTGGGATTGCTGGGTCATATGTTAGCTCTATTTTTAGTTGTTTGAGAAACCTCTAAACTGTTCTCCATAGTGGTTGCACTAATTTACATTCCCACCGGCAGTATACAAGCATTCTCTTTTTCCCACATCATTGTTAACATTTGTTACTGCCTGTCTTTTGGATAAAAGCCATTTTAACTGGAGTGAGATGATACCTCATTGTAGGTTTGATTTGCTTTTCTCTGAAGATCAGTTATGTTGACCTCCTTTTCATAGGCCTGTTTGCCATTTGTATATCTTCTTTTGAGAAATGTCTATTCAAATATTTTCCATATTTTCAGTCAGGTTATTAGATTTTTTTCTTCTAGAGTTGTTTGTGCTCCTTATATATTCTGGTTATTAATCCCTTGTCAGATGGGTAGTGTGCAAATATTTTGTCCCATTCCATGGGCTGTCTCTTGACTTTGTTGATTATTTCCTTTGCTGTGCAAAAGCTTTCAAAGTTGATGTGATATCATTTGTCCATTTTTACTTTGGTTGCTGTGCTTGTGGGATATTGCTCAAGAAGTCTTTGCCCACTCCAATGTCCTGGAGAGTTTTCCAAAAGTTTTTGTTTAGTAGTTTCATAGTTTGAGGTCTTACATTTAAGTCTTTAATCCATTTTGATTTGACTCTTGTATATGGTGAGAGATAGTGGTGTAGTTTCGTTCTTCAGTATAGAAATATCCAGATTCCCAGCAACATTTATTGAAGAGACTCTCCTTTCCCCAATGTATGTTTTTGGCACCCCACTTTGTTGAAAATTAGTTCACTGTGGATGTATGGATTCATTTCTTAGTTCTCTATTCTGTTCCACTGGTCCATATATCTGTTTTTAATGGCAATAATATGCTATTTTGGTTACTATAGCTCTGTAATATAATTTGAGGTCAGGTAATTTAATTCCTCCAGTTTTTTTCTATTTGCTTTGGATAGTTTTAGCTATTCTGGGACATTTATGATTCCATATAAATTTTAGGATAGTTTTTTTTTTCTAATTCTGTGAAGACTGTCAGAGGTATTTTGATAGGTATTGCATTGAATCTGTAAATTGGTTTAGGTAGTATGTACATCTTAACAATATCAATTCTTCCAAGCCATGAACATAGAATAACTTTACTATTTTTGTGTTGTATGTTTTTTCTATAACTAGTTGTTTTATTTTTTTATCATGAATAGATATCAAATTTTATCAAATGCTTTTTTTCAGCAGAAATTGAAATAATCGTATGGCTTTTGTCCTTCATTCTGTTGATATTGTTGTATTTCATTGACTGATATGCTTATGTTGAATGATCCTTGCATTCCTTAGATAAATACCATTGTTCGTGGTTAATAATCTTTCTAATGTGTTGTTGAATTTGGTTTGCTAGTATTTTGTTGAGGATTTTTGCATCAATATTCATCAGAGATATTGTCCTGCAGTTTTCTTTGTGTGTGGGTGTGTGTGTTCTTGTCTTGTTTTCATAGCAGGTTAAACTGGTTTCACAGAATGAGTTTCAAAGTACTCCCTCTTCCTCTGTTTTCTAGAACAGTTTGAGTATAATTGGTAATAGATCTGCATTAAATGTTTGATTGAATTCAGCAGTGAAGTCATCAGATCCTGGGCTTTTCTTTGCTGGAAGATTTTTTATTACCATTTCAGTCTTGTTACTTGTTACTTGTTGTTGATCCATTCCGGTGTTTAATAATATAGTCACAGTTTAATCTTGGTAGGTTTTATGTGTATAGAAATTTGTCCATTTCTTCTAGATTTTCTATTTTATTGGCATGTAGTTCCTCATAGTAGTCACTAATGATCCTTTGAATTTCTGCAGTATCAGTTGTATGGTCTCCTTCTTATCTCTGATTTTATTTATTTGATCTTCTCTTTTTTTCTAAAAACTCTTCTTTTTTGTCTAAAGGCCTCTGATGCATTTTTCAGTGTGTCAATTACATTATTTAGCTCTAGAATTTCTGCTTGATTTCTTTTAGTTATTTCAATCTCTTTGCTAAATTTATCTGATAGAATTCTGCATTTCTTCTCTGTGTGATCTCGAATTTCTTTGAATTTCCTCAAAACAGCTATTTTGAATTTTCTATCTAAAAGGTCACATATCTGTTTCTCTAGGATTGATCTCTGGTGTCTTATTTAGTTCATTTGGTGAGGTCATGTTTTCCTGGATGGTCTTGATACTCGTGAATATTTGTCTGTGTCTGGGCATTGAAGAGTTACACATGTATTAATATTATAGTCTTCATAGTCTGGGCTTTTTTGTGCCTGTCCACTTTGGGAAAGTTTTCCAGATATTCAAAAGGACATGGGTGTTGCGATATAAGCTGTATCTGCTTTAGGGGGCACCCCAAGCCAGTAATAGTGTGGCTCTTGCAGAATCACATGGATATATCGCCTTGATTGCCTTGGACAAGATCTGAAAGAATTCTCTAGATTACTAGGCAAAGACTCTTGTTCTCTTCCCTTACTTTCTCCCAAACAAACTTCCCAAACTTTCTCTTTGTTCTGACCCACCTGGACATTGAGCTGGAGTGAAACAAGCACCTGTGTGGCCACCACCATAGAAACTGCCCTGAGAGAGACCTGCAGTCAGGATAGCACTAGGTCTCACCCAAGACTCACTGTAACAACTACAAAGGTAGCAGTTATGTTCACTCAAGTCCCTAGGGCTCTACAATCAGCTGGTGGTGAAGCCAGCCAGCCTTGTGTCCTTCTTTTCAGGGCAGCAAGTTTCCTCAGGCTTCAGATGGGTCCAGAGGTGCTGTTCAGGAGCCAGGAACTGAAGTCAAAAACCTTAGAAGTCTATTTTGTGTTCTGTTGTACTAAAACTGAACTGGTACTTAAACCAAAAGATTCCATTCTCCCACTCTTCTCTTCCCTTTCCACTGGCAGAGGGGCTTCACCCCATGGCCACCACTACCACAGCCCCATGGGGAGTCATGCCAGGTTAACACCAATGTTCACTTAAAGCCCAAGGGCTCTTCAATGAGCTTGTTGTAAATGCTTTCTAGCCTGAGACTCATCTTTCATGGCAGTGGGCTCCCCTCTGGCCCAGGGCAGCTCCAGAAATGCTGTTCAAGAGCCAAGGCCTGAAATTGGAGACTCCAAGAGCCTACTTGGTGCTCTAACCTCCCTGTGGACAAGCTAGTACCTAAAGTGCAAGACTAAGTCCCTTTTACTTTTTGCCCTGCTTTTCTCAAGCAGAAGTCTCTCCTCTTAGCCACCATAGCTGAGAATGTGCTGAGTATTAACTGAAGTCAGCAAGTCTCACCAAAGTCCCACACAATACTAGCTGGATATTGCTTATTATTATTTAGGGGCCAAGGGATTGTCAGTTAGCAGGTGATAAATCCTGGACTTACTCCTTCAAGAAATTGGGTTCTCTTCTCGCCTAGGGTGTGTCTAGAAATGTCATCCATGAGCTAGGACCTGTAATGGGAGCCTCATGACTGATTCATGCCCTGTTCTACTGTGCCTGAGATGGTATTCAAGATGCAGACAAAGTTCTTCACACTCTTCTCTCTCTTCTCCTCAAGTGGAAGGAAGGGGTCTCTTTTGTGGCTGTGAGCTGCGCAGCCTGGGGTTAAGGGAGATATGGTCCTAGCACTACCTTAGCCATCCTAGTTGGTGTCTCAGTACGTTGCATGCTCCCCTGTCCACTGGCTCTTAATCAAGCACTAGGATTCACCTAAATGTTGCAGCACTTTTGGCTTAGACTGCCTTTCAAGGTTATTTAGGATCTCAGAGCACTTTAGCCCATGAGGGTGAGGTTTTCAGGAGCTAACATTCCAACCATTGGGAAAGGTTATTCCCCTCTGGCTAAGACTGATTTAAATGCTTTCTCCATGGGTGGGCATCAGCTGAGTTTGTTCCTGTTTTGCTTTCTGCTCTAACAGCGCAGCACTGAGTTCAATGCAATGACTCACAATTACTGCACTTTCCCTCCCCTAAGAACTCCGATTCTTTCCCTGAACATGCTGTCACTGCCAAGGATGGTGAAAGGGTGGCTTTCGAGACTCAAGACTGTTTCTCCTACCTCCTCAGTGCCTCTTCTAGTGATACAAAGTTAAAACCAGGTATTATGAGTGCTCAACTAATTTTTGTTTCCTATGAAGTTGCTTTTTTGGTTAGATAGTTGTGAAATTTTTGTCCTTGTTAGGAAGACTTCTATTGTGGAGGCTTTCACTCTGCCGTCTTTTTCTGCCTCCTTTCTCAATTTTTAAAGATAGCATAATTCAGTTAATCATATTACTAACTCAAAGAGAGTTACAAAATAAGGTTGTTATTTTATCTACATTTCAATTTTGTTAAGTAATATTTGCCCAAATGAAATTTCTTTGAGCAGTTGTAAAGTGTTAATAATTTCAAATTTTTGGGGGGTGAGATACTGACTTTCTATAGAGTGTGTACAACAAACATATATTTATTACTGGTAAAATCCAAACTATGAAAACTAGATTTCCAAGATGCTTGATAATGTTTTAAACACCTTCAATAAATGATTATAGAAACACTTCTTAATCACCGCTTCTTGGAATTCATTATTTTTGGAAACAATAACAAATTAAAGCTATGTCAGGAAGACATAGAACTTCTAAGATGATTTAAAGACATTTTATTCAATCTTAAGTGTTTATCCTACACAGTACTATGTGAAGGAAAAATGAAGAAACTAAAATTTACTGAACATTTGCTACATGATAGGTATGGTATTATGTGTTTTTTACTTATTATTTTATATTTTCATCTCATATATAAAACTATAACCATTTTAATCAGAGTATTTGGAGGCTTACAAATTATAAATACATTAACTATTAGAAATTATTTTTAAAAGTGGAATTGACAATACCCATTTTATTATCTGCTAAATGTTGAACATATCAGTGTTGAGATAAACCCCTGGTTATATTTTCAAAGCCCACAGTCATTTATTGGATGTTTCTATGTTTCTGTGTTTGCATCAGAATGTATACATTATATTTAAATCACCACTTAACCATATAGGTATAACTCAATAGCATTAATTTTATTCATAATGGTTTTTAACCATCACCACTATCTATTTTCAAAAGCTTTTATTCACTCCAGACAGAAACTCTGTATCTCTTAAGCAGTAACTGTCTATTCTCTCTCATCCCTGGTGCCTCGGATCTGCTTTCTGCCTCTGTGAATTTTCTATTCTAGATATTTCATATCAGTAGGGTCATACAATATCTGTCCTTTGTGTCAGGCTTATTTCACTTATCATAATATTTTCAAGGTTCCTACATGTTATAGCATGCATCAGAACTTCATTCATTTTTATGGCTGAGTGATGTCCCATTGCATGATATGTATCATGTTTTGTTTATTCAGTCATTTGTTGATTGACACTTAAATTGTTTCCAGCTTTTGGCTATTGTAAATAATACTAATATCAACGTTGGTATGCAAATATCTCTTTGAGTCTCTATTTTTAATTATTTGGGGTACACTTTAGAGTAGAACTGATATGTCATGGTAATTCTATGTTGTGTAGCATCTTTTCAGAAAGGTTTCAAAATTATGAACTTAAATAAATTTGTAAATTTATAGGTTCCTTAGAAATCCTCTAGTTTTATCTCTCCTCAAGAATTCATCAAAAATGACTGAATTTATTTGTGTGCAAACTTTGGTTATTATACTTGCTCATCTAAGAGTTGAGAATTCTCAAATTAACGTTATGATACTTTTGTTGTTAACCCGTTAATATTCCTTAATGAAGTATCAAATAGTACATAAAGCAGAATCAATGACAACGTCAGTCTAAACACCACTACTTAAAGTCATATAATATTTTCAACAGACTTTTGTACAAGAACTCAGCACCTAATAATTAGGTAGGCAATAATAACAAACATAAGACAGTGCCAGATAATTATATGAACCAGCCAAAAATCTTCCTGAATTATCTTCTTTAAAGCACTTGCATTTTGATAAATATGATTAAAGAAAAGTCTCCATTCTGCAGACCCAAATGCAGTTAGTACAAATGTCTTCGGTTAATATAAGGAAAAAGGCATACAGTGGGTCAGCTGCTGTACTTTATACATTATACCAAAAACATAATAATCACATTTACCTTTCAATGATATGCTGATATAATTGGACAAGTTGCTCTTTGGGATTATTTTCCTCATTTGCAAATGCTGCAGACCGGATGAAGCACTAACCAGCATTCTAGCCTTCAATATGAGTCATGGGGACAAGCAATATCTACAGAGAGGAAAGGAATAATTTATTGTTCTGGCTGAAGTTACTTTATTTTATGTATTTGAAGTTTATTTCCATACATCAGAATGGGGCCACATGGTTCATCTACCAAAGATGTATATAGAACCTACTGTGATATAAACTTTCTTTTAAGGACTTAACCGTTAATGTGATTGGAAATGTAATTTCCTCATGACCCTCTAGTATAAATTGTGTAGAAAAGTAATCTAAACTTTATAGTGATCAGAGTTGGTAGCTATATTCAATGTCAGACAGGCATATTCTAGTCTGAGTTAAAAACTTAATGGGTAATTCAGAGCCTGACATTCTGTGACCTGACTGGAGATGACTTTATTTCCATTCATCCTCTTGGAAACCTTGTCTCTCAGTTTTCTGAATTCTGTAAAGGTGTGATCAGCCCTTGACCCAGAGACAGAGCCTTTGTGGTAAAATGAAGAAATTATCTTGGATGATATCCAAAGTCCATTTCCATTTAAACTTTTAATAACTGACTACGTTTTCTAGAAAAGTTACGGAGAATAAAGAAGAATGTGCTGAAAACAAACATTCTCTTGAAAGAAATGGAGAAAAGAGTGTGATTGTATTTTAAAACACTGGCAAAGCCCTAAGATTGCTTTAACTAAAGATCCTGTAAATGAGTTTCATGTGCAGAATGTTTAATCTCCTGGTTATTTAAGTAAAACATTTCATTCTAGAATATACAAACAATAAAAATATCTTTAGAATCAATCCATTTAACCCAAAATCCCACTAGCCCGTATTTGTCACTGTTAATTTTTTAGTATAATTTTGTACTAAATATGCAGATATAGAAATAGAATATTATACACCATTTTAGAAAATGTGAGAAATGTAATTTTTCCCATTATATATATAAATTATTAATAATATATGAAGTATTTCCCCATTTCATTGGATGCTCTTTTAAACAAAGATTTTAATACTTCTTTAGAATTCATCCTTCGAATATGCATTTTTTAAAATTCTATATCCTAAAGATTTAAGTGTTTCCATAGAGGGCATCCTTTAAAAGATGTAAATAAATTATCTCTAAATATTTCCTAAGGACAGATTTTCTTAAGTAAAATTAAGAAGTATACCATCATACGATGCCTTTCTTACATTTTACTACATGGCTTTTCAGGATTTTCTTTACACAAGTTTATGGTTTTTCTAGCATGTCTATTGTAAAAGTGGCATATAAAAGCATCTTTCATATTGTAAAACAAGTAATATTTGCAAATTACTTATTAATTATCTTTTTAAAAGTTGACTTTTAGATAAAACTGCGCAATCTAATATCAATTCTTATATCTATTACATTTATTATTAGTAAGGAAGTAATCAGCAACAGTCAGTAATAAGGTAGTACTGAATGTCAGAAATTAGAAAAAATAAAGTAAAAATATGTTTCACATGCAAAAATGGTCTCAGATACTTGCTAGACAAGTAAAGGTATGTATCAACATCTCTCAATTAGCATGTACCATAACATTTATTTAAAACATGAAAACTGGAAAAAATGATACAATAATTCTTTCTTTCTCTCTCTCTCCATATATATATATATATACACACACACATATGCATATATATATGCACATACATGAAGACATAGGTATATATACTACATATTTTTTTTTGCAAAACCACTTAAATATAAGTTTAAGACATCATAGTAATAAACCACTAAATATTTAACTGTATTTCTTCTATAAAGATGTTTTCCTATAACATCACAATCTCTTTAACACACCTAAGAAAATTAATAATATTTTCATGATATTATCTTATAAATGGTCGTGTTCAAATTTCCACAAGCTGTTTCTCATTTTGTTTTTGAGAGAGAGTTTCACTCTTGTCACCCAGGCTGGAGTGCAGTGGTGTGATCTCGGCTCACTACAACCTCTGCCTCCCGGGTTCAAGCAATTCTCCTGACTCAGCCTCCTGAGTAGCTAGGATTACAGGCGCCATTCCCAACACCCAGCTAATTTTTGTATTTTTGGTAGAGACGGGTTTCACCATGTTGGCCAGACTAGTCTCGAACACTTGACCTCTGACCCCAGGTGATCTGCCCTCCTGGGTCTCCCAAAGTGCTGGGATTAAAAGCATGAGCCACCACGCCCTGCCTTGTTTCTCCTATTTTTTGGGGTCACGGGCTGAAAATTGAGGATCCACAATCCAATCAATTTCTACGTTTCTCATTTTGTTATGTTCTTTGTTTATCCTAATCTAGAAATGCTACCTAATCTAGCCATAAAAAAAGCCTTATGGGCTTTTTTGTTTGTTTTTCATGACATTGAACATTGAAGATAGATCAGTTGTCTAATAGATAGTCTCCTTTTCTTTTTTTTCTTTTTCTTTTTTTGATATGGAGTCTCACTGCTCACCCAGGCTGGAGTACAGTGGCACAATCCTCACTGCAACCTCCACCTCCCAGGTTCAAGCGATTCTCCTGCCTTAGCCTCCAGATTAGCTGGTATTTACAGGGGTGCACCACCACGCCCAGCTAATTTTTGTATTTTTAGTAGAGACGGGGTTTTTCCATGTTGACCAGGCTGGTCTCCAACTCCTGATCTCAAGTGGTGATCCACCTGCCCCAGCCTCCAGAAGTGCTGGGATTACACGTGTGATCCTGGGAGGATCACCTGAGGTCAGGAGTTTGAGACCAGCATGGCCAACATCGTAAAACCCCGTCTCTACTAAAAATACAAAAACTAGCCAGGCATGGTGGTGCGTGCCTATAATCCCAGCTACTTGGGAGGCTGAGACAGGAAAATCACTTGAATCCAGGAGGCAGAGGTTGCAGTGAGCTGAGATCATGCTACTGCACTCCAGCCTGGGCAACACAGTGAGACTCTGTCTCAAATAATTAAATAAATAAAAATGGAGGGTGAAAATTCAGAGTGGATAACAAAAGTAGATTTGTTAGTAATAAGCCATAAATTTTTTATTTCATAAATTTATAAAATTGATATACTCCATCAAGTCTGATTACCTGAGAACAAAATTGAAGAAAAGGTACAAGTGTCCAACACCAGGAATGTAAGTTTACTGTATTACAGTTCCTACAGATGGTAAAAAAATTGGCAGATATAATGTCACATTTGTGCCAACAATTTTAAAATTTAAGTAAATGTTCATCACAAGACATGTACAATACTAGCCTAGGCAACATAACGAGACACCATCTATACAAATAAATAAATAAATAAATAGCTAGGCATGGTGGTGCCCATCCATATTCCCAGCCATTTGGGGGCTCAGAGATGGAAGGATCCTTTGTGCCCAGGAGGTGGAGGCTGCAGTGAGTTGTGATCCTGCCACTGGACTTCTGCCTGGGGGACAGAGTGAGACCCTGTCTCAAAATAAAATTAAAGTGAATAAAAATTTTAAAAAATGTAAATAGAAATAAGGAAAAAGTCTACTATATCAAAAAAATTAATAATTTGAATTGTGTCAACATTTTTAAAGCACTTGAAATTGCAGATACAAACTCCCTCCACCCCTCAAATCAAGATATTCAACACTGTACTTACAAAGACAGATGAAATCAATGGAACAGAGTATAGAAACAGATCCTTGCAACTATGGTGATGTGATTTTCAACAAGCGTCCACTTCAGTTTAGTGAACAAATATTGGATTTTTTTTAAATGCTGGAAATAAGAGAGATTTAGCACTGACAGAAAAATTTCCCTACCTTACACCATGAAGAAAAATCCTTTTCAGATGGTTTGGAGATCTAAATATCAGTGAAGGATAAGATAATAAATCTCTTAAATGTAAACATAGGAGAATATCCTCATGGCCACGGGTTAAGGGAATTTTCTTAAAGGGACACTAACCATGAAGGAGAAGTGAATGAAAAAGTTAACTTTACTAGAATTAGGAACCATATGATCATTAAAAAAAAATCATTAAGATTGTGAAAAGCCAAGCTACAGACTGGCAAGACTGTAATTCAAACTGCTGAATTACTTCTATTTGCAGGTGTTTTGAAAATAAATATATCTATGCTAAATATTTTTGCAGTATTTCATGTATAGATTATATAAATGACTCATAACTTTTAAAAAAAAGGCCAAAAACAAAGTTGAAAATGAGAAAAAGTTACAAACACAATAGAGGAAATCAAAATAACACGTAAATGTGTTAAATAGTGCTCAATCTTCTTAGTTACATTGGGAAGATGCAAAGGAAAACCTGAATGAGGTCTCACCGGCATACCTGCCAAATGGCTACAGAGAAGACAGAAGGCAAAGTTGTGGGAAAATTAGAACTTTCACGTGACATTGTGGAAGTGCCCATGGTCAAATTCCCTAGGAAAATAATTTGGCAGAATCTCCTGTGACCCAGCCGTTTCACTCTCAACACACCTCAACTCTTAAGTATATTCAAGCAGAAATGGGTTCACATGGTCAACAAAAGACATGTACACAAATAATCGCACTGTTCCTAATAGCCAAAACAGAATCATCTAAATATTTACAAACGACAAAATGTAGAAATAAAGTGTTCTGTAACCATATAGCAATGAAAATGAAACAGCAATATGCTATGAATCTCACAAATATGCAGTTGAGCAAAAGAAGCCTGAAATAAAAGATCACATGTTGTACGATTCCATTTATATGAAGCTCAGATAAAGGCCAAATTGGTCTCTGAGGACGGAAATCAAGATAGTTTACTTTCGTGGGGACAAACGACTTGGTGGAGAAATTCATGATACTTTTGCTCTAATTTCTAGGTCAATGTGCTCTTCGGCTCACATATTTGAGTTTCTTGAAGTTGTTTTTCTGCTGTTGCCTTGCATTCCATGATGCTCTTCCAAAATCAATCTACTCCTTCCTGTTTTCTTTCACTGTTGTATAACTCATTTGCTCTGCATGAGGGCCTAGATAATTATTTGTATCTTCATTGCCTATTAGTTCTATTAAGATACAAGAACCACTTATTCCACAGAGAACTACAAGACACATTGCAGTGGATGATACAAATATGTGTATATTATGGGGTCTCATTCTGTTGCCCAGGTTGGAGTGCAGTAGCGTGATCCTGGCTCACTGAAACCTCTGCCTCCCGGGCTCAAGTGATCCTTCCACCTCAGCCTCCCAAGAAGCTAGAGCTACAGGCACATGACACCACACCTGGCTAATCTTTGTATTTCTTGTAGATACGATGTTTTCAACTGGTCTTGAACTCCTGGGCTCAAGTGATCCATCTACTTTGGTCTCCTAAAATGCTGGGATTACAGGCATGAGCCACCAGGCCCACCCTGTATTATAATTTTAAATAGCAGTTCTATATAAAGTCATCCCTTAGTAGCTACAAGGCATTGGTTGCAGGACACCTCCCTAACCTTCACGCCCCCTCATACCAAAATCTGAAGATGTAGTAGTCCCTGATATAAAATGCCATGGTATTTGCATACACTCTACACACATCCTCTTGTATGCTTTACATTATCTCCAGATTAGTTATAATACTTAATTCAATGTAAATATCATGTAAACAGCTGTTATACTTATTGGTTTTATGTATTTTTTTATTATTATGTACTTATTTTTTATATATTTTTTCCTGAATATTTCTCTTCCACAGTTGGTTGAATTTCTGACATGGGACCCACAGATGTGGAAAGCCAACTTTATACTGTTACTAAGCAGTATATTGTTTCACTGTTCTTCTCCAGGTATTTTTATATATTTCTGGGTGTTTTTGCTTACTTTCTCTATCCTTTAAACTCTTTTGATGTTTACTACCCATTGTACATTCAAGTTCTAAAACCTTTGCATATTTTGAAGTACCCTCTCAGTCTTTCTCAGTCAAATCTATCCTTCCTTTATCATTTTGGGATTCAGCTTTCATGTCCCATGTGGTTGTGTCTTCTTCAATTTTCTTGGTCCATTAATTTTGGTTTAACACTTTCTTTCCATTTGTTCATTTCTATTCTGAGTTTTTAAATTTTCTAGATTTGGATGTTCTTCAATATCTTCAAATGCCTGATAATATTTAATTTTTAAAAACTTTGTTTTGTAGCTGGTGTTGGGGGTTGTATTTTCATTAGTTGAAAACTTTAGTCCCTATTTTATTTTTTCTTCCTCAGCATCGGGTGCTATTTATAGATTTTTGCCTGTCCTTTTCTGTTTGTTTTCATAGACATTGGGACAAAAAAAATGCAATGTATCCATGGCTTATCATTGTTTTACCCAAACTCCATCCTTTTGCATTGGAACTGTGAAGTACAGTTTATTTACTGTACAACTTTTTTTTTCTTTTTGAGGAATGATGGGCTTGGTGAGTTTTGTTGTTTGCACATCCTTTAATTTCTACCAGTTGCCTCCTTTTTTCCGTTTCCTGCCAAGGCTGCAGAGTGCCTTTCTCTTTTAGTTTAGTCTCAGCATCAAAATCCTTTGGTCTAAGCAAGTACATTATATTCTCCTGATTAATGGAAAGGGAGGCTTTGGAGTTTAAAAATGCTTTTAATGTGAAATGGGGCTTATCTTAATTTACTAGAAGCAAAATATATTTGTTTTTCTTTTATTGCTATCTTCTGCAAGCCCATCTTTTGCATTTTTAAATGGACTTCTTGTTACCTGTGAACTGTTCTTCCAAAGCCAAAAATAAATTGAAACTCCCTTCAAATCTTAATTGCCTCAGATGTTTAATCTGCACAATAAGGCCAATAACCCTGACACACTTCACAGGACTGCAGAAAGAGAAAGCAAATAAATATCACGAATATACACACAGTTGTAAAAGCTCTTGTAAATAAAATACAGCTATATAAATGCAAAATAACCATAATACTTGTAATTGCTTTTGAACACTAGAATTTTAGAAGGCAGGTTTTGGTAAATACCCCCCGACCCCCGCCTTTGTGAATTCACAGTCATAATAGAATAGATAATTGTGTTTTCCTAGGTTGCATGTCAAGAGCCAACCAGAAGAGTGGAAAACTAGTTTTTATTACTGTACACACATTGTCTGAAGAAAGCCAACAGCAATGAATCTTCAAACTTTCGGGATTTACTCGGATGATTTTATATTTCCACGATTGCTTCTATTTTCTCTTTGCAGCTCTGACTCTACAATAACTTCCAAACCATTCTCTTGATGCACAAACTCCACCAAGACCTACAGTCACTTATGTCCTCTACCCAACTCCACAGATTCAGACTACGGGCTCCTCCCCATTCCTGGGCTACTGATTGCCCTTTCCCACTTCTGAGCTTTGGTTTGCTCTTCTCTCTCCTAGGCTTGTTTTCCATTTCTTTCCTTTCTCATGATGTTTCTTGGATACTGCCATGAAGTCTAGTAATAACTGTTTTAGGAAAATATCATCTTTGCCAAGGTAAAGCATTTCTTATCTCTACTACAACTCTTAACAAATTGTATCTTCTATTACAATGGATCGCCTGAATCATTTCTTTTTCCTAATGACTTGAAGAGAAAGTATTGCCCTATTGCTTTTTTTCCTCTCTTAGTATTGCTCAGTAGAGTGGTATAAACAGAGAGATGTCCAATATGTGTTTAATAATTGAGAGTAACCAGACTGTCTTAGGAAATGAGGAGAGGAGAGTTACCTTTTCTTTAAATGTTAGTAACTGGAGACAGAATTTCCCTCAGGACTGTAGACAGTACTACAAAGAAAGAGAAGTATTTTCACTTAACGATTTTCAAAGAAAACTCTTACACATTCACACAGAGTCAGGTCAGTCTTTTTGATGTAAGCACACAGAATATAGATAAGTATCTAATAATACAGTATTTGAATTAAATTGAATAATCTCTAGTGTGATTTCATGGAAAGATACTTTTTAAATTCTAAAAATTATACTAAGAAATTATGTATAAGAAAGTATACATAATTATGCAAACACCATATAAATGATAGATAGCATATCTTTAAGGTGTAATTTTTAGCTGAGTTTAAAAGAAAGAGAAAATACTTCCAGGTATCAGACAAAGCAAAACTTGAAGACAACACAGTCAGCTTCCAAACTAACATAGAACAAGGCTAAGAATGACATGAAAATTGTTGTTGATCTAGTAAATTAACATACATACAAGGGGAGAAAATTTGGCCTTAGATACATGTGAAGTGGGGATCTGAAACTAAAATCTCAGCAGAAATCTGAAACCAGAAAAAAGTGCCCTCTTGGGGATAGAAAGCCTAAAAATGAGTTCACTACTACAGGGAAGCCCTGAGGAAGTTTTGCCCTGCATCAGGTAAATGAGTGGTGAAAGAAATCTCCCTTGAGAAATACAAACTCCAAGTGGATAAAATCAAACTTTGCATTTGGGTCACACAAGCTGAGATATTAATTTAAAAACTAGCCTCAGAACAGTGATCACCCAGGGAACCCAAGAGAGGCTTTCAACATCCATGCTCTAGAAATGTTAGAGTAGGTAGTTAGGCAGACATGAACAGGGAAGCAGAGAACAATCCCAGAAATGACAGGTGATCATCCGGTGATGGTCAGGCGGTTGTTAAACTGTCTCTCTGAAATGATAATTGATCACAGCTGGTGCCAAGGGAAAACAGCTGCTCAACAGATAGAAAATACCTGCAGCTAGTGATCAGTAGCTTCCGGATAAGATCTCAGGAGTTAGGCCAGCAGGCTCAAGCATATGCACTAAGAGGAAAAATGGCAGATGTATGACCTTTCTTTGAGGGTGTTCAACCAGTAAAATAAAATAGCCCCCAAAAGAGCATGCACACAACCTTAGTAAACACAATACACATGCGGTCACCCTCCCGAGTGCTGACCAACACTGTGAATGTGGAAGCTGAGCAATAGCCCATCCCAAGGGAAGGATCAAGGGAGGAGAAAAGAAAACCTTGGATCATGCCAATGTATAAAACCCCAAGTCAAGGGCTGAGTGGCACACTCCTATCTCTCAAGTACCCACTCTTGGCCCTCTTCCAAGTATACTTTGCTTCCTTTCACTCCTGCTCTAAAACTTTTAAGTAAACTCTCACTCCTGATCTAAAACTTGTCTCAGTCTCTCCCTCTGCTTTAAACCTACTTCTGCCCCTCGGCTGAATTCTTTTCTTTGAGGAGTCAAGGATGAAGTTTGCTGCAGCCTCATATGTTTTCATCACTGGTAACAGAAACACTATCATAGCCAAGGGAAAGATCGACTAAAGAAGAAGCCATGTGTAAATATGGCTTCATATGCATGCACAGAAATTACAGATGATATGACCAAGTAATCTACCAAGCATAAGGATCATAAAACATACAAAAGTTGATGCTGAATACCACAAAACTTAAAAAAATTACACATTTAAAACATAAGTGCTATAAAAATAGGCTTGGTATAAGAAAAAGGGCAAAGTATCATGGAAAAAATAGCCAAGTTTGCAAGTAAAAACAATAAAGTTGGATAAAACCAATCAGTAAATTTTAAAAATCAAATAATATGGATAAGTATGGGTGAAGCCTAGATGGACATTGTCTATCCTGTCTTTGCAGGTTTTTGTGAAATCTTAAGTTTAAAATAGAGAGTTATAAAACTCAGTGAGATACATGACAGGATGTAGCAGCAGAGTAGTAGCACAATCTGATAAAATTGCACACAAAGAAAACAATAGATTAATGTCACTTACAGCTGCAAATGGAAATATCTTAAAACATTGATAGATAAAATTCACCAAATATTTGGGTCTCCAGAGGATCCCTTAAAGAAACAGATGGCACACTCAGAGGGTTTACTTAAGTGAAGATTTAAAAAATGGACTATTTCCATAGGTCTGAACAGTGTTAAAAATACCAAGAAGATGTGTGTAGCACTCAGGGCATTGTAAGAATGAGAAAGAAGCTGTTAGGAGCCCTAAATCATATTGGAAACTCAAAAGATAGTAGGTCTAATAGAAAGGTTGACTGATGACCTGAGAGGATAGAAAACCATGGCCATTGCCAATTTGTAGAGAAGAGACTGTGGGAATAAGATGGCTGTGCCATCCTCTGAGTGTGGAAGACAGAAGACAAGATGCCTAGAATAACCAGCCAACAGCTGTGTTTCTTCCAGAGCACAAAGCCGAGCAGAGAAGGATGGAGAATGTATGTATGGGCACAACAGAGAATAAATAGTAGAGACCATTTATTTTGTCCTGTAGCATTGATCTTGTCCTTTCTTTGGAAGTAAAAGCATAAAGCATAACTTCAAAGCATGTGAAACAAATCCAATCAATATTATGGTGGAATTAATTCCAACACATTCCGTTCCTCATATTGGTGTCTGACTGATGTTGACAATCACCAGTGTTCTTCATATACAGTAGCAAAAAAAAAAAAAAAAAAAAATAACCCAAGCATCATCACTAAAGTCCCTGATTGTGTAGCTGGTCTTGAAGCCCAACTAATAATTGTAGCTATCTTTTCTCTCTTGCTAGTCTGTGTTCCTGTTGCCCTCTTCTACATCCTTGGCACCTCAGAAATTTTTCCCAATGACTCAATTTTCAGAAAATCAACAATTTGTTAGAAACAGTGATAATTTTTGTTTGCTTATTGTATTTTGGTTGCCATGATGTCCAACTGACTTTTATTATTGAAAATAAAAACATTCCAAGGTGTTGGGATAAATCCTGCAGGATATGCACATATTCCTTTTTGCACCCACTGTGTAACACTCATCCAGTTTCTCCATCATATTTATAATCAATCACACCAGCCTCTTCAGTTGACCCCTGCCCTGCTTTTTGATTCAGTGGCATGAAGTACCCCAAATGGTGAGATCTCAGTTTCAAAATTCAGTTTTTAAAACCACAAATGTGTTTCACGGTGGGAGCCATCTCGGCCATCAGGACTTTTGAACTCATGAAGCCATGATTGAGAGGATAAGGAACAAAAGTTTCTTACACATTGTATCTGATGTAATAATGAGACATAGAGCTCCACCTACCATCTCTTTGGTATTCTAGCTATGGGGAAATTGTAGCAGATCCTGGATAGCTAGTTTGAGATTTATATTGCATTTTGAAGGAACGGTCATTAACCTGTTAGGGTATTGTCTTCTAATTGGCTTTGGGTCCAATGATGTGATTATAATAAGGAAATATCAGAGAGTTTCCTAAGTCTGAGCCCATTGTCAGGCTTCTTTATCCATAAAATGAGTATCTTGGTAAGAGGTGATCATATGTGAAATTCCATGCCAATTTATGAGGCAGAATGTTTGTGCTGGCTAGAGTCCTGTGTGGTAGAAACACAAATCACTTTCCAGAATAAGCTCATATTTCCCTAAAGACAAATAAATATCTTCTCCATAAACAAAAGGCACAAAGTAATCAAACTCCTGTGAAATGTCTTGTATGTCCCCTTGGTAAAATGACACCAACGAGGGGCTCAGTTTGGGCACCCAGCAGTTGTGACTGTCACATCAACTCCAGGTCATGGAATTTCAAGTTGTTGAGCTCACAGAAGACTCAATTTCAGATGCCTTGCATCTGAAATTTTTCGTGTATGCTGTCAGCAAGCAACAGGATGTTAGAAAGAAAAAGCCAGTAAATGTCCATAAGATGGGTCATCTTCACCATCTGATCAGTGCCCGGTGGCTCACGCTTGTAATCTCAGCACTTTGGGAGGCCAAGGCGAGTGAATCATTTGAGGTCAGGAGTTTAAGACCAGCCTGGGAAATATGGTGAAACTCCGTCTCTACTAAAATTCAAAAAATTAGCTGAGCATGGTGGTGCATGCCTGTAATCCCAGCTACTCGGCAGGCTGAGACAGAAGAATTGCTTGAACCTGGCAAGTGGAGGTTGCAGTGAGCCAAGATCACCCACTGCACTCCAGCCTGGGCAACACAGTGAGACTGTATCCCCCCACCCCCCCCGAAAAAAAATCAAAACAAAAAACAACAACAACAAAACTTGTTCTCTCAGACATTGGCTATTAGGTCAGATACATCACAATTTAACTCTGATTTAGGGAAATTTAACCAACTCGTTGTACTTTACAAATGTCTAGATTCTTAAGGTAATGAGAAAAAGTAAACCAGAATATTCCACAAGAGTCAGACAATACATATAAGTAAATAAAGAACTACCATATTTAAAAGAATACATATACACAGGTAATGACTACTACAATGTCAGGTGCAAGATGGTGGGCACATCCTGGATTTAACAGACAAAGCTATCAGGTTAAAATATGGAGAAATTCTGGAAACATGGCAGAACACATGCTTTTAGGATTCAAGTAAATTCCTCTGGGACCCACAGTTGATTCAACCAATGGAGATGAAGGGACTTGGAAAGCAGAAGTAGATTCTTTAAAATATCTGACCACAGACCTTTCTGTCTATATTATAAAGCAGATACACACTGGGTAGTTCAGTGACCTGGCTTTTTGCTTATATAAAACCACATGATTTCCATGGTGGGGTAAGTCCCCATTGTTTTATTCTACTTAGACTCCCAGCTCATTATGTAACACTCAGCTTACAAGTTTTTCTCGAAAGTAAAAACTATACCCATCTGGGTAATGGATTATAAAGAAACTGTGATGATGGTGCTTCAGGAAAGAGTCTGTTTTGGATCAGTCATGTATGCATCAGCATAGAGAGACACACTATTGCCTTACAAAATATTCCCTTGCCCAGCAACTTTCAAAGAGGGCAGAATTTGATGTTTGAGATAGCCACACATCTTGAGAGACCTCTCTCAGGAAACAAATATGCAAGCAAAGACTGCAGTAAGGTCTATGCTAATTACTAAGGAACAATAATGTGGATTAATTAAGATTAATTAGTGGGGAGCCATAACAGATTAACAAAAGAAAACTAACATCAATTTGCTATATACTAAATGTCAGGAACTGTGTTTTCACATCCATCATCTCAGTGAATCATCTCAACATTTCTGCTCTTGTTTAGTCTTAACAGCATTCTTTCAAGTTCTGGTCATATTATTAACATTTCACCGATGAGAAAACTAAGCCTAGATTGCTTAAGGAAGTTCCCCAAGGTCACACAGAGCATATGTGACAGCACAACAGTGTAAACATAGAGCTTGTCTCCTACAAAACCACATTCGTCTTTTAAAAATGTTACCCACCAACACTTTCTTGATCAGAGAATGCTTAATAGCATGTGATCTCACTCCTACATGGGTAAACATGTTTGGTAGTAGGCTAGCTTCCTAATTGCACTTGTGTTAGCGTAATATTATACACACGAAAGCTGGCAGTAAGAGAGGATGCCTACGAGGAAGTTGGGTGGTAGATGAAAACCATTTTATGTTTAAAATTGTTTCCAAACATGATTATGGCAGACTGTTTGAGGAATGAGACTGCTCTTTACTTGTTTCTGCCTCTCATCTTAGCCGTGCTCTTTTTTCTA
Organism: Homo sapiens; assembly: GCF_000001405.40. Lineage (NCBI taxonomy): Eukaryota > Metazoa > Chordata > Mammalia > Primates > Hominidae > Homo > Homo sapiens. The sequence goes on along the minus strand of NC_000002.12, from coordinate 123,164,000 downwards.
GCTCAAATCAAAACCCATTTATTGGAACTCTGTTCCCCCCCCACACACTCTGATTGACACCGTCCTTGTAAGGATTCCTCATTAGTTAATCACAGGCACGCCTCCTGGCCCTTGGCCAGTTATTCTTTACTTAATTTGCACAAGGGAAAAACAAAAAGAGGAAAATTCAATTCAGTTATTTTATTAATATGAGGTCTGTGATGTTGTAGGACAAGTCAAATTTGTGTACCTTCTAATTGGTCCAGACAGAGATTCTGCATTTCTTTCTTGAGGACACTTGGTTAGGCAGAAAAAGTTCATATTTCAGAGGGACTATAATCAATATATCAACTATATTAGCCTCGTGTCAACACACATGTGTTCATTATTAAGCAGATTCTGAAGGGCTCACTGAATATTGCACTTTGAAATGTGTGTCTGGTGCCTGGGAGCAATTTTAAACCTCTCTTCTGGGAACTAGGACACACTTAAAAGGATTTAGGAGTAGAAATCTTTCACTTAAGAAAATCCATTTCAGCAATTTGCACATTAAGAAAACGGGAAATGTTTCTTTACCAACTTCACTGGCATTTGATGGGAGATCTACTAAAACACAGGTAATTTTATTCTCGTTATTATGGCTATAGAAGCATAAGTGCCCTTCTACTCTCTTGTAGATATAGTACTGCACAATCCATCATAGGCATTGTTTATTACATCCACATTCTGAGAACAAGTTCCTTTTATTTGATTAATAGTAACATTAAACATTTAGGAAGTATCAGAATTTTGCCAAGAACTTTAAAATGCTTAATGTTACTTAATCCTCACAACAATCAAAGGAGGTGGTTGCTGTCACTGTCTGTATCTCTGTATTAATCATAGGAATTTAGAAAGGTTTAAAGAATCTGTTCAAATTTACGTAATTTATATGACCCAAAGCTTGAATTTAAATCTAATGTGCCTCATTCTAAAATCTATATCTTTAATCTCTGAGTTATACTACCAAGAGAATAATACTAATAGCTAATATTTTTGTGTGCTTTTCATGATCCAAACACTAACATAGGTTATATATATATATAAACACACATGTGTACATATATATGTGTATATATACACATATAACACTTTGAAACATGAGCTGTACCAATAACTAAAATAATGCACAGGACAAAGATCAAAGATTTATTAAAATCATCAGTGCAGGGACCAGTAAAAATAGTAAGCTAGTAGCAAGAGCATTTGAGGAATGACAGATTTGCAGCACATGAAAGAGAAGAGAGAGAAAGTGAGAGGAAGGAAGGAAGAAGGAAGCAAGGAAGGAAGGAAGGAAGGAAGAAGGAAAGGGGAGGGGAGGGGAGGGAAGGGGAGGGAAGGGAAGGAAGGGAAGGAAGGGTTAGATTAAAATGAGTTACTCCTATATTAGGCAATCAAAATCTATTTCTGGGGCTTATCTTTACTACGGAAAATAAATTAACAAGTTAATATGCAACTTCACAATACTGAGCTCTACTCAAATAGTAAATTAAAACATCAAACCTAAATTCATTCTTCTAGAGAAATAAACTCCTGTCAGGCCTGCTAAGTGGTACCACTACCATGTGATATTTTAAAGGCATATCCCTAAATATCATCACCTTATTTACAAATTTAGACTATTCCAAGCTCTTAAGAATATTTAGAATATTATTAATATTTTCCAATAGTAATGATGATGGTATGAATTTCTGTTTACTCAGAAAGGTCTTCAGATAATATATTCTTTCACAGTATTAAAAGACTGCAGAGCTTGGATGAAACCTGGGTTAAATGTAAATAAATGAAGTTCTTAACTGAGTAATTTATTTTTCTTACATCAATTCACTAATATAGTGGTGAAAATTCTTTAAGAGACTTATTTCTCTTAATATTAGTATTTAATTTTTTAGGAAAATTCTTTAGTAAAAATATCTAGTAGAGTAGTAAAATAATCACTCATTCTTTTCATTTTGGAATAATAGTGATTTAGATGTTAGAGGCTATAAATGCACAAATTGTAATGGACTAATTATAATCTCTTTGGTGAAATTTGAAAAACAGTGGCAGTAATCTAGCCTCCTTTATTTCTTACTTTTCAATTTTATGGTGCCTCGTATCAATCTTGTGAAATGATTAACACAAACGTAATTGCTCCATCTGAAATATGAAAGAAACATTGTATGTAGTCTCTAGGCTAGGACTGCCACCACAACAAATCACCACAAAACACATGTGGTACATTTATCAAGAGCAATATGATCTTCAGCAACAGGCAAAAAGATTTAGTCACATTAATGAAGAAAGATGACAGTAGTTTTATAAACGTAGACTTGAAGAAGGACACCCACGAGTAAGTTCATAAGTAACCAAGATTTTAACTCAGACTACCAGTTTTGTCATTGCACATTATAAATTAGCTATTTGTGGATTGTAAGAGTTTATCCTTTCACTCATACTTTCCCCTTCCATGAGTAGAAATAAAATTGAGAAATTGCATTGCAATTCAAAGGTGCTAGGCAAGGAACACTTTGGAACAAAGCTAAATGTTTAAAATATTTGCTCACGTCAGTTGTGAAGACATGATGACTCTACTCACACTGGGGACCTCATCTCTTCTGAAAAATCCCTAGAGGGGCCCTTGTCAACCTGGCTATTAAAGATCGGCTTAGTCTTTGTTTGCCCATTTCTTTTATTTTGAAATGCTTTTGCTTTTAGCTAAATAGCTGAGTTTTACACATTCCATTCTTTTCCTGAGCAGGCACTTTATCTTTTGCATATGTGTAGTCATTAGAGTTTAACTCTTAAAGGCAACCCTGAGAGGATTTGAATGGCATTCTCCACTTATAGCGGCTAATTTCCATTCTATTGGTGAAGAAATTGAGTCTAGCAGAGATGGCACGATTCATCCAAAGTGATAAAGTGTCTAGTAGAATCCAGTATGATAATTGAACAATGATTCTCTACCCGCTTTCTCCATACTACCCCATAGCAAACCCTTGGCACCATGTGATAACAATATTTAAACGATTAAAGATTTAAGATTAATAAACTTTAGATCTATTTTCAACCTGCCCACTCAGCAGATAGCAATAATGAAGATAATTACTGATAAAAATTGATAGGAAGATAGAAGGTGCTAAGCTAATAGCATTGGCAATGACCTATGTATCAAAAGTCAATTGAAATCAGGAGAGTATAATGGGAGTCGATCAGTGATTCTGATGTTGAAAAAGCCGAACTGGCATCTCCATTCTTCATGAAGAGGGCCTGCAGTGTGTTAGAGGATGTTCGTCATTGACAAAGTCCAAAATATTTTGTGTGATTTAGAAGACGCACATTATTCTGTCTTTTGTGGATTTCTCCAGCCTTCCTTTTCCTCATGCTCTATTTCACACGTAGAACCACATCCATTTCCCTAAACGTGTAGTGATGTTTAAAATCTCACATTGGGTTTCACTGCTATCTCAATTGTCATGCTTTTCTTCATCTTGTTTGTCCACCTCAAGAAGGTTTTCCAATTTTTCAAGATTTAAAGTATCACTTTCTCTTTGAATTTCTTCCCAACACACTTCCAGGAAGGTTTGCCATATTCTACTCTGTGTCACAGTGTAACCTTACAGACTTCTGTTGTGTTGCTTTTCTATACTTCATTGTGTCTCCCTTTCTCTCTCCCCTCATGTAAATAATATTATAAAAAATGCAGATTGGAATCTATTTCCCAAACAACCCAATATAAGTCCACAATAACTAGTTGAGAAAATAATAAAAATATGAAAAGAGATTTCCATGTATTCCATTGGCTTTTTTGTGCTCTCTGCATTGTCTTTTGGAGACTTAAAAACCCTTAAAGGATGAAGCTGTGTTATTTATCTGCTATCTGTTTATTTCTATGCATAAGATAGAACTGTTGGCTTTCAGTGGGCACGCAGTCAAAGCTTATCAGTGATAGTATAAAAACAATTGCACAATGCATTTATTTCTCTATCAGTCTTAAGAGTACATGCAACAGAATATCTTCTGTGATCCTGATGATTCAAATAGCAACCCCTAGAGAAAGAAACTGAAAATGGAATATTACAGATTTTGATTGTAGCATATTATGCATTAGTATCTCAAGTTAGGTCAATTTTGTTCATCCATTTTATCCTTACTATTAAAACAGCACATTTCAAAGTGTTAAGGAAAACAATTTTTAATTGGGAAATTGTACAAAAGGTGTTTGGCACAGGGCACAGGTATACGTACTTACAAATTACTTTGTATAAGGGAATGTACTTTGTTCAAATCACCATGCATTTCTTGTTAAAAATCTCAGACTAGTGAAGTCACATGGTAATTAGTAAAAGTTTTCCTAGTAGAAATGGAAATGCCAAGTACAAATTTAATCCTGAGGATTATATTTTATTGGCCTCTAGGAATTAAAACCAAGTGATCTTATTCTAATATTCCTTTATTAAGTGGCCTGTAAATACTCACATCCTGAATAGTTCTTTGAGCTATCTTTTCCCTCTTGCTATTTACATAATTAATTAATTAGCTGAATAAAATGTTACTTATTTCTTTTGTATTTTACAATTTGTATTGGTACATAGTTGGTGTATTTATTTATGTGGTACATTTGATGTTTTAATACAAGTACACAGTGTTTACAAATCACATCAAGGTAAATGTGGTTTCCATGACCTCAAGCACTCATCATGTCTTTGTGTTACAAACATTCCAACTGTACTCCCTCAGCTATTTTAAAATGTACAACAAATTATTGCTGTCTGTAATCTCCTGTTGTGCCATAAAATACTAAATCTTATAGATTGTATCTAATGATATTTTGTACCCATTAACCACCCCCATTTTCTACACTCCCCTACTACCCTTCTGAGGCTCTGGCAACCATCATTCTACTCTCTGTCTTCATGAGTTCAATTGTTTTAATTTTTAGCTTCTACAAATGAGTGAGAACATGAGAAATTTGTCTTTCTGCGCTTAGCTTATTTCAAAAGCACAAGCAAGCAGAGTGAAAACGCACAAATATGATCACATTAAGTTAAAAAGTCTTCACTGCAAAGTTGACAATCAACAAAGTGAAGAGACAACCCACAGAATGGGAGAACATATTTGCAAATTATCCATCTGACAAGGGATTAATAACCAGAATATACAAGAAGCTCAAAGGACTCAATAAAAAATCTAATAACCCTATTAAAAATGGGCATAAGGTCTGAATAGATATTTCTCAAAAGAAGATATACAAATGAATAAAATTATTAAAAAGTGTTTATTTTGTATTTGGAGAACACTCTGTTTATAATTCATTTTTGAAATTATACTTTCAAGCCCCTCGCTTTATCTGTTTCAAAGGAGTCAAAGTGGTGCCCTCATTTATCTATCTATTTTCAGTATATTGCAATGTATTGCAGCTTTTATCTGCCTGGATAAATGAATTTACAATTTGGTATAATTTCAACTCAGGTAACTCTTACAAAATAGACATGGAACTTCAAAAGACACCTGCAAGGAAATTATAAAATGAAGATAATATCAATAATGCAAGCTAAACTAACAATAAAAATTGTCAGAGCTGACACTTCTAATTCTAGTATAAATGCTTTGCTTGAAACATAGTGGTAAATAAATGAGGCTCTAATCATACGTAACAAAAAGCAACAGTAAAACTGTAATAATAAAAAAAAACTGCTTAAAATGTGAATACAGATACATTACCACCATTGTTAATAAGCAGCATGCCTAAGTGCATATTTTGTAAATTGTTTCATGGTGGAGGGTATGTTTTTTATATATGACAATTATCGAAAACAATACCAAAATAAACTGAACTCAGAAGCAGCTCTTTGAAATGCTGTTACAAAAGTGATAAATCAATATTCTCAAAAGTAATTAAGCATAAGCAATCATATTATATATATACACATACATATATATGGAGAGAACACATATGTATATATCTATCTCACATATATATGAATTTTGTATCTATGAAGTACTCAAATATTTATATAAAAAATGTATATACTGACAACACACATACATATTGTAATAAAAAAGATCTTTAAAAGACATTGATTATTTAAAAGTACTTACATTTACCTTTTCAAAATAATTTTAAAATTTATCAAGTGCGTGTTTTATAAGATTTATTGCATGTTACTGCAGCAGGACATACATATATTATATAAATGAATATGCCTTTACTGGGATACCCTAAAGTTGTGTTTTTCTGTTTGCTTTACTGATAGAGTGTGCTACTCAAAATTTTAAACATCACTTTTTTTCTGAGGATTTTTGGGCTATTCTGAAAATAGTGAAAGACTGCTAAGCCTGACACCTGAGTAGGCCTGGGCCTTAAGTGAGATGTTATAAAAGATGCAGAGGACAACACCATGGTCCTCATGGTGGAGGCTGATGGAAGGAAAATGATAGAGTTGGAGGCAAAGCACCTTCCAGCCATCTCATTTTCATCTATCACACACGTACATCTACCTTGTCATTACTTGTCATTTCTTCCCTAAAATTCTCCATTCACACACTGCGTCTCCTGTAGGAATAAAAATAATAAAAGTAATAATAATAATCTCAATGTTTAAGCAGACTATATACATTTTGGTTTGAGCTTTTAGTTTAAATTTGGTTCTCCTTATCTTTATGATATTATTTCCTGCCATGTGCCTGTTGCATTTTGTACAACAGCCAAGAGCAAAGTGTGGTTCTACAACTCAAACTGTCATTTCGTGCCTCCAGGCCTGAGTCCATTTTCATATGTTGTTTCTCTGCCAAGTACTTTTATGTGTCCTCATTCTATTTGCCAACTTATTTACCTTTCAAAACTTAGTTTCAATTTTCCTTCATGAAATGTGTGTGTGTGTGTGTGTGCATGCATTTTAAACACGTTTTCCAAGGTAGGTCTGGAGATCCGTGGAGAGGTATAGGTTGGAGACAAAATTCAGGGAATCATAGAGATAGTAATTAGGTTAAGAATTTGTAGACAGAGAAGTGCGGAAACCAAACAGTTTTGCTAGTTTTTATGGAGAAACAAAAATAAAAACCTTTAGTAGAAATTTTTTTAAAAAAATTGTCAGAAATAGAGAATCCAGCAGAGAGTTTTGGCACAGAAGCTACAGGAAGGGACTTTTTGAAGAGGAGAGAGGATCTATCACTAGCAAAGTAGCAGAGGGGTTCAGAAAACAAAAAAAAAACAAAAAGTACTTAAACTAATTTGAAAGTGAAGTTTATTGGTGATGGTAAGTATTAGTCAGTGTTCTCTAGAGAAACACAACCAATAGGATATATGTGAATCTGTAAGAGGACATTTATGATAGGCCTTGGCTCACAAGGTTATAAAGGCTGAGAAGTCCCTCCAAGGATGGGAAGATGCATGCTCATGTTGGTGACAGTGGATCTTCTTTACCCAGTCCACTGATTCAAATGCTAATCCTTTCTAGAAATACCCACGCAGACACACCCAGAAATAATGTTTCATCAGCTCTCCCCTAGCCCAGTCAAGTTGACACATGGAGCTAACCATCCTACCTTATCAACAACATTTATACTACAGGACAGGAAGAAAAGCTAGGTGGAAAAGATAAGAAGGGAAATTGGAAGGTGTGCTACATAAAGATTTTGATTTCTCAAAAAACTTTGTATGATTTCCATACCCACCTGTGACCATTCTTATAGTTATTCACTTCCTCCTTTCTGCCATCTCTGTCTTGCATATCATTTTTTGTAATGCACTCTAAATGGTAATTTGTGATCAATGCATCTTTACACACAGCCCCTTTCCTCAATTAGGTGTAAATTACCTGAGGTGTTGGACTGTGTCATATTCTTCCCTACATTTCAGGCACTATACAGAGCCCGCCATATCTTAGGCTCCTAATTTTAGCTTTCCTTTTGGAATAATAAACTGAAGAGTATATAACAAATATTGCAATGCATTTTACATGTTATCAATGGTATTGAAATTCTGAAAAGTCAGATATTTGTACTTAAGTCTCTCATCAGTTGAGAAAGTGCTTTAATTTTATTGATTCATTGATATTGACTGTTGAAGGGAGGGACCCAAACACTTATGTCTCCAGGCTCTTGGGAGATATTTACAGGACAGCTCACCTGATTTATGGGTAAGGTCTCTTTCCCCTTCCATAGCTATAACCTAAAACTTGACTTCATTAGTGATACACTCCAGTTAACTGGGCTAACTCAATTGAAACAGCCCTTAGATAATCAAGAGTCAAAGCCCTCTGACTTCAAAAATCAGAGAAAAAAAATCACAAAACCTTCCTATATCAAAAGATAATGTAATGAGAAAGAGTGAATGCATAAAATAGTTAGATGGAATTTGAGCTGCCTTGTCTGTGAGAATGAATATCATTATCTAGAAATCAAAATCATTAAAATACAGTTAAGGACATTGGCGAGAAAATAAAAGGAATAATGTAAAGTAGCTTCCTAACTACAACCATTATCCCTCAAAGCACTATTTAAAGGGAACTGTGAAATCTTGCCTGGTTCAAAGATCTCTGGGCACACCATGCATGACAAACTGAATACAAAATAACCTACATAAAAGTCAATGTTTTCATAAATGCAATAAGAAAGAACTTCTTATTATTCTTTCTGTAAAAATTAAAAAAGTAGCCCGCAATGCAACGTTAATTGTACCTAAATAGTCATATTTTAATCATTAATATTGTTGGAGTATAATTGTAGATTAAAAATCCATTCCAGATAGAAGAAAGCTGTATTAACTAAAATAACTCAACAGTACTTTTCTAATAAAGACAGTGGTGAGTATATAATTTCTTTCAACAGTGTAATAACTGGAATGAAATTCAAAAATATCTTATTATTATAAATCTGCATGAAAATTAGTTTCAACTTTACTGCTAGCCAACTATTATAGTTTACAGGAAAGCTGGAAACCCTAGTTCTATCTACTAGTTACTGTGGAGCTAGTCATAGGAAATATAAACTAGGTTACCCTGGATTGCCCATTCACAGGCTTCTTAAAATCATAAGTTAGCACTAAATCTACGGAATTATTCTCTCTAATATAGAATTACAAAATTAGGAGCTGTGATTAAATTAATTTAATTAGGTATTCAAGTACTACACTAACACACACAACTCCTGAGTATGCAACTTGTGAATTTTTACCAATACGTGCAGCACAGAGATTAATAAAGGCAGCATTTCCAGCATCCCAGACATTTCATCATAACCCATCCCAATTCATATTTCCAAAGCCCCCAAGAGACATTTTCTAACTTCTAACACCATAGGTAAAATTTGTCTATTCTTAAACTTTACATGGATGAAATTATACATATGCCTTCTCTTGTGTTTGACTTGTTTCGTACAATATTGTCTGTGAGATCCATCCATTGTCTTGCATGTTACTATAGTGTGCTTCTTTCATAGCTCTGTATTATATCATTTATGAATATACATGGATTTATATTTCTACTCTATTGCTAGTGGACATTTGAATTATTTCCATTTCTGTTATTATGAATAGTGCTTGCATATGCATTTTTTACACATGTATTCAAGGGTATATGTAGTCATTTTTTATACACACACCCATATATTTTGAGAAAAAGTGCTGAGTCATAAAATACCTGATATTCATTTTTACTAGGTATATAATGCTCACTATAACCTTGATTTACACAATATGCAATAGTAAGGATAATTTGGGATCCTAATTATATGTATGTTTATACAACTTTATTATCTAATGCCTTTCAAATTTATTTACATATTTATAAAACACAAATTATATACATCCAAAATGTATCTAGGTGTTCAATACGTATCTACTTTTAAAACTTTTAAGTGGCAGGGGTTTTTTTTAATTTGCAATCACACAGAAACACCAGAAAACCATTCACATTTTGACAGGGCATTTCATCAGTGACCTGCATAAAATAGAGCTGAAATAATTTTATTTGAAGCCATCGTTTTTGACCTTTTCACAACGAGATTTGGCTTTTAATCAGAAATCTGTGTTTCATTTTCAACAAGAAACACATCATCCCAATTCAGCTATTTCCATACAAATGAACTATTTTCCATATCATAAGATTAATGATGAACAGACTTGCATTTCTACAAGTGTATGGAGGAATTTGTGCAGGAGACCACTCTATGCTCTAGTTAGGTATGAAATGTGTCCAGTGTGTTTGAATGGTCTAAACTGTCCTTGAGTTTGAAGGATAAAGGAAGATTCACTTGGCAATGATTAACCTCCATAGAGTCAACCACTCCTGAGTTTGTTAAGAGATAGGTTGAAAAAACCCTGTAGGCCAATTCTCTACCCTATTGTATATGGAAAAAATAGATAACAGATTGGGACAGGTCCATTGTAAATGGAGAAAGGGAATGAAAGAAAGATGAAAAGTCTTCACTAAATTTGCATATATATGAAATTGTGGGTTATAAATAGTTCTGTATTTAATTAGCTATGTACATTTAGATGAATAAGAATATGTCTAAGCCTTAGTTTTCATATCTAAAAAATTGTGTTTGTAATATTTTCTTTGAAGTAATATGTTTTACATGTGATGAACTAAGCATTGCATAAATGAAATACATTTGTCATAACATGCTATTATGAGGATGATTAATATTAATGTCATGCTTTTCAAAGCAGTTTACCATTTATTATTTTATTGTATCAACAATACTTCGAGAATGAATGGATCATGTGTTACCTTCCCTGTGTGCATAGGGGAAGCTCTGCACTAATTTATACTATGATTCATGAGAGCCATGGGACAAGGATCAATCCCTCCTTCCTCTTAGTTTGTTTTTCTTACTCACTTTTCTTCTAAAAAAATTGATTCATAAGTGAATTATGTTTTCAACTCATTGGACATGGTTTTCTGTGTTTTTAAAAGGTTCTCATATTTCCCATATCAGTGGACATTTAATACCATATAAAAGGAGTTCTTTTCAGTCAGACACTTTACTTCTAGTCCGCTAGTGCTCGGCTGTAGGATAACTTTTTGCTGCTGTTGTTGCTTCACATGTTAGCACTACTGTTCTTTCTCACCTCCTTGATTAGAAAACATTTTTGGAATGGATAAGCTGACAGAATATTCAGATTCTTTATCTTATTTCTTTCACCACCACTAAAGTAGGATGGATGAAGGAAGGAAGGAAGGAAGGAAGGAAGGGAGGGAGGGAGGGAGGGAGGGAAAAAATAAGCTAAATTTCTTATTTGCTCCCTTTACCATAGTCACTTTCCAGAAATCCAACATTTAATGCAGTTCTTTCTCGGTTGGGAAGCCTAGCAGTCCCAGTATAGTTAACTCATAAACTGCAGGCATGGCCATATATTTTAACCTTGTCTACTCAACTTATTTGCACAATTTTCAAGTTTGTATTCTCATGGTAATTTGATGGCTGCTGCTTTTCCAGTCATCACAACCTCATAAAACTAATCCAGGGGACTGCACTTAATATCTTATTGGCCAGGACTGAATTCCAAGTCTTCCACTGTCAAGGAAGATAGAATGATCATGGCTGGTTTAAATTAATCCAAATTTACCTCCTGGGGCTGGGCATGGACACAGCCCCACCTGAAACACATTCCTATTCCTGGCAATACTGGAAAACAATTAAGGTTCTATTCCAAAAGAAGAAAGGGAATACCTGTTGATTAGAGAACCAACAGTGTCTGTTCTGCCATGGTCTGTTGCTGTCTGGGGTGGAATATGTTATAGAAGTAAAAAGTTGGCCACAAATTTCTCATGGACCTAATTTCCCTTCTTTTTCCAGTTCATCATTGTGAATTGCTAAGAGCATAACCATTATGAAGTGCCTTGCCTTGGGCTTGCTGAGTGTTTTGTATATTGTTTCTATATCTAAATAGCAGAGGAATCTTGGGCAATTTACTTACTATGATCTTCACTCCCTGTCCCAGAGCAGGTATTCAATGGATTTTGCTGTGGACTCTTGTGATTCGTAGCAATATTTTCCCTCTCTTTCAAGGCCCCACCCAACACCATTCCTTCATGTTGCACATTTTCCATTTTGGTGAGTGCCTTCTGGGGCACTCCACTTAGCAGCTTTTCATAGATTATTGCTTTAAGTACTTATTTTTTCTTGGTCTTATTATTAAAGAGCCTGTTACTATTAGTGTTTTTGAAATTCATCTGTCAGGTAATTTATTATAATACTTTGCAAGTTTATGTTACGTCTCAGAATAATGCTAAAGAGAAATGAGTTTTCACTGTTGCAAATATTTAGTTTCAACTTCACGAAAAACTGACTAGAGAGGATATTAGCCTCTGAATTATCTGCTGAGAGACCCTTGAAGCCATCTTTCTCAGAGATCTTTCATAAATGGCTGTGTGTGACCATGAAATTTAGAAATTTTTAACTGCTTGGAAGGGAGAGGTGATATAATATTTAAATGATGAGCGAGATTATATCCAGTTGCTGCAAGCCTTCAAATGTATGAGGCAGATAGATTGACCAGCTTCTGATAGCATCCAAAATCTTGTGGAGTCTCATGTCCCATGTAACACCAGGACATTCCTCCTGACCAAACACTGAACAAGGTGAAAGCATGTACAGGCTGTGAAAGGTGGTCTAGGATGCTCCATAATCCTCTGGGAAAGAAACTAATCCAGGAGGCTTCCTTCCCTAACAGAATGTAGGAACTGTGTGCCTAAGAATAGCACCAGTGATGGTGTGTAAATAGTAAGACTTTTATCATCTGAATCTTGGAAGAACTGTTTGCAATGCAGTGTATCAAGAGTCTGTGAGTCTTGAGTTTAAATCATTGCACCTTGAGGACATCTCCTTAACTCTTTGACATTCATGTTTCTCATTCTTAAGAATCAATAACGTTTTAGATAACTGCTGTAAACATTAAATTCTATAAATGCCTGAAACAAACTGTAGTGCTATAGATTCTCTATTAAAGTTACTTGTTTCAGTCTTTACATTTCGTGTCCCAACGATGTTGGTAATAGACTAGAAAGTCATCCAACAGGCTCTCTAGAAAATAGAACTTGAAGTATGTCCTTCATGCTGAGGAGTTTAGAGTATTGCAATCACAGTACAGTAGGAGGAGGAAAAACAGGATGCAAGCAAATACAACATAGTTCACAAGCAATTTGGGTGGACAGCCTTAAGAAAACACACACTATTGTTTGTTTCCACGGCACATTATCTACGTAGGTTCTGTTAAGCTACCGTTGACTAGAAAGAAACAGTCCATTAAAGAAAGGAAGGGGCAAGGCGCAGTGGTTCATGCCGGTAATCCCAGCACTTTGGGAGGCTGAGGTGGGAGAATCTCTTGAAGCTAGGAGTTTGAGACCAGCCTGGGCAACAAAGAAGACCCTATCTCTAAAGAAAATTTAAAATTTAGCCAGGCACGATGGCGCACATCTGTAGTTCCAGACACTTGAAAGGTTGAGGTAAGAATTTTTCTTTTCTATTACATGTATCTATTTTCCAAGTTATGTATCAGTTTTCAAACTCAATAATTATTAATTAATCACTAATGTGTACTCTCTAGAAAAAAGTACAGCATGAGAAAAATATAAATAGAAACCTAGTTTCAGATTAAAAAAAGATAAATAATTTAGAGTAATATTAGTACAAGTTTACTAATCCAGATAACAAACATTATAAAAACTGAGCTGAATAGAGAATACTGTGACCTAGAGTGACCAGGAAAGGGTTGGGCTTGACCTAGTCTGGGGACTATATCTAAAATTTAATAAGCAGTGATGAAGGAAATAGGCAGGGCCACAGAGGCAAAGCCAATGTTGTAGGCAAAAATTAGATTATGAGGAAGGACAGATATTATGTATTTATGGTTTCTTATAAACCAATATGGCTGATGAGATAAACTCTTATAATTAATCTGTGGAATATATTTTGAAAAAAACAGGATTGGGTCAGATATTGGAAAGTTTTGAATATCAGACTCAGGAATGTAGACATTTTCTTACAGATCATAGAGCACTGGATGAGATTTCGGTAAGTTAATATTAAAAATAACTAACATTTATTGGGTGCATATTTTATGCTGTTACTAGTCATAATGCTTCCTATGTTTTAATTCATTGGATAATTTCAACAACCCCTACTCCCAAACAATATGCCATAGTTTAAAAGGTCATCTTTTTAAATTTAAAAACACATCTTTCCGAGGACGGATACGTAAGGCAAAAAAAACAAGGACAGAGAAAACAGACATTCTTTCCAACTGAACTTGCTTCAAAACACAGCCAGAAAACAAGTTCCCTTTAGATGATCTCTAGCCTGATGATACTCTCAGCAACAGCAGAGCAGGCCTCAATTTCCTATGCCTACTTTCTATTCCAGTTTCATTGGCTTTTGTTTGATAATGAATTTAATTCTCTCAAACCAGAAAATATTCCCTTGGTAGTTCTCATCTCTGGTACATTATATATAGATGAAAACAGGTGAGATCACTAAATATCGAAGTGTTCATCAATGTGATGAGTTTTTAAATTGTTTGGGATTAATATAATCGCTATAGCATTTTTTTTTACTATTTCAAATAAAAAGTGATCATTGTTTATTTGAGGAATTTTCTTTCCCTTTACAGAAAATATAAAGTAAATGTTGTTTCAGTTCAGAAGCATTTTTCCAGCCACCTAGAAATTTGTTTTTAATTACTTGAAAATAAATGTGACAAAAGCATCAAATTTTCTAAAGTTTTATCATCTTTTCATTTATATTCGGTTGTTGAGGTTGGGTGCGTGCAATGCCAAATCTTCAGAAGAAAGTGAACTTGGTGAGAAGCCTAGGATTTTTCTGGACTACATCTACCATTTGAATTAGGAAAGGCCATGTCTATCTCTGAACATCCATTCCCTTAATGGCAAATGAAGCTACTAGTGAGTCCTTGTCAACTGCAAATAATTGCTGTTGGAATAAAAGAGAAAAGACAAACAGCTTGTTGAGTATAATTAAATGAATCATAATAAATATGCTGGGGTTTATTTTACTAGATGAAATCTTTCATTTAAGTTGTCCAAAATTTATCAATAATCAATTCACATGGGTAAGTTCTTGAGCTGAAGCAAACACAGACATTTTCTCTCAGTTATTAACATAACTGAACTTGGAGAATTCTAAGCTGTGTCAAAGAATTATATTCATTTATGAAAGCATTCAACAGAAAAACCTAGAATAATCATTTCTCACGGACTGCAAAGATAATAAACAGGAGGCTGAGAATTTATGCAGTATTGAAATCTGACCTATTTAACCAAAAAGTACAGTTGGAATTTGTTAACTCTAAACTTACAAGATTTAGCACTCTCTAGATATTTATTAAAGCTTTGAAATAACTTTTATTATCTCCTGCCACTCATATAAGTATTTAATAAAAAGAAAAATGCCTATTCGTATGTGCAAAATGAAAATAGAAACAAATATAATCACATGGGAAGCATCAGGAAACAGAAGCAGTGGAGAACTTGTTCATGTAGCCAGTAACTCATCTATTAGCCAAATTTTGTCTGTAATTTGCTTATTCTTCTTAAACTCTTTAAGATTTTATATAAGCCCAACACCTTCACTTTTTTGAGATGAAATTTACTTAACATCAATTAACCATTTTAAGCCAAACCACTCACTGGCATTTACTGCATTCACATTTTTGTGCCAACACCACCTCTATCTAGTTCTAAATATTTTTGTAATGCCAAAATAAAACTCTGTACCTATTAAACAGTTATTCCCATTGCTCTCTTCCCACAACCTCCTGACCACCGCCAGTCTTGTTTTTGTATCTATGTATTTTCCAATTCTGCATACTTTATATAAATAAAATCATACCTTTAGTCTCTGGCTTCTTTCACTTTGAGCAATGTTTTTGAGGCTTATCCACATTGTAGTATATATAACTACTTAATTCTTTTTATGGTTAAATAATATGCCATTGTAAGTATTAATGTCCTAGGGGACCATAACAAAATGTCACAAACTGGGTGCCTTAAAACACCAGAAATTTATTCTCTCATAGTTATGGAGACCAGAAGTCCAAAATCAAGCTGTCAGCAGGACCATACTTCTTCTGAAGACTGTAGGGAAAAGTTCTTTCTTATCTTCTTCTCATAACAAATGGTTGCTGCCAATCCTTGGCATTCTTTGGCTTGCAGCTGGATCTCTCAGTTTCTACCTCTGCCATCACATGACCTTCTTCACTGTGGGTCCTCTCTGTGTCTTCCCATGATTTTATAAGGATACAAGTCACTGATTTAGGACCCACTCTAATACAGTATGATCTCTTCTTAACTAATTTATCTTCAAAGATCCTGTTTCCAAAAATGTTCATAATCATAGGTACCTGGGGTTAGGACTTTTGTTTCTAGATTTCTGAGTGCTGAGTTTTGTCCAATGCCTTTCCTTTGTTGATTGAAATGATCATGTTTTAGTTTCTTTCCTCTCTCTCAGTCTACTAATGTAGTGTATTACATTGATTGATTTTCTTATGTTGAACCACTTTAGTATTTCTGGAATACATCTAAGTTGATCATTGTCTGTAATTCTTTTAAAATATTGCTGAATTCAGTTTGCTAGTATTTTTTGAGAATTTAACACCTTCATGGTCAAAAGCAAGAAATTGTTTAACTAAAAAACATGGAAAAAAGAGCCATAAAAGTAAACAGTGACCAAACCTGTCCAGTAGGCTCCTAGAACTATGGTTACCATTGGAAAGGCCAGACCTGCTGGGTAAATACATACATCCCCCTATTTAAGTTGGATACAATCAAACATTCTGTTTTCATTATGATTAATTTTATTCTAATTGAAATAGTCAACTTTAATCTTTTGATTACTGTGTGGCTGCATATCTTCAAGGTCATGTAAAATAATACTTTTCTATTGTAAGTTAATGAATTGGCATTCTGATTTTATACATCAGTCACAGAATCTAAGACATTATTTGTTATCAGTATAATAAAGAGAAATGGATCTACTCTCGGTGAATGAGAAAAACCAGATTTCTGAGTCTACAGAAATAAGGAAGACATTGGATTGTAGTAGATTTACAAAGGTAATGCATTTGTAAATGGGACACTTTGCAGAGATAGATATATAGTCCATTCACCTAACACAATTTTGTCATGTGTTGTATGAGCCATAGTTAGCCTTTGGATAATACAACTATTAAATAGTGTAGTGCACAGAGGTTCCATAATCAGAAAAAAATGAGTTCAAAGCAGACTGACCACCATCTATTTAAACTTGACAATTTACTGAATTTTTCTGAGCTTCTTTTTCTCCCTATGGAAAACAGACAAAATGATGCTTAAATTGTAAGGCTGTTATAAGGAATAAATGGAATGTAAGTTCTCAGCAGAAGGACTTACATTAGGTTGTCTGTCAGTAAATATTATCTATCTTTTCTTTTATATTTCTAGGTCTAGCAACTGAACCTGGCCTAGTAGAAGGGACTTACCAGGATGAAAAGGCACAGTTTTAGTACAGATTTCAGAATGCACATGTGTATTAGTAAAGTAGCCAATCCTTATTCTACAGTACAGATTTCATCTTTTCATTCTCCATATTTCTTTTATACCAGATTTGTTGGGATCACTTCTCTTCTTTATGGTTTTGTCAAAGGCAAATATTAATGTCTCATTCACTATTCCATATAGAAGAGGATACATGTTAGCTCTCATAACAGTACCAGTATGTGAACAGTGAACATGGATCCCAGTGTGTGGTTTTGGCATATTGCCTGGGTCTCATCAAGTTCCAATAGCTATTCTTGCTATACCAGTCAGAAACACAGTACATGGTCCTGCAACCATAGCCAAGGATGGAAACTCAGACTTTGTGTTGTCCAGGTGAGAATTACAAAATGCATCTATGTTCTCTTACTTTATATTTTCTGTACCTCTGATAGACAATCACTCAAAATGATGTTTAGCCACCTTCTTATTGGCTAATTTAAAAAATTACTTCTCTAATAGCTATAAGGTTTAAAAACAGAGTGTAAAGTCACTTATTCGGAGCTTTAGGCATTTAAAATACTTTGATATTGGTTGTTTCCATTGCATCTTTGCCATTATTAAACAGATATAGAAATGGGTAGATAAGGGTCACTTCCTTTTTATTATTATTATTATTTTTAATTTTAGAAGGGGATCTAAGACCACACCATAATTTGAAATATTTATGTTTACAGGATCCACATTTGAATGCATTTCAGATTAGGATTTCATAACGACAGATCTTTTGTCTGTGCGTCTACACAAGTACATGGTATATGTCATTAAGTATATGAATATTAAGAATTTGAACCACACCCTACAGCTTGAAGCATAGTACAGTTTTGCCAGTAAATGTTTTGCCTAATAATAAAGCTTATTGATTATAAATATTTGACCTTTTATCTAAATAGAGGTAAAGTATGAACCCTTGGTATAGTGTTCTATATGCTGTCTCTAGTTTCTTCTGTAAAAAAAAAGTCTCTCTTCTTCGGAGAATTGCATTTTTCACTATTTCAATCATTAGCTCTGGTAAGGGCTTACGTATTTGCATGTATCTTGGACCCCTGCCAAAATTGATTAATCAGGGAAGGTAGGACAGCCACTTCACCCAAGGTCCCTTGGATATTTTTAAAAAGTGGACCTCAGAAATAGATCCATCACTATTAGTAAAAGAAGCTATGGGACTGTGAGACTCTGGGGTTAACACTATTTTTTTCTTGCTTTCTGGAGTCAGTAATAGTTTAATTTTTTTTCAACAAGAAGTAATTAAGTCTATATGATGGATAAAAACATATGCAAGTCAGAGCAACAATTATTGGTAGCTTTTGGTTGTGGTCCTAGTTATTGAAAACACAACTGCATCCCTGAACTTCCATAGTTACAGCTGTTCAGTTCTTGAAGATAATATCAGTCAAGATGCCAATAGGAAAGACGTGGTTCATTCAAGCCAGGTAATCGAGGAAATTTCAATCAAGTGACTATTTGCAAATATGAGAGCAGAAGACATGGGGCACCAAGAGGGGAGAGACACTGCCTTTTCTAAGCTTGAAGGAAGAGGGGAAGGGAAAGATGACTGGAAGGCTGAGAGGAAATTCCACAGAGAAAGCTTTATGACTATACATCTGACCTTTTGTAAGAAAGGTAGCTAAAACCAGGGATGCAAAGCAAGTGCAGACCTCACTGTCCTCATCTTTATAATCTCCTGCCAGTGCCAAAACAAGAGAACAAAGAGCAAGAGGTCCCATTGGTACAGTTTGTATGGGTCAGTGTCCTGGGGACAGAGCAGATAGATACAGGCAGAAATAGATATAGAGGGGTAAATAAATATAAGATGCCCAGCACAGAACCAGTGAGACAGAAAATTTACCTTCTACCTGTACTAATTCAGGTTGGGTTTCTATCATTTGGAAAAAGGAGCAGCCATGACTTGAAATTCTTCTTTCTAGTTTTTCTCAAGTGCCTGCTTTGTCCACTTCAATTATCTCTAACACAGGACTCATGCAAAAAGGGTAGTGATTAAATAGACAGGGGTAGCAGCTGATATATTAGGGAGTCAACTAACCCATGAGAACCACTTTCCTTTTTCCAGAAAACAGGCAGTAAAGACAGCGTGACTTAAAACAGTCTCTCTAAGCCAGTGAGACACCTGCTCATATCTGATCTTTCACTCAATCCTGACAGCAATTAAATTTCTCCAAACTAGTTTTCCACATTGACAGGTCTGCCTATCTAAATCACAAATGTTTTACTTGATTCCATCACAGCACATTAACCCACTGCCCCACCATAGTAGATTCCAGGAGAAGTCAATCATGCAGTTTCTCTATTCTGAGGTCAGATATGCACTTGCATATGCTTGTAGGAGAGTTTTGCATTTAGTCAATTTCACTCCTCATCACAGTCTTGTAGCTAGGCATAGTAAAAAGGTGAAGTTATTCAGTGTATTTTTAATGGGAAAATTAAATAAAAAATGGTCCAAGAATTTCTAATTCCTGAACTCTGGAATTCAACCAAAGCTGAAACAAAGTGAAACCACAATTTTGCCAGAAGAACCACTCTCTATCTGTTCCTGTTATTTGTTTTTCCCTCTTTTATTTCTATTGAGGAAGACTAAGACTGAATGGGTAAATGGAGGGAAACTTTCTCCTAAAAACAGCTTGATGCTGGCAGGGGTTCGGAGCAATCCAGCCATGCTATCGAACATAGCCATATCCTGAACTCCGCCTCATTTTTAAAATAAACAGAGAAGACGCCAATATCTGCTATTAGTACATGATCAAAAATGAGTAATAGAAAAATGAACCAGCATTTAATAGTGAGATCAAGAAAAATATGGGAAAAAAAGAAAGAGGGAATTGGTTTTCTTCTTTCTGTCTCTCTCTTTGCTTGCTTTCGCTTTCTTTTTTCCTTCTTTTTTAAAAGTCATATTCTTTATGTATAAATCACTGATAGGAGTTTGCAATAACATGCTTTTACTAGGTCTTCAGAACACCCGAATAAAGTGTATACTATTTGTTTTTGGTGCAATTTACTTGTACCTAGCCCAAGCCAAAGCAGGGCAGTTCAAAGCAAAAGCTCTAAGGATTATAGATTTCCAGGGTGTCATTTGTGAGTCATTGTGGAACATTTGCAAAAGACCACAAAATGAGATGGCATTATGTATTAGTTTGTTTTCATACTGTTGATAAAGACATACCCGAGACTGGAAAGAAAAAGAGGTTTAATTGGACTTACAGTTCCACATGGCTGAGTGGGCCTCAGAATCATGGCGGGAGGTAAAAGGCACTTCTTATATGGCAGTGGCAAGAGAAAAATGACGGAGAAGCAAAAGTGGAAACCTGTGATAAACCCATCAGATCTCATGAGACTTGTTCACTATTATGAGAATAGCATGGGAGAGACTGGCCTCCATGATTCAATTACCTCCCAGTGGGTCCATCTCACAACACGTGGGAATTCTAGGAGACACAACTCAAGTTGAGATTTGGGTGGGGATACAGCCAAACCATATCACATTAGAAAGTGATGAGCGTCCACTATGTGTCGAGTGCTATTGTAAGAACTCTACATTTAATTTTTGCAACACTACTATGATTTAGCCACTATTATTAGTATATTCAGCATAGAGGGAAACTGATGCACAGAGAGATTAAATGACTTTCTCAAGATAGTATAAAATAGAGCCTTGGTTCAATCTTGTGCAGACTGAGTCCAGATAAATACAAATACTCTTTAGAAATGATAGGCATTGCCATTTTCCATAAGGAATAAGCTAGCTAAAGTACTATGATATTTTAATAGTCATCTACTATTAAACATGCTCTCTAATGTTCAGAAAAGTTACAAATTATGACCATTGTGTATTTTAAAGGCATATAAGAAACTGATGTTGTGATATTTCATAGAAAAAAATATGGAAATATTTAAATTCCGGTTATTCCAGTGCTTAATCCACAGCATGGCTTAAATATAACATGAATAAAGTTATTGAATTACATGCATTCTAAAGTTTGAAGGGATCTCACAGCTATTTCTATGTAGAAATCACAGTCTTAAGAGGGGAGTGGTGTGTCAGAGATCAATACACAAGCTTGTATTTTCTGTGAAATCTCAGCTTTATTGCAACCTAAAGCTGAGACCTCCCTCCAACCTAGTGTAGTTGATGAGTGTATTAGTCCATTTTCATGCTGCTCATAAAGACATACCCAGGACTGAGCAATTTACAACAGAAAGAGGTTTAATTGGACTTACAGTTCCATGTGGCTAGGTAAGCCTTACAATAACGGCAGAAGGCAAGGAGGAGCAAGTCACATCTTACATGGATGGCGGCAGGTAGAAAGAGAACTTCTGCAGGGGAACTCCTCTTTTTAAAACCATCAGATCTCATGAGACTTATTCACTATCATGAGAACAGCATGGGAAAGACTTGCCGCCATGATTCAATTACCTCCTACTGGGGCTCTCCCACAACAGGTGCAAACTCAAAATGAGATTTGGGTGGGGATACAACCAAACCATATCAATGAGTCATGACTTTCATTTTTATATATAAATGAACAGAGATTAATTGATTGAATTACATATTCAAGATCACAAAGCCAATGTCAGAATCATAATTCAACCCAAGTATGTCTGACTCTAACTTGAAAGTTGAGAAAATTTTTGCAACCTACTCATCTGACAAAGGGCTAATATCCAGAATCTACAAGGAACTTAAACAAATTTACAAGAAAAAAACAAACAACCCCATCAAAAAGTGGGTGAAGGATATAAACAGACACTTCTCAAAAGAAGACATTTATGCAGCCAAAAAACACATGAAAAAATGCTCATCATCACTGGCCATCAGAGAATTGCAAATCAAAACCGCAATGAGATACCATCTCACACCAGTTAGAATGGCGATCATTAAAAAGTCAGGAAACAACAGGTGCTGGAGAGGATGTGGAGAAATAGGAACACTTTTACACTGTTGGTGGGATTATAAACTAGTTCAACAATTTTGGAAGTCAGTGTGGCGATTCCTCAGGGATCTAGAACTAGAAATACCATTTGACCCAGCCATCCCATTCCTAGGTATATACTCAAAGGATTATAAATCATGCTGCTATAAAGACACATGCACACATATGTTTATTGCGGCACTATTCACAATAGCAAAGACTTGGAACCAACCCAAATGTCCAACAATGATAGACTGAATTAAGAAAATGTGGCACATATACACCATGGAATACTATGCAGCCATAAAAAATGATGAGTTCATGTCCTTTGTAGGGACATCAATGAAGCTGGAAACCATCATTCTCAGCAAACTATGGCAAGGACAAAAAAAGCAGACACTGCATGTTCTCACTCATAGGTGGGAATTGAGCAATGAGAACACATGGACACAAGAAGGGGAACATCACACACTGGGGCCTGTTGTGTGGTAGGGAGAAGGGGGAGGGATATCATTAGGAGATAAACCTAATGCAAAATGATGAGTTACTGGGTGCAGCACACCAACATGGCACATGTATATATATGTAACAAACCTGCACGTTGTGCACATGTACCCTAGAACTTAGAGTATAATAATAAAAAAAAGTAAAATGAAAATAATGTTGAAAAATAAAAAAAGAAAGTTGAAAGCAACTAATCCAGAAATGTCCTTGAAATTACAATGATATCCAATTATTTCTTTTATAACTATGGAAGGTTTTGGAAAGTCTATCAGGAAAATCCAGTTCAGTTTATATTATTAGCTGGACACTAAATATTTATTGACTTTATAAGTGTAAAATTATCTTCAGTACAGTAGCAATTATTCAAGATGGGTCCAAACATCTCTCCCCTTGTCCCTGGCATACGGTGAAAAACAAACCAACCAACCAACAAACAAAAAGCCTGTCATGATTCTTCTACTGTTTCTAGTGTATGAAGTTTGGTTTCGCACAGCAAGGTGTACAAATAGATTTCACTTGATGAAGAAACCCAATGAAGAAAATCTGCTAAAAGCAACATAAAACTCTATGACAGAAAGATGCACAAGGTGCTATTGGAACACTAAGTTGAGGCATCCAAATAAATCCCAGAAAATTAGAGACTTTGTAGTATGGTGAAGTAATATTCGAGTATTCAAGTTGCCCAGGAATCACACAATATGCAGGAAAACTAATGTCACAATGTGTTTTATTTACCATTGATTCTCTCAGTACTTAGTAGAAGTGCCTATCTCAAAATTAGTGCTCAATAAACATTTTCAGAATGTAAGATACAAAGTACAAAGTACAGGTATCTCTAAATAGATATTTATTTGACCCGGGAGCACTATGCATACCTATACTTCTGTCATGCACCCTTATACCACCTATAAAAGAAATGCTATAAGTATCTGAGTGCACTCAAAAAAATAATAATAAATTGAGGGGCAACTGCCTGGAGCTTTCAGAGTACAGTGTAGGGACACCAAGCATACTTTGAAGGGGCCAGGGAAGGTAGCCAGGAAGTTACTTTGTTCACTTATTTGTTCTGCAAGCATTCAGTGAAAGTCTACTGCATGCTAGGTATTAGAGCACATCAGGATAAATATGTTATGGTGTCTTAACGCCAGATAGGTCTGACAGATGCCAGTCCTTCAGTGTGAATGGCCTTTCCTAGTCTTCAGGGCTTTTCAAAGGCACCAGGTTAGCACTCTAGATGGGAAAGTTTTTGTTGTTGTTGTTGTTGTTCAGAGCAGTACAATGCAATTAGCAACTGCCTCATACTTAACAAATGGCAATAGCATTTCCCACTCATTGGGCTAACTAAAAACGCATATTGAATTTTGATATGCCCTCTTAGTGAGGCTGATTTGCTTCTGGTTGAGAATCACATTTGGCAAACATAAAACCTATACCTTAGTTGAATTCAAAGATTTAAGCATCAGTGTTCCGAGAGAAGCAGGGAGAGTGTGGGAAGGTACATCAGTAAACACCGTTGTTGCTGCTGCTCCTACTAAAAGCCAACGCACGCCAAAGGCGGCGCATCCCAAAGCCAGAATATACAGAAAGTGTTGAACTTTAGAAAATGACATGTGATTTAGCTCATCTGAAGCCGAATTTTCAATGGCAACAGGGGCCAGAGGAATGATAAGTGGTGAAGAATCAGAATTTCACAATGGCAGATACATACATACACGTATCCATATACACAAATATTTATATAGTCATATTATATATGTTATACATATGTATATTATTCTGTATGATCATGGAAAGTACCTTTTATATACTTAATAATTATAGATGTTATGAGTGGGGTGAAGGACAGAGCAATAGAAGATAGAGCCTGTGGTATAACCTCCCTTTGTTCCCAGAACTTCAGGGCCCAGGTATATAGGAGGTATTAAGACAATGCATTGAGTTGAATGTGTTCATGTCTTTTATTAGGAGCAGTTAGGACCTTCTAAATTCAGAATTCTTTATTTATGATTCAAACACAGCTGGTGCCATAACCAAGGCCATTATCTATGATGATGTCTGTACGTACTGTTATCCACTTTATCTGTGATCCAGGGGCTAGCAATTTATCTACTAAATAAATATCACTTTATTTACCAGGCAATAATATAAAATAAGCATCAAATTTAAGGGCAGTTGAAAAGAAAGTATCTATATGCCTTGCCTTTATTTTGGAATTATTAGCTTTGAAATGGAGAAACAATTTTCTTCTCTATTCAGTAATGATAATTTTAAAAATTAGACCTGTCAGTTTACAGAAGAGTGAAAAATGCAGGTGTTTTTAGAGGATTACTACTGTGGCTCATAGAGAGGTTGGCTGAGAAGACCGTTAGTCATCTATAGAAATAAAAACTGTCTCAGAAAAAGCAGTGCTAGTTCTATGAAATTTAATTTTCTGTTATTTCATGAATGCAAAAATTAGCAGATCGAGGAAGGTGTCATTTATTTACATTTATTCAAAGTATTATTTGTAGAAATATGAGTGTATATTCACAGGAAAGTTATGGAAGAAGATTACTCTTCCATTTTGCAGTTGTAGTTTAATGTGTTTGTAGATACATGGAAATATGTGAGTTTCTAGGAAGCATTTTTAATTACATCTTTGTTTCTAAGCATTTGTGTTTATAAATGAATACATGTAAAATATATTTTTGTTTCTTAATTTATGGACTATCTTCTGATTTCCCTTCATTTTTTAATAGCTGTTTTTAACCTGAGAATTCTATTCTAGCCCAACTGAAATTATTACTTGTTTTATTTTATGTATGTATGTATGTATGTATGTATGTATGTATGTATGTATGTATGTATGTATGTATTTGTTTATTTGAGATAGAGTCTCGCTCTGTTACCCAGACTGGAGTGCAGTAGCGTGATCTCAGCTCACTGCAACCTCTGCCTCCCAGGTTCAAGTGATTTTTCTGCCTCAGCCTCCTGAGTAGCTGGGATTATAGGCATGTGCCACCATACCCGGCTAATTTTTGTGTTTTCAGTAGAGACGGAGTTGCACCACGTTGGCCTGGCTGGTCTCAAACTCCTGACCTCAGGTGATCCACCCTCCTCTGCCTCCCAAAGTGCTGTGATTATTGGCATGAGCCACTGCGCTCAGGCACCCACCTGAAATTATATCTACTCCATCGGACCAATATTATATCCTCTGGCCAGGAATACACATCCAGTTTTTGCTCTTCTGGGACAATTATTTTCTTTCTTTTCCATTTGCCAATATTTTAGCATGTGAAACTTATCTCCTGATCACATACCAGAAGTCTGGACAGTATAGATTATCATATATATATTATTTAAAATACGCACTGATCCTCTACCTGACCACATCAAAGTCTGCTTTTTAAACCATATATTTATTAATTACAATGTTTTATTATTCTCAAATAAAAGTATTAAGATAATCCGGGGCCTATTTATTTTAATTAATTTTTCTTCAGTAAAAATATGGGTTTAATAATGATGGATTCATAGAAACAAAAACCATAGTTTTCTGTTGTTAGATCTATTCTACTTAACCTTAAAGATGTTATTAACATAATCAATTAAAGAGGCCTCATTTTGAATAAATAAATAAATACATGTAAAAAATTGAAAATTTATTTAGATGTGCTTCATGCTCATTTTCTTCCCACTAATAACTGGAATGCATACTGTTAGAGTAAACAATGAAATTTTGTAATCACAGTAAATTGACTGATTCACTTCAGCACAAATTTTATTCCAAATAGACATTAGATGATAAAATCAGATTAAATTTTAGCTAGGAATGGATCATGGTAGGGCCATTTATTGCTACAAATCTGTGTGGATGCAACTTTGAAATGTACTGAATAGTAATTTAAAAATCCCTCCAGATTACAATTTCCAAAGTACTAACAATCGACTTTTCAGGTCTAGCATAGTTTCAAGTAGGTTGGCTGTATCTCATTATAGCCACTGTAGACAGAATGTGCTATGGAGTTGTT
This sequence comes from Homo sapiens, assembly GCF_000001405.40. Classification (NCBI taxonomy): domain Eukaryota; kingdom Metazoa; phylum Chordata; class Mammalia; order Primates; family Hominidae; genus Homo; species Homo sapiens. The sequence continues at coordinate 123,137,027 of NC_000002.12, read as the reverse complement.
GGTAATAAATATAAAACATCCTAAATCTTTACTTCTATCATGTGAAGGAAAATTGACATTCACCAAATACAAGCCTTCCATGTGAGCAGCACATAACAAGACCCCTGCTTGTTATCATTTGTAATACCTAGGGGCTCTGTAGGCTCTTGTCAAGTACATCCCCACCCAAAAAAAGGGTATATGAGGAAATAACATGAAGCTAGTAAGTATAATTTTACTTATAACATTTGTCTTCTTATAAATTTCCATTCTTAAGGCTTTTTATTTTATTCTTTAACTTTGCACTTTTTGTGTAGACAATTTCTTGATTTATCAGCTAGGAAAAAGATATGGATATTTTTAATGTCTGGCATTCATCATAGTTCCTGTCGAGTCTGGTTTCTTTAGCTGCCTAATTCACTCTGGGGAGCATTTTCTATAGTTAATCAATCACTCGTCTATCTGTGTATTTCTTGGGTGGCTGTCATCTAAACACCTAAGAAATCAGACCGAAGGAAAACAAAACAGTGAAATAAACTCATCACTTCTCCTTGAAGATCTAGCAATTTTTAAAGAGGAAGACTTTCCTAAATATTAAAATAGACCATATTAAAGACTGTTTCCGTGTACGCATGGGGTGGGTGAATATGTGCTAGAGATTAAAGAAAACAGATGTCTAAATATCTATGTGCAGCTAATTTGCTATGCTTTATTTTCACTCTAAAGGCCTTCTATTGCCAGAGACATTACCTGAATTAAACTTTTTAATGAGAAAAAAATAAGACTAGTTGCTAGAGTTAGTTTATCAGTGATACTTCATTTCTATTCCTTGTGGTGAAACATCAAGCAGAGGCATGAAGGTTCATGATGGCTGTAATTTTGCGGATGGTGCAGGTGTGATTAGGAGATAAAATGCTGTCATTATTTGGTTTAAGGAGCTTATCATATAATGCAGAAATGAAATATATTTGGAAGAAAATGTGAAATGGCCAGTTGTTTTTCTTATAGATTATGGTAGTGGGATTTTCTTTATAAAAGAAAATAATAAATAGGTTAATATTTTGGAAACGACAACGGTTTTAGTGCAATTCTTTTTTTGTTTCTCATGCTAATCAGCTGATTTTATTTTAAAACATCTTTGTTATAATGGCCTCATTTTTCAATGAAGTAGTTACATGTAATGATATTTAGTGTCCTTTGAAATACTGCAATTTTAGGATCTATAAATCCTATTCAAGAAAATTGTGAGTGTGAGCGTTTGTGTGTGAGGAGATTGGTTTGGGAAGATGTGATACCCACATTAGACCTTTAATACATACTAGTAGGTTAGTTGCAATTACTTTAATATATAAATTTTATGATAAAAAAAGAAAATGAATGATTCTTAACCTAAATACCCATCAATGGTAGGCTGGATAAAGAAAATGTGGCACATATGCGCTATGGAATACTATGCAGACACAACATGAATGGAGCTGGAGGGCATTGTCGTAAGCAAACTAACACAGGAACAGAAGAACAAATACCACACACTCTCACTTATAAGTGAGAGCTAAACAGTGAGAATACATAGATATAAAAAGGGGAACAATGGACACAGGATTACTTGAGGGTGTAGGGTGGTAGAAGGGAGCGAATAAAAAATCTACCTACCAGGTACTATGATTATTACCTGGGTAGTAAAATTATCTGCAAACCAAACCCCCAAGACAAGCAGTTTGCCTATGTAACAAACCTACACATATACTCCTGAACCTAAATGAAATGTTGTTTAAAAAAAAATGAGTGACTCTGTGTAATTGAATAAGAGTCAAGGAAATGTTCATAGGAATATATGCTTAGAATTGCCTATAACCTGGATTGTTCCTGGAGTGAATATCTCTAGCATAGCATCCTCACATGCTCTTGCACGGTGCTTCCAGAAAGTAGTGGGTTTCAGAAGGGGTTGAGAGGAAGCAGTAAGACTAAAGAAGATGCCCCCAATTTACCAATCATTTACGGAGAGTCCCAAAAAGAGGAATTTTGTATCCTGATTTATCATCTATGGTTCTATGATATTTAGAGAGCCATGGAAGAAGGTATCAAAAATCATTTGGAAATCCAGTCTCATAATTGAGAAGAGGATATTAATATAAATATAAGCTCTTATTTACATTTTAATAAATTGTATCCGGGTACCTAGACTCATAGCTATTTCTTTGTTTTATAGCATTTTTCAAATTATTTAAAATAAAAAAAAAGTATTCTTGAAACAAGGTTAATTTCACATGCGGAAACTGAAATATTAAGCATGTGTTGCTCTTTAATAATAGTATTTTCTGCTGAAAGAAAACTCCGAGGCCTCACCAGTTTCAAAGTTATTGAAATATTCTCTTATATGTCCTGACCATTGAAAGTTCCACAGATGACACTAGTGCCTCTAGCACACAGGGCACCCTAGATCATAGAGACAGTTAGAAAATTCCCCGCATGGAATACTTGAGGGCCAAAAGAGAAAGATTGAGCAATGTTATCTTATGTCTAACATCCAGAAGTGGACTCTCAGAAGAGGATCCTTGCGCAAGTGATTCATTGAGGAAGTTTGCGCAGGAGAAACTCTTAAAGGAGAGAAAAAGTAGGACAGGGAATAGAAAGAGGTTACACCAGGGTGTAGGTCAGTTGACATGCTGCAGGAGTAGCTTCAGCCATGTTACAGACTGAATGTTTGTGTCCTCCCGCCAAATGTATATGTTGAAATCCTAACCCCTGAATTGATTATGTTAGGAGATGGGGCCTTTGGGAGGTGTTTAGGTTATAAATCACCTGTGATGGGGGCCTCATGAATGGGATTAGTTCCCTTATGAAATAGATCTCAGAGAGCTCCATCTTCCCTTTCACCATGTGAAGACACAGGAAGAAAACAGTGGCCTATTAACCAGGACATGGGTACTCACCAAACATCAAATTTATTGTTGCTTTTCTGTTGGACTCCCCAGGCTCTAGAACTGTGAGAAATAAATGTTTCTTTTATAAACCATCTTATATGTGATATTTTGTTATGGCACCCTGAATGGCCTAAGACAAACCTCTTCCCACAAGTTAGCTATGTCACATGCTACCAAACATAGCTTATGGTTTCTAGGGTTTCTTTCATACTGTTCATCAGGCAGTCATTGGCTAAAATATGCTGTAGGGGACACACACTCTTTTTTTTTTCTTTTTTAGATGAAGTTTTGCTCTTGTTGCCGAGGCTGGAGTGCAATGGTGTGATATTGGCTCACCACAACCTCCACTTCCCGGGTTCAAGCAATTCTCCTGCCTCAACCTCCCCAGTAACTGGGATTACAGGCATGTGCCACCACACCCGGCTAATTTTGTATTTTTAGTAGAGACAGGGTTTCTCTGTGTTGGTCACGCTGATCTCGAACTCCCAACCTCAGGTGATCCACCCACCTTGGCCTCCCAAAGTGCTGGGATTACAGGCATGAGCCACCAAGCCAGGCCTACATACTCATAATTACTTCTAGCTCCCTACATATACTGGCAAAGAGGCTTCTGGAGCTCAACGCTTCCCTCAAAGAAGTGCTGCAGATATAGGCTGGATTAGTCATGGATCTCCAGAAAAACAGAACCATTAGGGTGTTGTATTAGTCTGTTCTAATGCTGCCAATAAAGACAAACCCAAGGCTGAGTAATTTATAAAGAAAAAGAGGTTTAATGGACTCACAGTTCCACATGGCTGGGGAGGCCTCACAATCATGGCAGAAGGTGAAGGAGGAGCAAAGGCATGTTTTGCAAGGTGGCAGGCAAGAGAGTGAGCAGGGGAACTCCCCTTTTATAACACTGTCAGTTCTTGTGAGACTTATTCAATATCACAAGAGCAGCATGGGAAAAACCTGTCCCCATGACTCAGTTATCTCTGACCGGGTCCCTCCCCCAACACATAGGGATTATGGAGGCTACAATTCAAGATGAGATTTGGGTGGGGGGCAGAGCAAAACCGTATCATTCCACCTCATATCTTTACATTTCCAAACGAATCATGCCTTCCCAACAGTCCCCCAAAGTCTTACTTTGACATTAACTCAAAGGCCCATAGTCCAAAGTTTCATCTGAGAAAAGGCAAGTCCCTTCTCTCCATAGGCCTGTAAAATCAAAAGCAAGTTCATTACTTCCTAGATACAATGGGATACAGGCATTGAGTACATAAACATGAGCAATGTTATCTTGCCAATGTTAATTGGCCAAAACAAAAGGGCTACAGGCCTTATGCAAGTCCAAATCCAGTGGGGCAGTCAAATCTTAAAGCTCCCAAATTATCTCCTTTGACTCCATGTTTTGCATCCAGGTCACACTGATGCAAGAGGTAGGTTCCCATGGTCTTGGGCAGCTCCACCCCTGTGACTTTGCAGGGTAAAGCCCCTTTCCTGGCTGCTTTCACAGGCTGCCTTTGACTGTCTGAGGTTTTTTCAGGTGCACAGTGCAAGCTGTCAGTGAATCTACCATTCTGGGATCTGGAGGATGGTGGCCCTCTTTTCATAGCTGCACTAGGCAGTGGCCAGTGGGGACATTTCCCTTCCACAATGCCCTAGCAGAAGCTCTCTATGAGCACACCTCTGCCAGGACATCCAGGCATTTCCATATATCTTCTGAAATCAAGACAGAGGTTCCCAAACCTCAATTCTTGACTTCTGTGCACCCACAAGCACAATATCACATGTAAGCCACAAAGGTTTGAGGCTTGCGCTCTCCGAAGCAATGGCCTGAGCTGTATGTTGGCCCCTTTTAGCCACAGCTGTGATGCAGGGCACCAAGTACTGAGACTGCACAAAGCAATAAGGCCCTGGGCCCAGCCCATGACATTTTTCCCTCCTATTCCTCCTGGCTTCTTATGGGAGGGGCTACTGCGAAGACCTCTGACATGCCCTGGAGACGTTTTCCCTATTGTCTTGGCAATTAACATTTGGCTCCTCATTAGTTGCATAATTCTCTGCAGCTGGCTTGAACTTCTCCTCAGAAAATGGCTTTTTCTTTTCTATCACATCACCAGGCTTCAAATTTTCTGAGCTTTTATGCTCTGCATTCCTTTTAAACATAAGTTCCAATTCCAAACTGTATCTTTGTGAACGAATAAAACTGAATGCTTTTAAGAGCACCCAACTCACTTCTTGAATGCTTTGCTGCTTAGGAATTTCTTCCATCAGATACCCTAAATCATGTCTCTAGAGTTCAAAGTTCCACTGATCTCTAGGGCAGGAGCAAAATTTCCAGTCTCTTTGCTAAAGCATAGCAAGAATTACCTTTGCTCCAGTTCCCAGTAAGTTCCTCATCTCCATCTGAGACCACCTCAGCCCAGACTTTGGTTCAAAACCATTCAACAGGTCTTTAGGCAGCTCCAAACTTTCTCACATCTTCCTTTCTTCTTCTGAGCCCTCCAAACTCTTCCATCCTCTACCTGTTACCAAGTTCCAAAGTTGCTAATACATTTCAGGTATCCTTATACCATCATCCACTCTACCTGTACCAATTTACTGTGTTAGTCTGTTCTCATACTGCTAATAAAGACATACCCGAGACTGGGTAATTTATAAAGAAAAAGAGGCTTAATGGACTCACAGTTCCACATGGCTGGGGAAGGCCTCATCATCAAGGCAGAAGGTGAAAGAGGAGCAAAGGCACATCTTACATGGCAGCAGGCAAGAAAGCATGTGCAGGAGAACTGCTTTTTTATGAAACCATCAGTTCTCAAGAGACTTATTCACTATCACAAGAGCAGCTTGGGAAAAACCCACCCCCCATTATTCAGTTATCTCCCACTGGGCCCCTCCCATGACACATGGGGATTATGGGAGCTACAGTTCAAGATGAGATTTGGGTGGGGATACAGTCAAACCATATCAGTTGTATGTGGTTTATACACACCTGATATCTTATCTTATATCTAAGATGACATATAAGATATCTAAGATGATGTAAGATAAGATATATATATCTTATATCTAAGATGAGATCTATTATAAGGAATTAGTTTGCATGATTATGGAGGATTAGAAGTCCTGTGATGTGTCATCTGCAAGCTGGATATTCAGAAAAGTCATGGTGTAAATTCTATTCTCAATCTGAAGTCCTGAGAATTAGAAGTGCCAACGGTATAAGTCCTACTTCGAGGGCAGGAAAAGACTTATGTCCAACTCAGACAGGCAAAGAGAGAATTCAAACTTTGTCAGCAATTTATTCTACCCAGATCTTCAACAGGTTTAATGTTGTCTACCCGTATTGAGGAGGTCAGTGTGCTTTACTCAGCCCACCAACTCAAATGTGAATTTCTTTTGGAAAGTCCCTCACAGACACATTCAGAAGTAATGGTTAATCAGATATCTTGGCATTTCATTGCCCAGGCAAACTAACTAGTTAATCAAGGACGTAAGGTGTTAATCAAGTGTGTGTGTTTCTCTGTGTTTTTGTGAGCCCTTATGCAAGATATTGAGGACCATTCAGGAAAATCAGACAGCAAAGAAATGATGGCTGTTAGTGCTAGTAAACAATTGGAAAATTTAAACATTTCCAAGATGCATTAATTAGCAAAATAATTATGATGATGACATTTATATTATACTTTGTACTTTCAAAGTACTCTTCTTTGATTACTAATTGATCTCTTAGCCCAATGTTATGAAATGGCTAAATAAGCTATTATTCTTCTTTTATAACACATAAGAAGACTGAGTACAAAAATAAATTAAAAAGTTGTGTGGGAACCCGTGCAGAGTTAATAGTGGAGCCAGAACTTGTCTTGCCCCTAAACAAATACTTTCTGTACCGCTCACTGCACTTTTTCTCTTTTTGCTTTTTTCCACGTTTGTTCCTGATTTTCTCTTTCTTCCCATATCTTTTAAATAAAATAATTTATAATGTCTCATTTAGAGTTTGAGAATAAATCTTGGTAAGATGTACTTGCAGTGGTAAAATTAATTTAAAATGAATTACTTTAAAAACAAATTTCGGGCCCATGAACATGTGATAATTTTCAGAACAGAACTAATATTGAAGTGACTTCATAGAAATGGAGATTTGTAAGGGTAATAGTGATAGCATCTTCATTAGGGATGTGCTGGAGGGGACTGCAAACCTCTTTCACAGCCTGCCATTCATGTTTTGCCTCTAAGATGTTCTCGTGGCTGCAGAGCCGTTAATTTAAGTGCTATATAATAATTAAAGTATTCTAAATTTGTGCTGTTCAACCATATGCAAGCACATCTATGAATAAGTTTCTTTATGGCTTCCTTCTGTTTATTTTTGACAAGGCTTTTGTTGTGCCAAAAAAAAAGAAGTCATCACACTGCCCATTTGACCCAAGCTGAATACCTTGTTCTCTGTCATTAGTATGCCCAGATAATTAGGAACCATTGCTGGTTTGTCACATTAGCCAGTAGGGATGGAAATTGTGGGCATGATACGACACTATTCATAAAAGAACACATGCATTTGAGGGCAGGAAAGTGTATACTGGATTAAAGGAAATAGAGAAAAGTCCATTCTTAGAGTGAGGTCTTATGCATATCTAGTTGGGAGTCTGGCAGCACTTACTGTTTACTGTAGCAGCTCTGTCAGAGGCTAAAATTACCTTTAGTGTCCTGTTATCATCTCCCCAGTTGTCTTTGGGCATCTTTTGAGACTCATTTTTAAACAGGGTCTGAAGCTTAAAGTTCTTTTAGCTGTCATCCCTTGATGTGATACAGGATCCCTGCTAATGTGACAGTAAAATGCAGGGTTGTGGAGCATTCTCTAGACCTATAATTAGCTCTGAATCTTTTGGTAAGCCTGTGTCCAAGGGCTGTGATTTCTGCAAGTGCTTCCTAGATTCCCCTCTCCTCCTCTTTATGGGAGACAAGAAGGCTAAAGAGAGCTGGAGTTGAGTATTTCTCTTCCCTCAGGCAAGTGAGGCCTGTGTTGGGCTCTGATAAAATAGCTTCCCTTGAAGGCAGGCCTTCGTTAAGAAGGAGCTCTCTGGGTGTATTTCAAAATTGCTTTTCCCTTCCTGCTGCTGGAAGCAGGAAAAGATTTTTTTTCTGATTTTCACTCTGATAACCTGGTAGGGCTGCTGGAGGTAAAACACACCATAGCTGGGGAGGGGGATCCACTAAGGTTGTTCCCCAGGAGTTTTAATCTCTCTCACATGCTCATCTTTAGCAGGTGGTCACCTAATCTTTGTGTCCTCAGCATGCTTCAGGTAGACCGTGATTCCATTTTACCTGTCTGTCTCTGCAGATTTTGGAGTGGTGGTTTGCTCTATAATCTTACTTCTCTAATGGATATAGGAAAGGTTATTGATTTTCCATTTTTTTCAGCCTATTTTCTTGTTTTAGAGATGAGAGTGATGTCTTCTAAGCTCTTCGCATTCAGACCAGAAAATAGAATGGGCAGTTTCCTGTTAATATTTTACCTTTGTCTGTGGTGTTCTTCAGTGTCAGTGAGATATGTGTAGGTGTGCAATTTATTCTGCCTGGGATAATTTGAATATTAATATCTTTCTTAAATTTGGAAATATCACTACATCTTAACTTCTCAAATATTTTATTTTGTTCTCCTTATTCACTCTTCTAGAACTCTAATTGTGTTAGCCTTGCTGATTCCATCTTTTACGTTAGCATTTTTCTCACAATTTCCATCTCTTTATGTATTGCAACAATTTTCTTGAATCAATCAGTCAATTCTTAAATTCTTTCTTCAGCTGAGTATAATCAACTGTATCTTATTTAAAGTGACTTGGATATAAGGGCTAGCTTTTCGTAATTTTTCTAGTTGATTCATTTTCAATTAAACTTTCTTTCTCATATCATCCAATTTTTTCCTAAAAGATGCTACTACTTTTTTACCTATTTAATCATTTTAATCAATAATTGTGTGGGCTTCTCCTGTTAATTTCATTATTTGTCATTCTTGGTGCATTAATTATATTATTATGCCCACTGATCTTCCAAATATAATTTTATTTATATTTATAATTTTATTTCTATTGTAAGCTTATCTTCACTGAAGTTTGATCATTCTTTGCATCTTGCAAGGCCTGAAGTATAAACAGTTCATTAAAAAGCAGTTTGAAGTTTATTCCTATTCAAACCTCCAGAAGTTTTAATGACCCAGGATCAGATTTCATTTAATTTTGAGGCTTGGGAATCATGCATAATAAATTCATTTTAAATTTGAGTTACAAATCTTAATAAAGAAATGCTTGAGCTTTCAGTTTTTTATTAGTAATATTTTATTTTGCTACACTAAACTCTAGAAAAATGTCAGTATGTCTCATTATTTCCATAGCACTGAGTTGAAATTTTTCTATCCTATTTTTTGAGAACTGAATAGACTTTTGAAGCTCCAGATTCTAAGAAGATACCTGAGGTGTAGCTTCCCCATGTCAGGAAATGTCCTATAGAGTCTCTTGACCTGGCATTTGGACTCGTCTCTTTCTCTTGCATCAATATGCAGTCTGAGAAGATGGCCGGCCTGGGCAAGAACATGTGGCACTTACTTCTTTAGACGTTAGTTTCCTGCCTATCTTTCAAGCTCAGCAATGTGATATTTTTAATTATAATTTATGCAGCATTTCAGTGTGGTGGAGATGGAATGACAGCTGTGTGCACTCAGTTTGTCATGTGGCCCAAAGACATGACTCAATTTTATACACTATGTTAATGATGCTATATCTCCAAAATGCCATTCTTTTAATTCTGTGAGGTTGTTGCTCTCAAAGAGTGGTGGTGAAATAAAGCACTTCTGGCTTCAATACTCACTTATGAATTTGTGACCTTAGGGAAACTATTTAAACCTGCTGAATTTGACTTAAAAAGGCAATGTGGGGCGGGCGCAGTGGCTGACGCCTGTAATCCCAGCACTTTGGGAGGCCGAGGCGGGCGGATCACAAGGTCAGGAGATCGAGACCATCCTGGCTAACACAGCGAAACCCCGTCTCAACTAAAAATACAAAAAATTAGCCGGGCGCGGTGGCGGGCTCCTGCAGTCCCAGCTACTCGGGAGGCTGAGGCAGGAGAATGGCGTGAACCCGGGAGGTGGAGCTTGCAGTGAGCCAAGATCGCGCCACTGCACTCCAGCCTGGGCGACAGAGCAAGACTCCGTCTCCAAAAAAAAAAAAAAAAAAAAAAAAAAAAAAAAAAAAAAAGGCAATGTGGACTACTACTTTTATTTTATTGTGTCTGTAATCACCTAAACGAAACAAGAAAAGGGAAATGTAGAATTCCTAGCATTGATTAATACAAACAGAAGTATCCATGAAACAAAAATATAGGACAAGTTACCTAATTTGTTGTACCCAGTGCAAAATGAAAATGTGAGACTTCTTATTAAAAAAAATTAAGACTTCAAGGAAAGTGATGGCAAAGCATTAGACCAAGCATGAGACCCTTCCAAGCTTAGGGCACTGTATTCCTCCTGCTCAAGGACAATGCCCATGAAACCACATGTAATAAAATATGTGAAGAGCTTCTAAATTTAATGTTAAACAGGGGAGAGAAAGACTCGGTGGGAGGAACCCACAGCAAAAGATCACAGGTGAAGTTGACAGAACACAGGTTTCTAAAGTAAATGACACATTGTCAGTGGTAGAGGGGAATACTGCCAAATTCACGGGGAAATTCTTCCAGCGAGTATCTTGACATGGTAAAAAGCACATGGACTTCAGACTTAGCCTAGGTTTGCATCTCAGCACTACCCCTACCAGTTATATGAATTTGGTCACATTGCATAACCACTCTATTCTTTAGTTTGCATTATTTGTAAAATAAAGAAAATCACATAACTTTTCTCATAATGATGCTAGGATGATTAGATGAGAGGCTTTAGAAGAGTGAGTGGCATATGTAAGTAACATGAAAGAGTTAGCTATTTTTTTCTGGCAGAGATAATTGTAACACTGTTTAATGTATTGGAAAATATAGAAAACGAATGAAATCTTCCAAGAAACTTTGTGAAAATCTAAAAAAAAAAAAAAATAGAACCATACTTTTCACCAAAATACACTCCAAATAGATAGAATGGCTATGTGTAAAAAAAAAAAAGACATATGAAATTTTAGATAGAAACAACCTGAGTTATTGTCTTTAATAAACTTGGTGTTTAGAAAGCCTTTCTAAGTATGCCATAAAACCTATCAATGAAGATAACAAAATATACAATATAATTTTTTAAAGTTTTGTGCATAGTACAATCACCACAAAAACATCAAACACATGCACTTCAAACTGGCTAAGAATACTGGCAAAGTTTTGCAAATAACAAAATTGATGTAATAAAAATAATATATTATTACATAAATCATTACTTTTTAAAAGAAGAATGTTAATATTCTTTCAGGATATGAGTCCCATGCTAACTTTCTTTAATGTATGCTTTATATTTTTGCATATTTCATATTGGAAGCAAAATAAAATTACAAATAGATACTATTTTTTCTATTACTTGGGCAAAAAAGTATTGAATAATACAATATGTAGACAAGAATAAAAAGAAACAGGAATTCATAAATATTGCTTTAAAAAGTATGTGTATATTAAGATAAATTTTGAAACATCTATAAAAATTTAAGACACTGCTTGATCCAACAATTCAACTATATTTTCTACACACATATTTATACAATTTGCAATGGCTTATAAACAAATGTCGTTTCAGCAGTTTCTGTTATAGCTAAAGATGAAAATTCCTTAAATTTCCATCAGTATAGGTCTGATTTAAAAAATTATTGTTTCATATTATGGAATATTAAATAGTCATTAAAATAAATGTGGTATTTATTTTAGCTATTGTGGAAAGCAAATAAAATGCAAAAGATTCATCTATATCCATTATTATTTAATATTTGATTCAAAGTATTAGACAATACCATTAGACCAGAGAAAACAATTAGACAATCAAATGTGGAAAGGAGAAATAAAATGATTTCCATTTGCAAATGATATCAATGGTGAAATAAATAATTTAACAGAAGATAAAATTCACCTATACAATTAATAACATTCACATAAAGAATTGGTTAAAAAACAATAAAATATTAAGTCATATTTAAAATAGCTACATAAAAATATATAATACCCAAGGATAAATTAAGTGAGAAGCTTGGGGAAAATTATAAAACTTTACTTATGGAAAGACACAAAGTGAGTCTTGAACAAATGGAAAAATATTATTTTAGCCTCTGATATAATGAGTAAACATAAATACACCATTTTTCTCATAATTTGAAAAAAAGGACTTTTTAATGAGGCTTTTTGTTTATTTCTGGAGACAAGTTGGTTCTACTGCTCATTTGGAAGAAAAAAACATTTAAGTATAGCTTGAAAAACCCTGAAAATAGAATGGATCTGCCAACCAGTAAATAAATAAGCTTGTTACAGAATTTCTAAAATTACACTGGATGGTACTGGCACATGGTAAGAGAGAAACAAATTGGTGAAACAAAATAGAAAATTTAGAATTAGAAAGCAAAGTCTTCAAAGCACTGGAGTGAAGAATGACATTTAGTAAATAGTAATATTTACTGAAAAGTTTGGATAACCTTTCAGAAAAAGGTAATATGGAATCCATACCTCACATCATACACCATAATAAAGCCTAAATACATGAGATATAAGCCAGGGGTGGTGGCTCACACCTATAAACCTAGCACTTTGGGAGACCAAGGCAGGCAGATCATCTGAGGTCATGAGTTCAAGACCAGCCTGGCCAACAAGGTGAAACCCCATCTCTACTAAAAATACAAAAATTAGCTGGATGCAGTAGCGCGTGCCCGTAGTCCTAGCTACTCAGGAGGCTGAGGCAGGACAAATGCTTGAACCCAGGAGTTGGAAGCTGCAGTGAGCTGAGATCACGCTATTGCACTCCAGCCTGGGCAACAGAGAGAGACTCTGTCTCAATAAATAAATAAATAAATAAGATATAAATGCAGAAACAAAAACTCTGAAACACTATGAATAGTTAAAAACAAGATAAATTAATTCCTTCATTACTTGGGTATAGGTGTTTTTAACTATAACCCAAAATTCAATCACAAGAAAAGATTGATAAATTAAGTAGACTTTGAATGCATTACAATAGAAAGTTAAGCAAAAAATATATATAAAAGGAAAAGCTGGAAATATTTGTAATGTGTATATTTCAGATAGGAGAATAATGTCTTAACGTGTAATGATTCTTCAGCCATCCAGAGAAAAGCCCAAATACCCAACAGAAAAAAAAATGGGTAAAGAGACAATTCTTCAAAAAAAAAAAAAAAAAGAACATAATGAATCTTAAACAAATGGAAGCTTCTTCGACTTTATTCGTAACAAAACATGCACACTAAAACTACAGTGAGATACCCTTTTTCACCTATTAAAACCTTGACCACACACTCCTTTGGCAAATCTGTGTAGAAACAAGCATTGTCCTGCATTGCTTGTGAGTGTGTAAGTTGGTGCAGTATAGTTAGAAAGAACTGGCAAAATCTAACAACTATTGCACCTGTGAAGGACACTTTGGCCCAACATTACTGATTTCTGGTAATTTATCATAAATATAGTCCCACACATATAAAAAATAGACAAAATATTGAAAACAACATGCATAGCTATATAGAAGAAATTGGTTCAATAAAGTATGGTGCACTCCTATAATGAGTACTATGCAAATGTAAAAAAATAGATTTGTGTAGTAGAAATGCAATAAATTTCAGAGTATGTTAAGTAAAAAAATAAGTTGTAAATAAAATATCCTATGTAGATTACAAAGTTTTGTGTAATAAAGATGGGAAAAATTCTACATATTTCCACAAAAGAAAACACAAGAAAGACAAACCAGAAATGAATGTTATGGTTATTTACAGTGGGGAATGGAATGAAAGAGGTAAGAAGTATCTCTAAGAATACATTTTAGAAAATTATTACTGTTAAACCATGATCATATTTTACATGTTCAGAGGATAATATTAAATCAAGAAAGATTGCTTAATACCATAATACAAATATAAAATATAATTATAACTTATGGAATTATTAGAATTGCCACTTGCAAAAAATAATCAAACCACATAATTTGAACATAATTCTGACTCTTTTCTAAATTAATATAGAGTTCTCACTTTAAGCTTTACAAAGAAATCTTGAACTATATTTAGTAAGTTTCTTGTACATTGTGGTACTGGTGCAATAGTTTCAACAAATTATATACTTATTGATCACACAAGTAAAAACATTGGCATTGTTTGGAATAAGATTCTTATTATGAAAGATGTGAAATAAAAATATCTAATTTGGGAAGTAAAAGGTGAATCAAGAGATAATGGCTGAAGTAGGAAGTATTAGTATAACTTACCATTTTTTAAAGTTATTTTACATAAATTTGGTACATAGAATTTACTTTTTTATAATTTTTAGCTTTTATTTTAGAGTAAGGGATGCATGTGCAGATTTGTTACATGGTATATTGTACCACCGAGGCTTGGAGTAGGAAGGATCTCATCACCCAGATAGAGAACAGAGTCCCCAATAAGTAGTTTGTCAGCCTTTACCATCCTCCCTCTCTGCCCCGTTTAAGAGTCCCCAGAGTCTACTGTTTCCATCTTTAAGTACATGTACCCAATGCTTAAGTGTCATTTATAAGTGAGAAGATGTGGTATTTTCTGTTCTTGCATTAAGTTGCTTAAGATAATGGCCTCCAGCTCCATCTATGTTGCTTCAAAGGACATGATTTTTATTCTTTTTGATGGCTATGTAGTATGCCATGGTGTGTGTGTGTATGCGTGTGTATATATATATGAATTATATATAACTTATATATAGTACATATATATTTATGTATAATATAATTATACTTATATTTACATATAATACTTAGATATTTATATATAATATAAAATATATTATAATATATATGCCATATATATATATAATTTACTTTATCCAACCCACCACTGATGGACACCTAAGTTGATTCCATGTCTTTGCTGTTGTGAATAGTGCTGTGATGAACATACAAGTTCATGTGTCTTTTTGATAAAACGATTTATTTTCCTTTAGGTATATACCCAGGAATGAGATTGCTGAGTCAAATGATAATTCTGTTTTAAGTTATTTCAGAAATCTCCAAAATAAATAATCAACAGAGTAAACAAACAATATGCAGAATGGGAGAATATATGTGTCTTTTCACAGTGGCTGACCTAATTATACACTCCCACCAACAGTATATAGGTATTCCCTTTTCTCTGCTGCTTCACCAGCATCTGTTGCTTTGTTGACTTTTTTATAATAGCCATTCTGATCGATGTGAGAGGGTATCTCATTATGGTTTTCATTTGCATCTCTTTGATGATTAGTGATGATGAACTTTTTTTTTCAGATCTTTGTTGGCTGCTTGTAAATCTTTGGAAAAGTGTCTGTATGTGTGCCTCCCCTACTTTTTTAATGGGGCTATTTGTTTTTTCCTCCTACAATTGTTTAAGTTCTTTGTAGATTATGAATATGAGACCCTTATCAGACACATAGTTTGTAAATATATCCTCCCGTTCTGTATATTGTTTGTTTACTCCGTTGATTATTTATTTTGCTGTGCAGTAGCTCTTAGTTTAGTTAGGACCTACTTGCGGATTTTTCTTTTTGTTGCAATTGCTTTTGAGGACTTAGTCATAAATTCTTTGAGAAGGGTGATATCCAGAATGTTATTTCCCAGGTTTTCTTCTAGTAATTTTATAGTTTTAGGTCTTACATTTAAATCTTTAATGCACCTTGCGTTTATTTTTTATATATGGTAAAAGGCGGGGGTCTGGTTTCATTCTTCTCTATATGACTAGCCAGTTGTCTCAGCACCATTTATTAATTGCTTTCCCCATTGCTGATTTTTGTTGACTTTTTTGAAGGACAGAGGTTGTAAGTGTCGAGCTTTATTTCTGGGTTTTCTTTTCTGTTCCATTTGTCGATTTGTCTGTTTTTAAATTTAGCTTTTATATTTTATTATTTTATTTTATTTATTTTACCAGTATCAATCATGCTGTATTGGTTACTGTAACTTTCTGGTATACTCTGAAACTGAAACTGGGCTCTTTCTAGTTCTATATTCTTTTGTTGTTGTTGTTGTTGGTTTTTTTTTTTTTTTTTTTTTTTTTTTTTTTTTGAGACAGAGTCTTGCTCTGTCGCCCAGGCTGGAGTGCAGTGGCACGATCTCAGCCCACTGCAAGCTCCGCCTCCCAGGTTCACGCCATTCTCCTGCCTCAGCCTCCCTAGTAGGTGGGACTACAGGTGCCCACCACCATACCCGGCTAATTTTTTTGTATTTTTAGTAGAGGCAGGGTTTCACCGTGTTAGCCAGGATGGTCTCAATCTCCTGACCTCGTGATCCGCCCGTCTCGGCCTCCCAAAGCGCTGGGATTACAGGCGTGAACCACTGCACCTGGCCTCTATATTCTTTCTAGAATATATAACTTAGAATATAGAATTTAGAACAGATTTTTTTCTAATTCTGTGGAAAATGGCATTAGTAGTTTGTTAGGAAAAACGTTAAATCTGTAGATTGCTTTAGGTAGTATGGTCATTTTAACGATGTTGTTTCTTCCAATTCATGCTCATAGAATACTTTTCTATTTCTTTGTGTCATCTATGGTTTATTTGAGCAGTGTTTTGTAGTTCTTCTTATAGAGATAATTTACCTCCTTGCTTATATGTAATCCTAGATATTTTATTTTTTGTGGCTATTCTAAATGGAATTGCGTTCTTAATTTGGCTCTAAGTTTAAATATTAATGTTGTATAGAAATGCTATTGATTTTTTACATTGATTTTGTATTCTGAAACCTTACTAAAGTGGTTTAAGAGTTCCAGGAGTCTTTTGGTGAAGCCTTTAGGTTTTTCGGTGAATAGAAGCATGTCATCTGTGAAGGGAGATAATTTGACTTATTCTCCTATTTGGATACCTTTTATTTCTTTCTCTTGCCTGATTGCTCTGGCAAGGACTTCCAGTACTATGATGAATAGGAATGGTGTGAGTGGGCATCTTTGTCTTGTTCCAGTTCTCAAGGGGAATGCTTCCAGCTTTTGCCCATTCCGTATGATGTTGGCTGTGCATTTGTCATAGTTATCCCTTATTATTTTGAGATATGTTCCTTTGATGCTTAGTGTGTTGAGGATTTTTAACATAAAGAGATGTTGAATTTTATTTAAAAACTTTTATGTATCTGTTGATATTATCATGTGGTTTTGTGTAGTTCTATTTATATGTTGAATCATATTTACTGATTTGTGTATATTGAAGCAATCTGGCATTCCAGGAATAAAGCCTACTTAATCATGTTGGATGATGTTTTTGATGTACTTTTGGATTTAGTTTGATGTCATTTGTTGAAGACTTTTGTCTCTATCCTCATCAGAGATATTGGCCCATAGTTTTAATTTTTTTGTTGTGTCTTGGCAGATTTTGGTATCAGAGTGTTGCTGACTTTGTAAAATGAGTTAAGGAGGAGTCTCTCCTCCCAATTTTTTGGATGTTTTCAAGAGGATTAGTACCAACTTTTCTTTGTACATCTGGTAGAATTTGACTATGAATTCATCTGAGGCCTTTTTTGGTTGGTGGGTTTTTTTTCTATTAATGATTCAATTTTAGAGCTTGATATTGGTCTGTTCAGAGTTTCAAATACATCCTGATTCAGTCTTGGGAAGTGGTGTGTTTCCAGGAATTTAACCATTTCCTCTAAATTTTCTAGTTTGCATGCACAGAGGTGTTTATAATAGTCTCTGAGGATTCTTTGTATTTACAGTTGCACGTTTCCTCTGTCAGTTGTAATGTTACCTTTGTCATTTCTGATTATGCTTATTTGGATCTTCCCTCTTTTTTTCTTTGTTAATCTAGCTAGTGGTCTGTTGCTCCTATTTATCCTTTCAAAAAACCAAATTTTGATCTCATTGATACTCTTCATAGGATTTTTGGGGTATCAATTTGTTCAGTTCTGCACTGATTTTGTTGTTTTGTTTCTTCTGCTAGCTTTGGGGTTAGTTTGTTTTTATTTTTCTAATTCTACTAGGTGTGGTGTTATATTGTTAATTTGAGATATTTCTACCTTCTTAATGTAGATGTTTAGCACTTTCCACTTAACACTGCTTTTACTGCATTCCAGAATTTTTATTATGTTGTGTTTGTGTTATTATTAATTTGAAATTTCTTTTTATATATTTTCCCTAATTTTGTTGTTTACTCAAAAGTCATTCAGTCCCTGGAAACCTATAGTCTCCCAAGATTGCAGTAGGAAGAAATTGAATTCCTGAACAGATCATTAATAAGTTCTAAAATTTAATCGGTAATGAAAAGTCTACCAACTAGAAAAAGCCCAGGACCAGATGGATTCATAGCTGAATTCCATTAGATGTATATAAAAAAGCTGATACCATTCCTATGGAAACTCTGAGGAGAAAGAACTCCCAAACTCCTTCTATAATACTGGTGTCATCATGATTTGAAAATCTGGCAGAAAAACAAAAACAACAGCAACAACAACAAAAACTTTAGCCCAATATATTTGATGAGCATAGATGCAAAAATTCACAACAAAATACTTGGAAACCAAATTCAGGAACACATCAAAAAGCTAATCCCTCATAATGAGGTAGGCTTTATACCTGAGAAGCAAGATAGATTCAACATACGCAAATCAATAAATGTGATTCAACACATAACAAGAACTAAAAATGAAAACCACAGGATCATCTCAATAGATTCAGAAAAGGCTTTCAATGAAATTCAACATCCTTTCATGTTAAAAATCGTCAACATATCAGGCATTGATAGAACTTACTTCAAAATAATAAGAGCCATGTATGCAAAACCCACAGTCAACATCATACTGAATGGGCAAAATCTGGAAGCATTCCCCTTGAAAACCAGAGCAAGATAAGGATGCCCTCTCTCACTACTCCTATTCAACATAGTACTGGAAGTCCTTGCCAGATAAATCAGGGAAGAGAAATAAAAGGCATCCAAATATAAAGAGAGGAAGAAAAACTGTCCCTGTTTGCAGACAATATGATTCTAAACCTTACAGTCTCTGCCCAAAAGCCCTTTAATTTCATAAACAACTCCAACAAAATTTAGGAGTTTTACAACAAAATCATTACACAAAATCAGCAGCAACAATATCCAACCTGAGAACCAAATCAAAAACGTAATCCCATTCACAATAACAAAAAAAAACTATGAAATATGTAGGAATACAGCTAACCAGGAAGGGGAAAGATCTCTACAATGAGAAGTACAAAACACTGCCCAAAGAAATCAGAGATGATACCAACAAATAAAACAAAATTCCATGCTCATGGATAAGAAGAATCAATATTGTTAAAATTACCATACTGCCCGAAGCAATTTACACATTCAATACTACTCCTATCAAACTAACAATGACATTCTTCATCAAGTTAGAAAAAAAACTATCTTAAAACTTATATGGAACCAAAAAAGAACTTGAATATCCAAGGGCATCTTAAGCAAAAGGAACAAACCTTGGGGCATCGTGTAAATGACTTCAAACTATACTGCAAGGCTACAAGGCTATAGTAACCAAATCAGCATGGTACTGGCACAAAAACAGAAACACAGACTAGTGAAAAAGAACAGACAGACTCAAAATAGTGCCACACATCTAAAACCATCTGAGATTTGACAAAGTTGACAAAAACAAGTAATGGGGAAAGAACACCCTATTTAATAAGTAATGCTGGGATATTGAAAATGAACCCCTTCCTTACACTCTATACAAAAATCAATTCAAGGTAAATTAAAGACTTATATGTAAAGCTAAAACTATGAAAACATTGCAAAATATCCTAAGAAATACCATTCTGGACATAGGTGCTCGCAAAGACTTCATGATGAAGATGCCAAAAGTAGGTGCAACAAAAACAAAAATTGACAAATGGGACCTAATTATACTAAAGAGTTTCTGCACAGCAAAAGAAACTGTCAACATAGTAAACAGACAACCTACAGAATGGGAGAAAGTATTTGCTAATCATTCATCCAACGAAGATCTAATATCCAGAATCTATAAGAAACTTAAATAAATTGAAGAGTAATAAACAAACAACCCTATTAAAAATTATGCAAAGGACATAAACAGACACTTCTAAAAAGAAGACGTATACTTGGCTAGTAAGCATATGAAAAAATACTCAACATCACTGATCATTAGAGAAACACAAATCAAACCCACAATGAGGTATTATCTCATATCTGTCAGAATGGATATCACTAAAATGTTTTAAAAAATAACAGATCTTGGCAAGGATGTGGAGAAAAGGGAAACTATACACTTCCAGTGAAAATGTAAATTAATTTTGCCATCGTGGAAAGCAGTGCAGCAATTTCTAAAAGATCTTAAAATGGAGGTATCATTCAACTCAGCAATCCCATTATTGTTTATACGTCCCAAGGTATAGAAATTATTCTACCTTAAAAACACGTGCACACATCTGTTTATTGCAGCAACATTCACAATAGCAAAGGCATGGAATCAACCTAATTGCCCATCAATGATAGACTGGATAAAGCAAATGTGGTAGGTAAATATCATGGAATACTTCGTAGCCATAAAAAAAATAATGAGATCATGTTCTTTGCAGCAACATGGATAAAGTTGGAGTCTGGTAGCCTAAGCGAACTAACACAGGAACAGAAAACCAAATATTGCATGTTCTAACTTATAACTGTATAACTTACTTACACACTAACTTATAAGTGGGAGCTAAACATTTAGAATGCCCTTCATTGTCTTTTTCGTTTTACTGTATAACTTGCTTACACACTAACTTATAAGTGGGAGCTAAACATTGAGAACACATGAACACAAGTAGAAAACAACAGAGACTGGGTCTATTTGAGGGTGGAGAGTGGGAGGAGGAAGAGGATCAAAAAATTACCTATTGGGTATTATGCTTATTACCTGAGTGATAAAATAAACTGTATACAAACTCCCGTAGCATGCAATTTACCTATATATTAAAAAACCTGCACATATACCCCTGAACCTAAAATAAAAGTAAAAACAAAAAGTAATTCAGGAGCAATTTGTTTAATTTCCACCTAATTTTGTGGTTTTAAGAAATCAACACCAATAATTTTTTAATGAATTTATTAAGCTTTGCTTTATGGTTGGGCAAGTGGTCAATCGTAGAGTATGTTCTGTGTGCATATAAGAAGAATGTATGTTCTGTGGTTGATGAGTAGAGTACTCTGTAGAATTCTATTCGGTTCAATTGGTCAGGTGTCAAAATTATGTCCAGAATTTATTTGTTAGTTTTCTGTCTCAATGATCTGTCTGACACTGTCAGTGGGGTGTTAAAGCCCCTCCCCCACAACTACTGTGTGGCTATTTAGATCTTTTTGCAGGTCTAGAAGTGTTTATTTTTACGAATCTGGTGCTCCAATGTTGGACGCATATTTATAATAGTTATAATGTGTCTTCTTGTTTAATTGAACTCTTTATCATTATGCAATGCCCTTCAATTTTTTCCTTTTACTGTTGTGGGTTTAAAATCTGTTTAATCTGATATAAAAACGACAACCTCTGCTCTTTTTTGGCTTTCCATTTGCATAAGAGAATTTTCTCCAATCCTTTACTTTGAGCTTATGGCCGTCATTATGTGTGAGATGTGTCCCTTCAACACAGCAGAGAGATGGGTCTTTTATTTTTTTTTTTAATCTAACTTGCCATTCTGTGTCTTTTAAGATACTCAAGGATAATATTGATATGTGATGTTTTAATCCTATTATTATGTTATTAGTTGATTGCTTTGTAGTTTCTACTGCATAGTTGCTTTATAGGGCCTGTGGACCATGTGCTAGTGGGTTAGGTGTGTTTTGTGGTAGCTGGTATCGTCCTGTTATATCCTTGCTTAGAACTCTGTTAGGGATGTCTTGTAAGGTTGGTTTAGTGGTAACACTTCCCTTAATGATTGCTTGTGTGGAAAAGATTTTATGTCTCCTTCCTTTATGAAGCTCAGTTCGGTAGGATATGAAATTCTTAGTTGGAATTTCTTTTCTTTCAGAATGGTCCCTGGCTTATAAGACTTTTGCTGGGAAGTCCACTGTTAGCCTGAAGAGGCTCCCTTTGTATATTATCTGACCAATTTCTCTAGCTGCATTTAAGCCTTTTTCTTTCTCATCGACCTTGGACATTCTGGTGACTAAATACCTTGGTGATGCATGTTTTAAATAGTATCTCACAGGTGTTTTCTGGATTTCTTGTATTTGGATGTCTACCTCTCTAGCAAGATAAAAAAAATTTTTTTAGATTATTCCCTTAAATATGTTTCCAGGTTATTTGCCTTTTCTTCTTCTCTCTCAAGAATGCCGGTAATTCATAAGTTCGCTTGCTTTACATAATCCTGTATTTCTTGAAGATTTTGTTGATTTTTAAAAATTATT